>NC_000007.14:34615242-35240242 GCF_000001405.40 Homo sapiens
GATCAAATATTATATTTCATGCAAATAGTAACCAAAAGAGAGAAGAGGTGGTTATACTAATATCAGACAAAATAGACTTTAAATTTAAAAAGATTATGAGAGACAAAGAAGGACATTATCAAAGACTTAATATGGCAATATAGCAAGAATATATAATAATTATAAACCTATACACACCTAATGACAGACTGTAGCATAGAAATATATAAAGCAAAAGAATTGAAGGGAAAAGTAGACAGTTCTACCATAATAGTTGGAGATTTCACTACTGTACTCTCAAAAACTGATAGAACAATCAGATGAAAGATAAGTGAGAAAACAGAGGATGTAAACAACACAATAAACCAATTAGTTTTAACAGACAAATACAGAACACTACCCAAGGAAAAAAAAAAAATACACATTCTTCTCAAGTGCATATAGGACATTTATATGTTAGGTCACAGATAAAATCACAGTAGATTTGAAAAGACAGACATGATACTAAGTATCTTCTCTGATGACAATGGGATGAAGTCAGAAATTATTAATATAATTAAAACTGGAAAATGCACAAATTTGTGGAAATTAAACAGCACACTCTTAATCAACCATGAATCAAAGCATCAATTACAAAGGAAATTAGAAGATATTTAGAGACGAATGAAAATGAAAACATAACATGCCAAAAATGCATGGAACATAGTGAAAACCACGCTAAGGGCAATATTTAAAGTTATACATGCCCACACTAAAAAATAAGAATGATCTCAAATCACCAACCAAACTTTATGACTTAAAAAATGGAAAAAGGAGAACAAATTAAACAAAAGCTAGTAGAAGGAAAGACAAAATAAATATTAGAACAGAGATAAATGAAATAGAGAAAAGGAAAATAACAGGGAAAATCAATTAAACCAAAAGTTGGTTATTCAAAAAGATCAACAAAATTAAAAAATCATTAGCTGAATGGACTAAGAAAAGACTCAAATTTCTAAAATGAGAAATGGAAATGGGACATTACTATTGATTTTACAGAAATAAAAAGGATTGTAATGTAGTACTATGAAAAATTCTATACCAACAAATTGTATAACCTAATGAAATAGACAAATTCCTAGAAACATAAACCATACCAAGATAAATCATGAAGAAATGGAAAATCTAAATAGACTTATAACTACTAAGAAGATTTGGTGAATGTGACCAAACATTTAAAGAAGAACTAATACCATCCTTCTCAAACTTTTCTGAAAAGTAAGGAGAGAACACTTCCTAAATTATTCTGTGAGATTAGCATTACCCCGATGCTATAGCCAGACAAAGACACTACTAGACAGAAAAGAAAACTACATTCAATATCTGTTCCAGATGTTGTTGCAAAAACCCTCATTGAAATACTAGCAGCCAATACTAGGCAAAGTGACCTAGAGATTCAATGCAATCCCTGTTAAAATCTCAATGACATTTTTCACAGTATTACAAAACTCCATCCTAAAACTTACCAGACATCTCAAGTAATCTCAAATAACCAAAACAATCTTGAAAAAAAAAAAAAAACAGCTGATTTCAAAACTTACTACAAATCTACAATAATTAAAACAGTGTGGTACTGGCAAACAAACAGACATATATATAGACCAATGGAATAGAAGATAGAGCCCGGAAATAAATATATGATCCACTCATATATGGTCAATTTTTGAGAAAGGTACCAAGACCATTTAATGGGGAAAAGACAAATCTTTTCAACACATGCTGCTTGGAACAGTGTATATCCACCTGCAAAAAAAATGAAAGTGGACCATTACTAACAACATATACAAAAATTGATTCAACATAGATCAAAAACCCAAATGTAAGACTTAAAACAATACAATTTTTAGAAAAACATATGGCAAAATTTTCACGACATTGGCTTAGACAATGATTTCTTGGATATGACACCGAAGGCATAGGCAACAAAAGAACATAGACAAACTGGACTTCATAAAAATTTTAAAAATTTTGTGCATCAGAGGACAGTATCAGGCCAAGCGTGGTGACTCACGCCTGTAATCCCAGCACTTTGGGAGGCTGAGGCGGGTGGATCACCTGAGGTCAGAAGTTCGAGACCAGCCTGCCAACATGGCAAAACCCCATCTCTACTAAAAATACAAAAATTAGCCGGGCATGGTGGCGGGCACCTCTAATCCCAGCTACTTGGGAGGCTGAGGCAAAAGAATCCCTTGAGCCAGAGAGGTGGAGGTTGCAGTGAGCCAAGACTGTGCCACTGCACTTTAGCCTAGACAACAGAGTGAGACTCTGTCTCCAAAAAGAAAAGGCAATCCACAGAAAGGAAGAAAATATTCACAAATTATATAACTGATAAGGAATTTATATCCAGGAATTAAGGATATATACAAAACTCTTAAAACACAAGAACAAAGAAACAAAAAATCGGATTAAAAATGGGCAAATAGCTCAAATAGGCATTGCTTCAAAAAAGATATACAAATGACCAATAAGCATATGAAAAGATGTTCAATATAACTAATCATTAGAAAATGTAAATCAAAACTACAATGAGATACTAATTCATACCAATTAGGATGGCTACTATAAAAAAAATAGAAAATAGCAAAATAGGAAAGAATCTGGAGAAATTGGACCCTTGAGCACTGTTGATGAGAATGTAAAATGGTACAGCTGCTGTAGAAAACAATATGGCCATTCCTCAATTAACCATATAATTATCATATGATACAGCAATTTATCTCCTAGGTATAAATCCAAAAGAATTGAAGGAAAGGTCTCTAAGAGATATGTATACACCCTTATTTATAACAGGATTGTTATAGCCAAAACATCGAAGCAACTCAAGCAAGTTGCTGTTTATATTTATATATTACCAACCTATAGTAATATATAAAATATAATATTATTCAGCCTTAAATAGAAAGGAAATTCTGACAAATACTATAACATGGATGAAGCTTGAAGGCATTATGCTAAGTAAAATAAGCCAGTCACTAAAAGATAAATACTGTATGATTCCACTTATATGAGGTACTTAAAGTAGTTAAAATCATAGATACAGAAAGTAAAATGGTAGTTGCTGGGGGCTGGAGAAAAGGGGGAAATGAGTTTTTTTTAATGGTAATAACGTTTCTGTTTTATATAAGGAAAAGTTTATGGAAATGGATGGTGGTTATGGTTGCAGAATATTATGAATGTATTTAATACCACTGAACTGTACATCCAAAACTGTTTAAATGGTAAATTTTATGTTATATATATTTTAACACATTTGAAAAATTGGGGAAAAAAAACACTGATAAAACGGTCAGGAGGTCTCATTCACCTGTAATAGTAATTGGAGAAGCAACATATAAAAAAGAAAGTAATAAAGCAATAGTCAAAAAATAGTAGAAGAAAATGTCCTAAGATGTAGTTTCCATCTTTAGATAAAAGCTCTCTGAAGCTTCCATCTTTAGATTAAAAAGACACTGAGAACTTGGCAAAATGATGAGAAATGCACTAGCCAAACTTAATCAAAAACCTGTTTGTGAGGGAGCCTAAGAAATGTAGTTTGCAAGGTTGCCTCCACAGATAACCAGTAGAGTAGAGGAAGAGTACGAAACGGATCTCAGAACAAATGGGAAAACAGGCACAATGATTATGTAAGATTCACTTCATAAGTAAAAGTATAATTCAGTATTTAAGGATTGGTTACTTTAATTCATCATACAACTGAATCAAAGAATAAAAACTGTAAAAAAGATACTAAAATGACACTTGAAGCAATAAAAGGATAAAATAACTATATTTGAATTAAATCCTAGAGACTCTTCTACTATAGATAAAATATAGTTCTTTATGATTGACTTATTCAATAATGCTCTGGATATTTTGGCCAATGCAATAAGATCTTTGCTCCTACCAAAAAGCAAAACAAGAAAGCAAATTAAAAAATTAAGAGGTATAAATATTATAAAAGAGGAGGCAAAGTTACTATTATTTTCATATGCTGTCATTTTATACCATAAAACATACAAATAACCAACTAAATAACTATTAGAGTGGATAAATGAATTCAGTAAGTTGTTTAATTAAAAAGCAGTATACATCAATATATTAGCAATAACTAAGCAAAATTCAATTGATCACCCTTAAATATATTCTATATTAGTGAATTTATTTATAAGAAATATAATGCAAAAAATACTAGAAGATCTTCCTGAAATACCCAACAAGAAAACATGAATAACATTGGAGAAACAAGATGCATTGGATTGAAAGTCTCTATGTGTTATGGCCTGAATGTTTGTATCCTCCCAAAATTTCTATGTAGCAAGCTCTAACCCCCAATATGGCTCTATTTGGGGGATAATAGAGCCATATTGGGGGTTAGAGCTTTCAAAATTACTCTGGGTGGGAGTAATTAAGGTTAAATGAAGTTCCAATAGAATTAGTGTCCTCATAAAACGAGACACCAGAGAGCTCACTTACTCTTTTCCATGTACACACAAGGAAGAATGGCCATGTGAGAACACGGTGAGAAAGTGGCCAATTACAAGCCAATAAGACAGCCCTCACCACAAACTGAATTTGCTGGCAAAAACTGAATTGTAGCTGTACCTTATCATGGATTTCCAGCTCCAAAACTGTGAGAAAATAAATGTCTGTTGTTTAAGCCACCTAGTAGTCTGTGATACATTGTTATAGTACCCTAACCTGACTAAAACACCATCATAAAGATTTTGGTTGTTCTCCAATTAGCCTATAAATTAAAATCATTTCAATTAAAATGTCAATGAATTCTGTTTTCATTTAAGTGTCTCCTACAAACCCCATTCATGATTAATTAGAGAAAATATTTTTTCTTATATAAATCTGGACCGAGAAAACATGCTATCCTAATATGGACTAACACATGTTGATCACATAGTTACATTAGAAGAAAGGCTGGCACATAGTAAGGACTCGTAAAATGTCAGTTATTATCATTTTATCATTGTCATCATCCTCATTACTATTTCTCACTTTTGGTAAGTATTTAAAATATTTTAAGCTATACTGAGATAAAGTGGGAAAATTTTGACTTAAAAAAAGTCAAAGATGTGCCCTGTGACAGAGCAATTTCATCTTTAGGAAACTATCAATAACGTGCAATTAGACTAATGGACAAAGACGTTTACTGTAGCTTTGTTTATAATGGCATGAAATGGAAACATTCCAAATATTGAATAAGGAAGCAATTTTGAATGTATTAGGGCATATCCATAAAATGGAAACCATTTCAGCAGCAGGGTCATTGTCAGTCACAGTCCTGTCAGGGAATTGGTTATGCAAGTGACAGAAGAACCAAGAAGCCAAACAGGGGATGAGGAGACAATGCAGAGATTAGAACAGTGGGAAGCTGCCAATACCCCTGAGCTGGGACTGATGACAGGAAGGAGTAGTGTTACTGAACCTAGAAGTGCAGGCCCTTCTGTGGGAGCTGGGGTCCCATTAGGTACCTAAGTAATGTCTCACTGGAACCTGGGGCCAAAGAGAAAAGAGGTGTCCTTCTCTCTGGAGTCAACTAAGAGGCTCAGTTGTTGTCAAAAGTAACACTCAAAGCAAAGAGGAAGGCGAGGAAATATGCTGCCTTATCCTTTCCAATCTTCCACCAGCTTCTCCCATTGGTGAACCTGCCTGGAAATTAGAGGCAAGCGAGTCTGGAAAACATAGTTCCCTGTGATTCACAACAGGGCAGGAAAGTGTGGGGGATGAACTTGAGAGAAAACAAGCACTAAGTTGGCAGAGCTAGTGGGTGATACTTACAGATGAGGTGAACATATTCATGATATACTTGCAGGAAAGAAACAGGCTATGCCTGTTTATATTACCTAAATAGGCATATACATAAATATATAAGCACATAAAAATGTCTAGAGAATATAAACCAAGATATTAATGTTAATGTTATCTGGATGGTAGTATTTTTGACTTATCTGAATCTCCTGATTATTCTAAAATAAATATATATCACTAGTGACTTAAAGTAATGAAAAATAATTCTGTTTCTGTGTTTAAGGAAAGAGCAATTTGATTGCCGGCTCCTTGAATACTGGATATGAAGATGAGCTACCTTTATAATTTTTAGAGCCTTTATTTTAGAGGAGAAAGCTTAAATGTGTCTATCAACATGAAATACACAACTGAATCTATTGATGGTGCCCATCAGACAAAATGTGCAATATAATTTGACTTCTGCTTACCCTTTTCTACTCTCATGTACAATTGAAATAGAAGGCATTTTACATCTGAATCCTTTTTATCTCTTTCAATAATTTATTTTGAATCATCTCCTTTAAGAATTCCCTTCACATTTGCTTATTTTAAAATAATGTTAACTTCTATAATTCAGACAGTTCTATCTTATGGTTTTCATTGTCCAATATCATTTGTTTTATAACAGGCATTCTGTATCCATTTATTTTTAATTTTGTCTCTTTCCCTCTCGACACACTATCCATGGTATTTGAGTCGTATCAGAGGGTGGGACCTCATTTGGAAGGAAAATTCTGATGCCAACTTGAAATGATAACAAAAGAAACACATACTTCTCTATCAATCAGCCAGTTCTCCTTTCCTCGGCTGGCCTTGGTCAGTATCCAGTCAGAAGACAGTGACCATGCCAGTTATTTTTACAGAGAGAATTTAATTCAAAGAATAGTTAATCAGGTATTGGAGAACTGAAAGTGCAAACATGAGACGCTGAGGTAGTATAGAGGTTGTAACTGCAGGAAGATGTAACTACCCCCTCGAGTTGGAAGGGCAAAGAGAAGGGACTGCAATTATTAAAACTTAGATGCTTACAGAAGGGGTCCCAAGGAATTGGGGTGGAGACCTCCTGGAAGGCATTCGCTGCCTAATTGGTGCCGGGGTGATTCTTCAGGGGCCTGTGGGAGCCTTCTGAGGAGCTGGCCCTCAGACCTCAGAGCAGCAGCCCCCTGCAGCCCCATGCCAGTGCCACCATCCCTGAGAGGATACCACGAAGCAAGCTCTCAAGGCAAAATGGAGAACCACTGCTCCTAGAATTTACTGCCACTGCCAGGGTGAACAACTACTGCTGTGGTGTTGCTAAGGTGACCAGGAAAAGACACGAAGCAGCAAGTCCTCTCTCCCTCTTTCATGCATCCTCCCTCTGGAATTCCCTAATGGCAGAGCCTAAGGAGGAGTCCTCTCACAAAGCTGGAATGGGGTTCACAGAATGCTTAGCCCTGCCTTCAAATGTTAGGTATGTAAGGGTGGTCTGAAGCTGAGAAATGTTAGCAAAAGTCCCTGACACACAGCTCCTGTCAAGAGTGTCTGGAAATAATAGAACTCTGTGACTATTTCCAAGACTAGGAGGAAAATTGGAGACCAAATAAGGGTAGAATAGGCTTGGAATAAAAACCACGGGAGTTGTTTACTGTAATTAGTAATATAGTAACATAGGTCACTGTGCCCCAATTCAGCCAGTGCTCAAGGGAAACAAGCTTTGTCCATTCTGATGCTGAAAAATTCTCAAACCTTATTTATTCAGCTGTCTGACTACCCAGCTGACCATGCAGCTTAGGTAGTTTTTTTCCCTCATTTTCTATTGTCATTTCCCATTGAACCAGATAACAAGTTTGGATTCTTGAATTTTGACCCTGAAAGCTCTCGCTCAGGTACAAAGTATGTATATTCACCCTCTGGCCTTTTAAATTATATACCTCTCCAACAATAAAGTGGCCCATAGTATTCTATCTTTGTATCACGTTTTCCCACAAGACCGGTGCTGGTCTTAGAGAGGCCTATCCATCCATCTATTTACCCATTCATCAATTCATTCAACAAGTGGTTATTTATAACCCTCTGTGTTTGGCATTGTTCTAGACACTGGTGACACAACAGAGAGCAAAACCAGTCTCTGCTGTGATGGAGCCCACATTCTAGTGGGAGGAGAAGGGGAGAGGCAAGAGAGAGGCAGACAATACACGAATAAATACACCATAGGAGGTCATGGAATAAAGGGCCCTATAGAGAATAACACAGCATATGAGAAGGCAGAGAGTGACAGAGATGGAGGAGTACAGAGTGATCAGGAAAGACTCTGAAAAAATGACAGTTGAGCAGAGATCACAATAAGAATCTTAGGAACATCTATGAAAACAGCAATTGCAGGTCAAGGGAAGAGCAAGTGCAAAGGGGTGAAGCAAAAGCTGTGTGGCATGTTGAGGAGAAAAGCAAAGGGCCAGTGACACTGGCAGGACGCTGGTCTGGGGTCAGAAGGGGGCTGAGATCAGAGAGGGAGAAGGTCAATGGGGCCATGTGAGTCATGTGAAAAACTTTGCAATGTCTCTAAGTGAAATGAGAAGCTACCCGGAAGGGATGAATAGGATACAGAACACAGTCGATTTAAACTTAAAAAAGAATTATCCTGGCTACTGTGTGGGTAAGTCACAGACTCTACAAATCAATCAATCAGAAGAGATACAGTTGTTGTTTGTACCACTAAGAAATTGAAAAACACTGCTAATTAAATCACACATAAAGTTCCTTATGACTCAGGAAATTTTTACACCCATTTAAAGAGCTGTTTTAAAATTTATTTAGACTTAGGTTTTCAATCATGTATCACTTTTGTGCATATGTAGAAGGAAAATATACATGAAACTAACTGGTTAAAGAATTCTTAAGTATTTTTCATATTCAGAGTCCAGCTCTTCTGAAACACTCTTTCAATTCAAAGTCATCAAGGAAACCAAGATATTCATTCATCGTTTCATTCATTCATTCAACAAATACAATCAAGGGCCTACTATGTAGCAAGCACTGTTCTCAGTGCTGGGATGCAGTTGAAAATATGACAGATGCAATCACCAACCTCATCAAGCTTACAGACCAATAGACAAAATGCAAGAAAAGAGAAGGGCAATAATCACAAGGAAGAAGGCAACATCTCTGCAAATTCTCCATCCTCCTAGAGCACTGTTCATAACAGGATCTTTAATGTCAGACAATTGGGTTTGAATCCTGACTCTCCATTTACTATTTATGTGTCCTTGAACAAATTATTTAATCTCCCTGGTCATCAATTTTCTTCTAATATCTACCTCATAGCATTGGTATTAGGATAAAATAAAATAATGTATGTAAAACCCTTAATAGAGTTTTGGCTCTCATATGGAATCCACAGTTGCTACATGAGCATATTTTTTTGCATTTAAATATGTTTTATATGGTTCTCAAATTGATTCCTATGCTCATGATACCTTAGATTCTCTGAGCACAACCATAGTGCCTTATTCCTTTCTTCTGTAACCCTTGAGGGATCTTCTAAATGTGTTACACATATGCAAAGTTGTAATAATATGACTACTTTGTTTCCTCATAATTATTCATTGAGTTGACATCTTGTTTCCCTTCCCCTAATTCATAAGATCTCAGAAAAAAAGCATATCTTTCTAACAACTGTGTAAAAGAATTGTTCTTATTTACCATTCTTTCTCTTTGCAGAGATAAAAATTGAAGAACTGAAAGGAGATTGAAATACAGGCTCAAAGACACTGAAGGGCATTATTGCAAGCATCTAATAAATTATTGCAAACATGTAAGGAATAATTGCAAAAATCTAAGCTGATTAGGCGGGGCACTGTGGCTCACGCCTGTAATCCCAGCCCTTTGGGAGGCTGAGGTGGGTGGATCACGAGGTCAGGAGATTGAGACCATCCTGGCTAACACAGTGAAACCCCGTGTCTGCTAAAAAAAAAAAAAAATAAATACAAAAAATTAGTTGGGTGTGGTGGCAGGTGCCTGTAGTGCCAGCTACTCGGGAGGCTGAAGGAGGAGAATGGCGTGAACCCAAGAGGCGGAGCTTGCAGTGAGCTGAGATCACCCCACTGCACTCCAACTTGATTGGATTGAAGGATGCAAAGCATAGTTCCTGGGTGTGTCTGTGAGGGTGTTGCCAAAGGAGGTTAACATTTGAGTCAGTGGAGTGGGAAAGGCAGACCCACCCTCAATCTGGGTGGGCACCATCTAATCAGCTGCCAGCAAGCCAGAATAAAAGCAGGCAGAAGAACATGAAAAGATGAGACTGGTTTAGTCTTCTTGCCTACATCATTCTCCTGTGCTGGATGCTTTCTTCCCTCAAACGTCGGACTCCAAGTTCTTCAGCTTTGGGACTCGGACTGGCTTCCTTGCTCCTCAGCTTGCAGACAGCCTACTGTGGGACTATATGATTGTGTGAGTCAATACTCCTTAATAAAATCCCTTTATATACACATCTATCCTATTAGTTCTGTCCCTCTACAGAACCTTAACTAAAACAAGCCCACATCGTTTATTTGGTTGTCCCGTGAGACATTATAATGAATGGTTCTTGGTCAGTCTGAGGTATTCCATGTCAAGGGCCCCTTAGCCCTGAAGCCAGAGAGGCTGGTGATTCTATTATCGCAATCTTTGTACTAACAGAATTTAAAGTATCTGTGGACTGGTCATCTTTCTGGTAGTATATTTAAAGGTTTGATTAAGCACTTTTTCTATTTCGAAAAGCCTAACATAGATGAAGAAAATACAACTAAAATTGTTCCTATTTTTTAAATCATGAATGATATAAATTGTTTCTTTGTTAATGTTTTCTTGGCCATAAGCTTCTTCAAAGAAAAGTGGATAATCTATCTCCAAAATGTCATCCCATTCTCTTTCTCTTCTAAATTCTACACCTGACTGAAGACCTCATTTGCCATCCGGCTCATTTGTGAGACTCCAAAAAAAAACCTGGAGCTACAAACTGGAAAAAATACATCTTTCTATATGTATCCTCTATTAATGTCAGCATAGTGAATGTATGACCAGCAATATGTCCATGTATGTGAAGGGGCCATTCTGCTACCTACCAACCCTCTCTGTTCCAGAGTTCATAGATTGCTAGAGATCAGAGCACACAACTCCAACATAAACAGGACTCTATGGTTTCAACATGTTATAAGAGCTTAAGGTGCCTTTGAACTCTGAAATATTTTAAAATAGATGCTAAATATATATGTACTATTTGACTTATTCTCTTCTAAAATATATTAAAATTATAATGAGAAACTTGAGGTGATATGAATCTAGAAAATGATCATAAATTGTTAATGATTAAAGTCCCATTACGAGCAAATCACTGAAAAACAATGAAGAGATTAATATATTCTTATCCAGGCAACATATGGTCTTTAAAGTGAATATATAAAAATGTTCTGTGTTTATACATTTCTAATTTTTCAAAATATTCCAAGCAGCTCAAATTAATTCTTGGCATGTGTTGCCATTTAAGACATATTCCATCTTTTGAGTTACAAAATAAAATTAATTTTTTTCACTTGAGGTTTTAATTCATGTGGATAATCAAGTGTCAACTGTGTAGAGAAAACCCATTTCATCCAAATTATGGGTAAATGGTATTCTAAGATAATGTTGTGTGTTTCTTTCAAAAGTCCTGCCTGTCCTACTTTCCACCCAATTCCTTTCATGTCCTGATCTATGCTATACATTGATTCTTCCATTTTTAACTTTCCAAGGAATACTGTGAAGCCAAGGCTAGAAATGCCTGGTACAAGTTCACACGAGGTTCCCAATTTTCTCTGAAATTTTCCAATCTACTACATATATTTATTGACAATGATAAAGATGATATCTTTTATTTACTTAAATGTCATTCAATTGTCTTGCACTACCATGCTTTCACAGTACTTTCACACTGATTACCTTATTTAATTTTCACATCGACTCTGGAACAGGCAGGGCAATAATACTACATTCATTTTTATAAATTACATAGTTGTTAAGGATTGCTACTCAAAATACAACCCAGACCTGCTAACCCGCAGCACCCAGTGTTTTCCATGATGTCCTAGGTGGAAATAATTTGAGTTTTCATATTGTATGTACCTCAGTTGGAATTCTATTTCCACTCTTTACTAGCTAGGTGAATGTGACTTTAAGTAAACTTCTTAATACCCTTTTTGTGCCTCAGTTTCCTCATCAGCAAGGTAGAAATAATAAATACATGTATAAAATACCTGGCACAGTTCTCCACGTACCATAAGTTTTTAACAAATAGTTGTTGTGAGAATACTACTGAGTACATAGACAATACTCCATAAATTCAAGTTTCTTCTTCTCCAGGCAGATGACATCATGGCTCACTGAAAATGAGATTGTCACTAAATGAAACATTTTGGGAGTAAAAAATATTTACAAATTGAGTTGAACAATTACCAATAATAAGTTAACATTTATTGAGCACCTATTATCTGCCACACTCTGTCAATTCTGAAGTGCTTTATCTGTAAAGCTGGGTGCTATTCTTATCTCCAGCTTGTACATTAAGAAACCGAGGCACAAATGGTTAAGTAACGACCTAAAATCACACAACAAAGAGTCACAGAACTGAGATCATAATCAGTAAATCTGTTTCCAGAGTCCCCCAACTATAGGTCAATTTCAATATCAAATGCTATGTCCAAACGATTATAGCAAACAAATAAAGCCAACTCTTTATAGAATGAAGCCCTGTTTCACCGTGTACATTTGTAATAAATAGTTCTGTCTGTGTGTCATTTCACTATCTAAACTTTATAAACCAACATTATCAATACCTTGACCAAAGGTAAAACATTACTTTGGAGAACAAGTAGGTCAACATCTATTTTTTTAACCATTGACCTTTTTTCTGGCAATTTTTAAACGATCAACTAAAATTCTGTCTTTAAATATTATGATAAAGGAAAGAAACATTTCTCTCAAGTCAATTGAGAGGGTATCACACCAATTTCTTGCTCAAAAATCTTCAATGCCTTTATTTTTCCCACAGAATTAAGTTCAGATTTCTTAGCCTGTCACTCAGAACCCTTTACAGTCAACTACTTAGTTTTTAAGTTTTATCAACCTCTACTAACAGTCTGAAATCTACACTCTTCTACTTTTACTTTCAAATTGTCTCTACCATGTTTCTGTAGTTATTCTTATATCCAGAATGCCATCTTGACTTTCTCTATTAACCTTACCCACTCTCCAAAGTGCATACAAAATGAACAACCCTTCTGTGAGTTTTGCCTTTTTCCACCATCTTTGAGGGGTCCTTGTCTCTCAATTCTGGGAGCACACCAACCGCTCCCGTCATTTGATGTGTATCCTCACATTGATTGAGCACCTACAATGTTCCAGCTGCTCTAAATGCATGTTAGTATTTACTCTTCACTAAGATTTATTTTATTTAGGAAGGAATCAAAGTTGAGAGACCTAATTTTCCAAAGGTATTTAGTTATTAAAAAGTAGATTGGAGCTCTCTAGATTCCTCCTCTCTGGGCAGGACGTCTCTGAAAGAAAAGCGGCAGCCCCAGTAAGGGGCTTATAGATAAAACTTCCATCTCCCTGGGACAGAGCACCTGGGGGAAGGGGCAGCTGTGGGCGCAGCTTCAGCAGACTTAAACTTTCCTGCCTGGTGACTCTGAAGAGAGTAGCAGATCTCCTAGCACAGTGCTTGAGCTCTGCTATGGGACAGAATGCCTCCTAAAGTAGGTCCCTGACCTCTGTGCCTCCTGACTGGGAGACACCTTCCAGCAGGGGTCGACAGACACTTCATACAGGAGAGCTCTGGCTGGCATCTGGCAGGTGCCCCTCTGGGAAGAAGCTACCAGAAGAAGGAACAGGCAGCAATCTTTGCTGTTCTGCAGCCTCCGCTAGTGATACCCAGGCAAACAGGGTCGGGAGTGGACCTCCAGCAAACTCCAGCAGACCTGCAGCAGAGGGGCCTGTTAGAAGGAAAACTAACCAACAGAAAGGAATAGTATCAACATTAACAAAAAGGACATCCACTCAGAAACCCCATCTGAAGGTCACCAACATCAAAGACCAAAGGTAGATAAATCCAGGAAGATGAGGAAAATCCACCACAAAAAGGTTGAAAATTCCAAAAACCAGAACACCTCTTCTCCTCCAAAGGATCACAACTCCTTGTCAGCAAGGAAACAAAACTGGACGGAAAATGAGTTTGACAAATTGACAGAAGAAGACTTCAGAAGATGGGTAATAACAAACTCCTCCAAGCTAAATGAGCATGTTCTAACCCAATGCAAGGAAGCTAAGAACCTTGAAAAAAAAGGTTAGAGGAATTGCTAACTAGAATAACCGGTTTAGGGAAGAATATAAATGACCTGATGGAACTGAAAAACATAGCACGAAAACTTCCTGAAGCATACAGAAGTATCAATAGCCGAATTGATCAAGTGGAAGAAAGGATATCAGAGACTGAAGATTAACTTAATGAAATAAAGCGTGAAGACAAGATTAGAGAAAAATGTATGAAAGGGAACGTACATTCTCTGTTTTTGTTGTGTCTCTGCCAGGCTTTGGTATCAGGATGATGCTGGCCTCATAAAATGAGTTAGGGAGGATTCCCTCTTTTTCTATTGATTGGAATAGTTTCAGAAGGAATGGTACCAGCTCCTCTTTGTACCTCTGGTAGAATTCGGCTGTGAATCCATCTGGTCCTGGACTTTCTTTGGTTGGTAAGCTATTAATTATTGCCTCAATTTCAGAGCCTGTTATTGGTCTATTCAGAGATTCAACTTCTTCCTGGTTTAGTCTTGGGAGGATGTATGTGTTGAGGAATTTATCCATTTCTTCTAGATTTTCTAGTTTATTTGCATAGAGGTGTTTATAGTATTCTGTGATGGTAGTTTGTATTTCTGTGGGATCGGTGGTGATATCCCCTTTATCATTTTTTATTGCGTCTATTTGATTCTTCTCTCTTTTCTTCTTTATTAGTCTTGCTAGCGGTCTATCAATTTTGTTGATCTTTTCAAAAAACCAGCTCCTGGATTCATTGATTTTTTGAAGGGTTTTTTGTGTCTCTATTTCCTTCAGTTCTGCTCTGATCTTAGTTATTTCTTGCCTTCTGCTAGCTTTTGAATTTGTTTGCTCTTGCTTCTCTAGTCCTTTTAATTGTGATGTTAGGGTGTCAATTTTAGACCTTTCCTGCTTTCTCTTGTGGGCATTTAGTGCTATAAATTTCCCTCTACACACTGCTTTGAGTGTGTCCCAGAGATTCTGGTATGTTGTGTCTTTGTTCTCGTTGGTTTCAAAGAACATCTTTATTTCTGCCTTCATTTCGTTATGTACCCAGTAGTCATTCAGGAGCGGGTTGTTCAGTTTCCATGTAGTTGAGCGGTTTTGAGTGAGTTTCTTAATCCTGAGTTCTACTTTGATTGCACTGTGGTCTGAGAGATAGTTTGTTATAATTTCTGTTCTTTTACATTTGCTGAGGAGAGCTTTACTTCCAAGTATGTGGTGAATTTTGGAATAGGTGTGGTGTGGTGCTGAAAAGAATGTATATTCTGTTGATTTGGGGTGGAGAGTTCTGTAGATGTCTATTAGGTCTGCTTGGTGCAGAGCTGAGTTCAAATCCTGGATATCCTTGTTAACTTTCTGTCTCCTTGATCCGTCTAATGTTAACAGTGGGGTGTTAAAGTCCCCAACTATTATTGTGTGGGAATCTAAGTCTCTTTCTAGGTCTCTAAGGACTTGCTTTATGAATCTGGGTGCTCCTGTATTGGGTACATATATATTTAGGATAGTTAGCTCTTCTTGTTGAATTGATCCCTTTACCATTATGTAATGGCCTTCTTTGTCTCTTTTGATCTTTGTTGGTTTAAAGTCTGTTTTATCAGAGACTAGGATTGAAACCCTGCCTTTTTTTGCTTTCCATTTGCTTGGTAGATCTTCCTCCATCCCTTTATTTTGAGCCTGTGTGTGTCTCTGCACATAAGATGGGTCTCCTGAATACAGTACACTGATGGGTCTTGAGTCTTTATCCAATTTGCCAGTCTGTGTCTTTTAATTGGAGCATTTAGCCCATTTACATTTAAGGTTAATATTGTTATGTGTGAATTTGATCCTGTCATTATGATGTTAGCTGGTTATTTTGCTCGTTAGTTGATGCAGTTTCTTCCTAGCCTTGATGGTCTTTACAATTTGGCGTGTTTTTGCAGTGGCTAGTACCGGTTGTACCTTTCCATGTTTAGTGCTTCCTTCAGGAACTCTTTTAGGGCAGGCCTGGTGGTGACAAAATCTCTCAGCATTTGCTTGTCTGTAAAGGATTTTATTTCTCCTTCACTTATGAAGCTTAGTTTGGCTGGATATGAAATTCTGAGTTGAACATTCTTTTCTTTAGGAATGTTGAATATTGGCCCCCACTCTCTTCTGGCTTGTAGGGTTTCTGCCGAGAGATCAGCTGTTAGTCTGATGGTCTTCCCTTTGTGGGTAACCCGACCTTTCTCTCTGGCTGCCCTTAACATTTTTTCCTTCATTTCAACTTTGGTGAATCTGACAATTATGTGTCTTAGAGTTGCTCTTCTCGAGGAGTATCTTTGTGGCCTTCTCTGTATTTCCTGAATTTGAATGTTGGCCTGCCTTGCTAGATTGGGGAAGTTCTCCTGGATAATATCCTGCAGAGTGTTTTCCAACATGGTTCCGTTCTCCCCGTCACTTTCAGGTACATCAATCAGACGTAGATTTGGTCTTTTCACATAGTCCCATATTTCTTGGAGGCTTTGTTCATTTCTTTTTATTCTTTTTTCTCTAAACTTCTATTCTCACTTCATTTCATTCATTTGATCTTCCATCACTATCCCTGATGAATATCGATGCAAAAATCCCCAATAAAATACTGGCAAACTGAATCCAGCAGCACATCAAAAAGCTTATCCACCTTGATCAAGTGGGCTTCATCCCTGGGATGCAAGGCTGGTTCAACATACGCAAATCAATAAACATAATCCAGCATATAAACAGAACCAACAACAAAAGCCACATGATTATCTCAGTAGATGCAGAAAAGGCCTTGACAAAATTCAACAACACTTCATGCTAAAAACTCTCAATAAAGTAGGTATTGATAGTACGTATCTCAAAATAATAAGAGCTATCTATGACAAACCCACAGCCAATATCATACTGAATGGGCAAAAACTGGAAGCATTCCTTTTGCAAACTGGCACAAGCCAGGGATGCCCTCTCTCACCACTCCTATTCAACATAGTGTTGGAAGTTCTGGCCAGGGCAATCAGGCAGGAGAAGGAAATAAAGGGTATTCAATTAGTAAAAAAGGAAGTCAAGTTTTCCCTGTTTGCAGATGACATGATTATATATTTAGAAAATCCCATCATCTCAGCCCAAAATCTCCTTAAGCTGACAGGCAACTTCAGGAAAGTCACAGGATACAAAATCAATGTGCAAAAATCACAAGCATTCTTATACACCAATAACAGACAAACAGAGACCAAATCATGAGTGAACTCCCATTCACAATTGCTTCGAAGAAAATAAAATACCTAGGAATCCAACTTACAAGGGATGTGAAGGACCTCTTCAAGGAGAAATACAAACCACTGCTCAAGGAAATAAAAGAGGATACAAACAAATGGAAGAATATTCCATGCTCATGGGTAGGAAGAATCAATATCATGAAAATGGCCATACAGCCCAAGGTAATTTATAGATTCAATGCCATCCCCATCAAGCTACCAATGACTTTCTTCACAGAATTGGAAAAAACTACTTTAAAGTTCATATGGAACCAAAAAAGAGCCCACAATGCCAAGTCAATCCTAAGCCAAAAGAACAAAGCTGGAGGCATCACGCTACCTGACTTCAAACAATACTACAAGGCAACAGTAACAAAAACACCATGGTACTGCTACCAAAACTGAGTTATAGACCAATGGAACAGAACAGAGCCCTCAGAAATAATGCCGCATATCTACAACTATCTGATCTTTGACAAACCTGACAAAAACAAGAAATGGGGAAAGGATTCCCTATTTAATAAATGGTGCTGGGAAAACTGGCTAGCCATATGTAGAAAGCTGAAACTGGATCCCTTCCTTACACCTTATATAAAAATTAATTCAAGATGGATTAAAGACTTAAACGTTAGACCTAAAACCATAAAAACCCTAGAAGAAAATCTAGGCAATACCATTCAGGACATAGGCATGGGCAAGGACTTCATGTCTAAAACACCAAAAGCAATGGCAACAAAAGCCAAAATTGACAAATGGGATCTAATCAAACTAAAGAGCTTCTGCACAGCAAAAGAAACTACCATCAGAGTGAACAGGCAACCTACAGAATGGGAGAAAAGTTTTGCAATCTACTCATCTGACAAAGGGCTAATATCCAGAATCTACAATGAACTCCAACAAATTTACAAGAAAAAAACAAACAACCCCATCAACAAGTGGGCAAAGGACATGAACAGACACTTCTCAAAAGAAGACATTTATGCAGCCAAAAGACACATGAAAAAATGCTCATCATCAATGGCCATCAAAGAAATGCAAATCAAAACTACAATGAGATACCATCTCACACCAGTTAGAATGGCAATCATTAAAAAGTCAGGAAACAACAGGTGCTGGAGAGGATGTGGAGAAATAGGAACACTTTTACACTGTTGGTGGGACTGTAAACTAGTTCAACCATTGTGGAAGTCAGTGTGGCGATTCCTCAGGGATCTAGAACTAGAAATACCATTTGACCCAGCAATCCCATTACTGGGTATACACCCAAAGGATTATAAATCAAGCTGCTATAAAGACACATGCACATGTATGTTTATTGTGGCACTATTCACGATAGCAAAGACTTGGAACCAACCCAAATCTCCAACAATGGTAGACTGGATTAAGAAAATGTGGTACATATACACCATGGAATACTATGCAGCCATAAAAAATGATGAGTTCATGCCCTTTGTAGGGACACGGATGAAGATGGAAACCATCACTCTCAGCAAACTATCGCAAGGACAAAAATCCAAACACTGTATGTTCTCACTCATAGGTGGGAATTGAACAATGAGAACACATGGACACAGGAAGGGGAACATCACACACAGGGGCCTGTTGTGGGGTGTGGGGAGGTGGGGAGGGATAGCATTTGGAGATATACCTAATGTTAAATGACGAGTTACTGGGTGCAGCACACCAACATGGCATATGTATACATATGTAACTAACCTGCACATTGTGCACATGTACCCTAAAACTTAAAGTATAATAAATAACAAAAAAAAAAAAAGAAAAGGAACAAACAAATCCTCTGAGAAATATAGAACTATGTGAAAAGACCAAATCTACGTTTGATGGGTGTACCTGAAAGTGATGGGGAGAATGGAACCAAGTTGGAAAACATTCTTCAGGATATGATCCAGGAGAACTTCCCCAACCTACTAAGACAGGCCAATATTCAAATTCAGGAAGTACATGGAACACCACAAAGATACTCCTCGAGAAGAGCAACCCCAAAACACATAATCATCAGATTCACCAAGTTTGAAATGAAGGAAAAAATATTAACAGCAGCTAGAGAGAAAGGTCGGGTTACCCACAAAAGGGAGCCTATCAGACTAACAGTGGATCTCTCTGCAGAAACCCTACAAGCCAGAAGAGAGTAGGGGCCAATATTCAACATTCTTAAAGAAAATAATTTTCAACCCAGAATTTCATATCCAGTCATACTAAGCTTCATAAGCAAAGGAGAAACAAAATCCTTTACAGACAAGCAAATGCTGAGAGATTTTGTCACCACCAGACCTGACTTAAAAGAGCTCCTGAAGGAAGCACTAAATATGAAAAGGAAAAACCCATACTAGCCACTGCAAAAACATACCAAATTGTAAAGACCATCAACACTATGAAGAAACTGCATCAACTAATGAGCAAAATAACCAGCTAGCATCACAATGACAGGATCAAATTCACACTAACAATATTAACCTCAAATGTAAACAAACTAAATGCCCCAATTAAAAGACACAGACTGGCAAATTGGATAAGCAGTGAAGAACCACTGGTGTGCTGTATTCAGGAGACCCATCTCACAGACAAAGACATACACAGGCTCAAAATGAAGGGATGGAGGAGAATTTACCAAGAAAATGGAAAGCAAAAAAAAGCAGGGGTTGCAATCCTAGTCTCTGATAAAACAGACTTTAAACCAACAAAGATCAAAAAAGACAAAGAAGAGCATTACATAATGGTAAAGGGATCAAAGCAACAAGAAGAGCTAACTATCCTAAATATATATGCACCCAATACAGGAGCACCCAGATTCATAAAGCAAGTTCTTAGAGAACTACAAAGAGACTTAGAATCTCACACAATAATAGTGGGAGACTTTAACAACCCACTGTCAATATTAGACAGATCAACAAGACAGAAAATTAACAAGGATATTCAGGACTTGAACTCAGCTCTGGATTGAGCAGACCTAATAGACATCTCCACCCCAAATTAACAGAATATACCTTCTTCTCAGCACCTCATGGCACTTATTCTAAAATTGACCACATAATTGGAAGTGAAACACTCCTCAGCAAATGCAAAAGAACGGAAATCATAACAGTCTCTCAGACCACAGTGCAATCAAATTAGAACCCAAGATTAAGAAACTCATTCAAAACTGCACAACCACAAGGAAACTGAACAACCTGCCCCTGAATGACTACTGGGTACATAATGAAATCAAGGCAGAAATAAATAAGTTCTTTGAAACCAATGAGAACAAAGACACAGTGTACCAGAATCTCTGGGACACAGCTAAAGCAGTGTTTAGAGGAAAATTTATAGCACTAAATGCCCACAGGAGAAAGTAGAAAAGATCTAAAATCAACACCCTAACATCAGAATTAAAAGAACTAGAGAAGCAAGGGCAAAGAAATTCAAAAGCTAGCAGAAGGCAAGAAATAACTAAGATCAGAGCAGAACTGAAGGAGATAGAGACATGAAAAACCCTTAAAAATATCAACGAACCCAGGAGCTGGTGTTTTGAAAAGATTAACAAAATAGATAGACCGCTAGCCAGACTAATAAAGAAGAAAATAGAGAAAAATCAAATAGACACAATAAAAAATGATAAAGGGATACCATCACTGATCCCACAGAAAGACAAACCACCATCAGAGAATACTATAAACATCTCTATGCAAATAAACTAGAACATCTAGAAGAAATGGATAAATTCCTGGACACATACACACTCCCAAGACCAAACCAGGAAGAAGTTGATCCCTGAATAGACCAGTAACAAGTTCTGAAATTGAGGCAGTAATTAATAGCCTACCAACCAAAAAAACCACAGGACCAGATGGATTCACTGCCAAATTCTACCAGAGGTACAAAGAGGAGCTGGTACTATTCCTTCTGAAATTTTTCCAAACAACAAAAAAAGAGGGACTCCTCCCTAACTCATTTTAAGAGACCAGCATCATCCTGATACTAAAACCTGGCAGAGACACAACAAAAAAAGAAATTTTAGGCCAATATCCCTGATGAACATCAATGTGAAAATCCTCAATAAAATACTGGCAAACCAAATCCAGCAGCACATCAAATAGCTTATCCACCACAATCAAGTTGGCTTCATACCTGGGCTGCAAGGCTAGTTTAACTTATGGAAATCAATAAACGTAATCCATCACATAAACAGAACCAATGACAGAAACCACATGATTATCTCAATAGATGCAGAAAAGGCCTTTGACAAAATTCAACACCCCTTCATGCTAAAAACTCTCAATAAACTAGGTATTGATGGAACATATCTCAAAATAATAAGAGCTATTTATGACAAACCCACAGCCAGTATCACACTGAACGGGCAAAAGCTGGAAGCATTCCCTTTGAAAACCAGCACAAGACAAGGATGCCCTCTCTCTCCACTCCTATTCAACATAGAATTGGAAGTTCTGGCCAGGGCAATCAGGCAAGAGAAAGAAATAAAGCGTATTCAAAAAGAAAGGAAATCCAACTGTCTCTGTTTGCAGATGACATGACTGTATACCTAGAAAACCCCATTGTCTCAGCCCAAAATCTCCTTCAGCTGATAAGCAACTTCAGCCAAGTCTCAGGATACAAAATCAATGTGCAAAAATCAGAAGAATTCCTATGCACCAATCATACACAAAAAGAGAGAAAGATTATGAGTGAACTCCCATTCACAATGGCTACAAGAGAATAAATACCTAGGAATCCAACTTACTTACAAGGGATGTGAAGGACCTCTTCAAGAACTACAAACCACTGCTCAAGGAAATAAAAGAGGACACAAACACATGGAAAAACATTCCATGCTCATGGATAGGAAGAATCAATATCGTGAAAATGGCCATACTGCCCAAAGTAATTTAGAGATTCAATGCTATCCCCATCAAGCTACCATTAACTTTCTTCACAGAATTAGAAAAAAACTACTTTAAATTTGATACGGAACCAAAAATGAGGCTGTATAGCCAAGAAAATCCTAAGCAAAAATAACAAAGCTGGAGGCATCACACTACCTGACTTCAAACTATACTACAAACAGCATGGTACTGGTACCAAGACAGATATATAGACCAATGGAACAGAACAGAGGCCTCAGAAATAATGACATATATCTACAATCATCTGATCTTTGACAAACCTGACAAAACAAGCAATGAGGAAAGGATTCCCTGTTTAATAAATGGTGCTGGGCAAACTGGCTAGCCATATGCAAAAAACACAGAAACTGGACCCCTTCCTTACACCTTATACAAAAATTAAGCCAAGATGGATTAAAGACTTAAGTGTAAGACCTAAAGCCATAAAAACCCTAGAAGAAAACCTGGGCAATACCATTCAGGACATAGGCATGGGCAAAGACTTCATGACTAAAACACCAAAAGCAAAGGCAACAAAAGCCAAAATTGACAAATGGGATCTAATTAAACTAAAGAGCTTCTGCACAGCAAAATAAACTATCATCAGAGTAAACAGGCAACCTACAGAATGGGAAAAAAATTTTGCAAACTATTCATCTGAAAAAGGGCTAATATCCAGAATCTACAAAGAACTTAAAGAAATTTACAAGAAAAAAAATCCCATCAAAAAGTGGGTGAAGGATATGAATAGACACTTCTCAAAAGAAGATATTTATGTGGTCAAAAAACATATGAAAAAAAGCTCATCATCACTGGTCATTAGAGAAATGCAGATCAAAACCACAATGAGATACCGTCTCATGCCAGTTAGAATGGCGATCATTACAAAGTCAGGAAACAACAGATGCTGGAGAGGATGTGGAGAAATAGGAAAGCTTTTACACTACTGGTGGGAGTGTAAATTAGTTCAACCATTGTGGAAGACAGTGTGGCGATTCCTCAAGGATCTAGAACCAGAAATACCATTTGACCCAGCCATCCCATTACTGGGTATATACCCAAAGGATTATAAATCATTCTACTATAAAGATGCATGCATACGTAGGTTTATTGCAGCACTAGTCACAATAGTAAACACTTGGAACCAACCCAAATGCCCATCAGTAATAGACTGGATAAAGCAAATGTGGCACATATACACCATGGGATACTATGCACCTATAAAAAAGGATGGGTTCATGTCCTTTGCAGGGATGTGAATGAAGCTGGAAACCATCATTCTCAGCAAACTAACACAGAAACAGAAAACCAAACACTGCATGTTCTCACTCATAAGTGGGAGTTGAACAATGAGAACAGATGGACACAGGGAGGACATCACACACCATGGCCTGCCAGGGGGTTAGAGGCTAGGGGAGAGATAGCATTCAAGAAATACCTAATGTAGATGACAGGTTGATGGGTGCAGCAAACCAACATGGCATGTCCATACCTATGTAACAAACCTGCACATTCTGCACATGTATCCCAGAACTTAAAGTATAATTTTAAAAAAGTAGGTTGGAGATTCATATTTAAAGTGAAACTAAGCCAAAATTTGTATTATTTTTCTTAATAATTTCCAAAATGCAATCTAAGTTTTACCTTTTAAGCCAATCTGATCAACTTCTCATGGCACTACCTTGAGAAAAACTCTAAGGTATACTAAGACACAGTGGTTCTCAGTGCCATAATCCATCAGTGAATGTGGGGACAGGCAGCAGGCACAGAGAGTGGGGAGTGTGCCCAGCTCTGACATAAAGAACAACAATATGTTGATGCAACATCAAGAAGTTGCTTCTCTCCTGGGCTTCCTTGTAGCCGTTATCAGCTATTACCCAACTCAGCTACTCTACAGTCATTTTCAACACTTTTCTTCCTTTCTGTGTCCCATTGCCAAGTCTTTAAAAGCCAGGCACTCATTTTTCAAGACCCCTTTCATAAGGCCAGGGGTTGCTGTATAACCTAGTTATTGCCAGTAGGATGTAAAGAGATAATTGTCATCATCTTCATAAGCATCATGAAAATATTTTCCTCTCTGAACAGAGAAACAGATGAAGAAGAATGTCTTCCTCTACCACCAGCATCCTCCCCCACCCTCCGACCTATTTTGTTGTTGTTGATTTTTGTTTCTTGTTTGAGACGGAGTCTCGCTCTGTCGCCCAGGCTGGAGTGCAGTGGCGCAATCTTGGCTCACTGCAACCTCTGCCTCCCAGGTTCAAGCGATTCTCCTGCCTCAGCCTCCCGAGTAGTTGGGATTACAGGCACCCTGCCCCCACGCCTGGCTAATTTTTGTATTTTTAGTAGAGATGAGGTTTCACCATGTTGGCCAGGCTGGTCTCCTAACCTCAAGTGATCCTCTTAACCTCAAGTGATCTGCCTGTCTTGGCCTCCCAAAGTGCTGGGATTATATGCATGAGCCACCACGCCTAGCCTCCTCCCCGCCTTTTTTTAAACCCATTACCATCCTTGCTTTCTGATTTGGACTGGCATTGAAGATATGATTATTAGGAATCTGACTGCCAACTTGTGATCGTGAAGGAAGACATTGGCAACATGATAAAAATAGCATAGAGGAGGATGAAAGGAGTCTGGATGTCCTGGGGACTTGTTGAGCTACCAAACCCACCCTGATACTGCCCAGCTTCTGTTCTTTGTGGTATAAACAATACATGGCTTGGCGGTTTCATCTACTGTGAGTTAAGTCTTCTGCTCCTTGCTATCGAGTGTATCCTAAAACCAATACACCAGCAAATGAGATGCAAGAATAACTGCCTGTTTGCTCTGTCATTTTTGCAATGTAGACACCACCTAGAACAAGAAAATTACTGAATCTCTGAATGACATTTTTGTAAAGCCATAGAAGCAAAAACACAAGTTTAAAAGACCTAGATTTTAATTATTAGAGTCAGATTCTTGAGAAAATTTCTGATGGCCTTGAAGCCAGCAGTTTATACAGTGAGGCAGGACAAGGAGAAATCTATTTGAGTGTTGTTTCCTCCCCGCACACAGATAAAATCAGAACATTTTCTAGAGAGGATTGGGAATGGAGAAGACAGCAGATGCTAATGTTGGGCTCTGCTTCCTGGCTTTCCCTTCCTACAGGGTTGACCCATTGATGGGGTGGATAAAATAGGCTTGGAGATCTGAATGTAGAAAGGACTTGCCCCACACTTCCTGCCTCGAACTCAGAGAGGAGATGGCCTTCAAGAATGCCTTGCAGCAACGTGGGTAGACAGCATTGGGCTCAGAATAGGGGCACAGCATAGCAAAACCAACTCATCTCAGGTCTTGGAAGAGACTTCAAAAAGCTCCCAAGCTTCCCCCAAAAAGGAGCTCAAAGGACAGCAGAGAATGAAGAGCTGGAATGCATCAGGAATTCACATCCGCATATCAGAGACTCAGAAAGTGATTATGTCAGATAAATGGAAGAAAAATAAGTAGAAAGAGAATCATTCAGGCAGACTAAATTTTAAAATAAATTACTCTGAAATGAGAAGTTAAGAGTCTTTTGGGTCTTGTCCCATATAGAACAAAAGAGCTATGTTAATTTATCTTGTAAAGAAAGTTTTGTTTCATGCATCCGAGTTGATAATGTAAAATTTAAAGTTGCTTCAGATAATGTGACAACCCTGGAGTATAATACATTAGGACTCATCTCTCTGAACGAACAGCAACTTTGCAAAAGAGGAAACGGGGCTGCCTGTTCTGTTACTGTCACATCTGATTTTTATTTGTATATGACTTGACCAGCCTTTATAGCTCTCACCACACAGCACTTCCATGTTCCATAATGGACCTGTTCAAAGGAAGCCATATCACTCCACTTGATTTGCTTCTGATACCAGTTCCAGGGGTATTGATCTGTCTTGAGTAATGTGTTATTGTTGACAGAGAGGTTTCTTGACTCACTGTAGGTGACTTTTTATGCCCTTTAAAGTTCTGAAAAGCCCATAAAGATAATGTTTAAATTACAAGTCATACACAACAGAAGAGAGTCTGGAGCAGCCACACAGGCAACTGCATAGTACCAGAAGGACTGTGGACATGGAATCAGACTACACAGTTCCATAGCTGACTGGGTATATTACTCTTTCCTCAATTTCCTCATATGTGAAATGGTAAGGCTAATATCTACCTAGCATAGTTTTCTGAAGATTTTATAAGAGATCACATATATAAAGCACCTAACCTTGTTAATCCATAGAAGAAATGTAATAAATATCAGAAAAAGAAGAGATTTTTTTTCTCCCTTCTTTTGTTATTTCATGCTATAAATTTTACCATTTTCTGGGTTTAAGTACAATGCGTTTATGCTAAGGTTTAACACGGTGGCTTCATCTTTTAGTCATTCTAATTAATTTCAGCATTGACTGAACCCAGTGGCCCCTGTAGATAAAAACAGGACCAACCACTAAACATTAAACTCTCAAGCACCCACCTGTAATCACTTAAACAGCTAGAGGTGGCTCCACTGATACTTATTAAACAGATGTTCACTCTGTAACAAAAGTGTACCAATCTCATCCTGAAGCCCAGAAAATAGAAAAGAAGATAGGACAGCCTCTGTTACCAATGGCAGAAATATGACAGGGCTATATGAGGCTAAGATAAAGGATATCAAACTCAAAACCAAGAGTGATAAGCAAGGAGACTGTGTTAGACTGTTTCAATAATTAAGGTGAGAAATGATGGCAGCCTGAAGTGTGATTTTCATGATGGAGATGGGGAGAAATAGATAGTTTAAAAACTGTTAAAAAGGAGCATTGGCAGAACTCATTAATTGAACAGATGCAGATAGCAGGTAGGCTGGGGGAGGGAGGTGTTACATATGACAACATGACATATTCTGTTAATACTAATTGAAGGCCTCTATGGTGGAATCACTTACTTAGGTGACTTGGGAATACAGGGAGGTAAAGTCACATTCCTGGCTCCCAAGAAATGTATAGTACATTTAAAGGGATAAGACATAACAACATCTTTTTAGTATCTGCTCTAGTTTATTATTTTATTTTTTAGGGCCCTATTCTGTTCTCAAAAAAAAAAAAAAAAAAAGTAGTAAGGATGAAAAGGGGTAGGGCATCTGGAAAAAACTTTGGAGAAGCCTCAGGAACATCCCGCTTGAAACCTCCAGCCAATTATTTCAGTCTTATAGAGAGAGTGGATTAAATGAATAGGTTGTGTCACTATTTTTGAGAAGCCTGAGTGCCTCTTCTAAGAGCTATTCTCATTTCCACAAAAAGGAAGGGAAATTGCGGTATCTAAAAGTAGTGTTTGAAAGTCACTTCTTAAGAATTATATCGAGTCAAAACACTTTCATTTAAAGCCCTTAATATTTGAACATTGTTATTTATTTTTGCTGTTTGGATTTTTATGTGTGTGTTTGTGTACCTATGAAAAACTATTCATGTCTCAAATGAAATAAAAGAAGGTGGCTGTGATGTATTAGTATAGGTTCTCAATTTCTGTCCTAGGTAAGATGAAAAGCATGAAGATGCCTCCTTCAATCCCGTCATGGCCACAGTCTCCTTGTCATACCCATATAGGCTCTACCTCAAGTTGTGGGCAAACTTCTTTACCCACCTGTCATGAAACTGTGCTTTTTCTATGCTATCTCTAGGGCCCCAAGACTGTATGGATAGCTGCAGACCACCACATTCAGGAAGAGGGGCCAGATCCATTAGGGAGTATATTTGGCATTGAGCTGATAGAGAATAAAGGAGAAAAACTTCCTGAGTAGCTCCAGTCTTACCAACCCAGCTTCTGTTTCAAAGTGAGTTCATGATCAACGGTGGTCTCGCCTGGAGTCATTAGTCCAGAGAACATCCCAACAAAGAAGGTGTAGGAAGTTTTCCTAAACCTAATTTTTAGGTCAAAAAAACAAGACAGAGAGAGAACAAGATTAGGAAATAAATGGGAAGTTGGAGGAGCCCGGATCAAGCAGAAGTAAGCCCAAGAATGCAAGGGAAAGGTCTGAGGTATAATGGTATAGGTCTGAGACAGGAAGAGCTACGGAATAAGCAGAGCAAGAAAGTGCAGAGGGCAATAAGGAATCCTTTCAGATGCTTTTCTTCTACTCCAACCCCAATTAGATACACATGGGCATTGGTAATTTTGCCTTCTGAATCTCTGGGATAATACATCAACCACGTCATTTGCCCTGGGGAGAGGGTCTTTGAAATTAGCACAATAGCTCTGATTTCCTGCCAAATGGTTAATCAGAAGGGGACCTAATACATAAAGAGCAGGAATCTATTGTTTTCATAGACTCCTTATGCCTTGGGTAAGACATAATTCTAACTTGCTATTACCCCCTTCTCTGATTTTACACTAACTAGGGATATAACAGCCACCTCAAATGTCCCCAGATAGTCCACATCCCAGCAACAGCCGACTTCGCCAAATTGGGGCAGCGATTTCACCTTCATCTCACAGAGTTCAATGAGTATGTTGCCAAGGGACATTTTGAGTGCCAATTCACTAATTTTACAGAAACTCTGTAATTGGTTGGAATTGCTAAGGTCAGGGATTGTACATTTCTTGTCACCTTCCTTCAGAGGGCTAATTTCTGTTTTCTCTCTCGGATGCATTCTATAGCTCAAACAGCAGATGCATTCTCTTGCAGTGGTGAATAAAGGCCATTCTTGGACAGGCCCAATTGCTCTACTAAGTTAGAAGGAACCTCCTTTTTAGCTGACATATAATCAATCAGCATGCATTCGGTTTAGAGCAATGAATCTTCTGTAAGTGACAAGAGACTGGATTTGTTAATTTTGCTTTCAGCAAATGTACCTTAATATGGATATTTCTAAGATTCTTGGCAGCAATATAATTTAAAACATGGTTTAGTGTGACAATACAAGAGCATGATGTTCTGATTCTGATAAAATTTTGTCACATATGAGAGAAGGAAGAAAAAAAAGGTTAGTAGTTCAGATAAGAGAAAATAATTGGCTGAAAAGCTTTTATATTTGAGAATGATATAAAAGTGGAAAGTGAAATCATTGACATGAACTGAGAACTTTGACGGACCTTTACTCTGGAACCGCAATTGCCCAGCTGTGCCTGACATGATCCCATTTGAAGTCAGGGGTCATGATATAAACCTCTCATCTCTGATTTTCCCCTAACCAGGGCTCCAATGGACATCTCAGAATTCCTCAGAACCCCCACACTCTCCAACAGCTGACTTTGATAGTTTGCCTGTTACGAATCAGGGCAGCAATTTGATCACTTCTCATATGGTCCAATACATATGTTGTCAAGTAAAGTAAAAAGATAGCACAAGAAATTTTTACTAGATATAATTGCATTTGAATCACATCCAACTATGCATGAAAACAGCATAGATATCACCTAAGACTCTTACTAACGAAAGTTCCCCACAAAATATCTTAGTGCAGTGATTCTCAAAGTTGTGGTATATATCGGAATCACCAGGGGGAACTTGTTAAAATGCAGAAGCCCAGGCTTTTGTCTACTTGATGAATCTGAGCCCCTATTCTTTATTAACTCCCCCAGGTAATTCTAAAACACTTCTGAGTTTGAGAACCACTGATGTAGTGTTATAGAAAGTAAGTAGAGAAAAGGATGAGCTATAGATAAGAGGGCAACACTTTCTGCCCCTTTTCCCACTGCATGTAGGACATGTTGAGGAGTGGTTTAGCTGGATGGGAAAGCAAGTGTCTTTTTTCATCACTTTTCACTGAGCAGGCAGTTTCTCAATTGCAGCGCCTTCTCCCTCTGACTCCATGCCCATACACACATTATGAATCCGAGGGCCGGTGCCCATGCAGCCATACAATAGAGACAAGGACCAATTTACTTGCCAACTAAACATGTAGGGACATGCTGTCTATCCTCAACACAGATAAAACCTGCAGGTGCTCTTCCTTTGTTGAGCCCAGTGCTTCTCAACCTTGGTTGCACATTACAATTGAAGAATGTTTCAAACTCCCCATTGCCCAAGCTGTAACACAGTCTAGTTACAGCTAAATTGGGAGGAGAGCACAGGTTTTGGTGGTTTATAAGGCTTCCCAGGTGATTCAACATCTAACCAAAATTGAAAACAACTGTCTCTAATTCAGATTCTCACGAATGAGGCAGATTCATCCTGCATTTAAGAGAGCAACCTGTAACTCTAAGGTTACTTCTTCTATTGTATAGTCTCATGATTTGGTATCAGATTAAGTAGTTTAAAATATGAGAAAATGTGCACGAAGAAAAGTCCCAGAGATCTGATTGCCCATTCCTTCTCCTTTCCTACAGTCTTCAGTCTAGGTGACAATGCAAATATAAACCTGCTCTTTTCAGGAAGAAAATACCCACCACACCAACATATGGAAATAGAAAGACTGTGTAAACCTGATTCTTTTATAAGGCGTGTAAAGAGAGAAATGAGAACAGCACATTTGAAATTCAGATTTAATCAAGAAGTCTTAAACTCAATAAAAAGACAACTCAATTTTTAAATGGACAGAAGATTTTAGTAGATATTTTTATCAAAGAAGATATACAAATAACTAATAAGCACCTGAAAAAAAGCTCAACATTATTGGCTATTAGGAAATGCAAATCAAAACCACATGAAATAACACTTACTCATCACTGAAATGGCTATAATCAAAAAAACAGACAATAAAAGTGATGTCAATGATGTGGAAAAACTAAAACGCTCATTAATACATTGCTGGTGGGAATGTAAAATGGTGTGGCCACTTTGGAAAGCAGTATGCCAATTTCTTAAAAATTAAACACAAAGTTACCATGCAAATCAGCAATTCTACTCCTAGTAGTCTCTCCAAGAGAGATGAAAATGAAAGATGGCCACACAAAGACTTGTATGTGAATGTTTATTATGGATAATACCCCCAAAGTGGAAACAACGCAAATGTCTTTCAACTGGTAAATGGATAAACAAAATGTGATATAGCCACAAAATGGAATAATTTACAACAATAAAAAGTAATACAGTACTGATATAGGCCACACTATGCATGAACTTCAGAAAATTATGCTGCACAAAAGAAATCCAACACAAAGTCCACATATTTTATGATTTAATTTCTACAAAATGTCTAGAAAAGATAAATCTGCAGAGACAAAAAGCTGATTAGTGGTTGCCGGGGACTGGAGTGGATATAAAGAATGACTACAAATGGGCCTGAGAGATACTATTTGCGTGAGAGAAATGTTCTAAAATTGGATTGTGGCGATGGTTGCACAACTCTGTAAATTTACTAGAAGTTAATTAAGTTGTGTACTTAAAATGGGTGAATTTTATGATATATATATTATAATAAAGCTATTTAGAAAAACATGTAGAATTGACTTTACAATTCTGCAAAAATAATGTAAAAATTTAAGTAGATATAACATGCAAAAATAAAGCTTATTACTTTGGAAAAAATTACTTCAAAAATATGAAAATAGTTTAAGCTGCAGGAATTTTTTTAAAAAAACAAACTCTAAAATGATAATATTGAGCATTGACTATATTCCAGGCATTATTCTAAGTGCTTTATATCATTTTGTCCTATAAATGAGCCTCTAAGTTTGATGTTATGTTCCATTGTACTAGTATTGAAACTGAGGTCTAACTAGAGATAAAAGACTGATGCTAGAATAAGAAGACAGATTAAAAGGAAGATGGTAGTACTAAAGAAATAATTTGAGTAATTTATAGTGCGTTTGCATAATTGTAACTGGTATTAAAAAGAATGAAAAAGAGAATAGAGACCCAAATCTAGTGTTGATCAGATGAAGATTAAAGACATCACAGACAATGCAGAGAAAAAGGAGAAAGAGATTAAGGTGATCAGAGAATAGATGATAGATAGATACAGATGACATAAAATGAGGAACAGAGTAGGGATAATTAGTGTTCTTGGGGTGCAGAGGAGAATCAACATAAAAATATTAAAGATATTATTTAAAATGTCTTTTTAGCTGAAGAGAATTCTAAACATAAATAATACTATCATTAGCAAGAATAAATATCAGGCAATAATGTACCACAACTGCACTGAGCACACATCAGCTCCTTGAACCATCACAACAACCCTAGGAAGCATGAACTATAATTTCCATTTTACAAAGGATCCCTAGAGCTAAGATGACTAGATATCTTGTTTGCTTAGGACAATTCTGGTTTACTGCATGTAAACTACCTAAAATACCCATTTTATTCTCAAATTTATGAGTCTGGACAATAAATTACATGATCACCCTATTTTGAGTCTAAGAACTACAGGTGGTAAACTGCAGAACCAAAACTTATTGGAGAAGTCTCCAAAGCCTTTGTTCTTAACCATTTTGTTATACTAAATCTGCAGAGCTAAAGTGTTCATCACAAAGCGACACAACTTGTAAAAAATAAGTGATTATACCAAGAAATTCTGCATTTCAAAGATAAATAAACAACTCTATATGCATTCAGTAGAAGTAAGTCATTTAAAAAGGAAAAAGATATTAATTAATTTCATAAGTAAATGAAAAATAGTACCCTGGATTTCTTCTTTACAACATTAAATGCCAGAAAACAATGTCTACAAAGTCAAGTTAGAATTAATGGAAGCTCTCAAATATACAAGTAGCTAAGAATCAAGAAGTCAAGCAACTACTTAAAGACATTGTCCAGCTAATTTAGGTAGAAATCAAAATTTAGACTTCACAAACACATAAGTAAGATACAGAAGTACTTATAGTGGGCAATGAATCCACTTTAATATCAAATTATGTAACAGTTGATCTGGTAAATATCATGTCTAGACAAAGTATACATGTGATATTTCTTGGAAGACAATATGCACCATATCTAACTTCGATCCTGCATCAAAAATTCCACTGGTTTGAGAAGAGGCCGAGGGAGCAGTGTGGGAAGAAATGCATATGAGCTGCTTTTCCCATTTTCACAAGGGGAATCCAATAAATAATGTCTTATTCCTGTTGTTGATAAACTAGCAGTCTGAAATTTAGTCAAAATTTTTAAGTTGTAAAAATATACATCAGTAGAGCAAAAAAAATTGTATTATCTTTCATGTTGCAGAAGAAAATAGAATTAAAGAAAACCTTAGAAAGATAACATAAAGAAAAAATGCAAAGGTAATACTAAAACTAAAGAAAATATTTTAAATAGCAGTAAAAGACAGAAAACAAAGGTAAAAATCAGGAAGTATATAGAGAGACCAAACACAGGATGTTTAATACTAAATACAAATGGTTAAATCACTCTCTTATTAAAAGAAAGATAGCCTCATATTAAACAAAACAATAAGTAAAATATATTTACAAGAGACACCAAATGCCAATGATTACAGAATGTAGAGAATAAAAGAATCAGTAAAGATATGCAAAAGAAACTAAAATATAATACAAATTTAAAAATACAGTATAACAGCTATTTACCTAGCATTTACATTGTATTTAATTAATCTAGAGATGATTTTAAGTATATGTAAGGATATGCATAGGTTATATGCAAATACTACACCGTTTTATATAAGCGACTTGAGCATCTTGGATTTGGCATCCACGGGAGTCTTACAACAAATCCTCCATGCATACCAAGGGATTTGTCTGCTTATCTGACTTACTTAAAGAATCCTGATTTTATAGAGCGTGACCATATTCTCAGCCTCCCTTGCAAATAGGAGAAGCTATGTGACTAAGTTCTGACCAGTGAAATATAAGTGGAAGTTACTGGGAGGGCTTCCAGGAAAATTCCTTTAAAAAGAGCTGAGCTCCCTTTTGTCTTTCCCCTTTCCTTCTTCCATTGGCTGGAATGCAAACACGATGAAGCTGAAATGTATATCTTACAACCATATGGTGACCTTAAAGATGGAAGCACTTCATCAAGGAAAACAGAGCAAGAAGATACGATGAGCCTGGGTCACTAATGATATCCTGGAACCACTTCACCACCCCTTGATTCATGTTACCACTAATTCCCCATTGCTTTCCTACATTAATTCAAACTTGACTTTGTAAAAATTATTTTCTGGCATATAATGTTGTAAAGAAAAAATTCAAGATACTGTTTTTTTATTTACTTACTAAATTAATATAGTATTTCTTTATTAGTGACTCACTTTTACTGAATGCATGTAAAACTTGTTTATCCTTGAAATACAGGATTCCTTGGTACAACCACTTTTTTTTCTAAAACTAGTTTGTTTCTTTATGATGAACACTATAATAGCTCTGCAGATTTAGTGTAATAAAAGGGTTAAGAACAATAGCTTTGGAGACTTCCATGACTGAAAGTTTTGGTTCTGCAACTTACCAACTCTAGTTCTTAGGCCCAAAGTAAGGTGATCATGTTATTTACCTTGTGTCTTCACCACAATACCTTGACTCTATCTTTCTTGAGGGAAAGACAAACAAGCATTCTGTTTTGTTCAAATTGCTCTTTTTTTAAGATCTCTGTACTTGGACTAAAAAGCAATTATTAACTGATATCAGCACATAAAATTAGTTTATAACAAATCAAAATCCAAGGTGAAAAAATTATATGAGAGTCTTTTTACTTGATGGTTGACAAATTCAACATAATCACGTGTGTCATGAATCTTTTTATGACAACAATACAGCATCAAAATGTACAGTGTAGACCTAGAGGAAATACAAAGAGAAACACAGGGCCCCAATAATAATGGAAAACATAAACAAACCTTTCTGTGCCTTTGACAAATTAGGTAGACAAAAGCTAAAAGGTAAAGAAATGAGATTCTAGAGACTTCAGTAGAACTAAGAGTACCTAATAAAATGCTTCTAAAAATATGTGTGTGTGCGTGCGCACATGTGCACACACACAGGCATTTGTGAAATTATCTTATAAATAGAATTCCAGGTATTTTTTCAAAAACTGAACATATATATATAATGTTTTAAAATATTTCAAAAGATAGAACTTGCCTTCAAAATATAATTCAAGAAATAAACAAAACTTGAAATTAAACTGAACAAAAATATAAACATTTAGAAGTCACTTCCAAGTAATTCTTTGGTCTAAGAAGAAATCAGACACACATTGTATTTATTGTAGAAAATAATGAAAATGAAAATACCACATATCAGACTCTCCAGGTCACAGCTAAAAGCAGATTCAGAGGAAAATTCGTTGCCTTAAATGCTTCAATTATAAATATGAATGAATGAAAATAAACGTTAAGTATTTAATCCAAGCATTCAGATTTTTTAAAGACAGCAAAATTAAGAAAGAAAAAGAAGGAATTGATGAAGATGTAGTAATAGCAATTGTACTTCAATAAAATATTTTGAGGAAATAATCAGACAAGAGCTCAAGAATGTTTGTTCGGTGCTGTTTCTGGAAACTCAGAAAAAACTTTAATCTTTATTATAGGGATGATTGAATAAATCATAACACATTTCATGTTAGCAGAACAAAGAGACACTAAAATATATACCTTAATACAAAAATCTACAACAAGTGGAATTAAAAAGCAGAATGCAGAGCTGAATATAAGAATCACAATTGGGCACTGAGGAATACATTAGCAGTTAATATAAGTTGTGTCTTTACATCTTCAGGTATTTATTTAAAGGAACTACAGTTTGGTGTTATAATTAGAAAAATACAACCCTAAAAGTATGGACTGTGAAATCATATTTATTCTAGTGTCCTCCTTTAAGTAGAACATTGCATTCCATTTCTTTAGGGACTGTATTTCTTAATCATTGTAACAGGTATAACCTCTTGTACCCATTACAGCAAGCAATTACTAAATATAATATACCACATTTGTCTTTTCTGCAGGATCCCAAGAATTTCTCTGCCCTCAAAGCAATTTTCTGTTTAATGCTATGCTGAGGATACTCTTATTTCATACTAATGATTTAGAACCCTCACCACCATATCAGAATTCCAAGCCAAAACTAAGGTACTATGAAAAGTTAACTGGTGTGGAAAGTCAATGGTCATTTCTTATCTTATTTCTCTACTTGAAGAGTTATTCCTTACCAAGAGCTCTCCGCACCTTCACTATGGGGAAATATGCACCTACTTTAAGGAAATATTATGGGAATTAAATGTTGTGACATCTTTCAGGCACCCAGCACAGTGGTGAGATGGAGTTCCCCCTTTACCTTCTCCCATATTCTTTCCTGATCCTATCTGAGTAATTACAACTCTTCCAACCAATCCACTTTTACACAGTTTTTTTTATAGAATAAACATCCAAATGCAGCATCTGTGATATATCTGAATTAAATAGTGGGTGCAACAACATGGCTATTTCAAGCTTAAATGTCAGCTAATTTTTTTGAAAGCAAAGTCATGGGAGTGAGTGTCTGTTTACACCTAATGCTGAGAAATTTAATCTCTGCAGGCTGTGACACATTCTGATATCAGAGGATCAAAATCCCACTGGTGGAAGTTAATTTCCTTTGCTCTACAATCCACACTTACCATTCTGCACTCAGGTGGGAAAATAAAACTTGTGTTCTTCATCCAAAGTTACTAAAAACACCCAAGCCCAAATTTAAACCTCAAAACTATGAGCTCTGCTTCCTTGGAACTCAAAAGAATAATTCTCTTTGCTACTCAGAGATTAATCACACTGCCTTTATCACCTACTATGCTTGTGTTATTTTACTCTTCTTTTGTTATTTAACTGAGAGCATTTGTGTCTATTCTACCCAACCAAACCATGAATTTGCATGTGTCAGGGAAGCTCTGGCAAAATCTGATACAACTTATTCCTCATATATTAATTGCTTAATACAGTTTTTGTGATTGAATTTTGAGCTAATAACATATTTTAATTCAATACAGCATGCATTTTTAAACACTCTGAGAATGTCCAAAAACAATTTGGCACTTAGGTAAGAAGAGACTTTATTCAGGCTGGGTGCGGTGGGTGGCTCACGCCTGTAATCCCAGCCCTTCGGGAGGCCGAGGCGGGCGGATCACAAGGTCAAGAAATCGAGACCATCCTGGACAAAATGGTGAAACCCAGTCTCTACTAAAAATACAAAAATTAGCTGGGCGTGGTGCCATGGGCCTGTAGTCCCAGCTACTGGGGAGGCTGAGACAGGAGAATTCCTTGAACCCGGGAGGCGGAGATTGCAATAAGCTGAGATCACGCCAGTGCACTCCAGCCTGGCAACAGAGCAAGACTCCATCTTAAAATAGAATAAAATAAAATAAAGAGACTTTATTCGAAAGGATTAGTGCAAGAGGGAGACTGGACCATTACAGTAAGGAGAAAGGGGCTGTTGTAGTTTGGAGAACATTCTTATCATGAGATCTGGAAGTATCTCAAGGGTTAGGAAAAAAGAGATTCTCTTTCATAGGAAAGAATAGACAAGGCTAGAAAGAACCAGGTGTGGAGAAGTACCATGACAGGAGTGACACGATCTGCCAGTAGATGAGGGAATATTTTACCCTGAACTCTGCAGCGTACTCCAGGGAGAGGCTGTGGAGGAGGAGCTGTGTGCTGGCTGAGGCTGAGGGCGGGACAAAGTTCAGCCTAGGAGAAGCAAAGAATCTTAACCAAAGTTGGTTTAGCCTGCATTTTTTTCTGATTGATCAGTGGGGACAAAACAGCTTAGCTAATATCATTTATGAGACAAACAAAAGGAATTTAGAGGGTCTGCGTCTGGCCTTGTTATAAGTGTTGATGGCTATTTACTCTGTGTTGCTACAAAAATATATGTGAAATTGGGTAATTTAAAAAGAACAGAGGTTCATTTGGTTCACAGTTCTGCAGGCTGTACAAGAAGCATAGTGTCAGCATTTGCTTCTGGTGAGGGCCTTGGGAAGCTTACAATCATGGCAGAAGGCAAAGTAGGAACAGGCACGCCACATGGCAAGAGAGGGAGCAAGAGAGAAAGGAGGAGGTGCCAGGCTCTTTGAACAACCAGATCTCATGAGAACTAAAATCAAGAACTCACTCATTACTGCAAGAACAGCACCAAGCCCTTCATGAGGGATCCACCCCCATGATCGAAACACCTCCCACCAGGCCCCACCTCCAACATTAGAGGTCACATTTCAACATGAGATTTGAAGGGGACAAAACATTTGAACCATATCAATGCCCACAAGGCAGCATTGGTGAATCTGATTTAAGTCACATGGGGAATAATGGTTAGCTGCACAAAGCCCTTTCTGGAACACAAAGCAGTGGGGGCATTTATTAACCTTTTCTGTTTTCCAGGATCACAGGGTTCTGGTAAAGTTCAAACTTGTCAGAGGATACAAGGAGAAAAGGTGCAGTGTCTCCATTCAGGAATTTGGAGACTAAAGAAAGAGTCAAGGAAAAATTGTTCACATTTTTAAAAATAGTAACGATTAAGCAGAAGACAAGAAGGAAGACAATTAGATCTCATTTGATTTCCAATACCTTCATGATGCAGGCACCACAGTCTCTCAGTTAACAGATGAGAAGAAAGAGGCTTAGAACTGTTAAGTAAATAATCCAGGGACTCACAGACAGGACATAGCAGAGCCAAGTTTGAATCCAGATCATTTTGACAGCCCAGGGCACAGTTCATATATGAAAAGGCCAACTAACAAAATGTTAGCTAACAAATGCATCACTGTGGACAGTCAGGAAATACCTGCAAGCTCCAGAACTTTCTCATTTACATAGCACTAACAGAAACTTTTGGACTTTCCCTGCAATGAGGCAGAGTGTCAATCCCTACTGAGATGGACCCCAATAACCATTAAAAATACATATATAAAAAACAAGTTTAAATATTTTGCCTATAACTTTTATTCCAAAGCTTATGAACTCTTCTCTTTTAGCATTACAGGAAAATGATGTATTTGTTCAAGGATATAAAAATTGTGGCCAGGGCTCCCATAGTGAATGTATGAAGCAGGAAGCTGGGGGGATCCATGGAACCTTGAGCATTCTCTTCCAGAACTCTCCATCCCTGCTAAAGCTAAAATGCCTGTATCATGGGCAAAGCTTGTCACACTAGAAAGGTCAAAACTTAAAAATGTTCTTACCAAGTATCTCCCAGTAGTATGTGGCTGATATGAGACTGAGGCAAAGCTTCTCCTAGCAGAAAAGAAGGGACTCAGTAACCTGGGAAAGGTGACCTTCATCTAGAAAAGGAAGAGACAGAATTTCTACAAATGAGTTCAGGTAAGAATGTGTATTAGAGTTCTCCAGAGAAACAGAAATAGAACTAATAGGAGGGGTGTGTGTGTGTGTGTGTGTGTGTGTGTGTGTGTGTGTGTGTAGGGAGGGGGGAGAGAGAGAAACAGAGAGAGAAATTTATTATAGGGAATACAATATGAAATAATCATTCACACAATTAATAGAGACTAAGAAGTCCCAAGATCTGCAAGCAGCAAGTGTCAGGCCTCTGAGCCCAAGCCAAGCCATCGCATCCCCTGTGACTTGCACGTATACGCCCAGATGGCCTGAAGTAACTGAAGAATCACAAGAGAAGTGAAAAGGCCCTGCCCCGCCTTAACTGATGACATTCCACCATTGTGATTTGTTCCTGCCCCACCCTAACTGATCAAGGTACTTTGTAATCTCCCCCACCCTTAAGAAGGTTCTTTGTAATTCTCCCCACCCTTGAGAATGTACTTTGTGAGATCCACCCCTGCCCGCAAAACATTGCTCTTAACTTCACCGCCTATCCCAAAACGTATAAGAACTAATGATAATCCACCACCCTTTGCTGACTCTCTTTTCAGACTCAGCCCACCTGCACCCAGGTGAAATAAACAGCCATGTTGCTCACACAAAGCCTGTTTGGTGCTCTCTTCACACGGACGCGCATGAAAGCAAGCTGGAGACCCAGGAGAGCTGATGTGTAGTTCCAGTCTGAGTATGAAGGCCTGAGAACCAGGAGAGCCAATGGTGTAGTTCCAGTCTGAAAGCTGGCAGGCTTGAGACCCAGGAAGAACTGATGTTTCAGTTCAAGCCCAAAAGCCAGAAAAAAAACAATGTCCCAGCTCAAAGAAGTCAGGCAAGAGGAGTTCCCCGCTTTTCACAGAAGAATTAGCCTATTTATTCTATTCAGGCCTTTAATTGAATGGATGAGAGCCATTCACATTAGGGAGGGCAATCTGCTTTACTCAGTCTGCCAATTCAAATGCTAATCTCATCCAGAGCCACCTCACAGACACACCCAGAATAATGTTTAACTATTTGGGCACTCCATGGCCCAGTCAAACTGACACATACAGTTAATCATTATACCATGTTAGTTTGTCTTCTTGTCCACTCAACTTTCTTCTAACTACTGTATAGTATTCCATTGTGTTATATACATGCACAGTTATACTTTATAAAGATGAAAGGGCTGGGCACAGTGGCTCACACCTGTAATCCCAGCACTTTGGGAGGCCGAGGCAGGTGGATCACGAGGTCAGGAGATCAAGACCATCCTGGCTAACATGGTGAAACCCTGTCTCTACTAAAAATACAAAAAATTAGCCAGGCGTGGTGGCAGGCGCCTGTAGTCCCAGCTACTTGGGAGGTTGAGGCAGGAGAATGGCGTGAACCCAGGAGGCAGAACTTGCAGTAAGCCGAGATCGTGCCATTGCACTCCAGCCTGGGCAACAGAAAAAGACTCCATCTCAAAAAAAAAAAAAAAAAAAAAGGAAACAACCATATTTATTATTTTGCTTAATATTATGTTTGTAAGTTCCATTTATGTTATTTTTGGCTACAGATCATTTTCTTATTGCTATATAGTATTTCATTGTGTGACTACATGAAAATTTATTCATCCAGTTGATGGACATTTGGGTGGTTTCCAGTTTGGGATGATTCATTGATTTTGACATCATGAATATTTAGGTTGCTTCTGATACGTTTCTTTAATACTTTGCGAAGGCATCATTTTGCATGACTGCTTGTATAGATACATAAATGTTTCTCTTGGGTGGCCACAGGTTAAACAATGGTCTATCTGGATCATGAATGGAGAGAAAAGGAAACAACCAGAAAGCTCTCTCTCCCCACCTATTCTCTGTCCATGGCATCTGCCACTTTCTCTCACTCTGCCCCTACCACACTGTGACCTAACCAGCTTCTACCTTCTCCCAGGAGTTCCTCACAGATTTTGTCTTATAAACATTTTCTTGAAGTAAAACATACCTACAGAAAAGTGCATATGTTTTAAGTATGTAGTGCAAAGAATTTATGTGAATTGAGCATATGTAAGTAACCCAGATAGAGATGAAAAATTATTAGCATCTAGAAATGGAACAATGCATTAGAGGATATGTAATTCCAGCTTTACTAAATACTGCTGAATTGCTTTTCAAAAATTACCACATCAACTAACTCTCACCAGAAGTAAAGATGTACACCCGTTTCCCTTCAATCTTGTCAGCACTTGGGGATAGCCACACGCTAGCTTTCACTATAATAATAGGTAAACATTCTTACTGGTTTTAGTTATTTTCCTTAATTTTTAATATGGTTGAGCCTATCTTCATACTCATTTGTTAGTTGGAATATGCTGCACTTGTTTTGCTATTGAGTTGTTGTCCTGTTTTGAACCTTTCCTTAAGAGTCCACAGCTTATCCAGTTTTCTACACAACTCACTTCTGTTTGCTGCCCTTCATTATAGACTCAATGCCTTCTCATTGCTAGAGCACTGTGCCCTCCTTGGGGCTCGATGGTTTATAATAAAGCTTCCCCAGGAGATCTCATGGGGGCCAGGTTCTTTAGTGGTGGCCACTAAAGCTACTACCTCTTATTCCAGGTGCCATAAACCAGTGGCTGGACCTGGTTGGTTCACAGAGTGTTCTCAATGTGAGGAATCAGGTATTGTGCTTGGTTGTCATATAAGCAGCTTAGTTCCCATTGTTTTATACCTGGCCTGCTACCCTCATTCATGTTACCTTCATGCCCCATAGACATTTGAGATTTGATGCAAACCAGTCTGTTACAGTAAAAGCACCACTGTCTAGGAAGTTCTGGAGATGGGTTATCAGCTCATTTACATCAGCAGCTGCGGGATCTTGGGCAAGTCATTTCACCTATTGGAGCCACTCTCTGCTAGCATAAAGGAGAACATAAAGATACCTTCCCTGCCTATCTCACAAGGTTGTTTGGGAAACTGAATGAAAGAACGTGTAAATGTGCTTTGCAGGTTTTTTGTGAAACAGGAATAGCTGTTAGTATTCTCGCCTAGCCCTGTCTGTGGTGCCCAGGATGCTGCATTACCTCCTTTCTACCCTCGCCCTGAGTATTGGTCCTAGGTAGAAGCTGAGGTGAATATACTGAAAGCAGTAAGAATCTTCACCAGGCCCCTCCCAGTCATATCACAAGGTGTTGTAGCTTATTGACAAACACAGACCTCATGTTTCTCTGAGAACCGCCCTGTGAACACCTAGATAGAACTAAGGGTGTGAAATACAAACGTACTATTTGCCTACACTTACGGAAATAAGAGCACATGACACAGTAGATGGCAAGGTGAGGCTTTAAGTCAGAAAGCAACCTCAGCTGAAACAAATGCATAATTATAATTTGATTTCAGAAGTGGAAACATGACCCGAATTCATGCACCTACTGATTAGTCCAAATTCCTTTATTGTTGAAGCTGGAGCAGAAGTGGGGGTCCACCGTGGAAGTAAGGAAAAGCAAAACAGAACAGGGGTCTCATCCAGGGAGCCATGTCGATGGCTATGGGGAGCTCCACCTTGCTCTTGGGGTGGGGCCCTGGCCCTGGGTGGGACTGTGGGGTGATGAGGGTTGTGCTATGCTGGCTACCTGGTGGTAATTGCCAAGGAGAGAGCAGCACGTAGATCCTCCCTGTCATCAGGCAGAGCTCTTCAGTGAGGTGGGCTCAGGGAGGGCTCTGTGCCTCCGTTCAGCAGAGCTGCAGCTGCTGCCCAGCTCTCAGGAGGCAAGCTGGACTCCCTCACTCAGCTGCAGGAGCAAGGACAGTGAGGCTCAACCCCGCCTGAGCCATGCCAGCCAACTTCACAGAGGGCAGCTTCGATTCCAGTGGGACCGGGCAGACGCTGGATTCTTCCCCAGTGGCTTGCACTGAAACAGTGACTTTTACTGAAGTGGTGGAAGGAAAGGAATGGGGTTCCTTCTACTACTCCTTTAAGGTAAGTTTCTTGCCTGCGACTCTGAACACTGACTTATAACAATGAGACTGCTGGAACTTAAGAGTGTCAATTGAAGTATCATAGCCAGTATTGTGAATGAGTGTTATTTTCTTTACTAAAAAGGATTTTTAAAAGTCTGAAGTGCTAAAACAACAAGCTGTAGTGTGCAGAGACCTAGATTGTAGTTTCTTAGGAATACAGGTGACGTTTTTCTTTCTGATGCTGCTGGAAATGTGTGAATCGTGAGTAACATTTATGAGTGGATGATTTTTACTTTCCCCCTTTCCTTAGGTGAAAGCACTTTTAATTAATCCTATAGCAGTACTTGAAATGTCTGTTTCTAGTAGGGGTTAGAGCTATGAGTTTTTTGCTAGGAACACCAGAGATGCGGAAAGCTCACAATCCCCAGGACAGTGACTGATATGATGAGAAACAACATTGAATAAGGCAGGAAGGACGACACTTTCTTTGATGATCCTTTTCATTAAACATCAGTGAGGAATATATTTCTTTGAGGGTAGTTGATGATGCCACCATTTGCAACAAATTACCTCCTAGAACAAATGAAGGACAGAGAGTTTGGTGAGTTTCACCTTCAAAGTATCCAAGGGCCACACTGAGGAAGGATCTTCATTAAGCTAATACTGTATTGTTTCTTATTCCGCAACAAGATCTTGTGGACAGAAATGAACCGCACATTTGGGAAAAGAACAGTTTCCTGCTTCTTGCCTCAGAATGCTGGGTTGTCAGGTTATTTCACACCTGTCTAACGATATGTTTAGTCATTGCAATAATTCACAGGTCTCAAACTGGTCCTTTCCACTGAAGAAAAAATACTTCAAAAAGATTCTAGTTGTTGCTTTGTTGGGTTTTGTTGTTGTTGTTGTTGTTAATCCTCTGTATGTTCTTGAAATGATTTGGTTTTTACACAATGAGATAGCATTACTGTAACATCCACCTCCCTACTGGAAGTTCACTTCTTTTGCAAATATTCAGAATAAAACTTTCAGCAGGGTGCTGTCCCAGGAGTCAGACTTAAACTTCCAGGGCCCTAATGATCCTGCAGCAAAGCAGAACCTGAGCAAACTACTCCTCCACTGGCTTCAGTGAAACCCTGTCCCTTGGAATCACCTCCTAATGCATATGCACATACGCAGCCCAGCTGCACAGCTCCACGATGTAGCTTAGAAAGTAAAATTAGAGTTTGTTGCCACTTAATGTCGACTGAATAATCCCCTTTATGAAATCAGCCTGCAGACCCAGAGAGTCTGTCTTGGCAGGCTGTGTGCACCCAGGAAGCACAGGACTCCACTCAGTATTGCTGCCTGTGTAGCCTCTTTGATATTCTTAGAACATGATAGCAAGCAGAATGAAGAGAGGCCCTCCATTGCAAAGGGAATAAAATCAGCAATAAGGTGGTTATTCTGAGACTCTGGCAAGAATCAATCTCAGCTGAAATCTCATTTGCCATTTTTTGAATATAGCACCTACAGGGATATTTGGAATATGTGAAGAAACAAATCCCACCTTGCTCTCTATGAGTGTTTGTCCTCTCTATCCTAGCAACATCATCGCCAGACACTAAAGAGAATCACAGCATCTCTAGCTGATTCCTATTGATATGTTTGCAGCAAAACGGCTGGACCACTGGACAAGGAGAAAAGCAGAAAGACAGGAATTGTGTTTGGCCAGGAGCTTAGAATGCTCAGATTCATTATTTGAGAGATACGTGTATTGACTAAAACCCTGTGATTTTTAGTTACACAGTGATTACTGGTGGTATTTGTGAGAACTTAGCTTATATTTCTTAGTGTAACTTTTTTTCTATGATCCCCTTTGGGCACAAGCAATTCTAATGCATTGTTGATACAGAAATAGTTCCAATGCAAGCCCTTGTTCACTGCAATTCATTTTATCTGACATACTTCTAGAGAAGAAATTCGAAACCATGCTCCCTTTACTGTCTCCCAGATGTATCCCCTTTAATCCCCATTGCCTTCATCAAAAGCAGTAAAAAAAATAGCATGAAAATAAAAATAGCAGCAGCAGTAAAAGTCACAGAAATAACAGCAACAACCATACGTCTCATTTACTTTGGGCATTCTTGGTGCCAAGAGTCATAGCAAGACTCACTTAGCAAGTGACTTCTGTGAAGTATCTCATTTAATTCTCACAATCCATGGTGTATCTTTCCTTCCGGTCCTGCCTTCCATCTTCATCTGTTTATCTCAATTTTACCCAGTCTATAAAGCTCAGCTTGGGTTGCTTCCTCCATGAAGCCCTCCTTGACTCATCCCTCCCTGACTCATCCCTCCCTGAGCTTCATTAGTGTCACGGACTGTACCTCTCTTCTTGCCACTTAATGCAGTTCTGTCTTAAACTGCTATTTCCATATGTGTTGGCTGAATGTGTTACAGTCCTCAAGCTCCTTGAGTAAAATGAATGCCTTATATTTGTTTCATATTTTCTCCCAGGACCTACCACTATGTTAGTCATACTCAATAAACATTGACTGCATAAACAAATTGTGATGTGTTTTTTCTTCCAATTACCAACATTTTGTCAAATAAGCAACAGAAAGCATGTATTCCCTGTGACAGAGGTGGGTGGGGGCTCTCATTAACCAAGTTTCCACCCATCAGCCCCTACCCTGCCTGGTCTCTATACTCACCCAGGTCCCTTTCTGCAAGCATGTTCAGCTTGTCCCTATTCCATTTCTAAGCCAATGAGACCAAAGTCGGTTCTAGATTCCAGTGGGTGGGGTATGGAATTAGCTGAGGCACCATGAGCTGGTACCAAGTACCTGGTCCAGCCCTGGGGAATCCATCTCTATTGCATGGCAGCCTTACCTAGTCTCAGCTGTCTTGCTCCGTCCACTTACCTAGGCTCCTGACTTCGTTTCCCATCTCACATTCTAGTTCTTATCCTCTGAACTCCAAAGCTCTTTCAGGAGGAGACAAAGCACCCCGTCTAGATCTTACTGGCACTTCCTTCACAGGCTTAGAGTCTGTTCCTTCCTCCCACCTCCACCCTTGAATTCTGGCTTCTGCTTCCACCCCTCTAACCTACTCTACCTTCCTAAGCATGTGAGGCTCTTGGAAATGAGCAGGGAGGTCTAGGGTGGGTTCACCCATCCCATCTTCCACCATGGGCCTTGTGTAACTAACCCTACGTGGTCTTGGGTTCAAGATTCTCAGCTCAGACCCTGGCTCCCTTCACAGTTTCCAGTTTTGTGTGCTTTTAAGATCACATCCAGCTCACCTCTTCAAGACCTAGGTCTTGGCACTAAGGAATTATATGCGTTTCAAGAATCTACCAGAAGTTTTCAAGGGGAAATGGGAACCAGCTCATCAGAAAATAAATGAGGTATCTGAATATAAGGCTGTCCAAATGCAAAACAAATACAAAACTCTTCACACAGAAAGCCCTTAATTTTGCTGGTGAATTCACCAGCAATGTTTCCTGAATCTCTGATACTTAATGAGAAACCTAATTAGAAGTAACTGGGAGGGAGACCTGTCTTGATTAGTGAATTATCTAAATTATAAAATAATGTAAATGAAACTTAGTTTTATTACTCATAGGTGAGCACAGAAACATGAACTAAGACTGCTAAATATCACCTAATAACAATCTTTTATTGCGCCTCCTTCGGTGGATAGTTACAAGTGATACACAATTAGTCTATTGTTTATATGTAAATGGTTGCTTCTAAGTGCTTGAGGGTGATTTGACACAGTTTGTTCCCTTTGTTTGTACACCCTCCCTGCCACGCTGCCTTACTGTTAATTTTCTTAACACACTCTTCCTCCATTAATATAACAAAAGCAAATTTCAACTCAACGCATGTCCCAATTATCTCACGCTATGCTTTTGCAAGGGAGCTCCTTCCTGCCCTGGCCCCAGGACAGTGTCAGGGATGTCCTTCCTGGAATCCAGAATCCCTCATGTCCCAACCCCCAAATGTATCTCCTGCAATTTGTAACGAGAGGTCTTGCATTTACATCATGCATTTTTTATTCTTTTCTAATTAGTCTCGCTCAGTATGTTCAATTTGAGTTTCTACAGTTGAATACTGTGGCTGCTCCTAAGGAAATTACTACCAGTTTTGCTCGGTTAAATCATTATTAAACATATTATTCCTTCCTGCCAGTTCTGCTACCCAGACCTAGTGCTCTGCTTTCCAATCCCTGACCCTGGGTAAACTCTACCGTGCAGTGTGTCCAATTTCACTTCACACAAATGAGAAAGGCTGAGGATGGCACACAATTTCCAAACTATAGACGCTAGTATTTGAAAAGGAAATCTTCCTCAGCTAAATTTCTCTTTGCATTACTAATACATTTGATGGCAGGAAGCATAATCTTAGCTAATTCAGAATAAACCTAGTCATTGCAGAGCTTTTCAGCCCAGGAAGAGTTTTCACATTTTCTGGCTTCGGGAAGGCATCTAACTCCAGGGGCAGTGCTTCTGTAGTGCATTTCTCTCTCTCTCTCTCTCTCTCTCTCTGTGTGTGTGTGTGTATGTGTGTGTGGCGGGGGGGAGTGGGGGTAGAGGATGGATGGTGAAGAGAGTCTGATCTACTGAGGGATCTGAGCAAGTTGGCATCAGCTGAAACAAGACCTGTCTGTCCCTCAGATGTGGTCATCCTCGTTCTGGACTTTCATCTGGGTTCCCATCCGACCTGTGTCAGGCCCACATTGCTTTCTGGGGTAATGTCCCTTGGCCACATTCTCTCCTGGTACAGGGTGCTTGAATCCCTGTCTCTCAATCCCAGCGATAATTTCTGCCTCCTTCCTAAGAATAGAAAGTTTGACTGCTACCAACTTTGGGCTGCAGAAAACAAAATGGAGCATCTCTGGCCCTCTCTCATCCCACATAGCCACCTACGCTATACAACTTCCACCTCATGATAGATGGGAAAATCTGGGAGACTGTACTTCCCTGGTCCCTACACAGTAAGTGGACCTCAGCGCCCTTCCAATCCTGTGCTCCCCAAATGTAGCAAATGTTCTCTCTTCCTCCGCTTTTTCCTGCTAACCCTTGGAGGGGGGCAATCCAATACCCTCTTGTCATTGTCTCAGTTGCCTCGCATCTCCCCAGCATCTGACACCACTGCTGCGCCATCAAACTCTTCCATCGCCCTCAGCGACCCCCCTGTCATGGGGAAATTGATGACACAGTGTTCTTCCGAATTTATTATTCCAGGCTCTCTGTTCTGAATGCTCAAAAGTCACACCCTCTTGCAACAGAAAAAACCCATTTCTCTTCCAGCTGTTTAAGATATCCTCACTGAGGTATTTTGAAAGCCCAGTGCTGACTTGTTTCTGTCCATCTGCATTGATAAAGAGTGCAGTCTGAGGACAGTGGGGCTGCCTGGGCTGGTGGACAGTGTATCAAAGAAGTGGAAAGAAGCACATCCATTCATGCTTGACAATGTCATTCTGCCATCCTTCAAATAATTTCCTGTTGATGAAGTAAGAATGTTTCAAGCCATGCACTCAGGTAGATAAGAAATCTAACACTATTTTTCTTAAATAAACTGAGCTTCTCTCTGGACCTCTCAGTCCCCCAAGTAAACTCAGGCTTTTGAGCTTTCTCCATCATTTCAATGAGGCAGTGTGGCTCAGAGAGCAGGCTTTAGAGCCAGACTTCTGGGGTCAAATCCCAGTGCCACACCATCTAGCAGAGTGACTTTGGGCACTTTACTTCCACCGGTGTCTCAGTTTCCTCATCCAACAAACAAAGCTAATAATTGCATGTCCTGTAGAGAGTTGTTGTGAATAGTTAAGTGAGAGAATGCTTGTATAGCCTTAAAGAACAGCAAGCGGCCCCCAGGAGTGTTCATTATTCATAATTAGAGTCCCAGGAATTCGTCATTCCACTCTTTTCTCAAGACAACTACTGAGAGGTGAGGAGGCAGCATTAGCTGTAAGGAAGAAGTTTCGGAAGATGCTGAGAGAGACCACTGCAGGTGGAAGCACTTCAGGACAGCTTCGATATGCAGGTGGTCCTCAAACAATGGTCATGAATTAAGCTGTTTCTTTTCTTTTTTTTAAAAAAAAAAAATGAGACCATGAAAATGTAGAATAAGATATAGATATAGAGGGAAAATTTCCATTTCTTACTTTGTCATCCTGATATTATGTCTAGCTATTATCTAAGCAAACTTAATGGCCCACTACATGAAAGGCTATTTGCAGAAAGAGCAAATTATGCCCTATCTGGAGAAAGAAAGAAATGGCTTCTTCTCTGCTGTGAAGATTTTCCAGGCCACAGATGGCAAAATCACCCAAGGTCATGAGGAAGTTGTAAGGAATAATCAAGTTTCTTGTTTTCCCACTTAGGCAATATTGATGGCTGCCTAAAAATGATAGATCTATTACTCTTGTCAGCACTTTACAGTTTGCAATATGATTTCACAATATCACCTTTGAACCTCCCATCAGCTCTAGGGGGATTTAAAATAGCATTCTTTTTCTTTGAGCAGATATGAAACTAAAGTCTGAGGGAAGTTAAAGGTGTAAACTTCCTAAAAGTTAAGATAAGGTAAAAATAAAATAAGAAAGAAAAGAAAGAGAATTCTGAGCTGATTTTGGTCTGGATAGGTTAAGCTCTCCAACAGTAAAAAACAAACCCTAAATCTCCGTGATTTAACACACCAGAGGTTTATTGTTCCCTCATATCACAGTAGCAAACAGGTCAACTTGTAGCTACACCTTCTAGAACAAGTGGCTTCCAGGGGTGATGGTAAATTTTCTCTTGCTGTCTTTGGCCTGAAATGACACATGACTTTGACTGAATTCCATTGGCAAGAATTAATTACCTCAATAGGCAACAGAAACGCCCCCAGGGTCGAGGGTATAATGCATGGCTTTAAAGATTTGATCCTTACCTTCTGGCAGATAAAACCCAAATCCTTGGGCCTGGCCTACTGGCCTTTCACATTCTGACCCAATCACCTTCTCTACTCCTCTCTTCACATCCTGGACCACGTTGTACTGACTGTCTTACCATAGTCTGAGGATACAGGGTCCTGTTTACCTTTTCTGGATATGCCTTTCTCACACCTTTTTCTTCTGATATCACGCTAACCTCAATTGCCTTCTCTTCTAGGAAGGCTTCAGAATTGTTCAGTAGTCCAGCATCATCACATCACTACCCTTCTGCTCCTAAAGCACTTAGAATCTCTGTGCAATATGGTTCCTCTCTTGACATGCATGTTCACCTACATACACACACACACACGCATACACACACACCCATGAGCACATACACATGGACACATACAAATACACAGTGACAGACACACATGCCCACACACACACAGACTAGATGTCAGTTATTTAGGGACACCTTTAGATCCTACTATTCCTAGTACAGTGACTGACACACAGCAGATAAAAGGTCAGTAAATATTTTGTTGAGTGAAAGAGTATATCAAGAAATAATCTGTAAAACAAGTTTACTGCTAATATCTCAATAAGCTCATGTGAATGAATTTGGGTAGATAAAGTCTTAATCCTTATTCACCAACCATTTGGCTTGAATTTATAGGTGTCATAATTTGGGAGGGATTCGTGACATCACAGTAAGCCATGTTCTATATTATTTAGTAATGATGAGGAATAATGATGATGCTATCGGATTTTGGGAAAAATCCGTAGGATTGGTGAGTAGAGGCACTACACAAGCCTGGAAAAGGGAAAGGAAAAGAGAACAGGTTTCTGTAACCCAGGATGACATTTGGTTGAAACAATACTTAGTTTCAACCTCCTCCTCACTTTCCCAGCTAAGTACTCACTCTCCTAGTCTCCCTTGCAGTTAAAGGTAGCACAGTTTGGGAAGCTTAATTGGAAGTCTCTGAGATTTCTAATAAAGATTTTTCCTTTTCTGATGAAAGCGGAAAGATATTGCTGGCATTCTGATGTCCCCCTGACTTGAATTCAGACATAATGCATGGAGCCGCAGCAGCCATTTTGTGACCACAGGAAAAAAAAGCCAAGGGAATCTTAGCAAATTGAGTTCAGCAGCAACATATCTTCAGATTTCTTATTATATGAAAAAAAATAAATCTTTGTTTAAGCCACTGCTAAGCTGAATACTTTCCTAATTGATATAAATACTAAGTGTAATACGACATTGACAGTATTGAAGCCAAGATCTTAAAACATGGCCCCCAGAGAGTCAAGCAGACATTGCATTATTACACATTTGGAGGGTACAGAGGCTGGATCTGCCCATGGTTTTTGTCTTGTTATTATCTACATTACAAAGAGATTGAATAGATTCTTATAAAAACTGATTCAGACTAGATTGTATGGTTTTGAGTAACCAAGAAAGTAAAAGTTTCTCCCCCTCCTCAAAGAAAAGGGCCTTACATTTTTCAAATGATTCTCTACATTCCAGATAATAACAATGCCATTCACTTATGTAATTTTATGAAAAAATACTAAAACCATTCTGAAAACATCAGCTCAAAAAACTACCCAAAACATTTGCTCATTTTTTCATGATGGCTCAATAAGAAGATTTTTTTATTCTCCTCCAAAAAGCATAAGGAATCACATCCTTTCCTGACAGCTTAAAACATCCAAGCAAAATGTGAGCTGGAGCCATGGGCTCTGGACCTGGCAGGCAGGTGTGGACCTTCAGCACACCACAGGGCTGCTCTAGCCCCAGGCATTTCTGCCCTGGGTACAGAACAATAACCACCATCCCTGCCTGGATGGTGAAGTAGGAATGGAGCCAGTTCTCATGTGGGAGGAAGAGTTTTGAGAGACAGGAGAAAGGGGGGTAGTCATGGAGGAGTTCTGCTTACTAATCTGTGACAATCCTCTCCAAGCCCAGAGAAGGTGGGAGGTAGGGGAGGACCGATGCTCTTCCCCATCAAAGGCCAGCCTCCTAGACTCTCCATTCATCCAGCTTCTTCACCCTCCTGGCCTCTCCACTTTCCCCGCCTTTCCACTTACTCAGATTCTCCACCTTTCCAGACACTCCATCCTCAAAGACTCTCCACCCACCCAGGCTAGTCATGCATTGCTAAAGATAAATAAAAAAGAAACTTCCTGGGACTCTTTCCTCCTTCTAAAGACAGGAGTAGGTGGTTGGAAAGGAATAAGATGCAATCATAACTTTGACAAGACTCACAAGAACCCTCATGAAGATTCCCTGCCCTCTCACAAGCCTCTCTTTTCCCAGCCTTAACTGCTTGCCCTCATCCTTACCAGGGCATTCAGCTTGGACTTTGCACGCTCAGTTTTTAAAAAACAGTTCTGTCTCCCCCTTTCTCACCATCCCTCTTTTATCTCATCAGAACTTCTTTCTTCAATAAACTGATTCCAAGTATTAGCAAAAAAAACCATTCTAAGTAAAAGAGTTCTGAGTTCCATCCCTCAAGTGTCTCTTCTTATAACCCCCCTAACATATGTTAGGGGGGTTAATATTAATGTAAAATAAACTCTTACTCCTCATGCCCTCTGGACAGAGTCTAAAGGATTCTTGGAGTTCCTTAAAGAAGCCAAAACTCTTTTGCTGGGCTACAGCCACGATTCACCCAGGCCTCTGAATCAGACCCAAGATATCCCCACAGCACTCAGAATTCCATTCACATAAAGATATTGAACGAAGGTGTTCACACAAGGAGCATTATTCACAAGTCATAATTTAATAAAAAATGTCAGGGAATATTGTGAGTGCTCAAATGCAGGTTTCTCATCTTTCACGTATTATTGTAGACTCTAACCCTTAGCAACACAGAGCAACCCATGCAGATAGAAGATATTCTTTTGGCTAAGAATACATTTATTCCTTTTCCAATGTATTTAGTCCCTTTTCAGGATTTTTGGTCTAGGTTAAGATTAAAATGCAAAGAGTATTCAAGAACACAGAAACTATCAGCCTAAAATAAAACTTAGAATAATGTAATGAATGCAATTCTATCAGGCCACTCAGTCTTTTCTATTGATCATTTCATTCATCAATCAGGTTAAGCAAGCTTATGCTGAGGAAACAAATAACTGGATATTCTCAGTGGGTTAAAATCATAATATTTTAATGTTTGTTTCCTACTCATGTCCCATGTCCATCACAGGTTAACAGGGTGACTCCGTGTATTGTAATCTCTCAGGGAACCAGTTGATGGAAGCCCCATGTCAACAAAGGCTTCCATAATACTGAAGTCAGAAGAGCAAGAGCTAGAGAGATACAGAGTAACGAACCTTGCCCTGGCTCTCATAAGCTTCTGCCCAGAAATAACACATATGACTTCCACTCACTATTCATTGGCCAAAGTAAGTTCATGGTCACGTCTGGTATCAGTGGAGCAGAGAAATGTAATCCTCCTGCTCGGAAAGGCAGGGAATCTTGGTGCTCGGTAATGTCTAATGCAACTCCTAAAGCTCTGAGACAGGCATTATCCTCTTTGATTTAGAGAGAAGAAAAGTGAGGCTCTGAGAAGATAAGTTCACATAATAGTTAATAATCCAAAAACTTTTACCCAGATATTGGTTAAAATTATAACCCAGATAAGGCGCATGCTCTTTCCACCATATCAGAACTTCCCAAAAGTTGTTCCACAGAACTCTAATTATGAGAGTTCTTAAGCAGTTGTCAGGGGAATATGAAATAAAGAATTTTGGAAGCACCACATATTATACACCATTATATACTTAGAGGATGCATTCACCATTTAACTCTCTGAGAAGTCTTACAGTAAGGAAACTTGTTTATGGTGGCTCACGCCTGTAATCCCAGCACTTTGGGAGATCAAAGCGGGTGGATCATTTGAGGTCAGGAGTTTGAGACCAGCCTGGCCAACATGATAAAACCCCATCTCTACTAAAAATACAAAAATTAGCCAGGCGTGGTGGCAGGTGCCTGCAGTCCCAGCCACTCAGGAGGCTGAGGCTGAGGCAGGAGAATTGCTTGATCCCGGGAGGCAGAGGATGCAGTGAGCCAAGATCACACCATTACACTCCAGCCTGGGCGACAGAGCGAGACTCTGTTTCAAAAAAAAAAAAAGAAAGAAAGAAAAGAAACTTGTTTAATTCTTTAATATGCATTTTCCAAGTCTATTTGACCACAGAGCATTACAATATTACCTCTAATAATGACCACTGGCACACACTTCAGAAAACACTCTGTTATGTGTTTTCCTGAAAGAGCCTACCAGACAACCAAACAGAACTAGCTCTTTGAGCAGATGAGGCCCAGAGAAGTAAAGTGACCTTCCCAAGGTTACATAGCTGGTAGATGGTAGAGTCAGGACAAGAACTGCAATCTCTAACTATCCAAGTTGGAGCTTCTGCTCAGCTGTCGAGAGGATCGTGAAAAAACGAGAGTGTTTTATAAACTGGAAAGCGCTATTCGAATTTAAGATAGCATTAATTCTCTAGGTGAAGCATTACTGAAATATATAGAATACATGGAAGGACATGAGGTGCTTCAAGATAGGATGATTAAATTTGGTGAAGATGTCAATTCTCCCCAAATTAGCATATAATGTTTGAAATAATTTTAATCAAAACTTCAATGTGATTGTTTTAAATTGATTAAATAATTTGAAATTTTTATTTAAAAAATAGGTGAGAAAAGCTCAGAAATTTGAACACAAACAACTATGGGGAAGAAAGATGTTTCCCTATTAGTTATTAATAAATGTATATCCACAGTAAGCAAAACATTACAGAACTAGCAAAATAATTGACAGATGGATCAATAATAAGAAATATTTTGCACTGAAAATAAAGTCCTGGTACATATATGAACTTAATGTTACAAAGAAACTACCACAGTTAGTAAAAAAGGAACTAGTATTTTTGCAACAAAAGTAGTGGGTGAATAATGGTTCTTATATAAAGTTGTAAATCTCAGCTAGATTGCGGAACTAAATTTTTACAAAATAGCTAGAAAAATTATATAATGATGACACTAATTTCAGGACTAGCAAGCATTATTCAAGCCTAAAAACAAAAATTTAAAGGGAAACAACAAACTAAGAAAATTATTTGCAATAAAAATAAATATATAATATTATAGCTAATAGTATATACATTAATTATATAAAAATATAACATGGTTAAAGTCCTTAATATGTAAAGAGCCCTTGAGGGAAAATAAATAATATTTCTAATGGAAAAGTGGGCATGGGAAATAAAAACAATTTTAGATTAAATACAGAGTTAAAAGAATGTGTGAAAAAATATTGTTTATTAGTGGTCTGAACAATACAAACTCAATAATTCACCATAATATGAGATATATCAAATAAAGATCAAAGCAAAATAATATATAAAGCACAGAACAGTTCTGTAAAACTGTTTGTGGGAGAGTAAATCAGAACAACTTAACCCAATTTTTCTGGAGAACAATTTAGTAATATACAGCAAACTTAAATGATGTATTCAGGCACTGCTTAGTAATTCTACTTGTAGGATTATACCATAAGTATACTAAAGAAACATTCAAAGACAGAAACAAAGACTGCATTAAGTTGTTTTATTAAAAAGTAAGTTTCTAGCAATGGAATAATAAAATTGTGATATAACCATAGAATGGAATATTAAGGAATATTATGCAACTATAATAACCATTTCTCTTTGTGCAATGTTAAAGGTTTTTAAAAGCACAATAAATATAATATATTTCAAGTTTTATATACACTCATAAAATATAGAAGAAACAAATACCAAGATGGAAAAGTAAGAAATTCTCTCTGAAAGTTACTTTGCAGATGGTTTTTATTTTATCTTTGTGTAAAAGCTTACTGTATTTTCTAGAGTGAGCACATATTATATTTATTATTCTAAACGACAAAATAACCATGTAAGATACACCATGCCACCTCTCAAATAAATTGTGTGCATTGTATTTCCATGACAGTAAATAGGAAGAATCTATTTACTCTGCAGAAGCCCAGAAATGAACCCAAGCAAGCGAGGCTTGCATGACCCAGAGAGCACATTAAAGGATCCAGAAATGCAGGCAAGGGAACAAGACAGCCAATGAAAACCAAGGCAGATGACTGGCTGTATGAATTGAGTGCACACCAACTCATTAGCCTTTTACATTTTGCTACCCAACCACCCAACTTAGATGCACAGAAAACAAAGCTTGCAAGAGTAGCAATTCCAGACTCTGTAGCAGGAATCCTTCTGCTGAGCCTCTCTCATGCCCCCTCCCCTACTGTTCTCATCTCCCAGGATGTTCAAATCCATTCCCTGGTCCTTACATCTGCTTCTGCCCATGCATGTGTTCGCTCCTCCTGGTTTCTTTTGGCTACTTGATTTTGAGTCTCCCGGATGGATTTTAAATACCAGGTCCAAGCCAAAGTGGGCCCTCCAGGGGAAAGTTTCTCAGACACTTTCCCTTTTTATTAGCACCTCCAGAACAGAAAACAAATTCCTGAAGGTTTATTATTTTAATTACGTGGATCATCAGGAATAATACATTCTGGGTATTTTTATTATATAGTAATTACTTTGGTTCCTACGACATTGTAGAGATTTGGACTTAATTTGCTCAAATGTTAGTTTTCCATATTTCAAGAGTCTAGTGCTTAAATAGCAATTTAAATGTTAATCTCAGTTCTTGTTATGTAGCTGACATTTCATTCGTTTATTCAGCAAATATTAATTACTACATAGACTTGAAGCCCAGTGGGTTTCCAAATGATTTCTAACATCTGTGGTTTGCTATATTATGGGAATTCAGATGGAATCTCAGAATTTAATTGTTTCAAAGCTTTCAATACATGCTATTAGTGGTTAATTTGGAAGTCCTCTTGCGATCCAAGAACAAATTGCAAGAAGAGATTCACGTTAAAATGATTGCAGAACATTGGCATTTCTGTTTCTGGTGAAATTCAAGGATTCACCAGTAACCAGAAAACTGAATTCGAAAGTAACGCAAGTGCAGTCCCACATGCCAAGCCCTGATCGAAATGAGAACGTTTAGGATGTGGGAGATTAACATTGTTAATAAAGCATGATCTACGGCCCATGGTACTGATGATAAAAACTCCAAACCAATGACTATGTCTTTCTGGTCAGAGTAGAAATGACTAATGCAGTTATTCAACATGTCCTGGAGACTAAACTAAGAAATCAATGTCAGGCAGTAATCCAGAGTCCACTGAATCACTTTCCTGTACAGTCCCAGTCTGAAGGTGCTAGTATTACATTCTGTCACTTGTAATCATGGTGTTGAGAGGTAAGGCAAAGGCAATTCAGGTGAAGACAACTGAGGAAGATCGCAGATGGACAAGAATCTCTCCTCCTGACAGCAGATTCTTCTAACTCCGGACAATGACACAGGCCCTGGACCTTGTCCCATTATTGAAATAATTGGCTTTCAGACCGAGCTCCAGCTTGCTCATTGTAAACCTTTCTCTGCTGTTACTACCTCAAAAGTGCCTGAATGGCCACTATCTGTCCTCACTAACCTGCAGTTCTCACTCTCTGCCTTCACTTACGCTGTTGCCAGGCACCCTACTTCTTAGCTTGGCTACTTCTACTCATTGTTTCAGACTCAGCTCACATAACAGTCTCTCTAGGCTATACCTGCTGACCAACCATGACCAGCTCCTCCCCAGGTTCTATTACATGTTCCTTATTTGGGTTTCTACAACATCTTTATCATAGAAGTTCACATTGAAAATTCTGGTTGACGTACCTGCCTCCACCATCAGACTATAAGCTCCTTGTCTTCGCCTCCCTTTTATCCCCAAAGTATGTTGAACTTTGATACTAGATTCTCAGAAATGTTTATGGAATTTGATTGTACAGATTACAAACCAGTATAATCATGTCTCCAGCTCCATGATTTTCAGGAGAGTTTCCCACTTCCGGCCTGAGTGTCATTTCTACACCAACATGTAAGCCAAGGCTCTCTCCTCTGGATAAATGCCTTTCCCTCTGCCATACTACATGGGAGTTCACAGAATGACTCTCAGTTCACAACTACTTGGAACAATCGTGGTCCACAGCCCCACTCTCCAATTCAACAGGCCTAGGCTTCAACTGCACCTCCCATCCCATTCACATTCCCTATTCTTCATGAAGAAGGCCTCTGTCAGCTTGTCTTGCCAGTCTCCAGACAAGTCTAGAGGCATTGCAGAGGGTGTAATCTCTCTCCATCCCTGTTCTAGACCCTTGTTAAAGTGATATGAGAAGCCTTACAAAGGTATTAAAACTTGAGCTAACAACCACATTTATATGTAGCTGTATACAGATTTCTTACTTTTTTGTGAATATTTAAAAAATTTTATCATACATATTTTCATAATTGAGTGTTGTAACTGATGACAATCCTGGGTAATCCAGGATAGAATCCCCATAGTTCATGGTAAAGCAGTTAGAAAACGTAAATGCCAACAGGAGGTCGTGATGACAATAATTCAACTGTATTTGCAAGCAGGCCTCCCAGTTGGGTTACTCAGGGGTTGATAGCAGGGGAGTGGAGGAGAGACAGATTTTAAAAAGGGGCATCATCGGAAGGAGATGGCTGTCAGGGAGAAAAATGGCAGGCCCTCCTGAACTAGCCCAGTCCTAGCTTCAGGCCTCCTTGTTGACCTTGACTGGTTATTGACCACCTGGCATTGCTTCTGTAGCAGCAGGTAGGGTGAGATGTGGGAAGAAGTTGGGATGACCTCCTGAATGACAGATTACCAACTGTCCAGCTACTGCCCAGGGGTCACCACATCCTCACATTGTGTCTCATTCTCCAAGTCTAATTAAGCAGCTTCAGGAACACAGAACTTTGCTATCTGCTCCTACCTGTTTCACTTAAAATCAGGTGCCCATGTATGTCTCTGTGTTACACTGTGACTGATCCCTAATAAAATTAGAGATTTTCAATCTTTGCACTTGATATTGCCAACTCACCTAAGCAAATTAATGAGGCTTTGAGTAGGCCTCAGAGCCTGGTGCTGTGAATGATGGAAGCCACACAAGTCTCAGGGACAGGGCAGTAGAATTTCATTGTCTTCTCACTGAGAAGTGACACCAAATCATTGAAACCTTTTTTCTTATACTTTATTTCCTGTATTGGAAAATGGCAGATATTTGCTCCTTCCTGTGTTAGAGATATTCATCTTCAACATCACATACATAACAACCTTCCTAAAACAAACCCTGAAAACATGAGGGGCACGGAAAGCTTTGTGACTCCCAGGACAGCTGATGTAGCTGCATCTTGTGTGACATTTATCACTACTGTTGTGTGGAGGCCACATGTTGCCATAGAGTCCCTCCATTCCTCCAATGCATGGACCTTATGCTCAGTCCTGAGGGAGACAGTCATGAATCCAACCCAGCCCCAGAAACCCAGCTTCAGGCAAGTTTTGGCTCAGAAAGAAAATGAAGATTTGTCTCCCCCTTGAAAATTGAAAGTAAATGAGGCAACTTTCACTATCTTAAACCAAAATTGGGGCAGAAAACTACTAGAGTAAGCAGGGCATGGTCTTTCCAGTTAAGCAAAACTACATGCAAATCCCAGCTGCATCACCTAATGAGCCAGTAACCCAGGTAAGTAACTTCTCTGAGCTTCATTTCCTTACCTATAAGATTGAGGACAGTGATAACTCGTTGGTCAGGTTGTTATGGTTAAGTGAGCAATATGTAAGCCTTCTTAAATGATGCTTGGCACATGGCAATCAATCAAAAATATTTATTGTGCACCTACTACATACATTACAAACTCAGTAAGCCATGTACTGGATTAATGTGATTCACTCAAATTATTTCATTCCCTTTCACCCTATAATTGTTAAAGATACTTAGGCTTTTTGTCTTCCAGTTTTCAGCACCTAACTGAAAAAGGAGATCACTATTCCTTGGATCTGGATAAATCCAGACTAGCCTGACAGATCCAGAATCAACTAGAGTAACTAATGTCTTGTATTTCCTGAGATAATTCCCATTTCAAATGACCTTTTCTGTGATTCTTGTAAGTAGCTTTGCACTTGTCATCAACCAAGTTTCCATCTGACAGAGATTTATTAAGCACCTTCTACGGGCCAGACAGATGCCAGGGGTGGAGTTGTGACCCAGGCTTAGTGCCTGCCAGCATGGGCATCCTTTTGGCTCTGGAAGCATGGCTCATGGAGCCACATCCCAGCTATCAGCCCTGTGGCAGCATCACCATCATCAAAGGAACCCTGCAATTCATCTTTCTAAATCCCAATTTGCAATTCTCTAAGTCTGCAGAAAACTGATGTCACTGTGTAGCCTGACTAACTTGAGGTGAAAAGCCAATCAGTCATGTGCCAGCAACCATGTAATTGAGCTGAGAACAGGCCAATCTTTAGTTATTGAAACATTTTAAATACATTTCTTATTTCCACTCAGTATTGGACCATCTGGCTGGAATTTTGCCTCACATCACCACTAGGGGGCATTTTATGCCCAACTATATTCTGCAATAGTTTGGGGGTTGTGTTGGGACACCATCAGCACAGTGTGGTGGGGGGTGGGTAGGGAGAATGCTTCTTAGGCTTAGTGAAATTCCGATAGACTGGTACCGAAAATAGGGTGAACAGGGTGAATTCAAGCATCACTCTGAAAAGGCAGTGAGTTAGTTATCACCCCTCAAATGTACATATGTAGTCCACAAACCTAAGGGAGGAGATAAACCAATTTTTATTGCATATCTACTATGTAACAGGCACTGAGCTAAAAATCTCCATCTTCATCATCTTATCTACCCATCACAACTATCCTGAGATAGGTTTTGTCTTCATCCTCATTTTACAAATAAGAGGTCAGAGAGGTTATCACTTACAACCTATCACACATCCAGCAAGTAGCAAAAACTGAGTCCAGGTCAGGTTGCTTTCAAAGCCTATCAACTTTTCGTCCACGAGGCTCACCTAGTTGTGATATTCTCACTCCTCTGAAATTGTTTCCTCAGTCCCCATTACCATGACTCTCCAGATTATCCTGGGATTTGTGTGTGTCTCTGTGTGCCTGTGGGTGGGGAGGGGGACATGCACGCATAATACGGCTGCGAATAAAGGAGCAAGCAGCTGAGTGTTTTCATACTTAATGACCCTTGTACTAGTCAGTGAAACAGGATTTAAATTTGACTGAGTATAACTTACACACTCTACCTGTTTTATTCTCTTGTAGCACCAACGCCTTACACTGTGTCTGGCATAGAGTAGGAAATTAATAGATGTTAGATGAATTCATAAACAGATAAATCAACATGGCTCTTAGGAAGACCCCAAAAGCATTTGCCCGGGGAGGCTTCCTATGTCTGGAAGTGTTCTGAAGCCTATGAAGTAAGGTGAGATTATCTTCCAACAGAAAACTCCAAAAGATGTGGAGGTGGGGAGGGTTTGATTTATAGGATTTGCTCAGCCTGCCCTAGAGACATCAGCCAATCAAAGGAAAATAGACTCCAACCTGTTTACAGAGCTCCTCGGACTTACCATCCCAAAGCATAGTCCAAGAACAAAAGCCCAGTCCAAGGGATCACTGACTCACCAGCCCCTGGGAATGATTTCCAATTCACTGATACATCAAACCAGGGTGATTTGATATGCAGTGTTTGTCACTCTGAACTTCCAACAATGCAGATCTGAGCCCCGGGACTACTTTGAAAAGACTGGATCCCTTGGCTCGGATTGTACTCTACAAAGATGAAGAAGGCAGCCATTTTCTGCCCACTGGGGACCAGAAGCCTCTTCCATTAGGCAGAAACTTCATTTCTGGAAATGTGAACTTTGCTGCCAGAGTCATCAATGCCGACGCTCTATGTGAAAAGCAGACCATTTACTCACTTCAGCATTGATTTTCTGGAAACATGGCCTGCCTGTATTTATATGAGGAAAGGAGAACATGAAAGAGAGATATAGTCTGAAAATGTAACGTTGACTTCCAATGCAAAACTACCCTGAGTTCACTGATTTTATTCTCTTCCTCTTTCCAATTCTCATCCAAAAGGCTATCAGAATGTAATTTCAGTTGAAAAGGCTTCCATATCAGAAGTAGAAAATAGGGAAGGTCGATGACTTCCCTATTCCCTTCCACCTGCTGGAAAACTGGAGGAATGCCCACAAGGTGTAGAGTAGGTAAGACATTCTGAGGGAGGGGCCAACAGATTCGTCTGCTCTCTGACAGGAAGTAAAGGCCTTCCTGGGGAGGTCAGTAGAGAAGAGACCAGCCCCAGGGGATTCCACTCCTCAGAGTCCATCCACTGAGGCTGGGGCCATCTCCAGTGAGCAAATTTCTGTGGGAGGTTTACTGAATGCTGCAGACCTCACAAAAAAGGATTTTGGCCAGTGCCTTCTCCCAGCTAAAGGAGTGTGGACAGCTGGCTAAGTAAAACTTGGGCGAGGCCATGGATGGTGCCAGTGAAGACAGAGCCTCAGTAAGGAAAACAGTCCTGTATCTACTATCTTCCTCACATTCCACCCTTGCCTCCTTCTTTGGCTGCTCCCAGACATTGTTCTCACCTCTCCCACCATGGAGACGTGGATTTCTGATCTGGCAAAGAAACATCACAAGTGCTTTAACTTTTCTCTTCCTTCTTCATCCAAGAATGAAAGTTCAACAGAGACCAATACAGTTCTGGACAAGTGCAAGAAATAAACCATCCCCCAGCACCATCCAGGCTCAGAAAAAATGCTGGATATGATACAAGGCTTTGCAATTCTTTTTTTTTTTTTTTTTTTTTTTTGACAGAGTCTCATTCTATCTCCAGGCTGGAGTGCAGTGGCGCCATCTCAGCTCACTGCAACCTCCGCCTCCCGGGTTCAAGCGATTCTCCTGGCTCAGCCTCCCGAGTAGCTGGGACTACAAGCACGCACCACCACGACCAGCTAATTGCAATTTTTAAAGAAGAAATTGCTTTAAGGCATTAACATGCTTCTCTTTATGAAACAGATCCCCTAAAAGAAACAGGAGTAAATCTTGGAAAATCTCTTACTTGTATTCTCAGCAGAGCTTGAAAGGACATTGCATTAAGAAAAGGGACACAGTGGCCGGGCGCGGTGGCTCACATCTGTAATCTCAGCACTTTGGGAGGCCCAGGAGGGTGGATCATGAGGTCAGGAGATCGAGACCATCTTGGCTAACACAGTGAAACCCCGTCTCTACTAAAAATACAAAAAATTAGCTGGGCATGGTGGTGGTTGCCTGCAGTCCCATCTACTCGGGAGGCTGAGGCAGGAGAATGGCGTGAACCCGGCAGGCGGAGCTTGCAGTGAGCCGAGATTGCGCCACTGCACTCCAGCCTGGGTGACAGAACTAGACTCTGTCTCAAAAAAAAGAAAAAAGAAAAAAAAAAGAAATTCTTATAAACTTCACTGTAAACAATGGAAAGCAGAATATGATCTCCCGAAAAGAGAAGTATGTTATACTAGAATATGCTAATAATCTAAATTTTAAAATCACAGATTATTTTAACAGAACCTGGGGTTGGGGAAATAAAATAGTTTTAAAGCCTCTTAATTAATTTTATTTCTCAGTGTGAAGTCAAATTTGAATGATTTTTAATGGTTACTTAAAAATTAAGCATTCAATGTCTTAAATTTTTTAAAGTTAACATGCGATAAAAGAGAATAACTGTTTCAAATTACTAGTGAACAAATTAAAATAAAAACACAAATGACAAAGAAAATATTTTTAAAGTACAAAAACAAACTTTAAAAACCTTGTAAGATCTTACATATCAGTTACACAATAAATTACAATGAATCAGTGTCATTATTAAAAATAGACTGTCAGTTTAAGTCAAAAACAAAAATTATATTCTACTTACAGGAGAAATACTTGGTAGCAAATGAAACAACATAGTTAGAAATATATAGATAAACAAAGATATACCATTAAAATAGAAATATGATTCAATCAAGTATGGCAAAATTAATATTAGGAAATAGTTCAAGGCAAAAAGAGTTATGAAAGAAAAGAACAGTAAGCCCTCACTTATCATCCGAGTGTTTTGATAAGTTCTCGGAAACTGTGACTTTAAGCGAAACTACATATAATAAAACCAGTGATTTTTCTTTTTCTTATCAATGGCATAATGTTGAAGGAAATGATGTTATTCTGGGCCTGCTAGTTCGTTTCACTTAAAGTCACAGTTTCCAAGAACCTATTGATGATGATAAGTGAGGACTTACTGTAAGTTATGTAATTGAAGATGAAATAGACATAAAATCACAAGCCAAATAAAAATATTTCATTAAAATGTGTAAACAAAAATTATTAGTAATAAAAGGTAAACTTTAAAATTAGTATAGAAATCATTTAAATAATAATATGCAACAGTTTTATTTATAAGTATAAACTGAAATGGTGCTACTACTAGTTAGAAATAAACTAATCCTAATACTAAATACAAAATGTTAAAATTGATCACAAATGAGATAAAAAATATCAAAAATTGATCTTATCTAGATAATTCATCAACAGTATAAAAATAATTGCAGAAATGTTATGTAAAGAATTGCATAGCAAATATTTACAAAGCTCACATGATATGACCATAATAGATAAACCACCAGAGAAAACCTTATTGATTTTATGCATAACAAGAATGCCTTCTATCATATTATAACCTCATCATTGTTCTGAAACTTCTAACCAATGCAAAAAAATGGGAAATATAAATAATCTTTGAAAGTCGGAAAGAAAATTATTTGCCATTGATATGATAATCTCCACTAAAAATACAAAAGACTTAATGAAATGACAATTAAGATTAGTGAAACAATTTATATCTTGGCTGGCTTCAAAGTACATATATGAAAGTAAGTTATTTTTATATAAACCAACATTACCCAGTTAGAGAAATACAATGGTGTAAATGAAATATGTCATTTAAAATAGAAATTTTAAAATATAAAACACTTAGGAATAAAAAATGTGAAGAAAACTGTAAAGCTACCCAGAACCACTAAAGAGAGCATCATGGCATATCCTAGTCAAGTTTAAGATTTGTTTCTCCCATGTCCCAGCATTTCCATACCTAGAATATGTACTAGAGAAAAAAAGTACGGTACCCTATAGCATTGTTTCTGATAGCTTCAAACTGGAAACCACCCAACTGTCTATCAAATACATGAGATCAATAAATCGCAGCATAGTCACACCATGGAGTACTATATAGGAATAAAAATGAAAAACCTGCAGCTCTTTGCAATCACAAGAACGAATATTGCAATCATAAACCAAAGAGTCAAGACAAAAGAAACACATAGCATAAAACTACTCTATAAAGCTGGAAAACAGGCAGCACTCTTTTTGGATGCATGTATAAGTGGTAACAGTAAATATTAAATAAGTAGAAATCAGGTTAGAGGTAATTTCTAGAAGAGACAGAATAGAGTTTTACATGGGGCACAGGAAGGGCTTTCTGGTGTTGATAAAGGTTTTTTTTTTTTTTAATGATGTTGGTAATAATTATATGGGCTTTTACTCTATGATTACTAAGTAATGTGTATGTATATATATTGTGCACTTTTTATGTTGTATATTTTGTGTCAGGCAGATCGTCTGCATAGTCCTAAACTCTTGATTTCTTCCACTTCTTGACACAATCCTTTGGGACCCTTTCAGCTCTTCATTCTGTAGGCTCAAGTTCTGCCCTGCCTCCATCCCCAGACCAAGTCCCAACCTGAGGGAGAGCTGGGTCTCAATCTTCCCTTTACTAGGATGGGAAATGCCAACATTCTTTTTGGTTACCCATTCCTGGAGGATGGTTCCAGCTGGCAGGGGCCATAGAAGATTGATGCACAGCTGTATTTTCCTGTCATTTTGGGCACAGGGGTGAGGATGGAACTTTGCCCCTTTGACAGTTTTAGCTCCAGTCAACTGCTGTTAACTTTGACCTCAGGACACCCTTCACCCTACATCCATGAACATGTTGCAACATCAGGCAACTACAAGGTAAGTAGAGGTATGCAGGGCCTTGTGGATTCAGTTTCTTCTCCCACGTGGATGAACAGCAGCAGCGGAAGAGATAGATAGCACCTCTTTTCCAGCTGGATAGTGTGCTGAAACACTTCCTCAGCCTCCTAGCAGTGCCAAAGACATGTAGGGTGGCCTTAGCCAGAAAGGTGAGGCCATCCCAGCCTCCAGCATGGGGTTGCGGAAGTAGATATAGGTGACCCACTAGAGCTGTGAACTCCTTTAACTCTAGCGTTGAAGTGCCATATTCAATGAGCACAGTTCTGGAAAGGTCTCCAGGGACCCCATATCACATCATGAACTAACCCAAACCTCTAAATCCCCTAAATCTTTCAAAGCTGAGAGAGAGAGAGAGAGAGTAATTCACCTTTAGGGATTGATATAGACTGGGCTATGATATTTTGAGCCCACTCACTGGGAACCATGGATAGGGTGATTATATAATTGACTATCCAACCAAAGACACTTTTTGAGAGAGAAAGGGCAATTTAAATAATTATCTTGGGACAGCAGTTGACAACTAGGACTATCCTAGGCAAACCAGGTTACATAATTACCCTAGCCATGGACCATACTTTGAGAAGCACTTTCCAAAGGCCTCTGCCATGTGCAGCTGCTCATAGCCAAGCTCATGCTACACAGGTGGAAAAGCTTCTGGAAAATTGGGGTGCTTCCCTAGAAGACTCAGAATGTTAACAAGGAATAGGGAAGAAAGAGAACTACTGAAGAGCTTGGCACAGGAGGGCTGGCCCAGAACCTGTGTCACAGCACTGCCCTGGGCCATTCACACCAAAGCTCATTCCAGAGACTGAAAGTATTTGATGGCCTTCTGTCATACCTTACCTGCCAGGCCACCTGCTTGATGGGCTCTTTCCTGAACCTAGACACCCCCAGGGCACCATCGTCCTCCCTGATAGAATATTATATTAGAACAATTTGAGGAACATAGACACATTATCCCCAACCCTGTCCCTCAACTGTTTCATCTGTCAGCACCATGGTGTCAGTGAGACCTTCTGATGGAGACTTCCAAGCCACCTGGCTGCTTAGGTTAGTCTGCAAGTTGTTCCAGTGTTTTTTAAGAGAGGTCCTCCAAATTCAAATCACTTGTTTATGTCCCACTGCTGGCACACCACCTGAATGGGAAGTGTCAGTCTACGACATCAAAGGCCTCTCCTGCTGTGTCTGCTACTGACAGCACTGTTGTCCATCTATCTCAAATGGGAGAATTCTCTTACAAAAACTCACTCCCTCCACTCAGTACGGTCCTTTGCATAACAATTAGTTTTTATTCTTGATGCTTTATCACCCATTTCAAGACTGCTAGAGAAATGAGTTATGCAGGATATGACCCCTCTAGTCATCAAAGAACCAGAGAAAAAGTGTGTGGCTTGAAGCTGAGCAAAGATGCTGCCTCCAAGTGGGAAGTGACATATGTATGCTGGACACGATATATCTGCAGAGCTCTCCAACCCTGTCATCCTCCCACTCTAGTTGTACAGCCCTCATCCTCCCCCCACATCACCACAATGCCTATCCTCATTTCCACAGTTCTGCAGTTCCAAGGCCCTGACCTCCACCTAGGATCTCAGAAACTGATCTGTAAATCCAGGATGGAGAGCCTAAATATCAGATTGATAAAGTGTAGGACTCATGAAGATGCTCATAAAAAATTTCTTAGAAGGCCAGGTGCGGTGGCTCACACCTATAATCCCAGCACTTTGGGAGGCTGAGGCAGGTGGATCACTAGGTCAGGAGATTGAGACCATCCTGGCTAACACGGTGAAACCCTGTGTCTACTAAAAAATACAAAAAAAAATTCGCCGGGCGTGGTGGTGGGTGCCTGTAGTCCCAGCTACTTGGGAGGCTGAGGCAGGAGAATGGCATGAACCTGGGAGGCAGAGCTTGCAGTGAGCTAAGGTCATGCCACTGCACTCCAGCCTGGGTGACAGAGTGAGACTCTGTCACAAAAAAAAAAAAAATATTTCTTAGAAGGACTGTCAGATTCATAGCATTCTCGCTTTTTTCTTTTTTACTAATTAATCATTTATCTTAATCTGTTTCATGCTGCTATGACAGAATACCCAAGACTGAGTAATTTATAAAGAAAAGTAATTTATTTCTACAGTGCCAGGGTCTGGGAAGGTGCTGGTATCTGGTGAGGGCTTTCTTGCTGCATCATTCCATGGCAGAAAGTGAGAGGGTGAGAGAGGGACAAGGGAGGGGAACTGAACTCATTCCTTTATCAGTAACCCACTCCTGCAATAACTAATCCACTCCCACAATAACAACATTAATCTATTCATGAGGGCACAGCCTTCATGACCTAGTCACTTCTTAAAGGTTCTACCTTAACTCCATTGCTTTGGGGATTAAATTTCAACATATAAACCCTTGGAGGACACATTCAAACCACAGAAACATTCTTCAGTAGAACTTTAATATTACTGTCTTATAAAATTCTGTCAAATGAACAAAAGATAACCCATAATTACACCCTAATATGACTGCTTTTAACATTTTACTGTATTTCAGCCTTTTTGCTATGTATATAATTTTACAGAGTTGTAATCATACCCAGTATATGATTTTATCATGTTTTCCCACTTACCATTATAGGTATTTTTAATATTGCTACATAGTCTTCATGGTTGTCATTGTTAATAGCTATGCTGTAATAGTTCACTGAATTGAAGTGCTTTATTTACTTAGCTACCCTATTATCTTTAAACAATTTCTAATTTCTTTTTATAATAAACATGGACATATTTCTGACAGGGGTGTTCTTTTTCACATCTTGACCTACTTTTCACATAGTGTTACAATTACCTGACCAAAGAATACAAACTTTTTGTCTCTTGACGTATATTTCCAAAAGATTTTTAAAAGGTGCATTAATTTACTCTGCAGCTGGTGTAAATGAAGACCATTTTGTCATTGTTTTCTTGAGAGTAGAGCTTCCAAAAGTAGGGATATGTGGCTAGGAGGAAGAAATCCAGCCTGGGGCAGGCATTCTGTAAAGAACTCCAGTTCTCACTGGTACACTGGTTTTATTTTTCTCTGTTTCTTGCAGACTGAGCAATTGATAACTCTGTGGGTCCTCTTTGTTTTTACCATTGTTGGAAACTCCGTTGTGCTTTTTTCCACATGGAGGAGAAAGAAGAAGTCAAGAATGACCTTCTTTGTGACTCAGCTGGCCATCACAGGTAAGTAACTATGCAAGTGAGAGGCAGGAAGCTATATGTGAAGTCCCTATGGCTTCCTGCTTTTAATGAATTTTATCAAAAAAAAAAAAATGTAACGCATCGGTCAATTTGGGAATAATTTCTGAAAGAATATAAAACCTATATTTGAATATTTCCTCTGGCATACTTAACACATATGAATGCCTCTAAGATTTCATTATAAAAGTAACTCACTACACTAATGGAAATATCATTATCAGTATCACCAAATGGTTCTATAGGGTTTCCCTGTTTTTATACACAGTAGCCTCCATAGTTCACTAAGGTGATATTACCATATCATCCTGCATTATAAGCTTAAGGAATACATCCCAGAAAATGTACCAGCACTATCTCTATTAAATTATTAATGTTAAGTCTTGAGTACTTTGCAGATTAAAGCCTGTGGACATTGCTTTTGAAATGCAAATGATGTGTAACACCACTACTGGGGGTAGTATAATGAAGTAATATAATCTCAAGGATCGGGATGCTTAAGTGTAGACTTTGGAAATGACCATTCAGTAGAAGAGTGAGCACAGCACACCTAGTAGAGGAATGGTGAAATATTCTCAAGGAAGAAAATGATCTGTGAAAGTTAGGGCCCCAAAGACATGAGTAGAGCTCATGTTCAAAAGGAAAAGAAAAACACAACCAGGGAAAGAGTCCTGTTCTACAGGCCAGAAAGAAAGTGAGAAAATGAGATTCACAGAAGGTCCAGCATAAGCCACACTTGGAGTCCTAAGCTCTGGGAGCAAGATGGCTGTTATATTAGCTTAATTTGGATCAGACTATAGAAAAAAAAATGCAAAAGGAAAAATTTAAATATTAAATGCTTACAAGGAGTGACGGCAAATGACTTTCAGAAAGGGCTATTTGGTACATTTCAACCTGTACTGTTATCTCAGCTGTAGTAATGGTAGTGGAGCTCTTTAGAATTTAGTCTTGAGCCATAATATTTCAAAAATTTATGACACTGTAACTTACAAGAGAATCTTAGCCATACATTGTTAGTAACCTGAAATTCCCCTTTTTCTTTCTAACAAAGTATAACAAGCCCACCTGCTTGAGCTGGGCTGCAGTGGCCAGGGTAAACATCCAAGGCACCAGTGAAAAATACAGAGAAGGTAAAAGGAGCAAGAGTTCTGAAGATGGAACCTGGGATGGGGGAAAGTTTCTTCAATCTTTCCTACCAACAAGAACTCCAATTTTTCACTCCTATAACCGTAGAAGTAGAGGTAATTAGGATCATCCAGCAAATGCTTAGAGGCAAATATCCCTGGATGAGGATGCCACAGCTTATTTTCATTATATTTCTTCGATTACAGTGTGGTAATGCATGTTGTATGGAACTACATATTCTTTCAGAATGAAAGGATTTAGAGGTGGCAAGAATATCAGCTTGAAATTTAAAGTTTTTTCATAAACAATAAACAAATGATAATTGAAAATTCACTACATATTATCAAAGACAAAAGTTGTATGTTCTAATTCATCATCGTTGTATTAATCTGGGCTTAATTTCATGTACATCTCCTGGACAGTGTTTTTATTTGTTAATTGTTTCTAGAAAAACTCTAGGGGTCAGGTCAGAAGCATTTTAAATGAAGAATTCCTGAAATGAAAAACATTGCCAAAGGTCTAAGACTGAAGCTCAATGGTCTGAGATTGAATTTATATATTATTGAAATTTCCTTCATACACATTTTAGCATGATCACAGATCCTTTGGTAAAGGAGGTGAGAATACATACCTGAGTCTTGAGTATGCATATAGAAGTTACCCAGGCATCAACTGAGGGGCCCTGTGCTTTGAGACATATATAAAAATGTGGTTTGAGTCCCCCATCATATGTCAATGTCCTCCTTAAGATTTCTTCAAATTCTGTGGAATTTATATTTTTACTTCTCTTTTGCTTCTTGCTTCCTCCTTCCACTAAATTCTTGCTCTCTCTCACCAGTATCTCATCTTTCTGAGCTCCTCTTTTTTTGCGGTTGTTTCATGCTGTCCCTAACGAGGCACTCAAAGCACCCTCCTTTCCTTTATTTTCTTTAAAATCATCCACAAAAGTATGACTTTCTTTGTTTAAAGGACTTTTCTGAATATTTCAGGTAATATAATGATATTGTATCACAGAAAAGTAAATATCTTAAGAGCAAATATTTCATTTTCTCAGAACATTCAGCTGACATCAGAAATGTTTCATTTTGATCATGCCACTGCACTCCAGCCTGGGCGACAGAGTGAGACTCCGTCTCAAAAAAAAAAAAAAAAAAAAAGAAATGTCTCAGTTTTACCTTGCTTCAGCCTCACTATTCTGCTCTCTCTTCTAAATGTCTAGTATCTTGTGCCAAAAAATTTTAATACTTTCCTCTGTTTTTGTTTTGCTTTGTTCTTACCACTACCAAACCGTGATCTCAGAGACCCCACAACTTCCAAAAAACAAGTATCAGGCTTTTTTTTTTTTTAACAAAGGAAGTTGCTCCCTAAAAAAGAACCCTGGAACTAGTTACAATGATAAACAGACAAAGAAAAATACACATTCATATTTATAGTTACATATGTCATGGCTAAAAATAAATTATTCTAAATTGTATAAAACCATAAGATATACAGTGATAACTCAATAGTATGTTGTATTAGTCTGTTCTCACACTGCTATGAAGAAATTCTCGAGACTGGGTAATTTATAAAGGAAAGAGGTTTAGTTGACTCAGAGTTCTGCATTGCTAGGGAGACCTGAGGAAACTTATTAATACAATCATGGCAGAAGGCAAAGGAGAAGCAGGTACCTTCTTCACAAGGCAGCAAGGTGGAGTGAGGGCAAGCAGGGGGAATGCCAGATGCTTATAAAACATCAGATCTTGTGAGACTCACTCATTATCACAACAACAGCATAGGGAAACCGCCCTCATGATCCAATTACCTCCACCTGGTCCTGCCCTTGACACATGGGGGTTATTACAATTCAAGGTGAGTTTTGGGTGGGGACATAGAGTCAAACCATATCATATATTATGTGCTGTGCTTGCAAAAATTTTGAAGTGGTTTTAGGCCAATACGCCTACCTACAATAATTAGAAAAGCTGGACAAAATTTAAACATTTGTTAGAAGGTATCACATAGCTGCCAAAGACAATTAAGACTTGAGGGGCCAAGATTTCATAGAGCAGAAAATTTTATGAGATAAATACATTATTTGACACCACTATCCCCTTAAAGTATTAGCTGATTTAAAAGCAGAAACTGGAAGGCTGAAAACCTGAGTAGAGCTTTGGGCAGTTTCACTGGACTGATGGGGCAAAAATTAATTTGCCAAAGCATACTGGCTTTGATAAACATTCCAGGGTTTCCATTGGTACTGCTGAAAAGATACAACCTACAAGTAAGAGTGAACTAAAAATGGATCAGCCCTCACCAAAAAATTAAATACAACCCAAAACCTGAATGAAATCAGATGATCTACCTCTGCATGCACACAAACCATCTGCCAGTGCAAAAATAAATCTTCTTTGGAGGAAGAAGGCATTATCCCATCATCAAATTAACTATAATTTTCCATGCACAACGTTCAGCACTTGATTAAAAAATAACCAGGAAGGCAACAATACAATAATTGATGAAAAACGAGGAGAAAAATAGATAACGAAGAGTTGCACAAGAGATCCATCTATTGGCATTATCAAGATACAGAATTTATAACTGTTGCTCATCTGTTTAGAAGCTACAAAATAAGATTGAAGGTTGAATGTCCTATCTCCAGGCTTTTGGTGCACCTGCCCCCTTAACAGTGGAGCTTGAGCACACAAAGAACTCCCTTTCCACACAAAGAACTTGGTGTAGTGGCAGTTCCTCCACTCCACACCTGGATGTAATTCCAGCCATTTAACACACCTGCCCCAATGGACTAGGAGTTTGAGCCACCTCTTCCTCCCATGCAAAGACCTTGTGGCTGCAGTTTCTCTGCTCTTTCCCCAGACATATCACCCAACTCGAGGTGCACCTGCTCCTCCAGATCAGGAGCTTGAGCTACTCCTACATTCCCCAGGAAAACTTTGTGGCAGTAGTGGTCTCTCTCCACCTTGCTGGGGCATATTTCCAGGCATTTGACACACCTGATTGTCTAAATTAGAAGCATGACCTGCCCCTCCGTGCAGAGATCTTGGTAGAGCAAAGCTCTCTGCACTCGATGCCCAGACATATTTCCAGGCATTTGAAGCACCAACTCTTCTAGATTAGGAATTTAAGCTTCCCCCACTTCCTGTGCAGAGAACTTGGGACAGTGGAGGTTTCCAGACTCTATGCCTAGGCACATCTCCAGGCACTTGGCAGCTGCCCACCAGACCCTGCCTCAGAGCTAATGCTTCTGCCTGCCATTGGGAGAACTGTAGGAGAGCTTGCTTAGTCTAGCCCACCCATCTTGGCCCCCACTCCAGAACTAAGCAGGGAGCTCAGACCACTGTGCATTTCACAGATCAGCCCATTGCCCAAGTCAGCAGAACTTCTCCCAGTAAACAAGAATCAAGTATATATCCATTTGAGTCAGCTGCAGCTGAACTTTATCCATAAGCTTCACCTACTGGCCTGGAGGTTGAACTGCACAATACAATAAGAAATCTGGGGCCAGGCACAGTGGCTCACGCCTGTAATCCCAGCACTTTGGGAGGCCAAGGCGGGCAGATCACAAGGTCAGGAGATCGAGACCATCCTGGCTAATACGGTGATACCCGGTTTCTACTAAAAATGCAAAAAATTAGCTGGGTGTGGTGGTGGACGCCTGTAGTCACAGCTACTCGGGAGGCTGAGGCAGGAGAATGGCATGACCCCAGGAGGTGGAGCTTGCAGTGAGCCGAGATTGTGCCACTGCACTCCAGCCTGGATGACAGAGCCAGACTCTGTCTCAAAAAAAAAAAAAAAAAAAAAAAAAAAAAAGAAAAGAAAAGAAAGAAAGAAATCTAGGCAGGGCATGGTGGTTTATGCCTGTAGTCCCAGCACTTTGGGATGCTAAGGCCGGCAAATCACTTGAGCTTAGGAATTCGTAACCAACCTGGGCAACATAGTGAGACCCCCATCTCTGCAAAAAATTTTTAAAATTAGCCAGGCATGGTGATGCACACCTGTAGTCCCAGTTGCCAGGGAGGCTGAGGTGGGAGAATTATTGGTGCCCAGAAGGTCAAGGCAGCAGTGAGCCAAGATCATGCCACTGCACTCCCATCTGGGTAACAAAGTGGGACCCTGTCTCTAAAAAAAATTAAAAAAAAAAAAAGGAAAAGAAAAGAAATCTGATGACATAACTGCACAGCACTGGAAAATGTAATAAGCCTCCTGAGACCTCTGCCACCCAGCCTTATAGGAGGCAGTGAGCCTCCTCACATACCCAGTACACGGCTACTACAACCAGCATTTGGGAAAGCCACCATACAAAGACTACCCATTACCAAGAAACGCTTATACAGACTCGTTGCCACTGAAAGCACCCAGAACCAAATCCAAAGGACCTTACACAACATAAACTATAGACATCTCCTCAGATGAGGAAAAAAGTCACATCCAAATAAAAGCAAATTTAAAAAAAAATAAGAAGAGATAGCTTATCTGGATGAGAAGGAACCAGAGAAATAACTCGGAATGTATGAATAAAATAGAGTGCTACAACACCCCCAAAGGATCACACTAACTCTCCAGTAATGGATTCTAACCAAGATGAAATATTTGAAATATCAGGTAAAGAGCTCAAAATATTGATTTTTAAAAAGCTCAATGAGATCCAAGAAAAAATTGAAAACCAACACAAAGAAAACAATTCAGGACATGCAAGAAGAGATAGATACCACTAAAATAAAAGAAACGGACATTTAAAAATTATTGAAGGAAAAACAAAATAAAAGTGAAAGCTTCAACAATAGGCTAGACCAAGTGGAAGAAAGACTTTCAGAACTAGAAGACATCTTTTGAATTAAACCAGTAAGAAAAATATACAGAAAAATGAATTTTAAGAAATGCCTAGTGCCTTTGATAAATACGGGATTATGTAAAGCACCCAAACCTACAATTTATAGGTATTTCAAAGGGTGAAGAAGAAAAAGTATGGAAAACCTATTTGAGGAAATAATTCAGAAAAGCTTCTTTGGTTTTGGGAGAGATTTAGAAACCCAGATACAAGAAACTCAAAAAACTCCTAGAAGACACATCGTGAGAAGAACATCACCAAGACGTATAGTCATCAGACTATCCAAAGTCAACATGAAGGAAAAAATCCTAAGAGTGCCCAGAGAGAAGTGTCTAATCACCTATAAAGGAAATTTCATAAGACTAATAGTGGACTTCTCAGCAGAAACCCTACATGCCAGAAGAGATCAGGGGCCTATTTTTAGCCTCCTTAAAGAACAAATGTGCCAGCCAAGATTTTCACATCCTGCCATGCTAAGCTTTATAAATGAAGAAGAAATCAAGTCTTAACCAGACAAATAAATGCTAAGGGAATTTGTCAATACTAGACCAGACTTACAAGATATGCTCAAAGGAGTTCTAAACATGGAAACAAAAGAACAATACTCATCATCATAAAAGGACACACAGATACAAAGCTCACAGATCCTGTAAACCAACAACACAATTGAAACTCCAAGTAACAACACTGTGACAGGAACACAACCTCACATATTAATATTAATCTTGAATGCAAATGGCCTAAATATTCCACTTAAAATATAGAGTGGAAAATTGGATTAAAAAGAGACTCAACTATCTGCTACCTACAAGATATCCACTTACTGACTAAAGACAGCTATAGACTCAAAGTAAAGGGGTGGGAAAATATATATCATGCAAATGGGAAAAAAAGCAAGCAGGAGTAGCCATTCTTATATTAGATAAAACAGACATCAAACCACCAACAATAAAAAAACAAGACAAAGAATGGCATCATATAATGATAAAAGGTTCAAACGACAAGAAGATTGAACTATTGTAAAGTATACACGACCAACACTGGAGAGCCCAGATTTACAAAAATTACGACTACATATAAGAACAAAGATGAATAGAAAAAAAATAGTGGTCTTCAATACTCCACTGACATCAGTAGACAGATCATCAAGGCAGGAAATCAACAAAAAATCTCTGGACTTATTCTGGGTACAGTAACTGACTCTTGTAATCCCAGCACTTTGAGGGGCTGAGGTGGTAGGATTGTTTGAGGCCAGTTGTTCAAGACCAGCTTGGGCAATATACTGAGACCCAATTCCACAAAATAAATAAATGAATAAATAAATAAAAATTAATTAAGCATAGTAGCACATGCCTGTAGTCTAAGCAACTTGCAAGGCTGAGCTGGAAGGATTGTGTGAGTGCAGGAGTTTGAGGTTACAGTAAGCACCACTGCAATCCAGCCTGGGCAAAAGAGTGAGACCCTGTCTCCTAAAAAAACAAAACAAAACGAAACAAAATAAAAAGAAAGAAAGAAACTCTGGACTTAAACTATATATAGACCAAATGGACCTAATAGACATTTATAGAACATTTCATTTAATAACTGTAAAATATACATTCTTCTCATCTGTACATGGAACATTCTCCCAAATTGACTTTATTCTTAGCCATAAAGCAATTCTCAATAAATTAAAAAAAACTGAAATCATATCAAGTGTTTTCTTAAACCACAGTGGAATAAAATTATAAATCAAACCAACGGGCACCTTCAAAAATACACAAGAACATGAAAACTAAGCAATTTGCTCCTGAATGGCCTTTTGGTAAACAATAAAATTAAGACAAAAATAAAAAACATTTCAAAATGAATGAAAGTAGAGATACAACATACCAAAACCTCTGGGATATAGTGAAAACAGTTCTAAGAGAAAAGTTTATAGAATTCAATGCTTACACTAAAAGATAGAAAGATTTCAAATTAACAACCTAACATTACACCTCTAAGGAACAAGGAAAGCGAGAACAAGCCAAATCCAAAGTAAGCAGAAAAAAAAGAAATATAATAACAAAGATCAGAGCACAATGACATGAGATTGAGATTTAAAAAAAGATACAAAAAGTCAACAAAACAAAATGTTGGATCTTTGAAAAGATAAATGAAATTGGCAGCCTTCTAGCTAGATGAAACAAGAAACAGGAGAGATGATTCAATTAAGTACAATCAGAAATGATAAAGATGATTGACATAGTTTGGATGTGTGTCCTAGACCAAATCGCATGTTGAAATACAATCCCCCCGTGTTGGAGGTAGGGCCTGGTGGAAAGTGATTATATCATGGAGGCAGATTTCTCATTAATGGTTTAGGACCATCCCCCTTGGGCACCAGCCTACTGCCCTCATGATAGTGAATGAGCTTTTGTGAGATCTGGTGTTGCACCCCCCTGCTCTCTCTCTCTTGATTCTTCTCTGGCCATGTGATGTGCCTGCTCCCTCTTCGCTTTGCCTTCCATTATGATTGTAAGCTTCCTGAGCCCCTCCAAGAAGCCAAGCAGATGCCAGCATCATACTTCCTGCACAGCCTGCAGAACTATGAGCCAATTAAACCTCTTTTCTTTATAAATTACCCAGTCTCAGTTACTTCTTTATAGCCTTGTGAGAATGGACTAATGCAGTGAAATTACAACTGATACTATAGAAATAAAAAAAAATCATCAGAGATGACTATGAACACCTCTGTGCACACAAACTAGAAAACCTGGAGGAAATGGATAAATCCCAGAAACATACAACCCCCTAAGATTGAACCAGGAAAGAGTAGAAATCCTGAATAGACCAATAGCAAGTAATAAAATCACATCAGTAATAAAAAATCTTCCAACAAAAAAAATCTCAAGACCAGACAGATTCACAGCTGAATTTTATCAGATGTACAAAGAAAAGCTGGTACCAATCTTACTGAATCTATTCCAAAACATGAATGTGAAGCAATTCCTAACTGTTCCTATAAAACCAGTATCACCCTGATACCAAAATCATACAAGGACACAACAACAACAATACAAAAAAACCCACTACAGGCCAATAACCCTGATGGACATAGTTGCAAAATTTCTCATCAAGATACCAGCAAACCAAATCCAACAGCATGTTAAAAAGATAATACATCACAATCAAGTGAGTTTTATTCCATGGATGCAAGGATGATTCAACATATGCAAATCAATAAAATCAATAGACATGATTCACCACATTAACAAAACTAAAAACAAAAACCATATGATCATCTCAATACAATAAGGCGTCAATAAAATCCAACATCTTTTGATAATAAAAACCCTCAACAAATTAGGCATCTAAGGAACATACCTCAAAATAAGAGCCATCTATTACAAACCTACAGCCAACATTATACTGAATGAGGAAAAATTGAAAGCATTATCCCTAAAAACTGGAACACAATGAGGATGTCCACATTCACCACTCCTATTCAACATAGCACTGAAAGTCCTAGCTAGAGCAATCAGGCAAGAAAAAGAAATGAAAGGAATCCACACTAGAAAAAAAAGTCAAATTACCAAATTATCTCTGTTCAGTAATGACATGACTGTATACTTAGAAAACACTCTACAGACTCCAAAAGACTCCTAGACTTAACAAACAACTTCAATAAATTTTCAGGATACAAAATCAACATATAAAAATCAGTAGCATGTCTATACACCAGTAGTCTTCAGGCTGAGAACCAAATCAAGAACTTGATCTTAACAATAGCCACAAAAAATAAAATAAAATAAAATAATAAAACACCTAGGAATACTTTTAACCAAGGAGATGAAATATCTCTACAAGGACAACTACAAAAAGTGATGAAAGAAATTGTAGATAACACACATGACTGGAAAAACATCCCATGCTCATGGATTGGAAAATTTAATATCATTAAAATGACCATACTTCCCAAAGCAATCTACAGATTCAACACAATCCCTATCATATTACAAATGCCATTTTTCAGAGAATTAGTAAAACAAGATTAAAGTTTATATAGAATTTTAAAAGACCCTGAATAGCCAAAGTAATTCTTTTCTTTTTTTGAAATGGAGTCTCGCTCTGTCACCAGGCTGGAGTGCATTGGCACGATCTTGGCTCACTGCAACCTACACCTCCTGGGTTCAAGAGATTCTCCTGCCTCAGCCTCCTGAGTAGCTGGGACTACAGGTGCGCATCACCATGCCCAGCTAATTTTTGTATTTTTAGTAGAGACGGGGTTTCACCATGTTGGCCAGGATGGTCTTGATCTCTTGACCTTGTGATCTGCCAGCCTCAGCCTCTCAAAGTGCTGGGATTACAGGTGTGAACCACCGTGCCTAGCATAGCCAAAGTAATTCTAAGCAAAAGAAAAAATCCAGAGGCACCACATTGCCTGACTTTATACAACAAGGCTGTAGTAACTAAAACAGCATGATACTGGTACAAAAATAGACACACAGATCAATGAAACAGAATAGAGAAAGCAGTTAAAATGCCACATACCTGCAACCAACCCATCTTTAACAAAGCTGACAAAAATAAACAATATGGAAAGGACACCTTATTCAATAAATGGTGCTGGGAAAATTGGCTAGCCATATGCAGAAGAATGAAACCCTACCTATGACAATATACAAACATTAACTCAAGATAGATCAAAGACTTAAATGTAAGATCTGAAACTAAAAATCTTAGGGAAAAAAACCTGGGAAAACTCTACTGGACATTAGACTAGGCAAAGAATTTATGACAAAGACCCCCAAAACAAATGGAACAGAAACAAAAATAGGCAAGTGGAACTTATTTAAATTAAAAAGCTTCTGTACAACAAAAGAAATAATCAACAAATAGACAGCCTATTTGGAGAGGAAGTATTTGCAGATTATTTCTCCAACAAATGACTAATATCCAAAATATACAAGGAACTAAGACAAATCAACAAGAAAGAACAAACAACCCCATTAAAAACTGGGCAAAAGACATGAACAGACATTTCTCAAAATTAGAAATACTAGCAGCCAACAAACACATGAAAAAAGGCTCAATATCACTAATCATCAGAGAAATTAAAAGTAATACCACAATGAGATATCATCTTACACCAGTCAGAATGGCTATTATTAAAAAATCAAAAAACAATAGATGCTGGCAAGGCTGTGAAGAAAAGGGTAGACTTACACACTTTTGAGGGAATGTAAATTAGTTCAACCACTATAGAAAACAGTATAGAGATTTCTCAGAAGACTTGAAACAGATCTTCCATTTCACCAAGCAATCTCACTACTGAGTATCTACCCAAAGGAAATGAAATCACTATATAAAAAAGACATTTGCCCTCATATGTTCATTGCAGCACTATTCACACTAGCAAAGTCAGGCAATGAAGCTCAGTCTCCAGCAATGGTTGATTTGATAAAAAAAAAAAAAAAAAAAACTGCGGTATATATACACCATAGAATACTATGCAGCTATAAAAAAGAATGAAATCATGTCCTTTACAGAAACATAGATAAAGCTAGAAGCCATTATACTAAGTAAAATAACTCAGAAGCAAATAAAATAACATATGTTCTCCTTCATAAGGGGGAGCTAAATATCCATCCATAGATAAAAAGATGGAAATAATAGACACTAGGGACTCCAAAAGAGAGAAAGGTGGGAGGTGAATAAGAGTTGAAAAGTTACCTATTGGTTACAGTGTTCACTATTTAGGTAATGGGTACACTGGAATCACAATCTCCACTAGTTACAATATGTTACAATACACCTGTGTATTACAATATGCCTGTGTAAAAAACTGCACACATATGCCTGGAATCTAAAATTTTAAAATAATGAAGATTGAATGTCCTAGAAAGGAATAAAACAAAACATTTAGGAACTGACAATTACAACTGAAGCTTACAATACAATAGTTAAACTTAGCGGCAAATTAAATGTAGCTAAAGAAGAAATCATTGAACTGGAATATAGGTCCAAAGAAAATAATTAGATTGAAGCATGAAAAAAGAAAGGACAAAAAATACAAAAAGAAAATAAAAAGCATATGGAAGTAGTGAAAAGGACTCCCAGAAAAAGATAAAGCCCAGACTGGATAGAAACAACACTTATAGTGGCCAATAATTTTCCCAAACTCTTTAAAGACATCAAAACACAAATACATAAAGCACCATAAAGGACAACAGCAAGCAAACAAACAAATATAAAGAGAATTAAAACACATGAAATGATAAGACTAAGTAAAAGCCCCATAATCTTGAATTTGAAATGAAAATATTTATGCTAGCTCATGATGTATTTTATGCTTCAGGAGTTTTTAAGGATACATACCAAAATGTTTATAGGTAAACTGATAACATGTCTGGGATTTACTTCAAAATAATTTGAGGCTGGGGGTGGGTTGAGATGTATAGATGTACAAAATTGATATTGATAACTGTTGGAGGTTGGTGGTGAGTACATTGGATTCTTTATTTTTTTTATACTATTCTCTCTACTTTTATGTAAGTTTAAGATTTTTTTCATAATAAAATTCAAAACAAAATTATGCATGATTATAATGAAACAAAATAAAGAGATCTGGGTAGTTAAAGATGTTAAAGTCCTTGGATTGCCTGGATGTAGTAAAAGTACTAATTTCTATTAGATTTTAATGTCAAGGAGGTGTGTTAAAATCTCTAAAGTAATCCTCCCAAATTATGAAAACTGACATTACTAGCAAGCTAAAGAAGGTATAAAATGCAGTATTTGAATATGCAAATATATATGTTTATATATAGAGTTATTCCCCAGTATCCATGGAGGATTAGTTCCAGAATCCCCTGCCAATACAAAAATTCGAGGATGCTTAAGTCCCTTACATAAAATAGATAGTATTTGCATATAACCTACATACACCCTCCTGTATACTTTAAGTCATCTCTAAATTACTTATAATTTCTAATGCAATGTAAATTCTATATAAAAATTTTTATACTATATTCTTAAAATTTGTATCATTTTATTATTGTATTGTTATTTTATACTTTCTTAATATTTTTAATCTGCAGTTGATAGAATCCATGGATGTGGAACCCACAGATAAAAAGGGCCAATTATAATACATACATATTATATAAAATCAATCTAAGTTAAGACAGGAGAGAAAAAATATTAGAATTATTAGAACAAGTAAGAAGAATAGGCCAGTACACTTAACCTCAAATGTATCAGTAATTGCATTAATTGTAAATGGACTAAATATTCCCATTAAAATAACAAGATTGTCAGAGTAGATTTTTAAATTACCTATTTTAATTTGTTTATAAAAGGTGTACACCATAAATAAAATGATGCAGGTTAAAATTAAAAGGAAAAGGATGGTAAAGTAAAATGATAAAAAATAATGAAACAAAACAAAACACAAAGTAAAAGTAAGCCAATGCAGCTACATATGTGTATCAAAAGTTTATAAATTTGCTGTGATTCTTGGAATCACTTGTAGCTTTATCTGTGTCTTAGAATTTGCTTTGAAAGGAATACAAAGACAGGAGGGCTTCTAAAGCTAGTAATGTTCTATTTCTTGATCTTGCTTGTAGTTACGTGGGCGTGTTCCTCTTGTAATAATTCACCAAATTATATACTTATGATTTTGTATACTTTTCTTTATGTGTTTTATTTCAATACAAAGTTTATTTACAAAATATATCACATTAATCCAGGGCAGGGGTTGCAATCTCAAATGGCTTTAGGAATCAAGCAGGCAATGAATGTAAACATGTAAAAGAGCCAAGGGGAAGAGACAGAATGAAAACAGAGATAAAAACCAGAGAATGAATGCCCTGCCTAAAGACATTAAAATCAATTTTTGTCAAACACTGTGCTGATCAAACAAATCACACATGCAGGCCAGATTTGACCCAAGGGTGACTTTCTTACAACAACTGATATATAAAATTTAAACATCAGAATTTGAAAAGTGTGCCACTATAAAATTCTAGCCCACCTCTGAAGTATGAACCCACCTTCAATTTGTGAGGTAGAATATTAATCTTTACTGGTGGATTGTGAGAAGTGAGGCCAAGAAGTTGGGGAGGTTAACATTTACAATGGTTTAGACAAATCATATGTTTGACAAGGTTTAAAATCCCTTCTGTTCAAAGAATATCTTATATTAGGATTTTCTTCTCCTAATGTGTTTATTATTGTTTTTATTAGTATAATTTTTAAAGAAATCTGAACTATTGCACGCCTCAGAGACCATAACAGTGAGAACAAAAATATAAAGGAAAATTTTCAAATGATGGAAAGTGTAACCCATATAACCCGAAATCTTCATGATTTTCAGATGACCATCTGATTAAGGAGAAAAGTCAAGATAAGCACATATTCATATCTGCTTATTTCTAGAATTGTTCTATCAGAAGACCATGAATTGGTCATATGAGGGGAAGAAACACTGACATGATACTGGCTCTATTAGGATGATATTAAAAGAGGCTGCTGGCTCAAGCTTAGCATGGATGAGTTGTTCTCACATAAAGATGCTGTTATTGACCAGGTGTGGTGGCTCACGCCTATAATCCCAGCACTTTGGGAGGCTTTGGTGAGTAGATCCCCTGTGTCCAGGAGTTCAAGACCAGCCTGAGCAACATAGTGAGACCCTGTCTCTACTAAAAAATTTTTTAAATTAAAAGTTAAAAAATTAAATGATGTTGCTATTGTTAATGCATTCCTGCAATGCTAACATGCTTTCATAAATATACTTATGATTTTATAGGTGTTTTCCTCTTAGCCTCAAGAAGGGAGATGTTTTAGTCTAGGGACTGTCATAACAAAATAATATAAACTGTGTGGCTCAAACAACAGAAATTTATTTCCTCGCAGTCCTGTAGGCTGAAAGTTTAACATTAGGGTGCCAGCATGGTGTGGCTCTCTTCCTGGGTTGCAGATGTCACCGTCTCACTGCATCCTCATGTGGCCTTTGTGCAATGCCTCTGCACAAAGAGAGAGAAACAGCAAGTTATGTGCCGTCTCTTCTTGTAGGCTCACTAATCCTATGGAATCAGGGCCCCACCCTTGTTAACCTTAATTATTTCCACAGAGGTCATATGTTCAAATACAGTCACATTGGGAGTTAGAGATTCAACATATAAATTTTAGGGGAATACAAACCTTCAGTCTGTAACAGGGAACAGAGGTGCTAGAAGAAATGTAGTAGTAGCAAAAGGTGGGGTGGGGAGATAATAGGAGCTTCATATGTCTTGCTAAGAAGTTCAGGCTTTGCTTTTAGCACAGCCCCTCTTCTGCTAGCTTTGTTCAGGCCACCATCACCTTTGATGCAGATTACTACAAAAGCCACCCAAGGTGTATGAAATGAGAAAACACATACTTAAATTAACCCATGGCCAGGTTTTGCTGGTAACTTGGGAACACAGTAAGGGAAGGAAAATAACTTTGTTGTGGAGAGGGCAAACCAAGGAAGGTCAGAAAGACATAGAGACAGTGGAAGCTCAAGGAACCGGAGGTTGTCCCAAAGTCATAAGGCGGATGTAACGAGAGCACCAGAACAACAGAGCTGGAAGGAAGGAAGGAAGGAAGGATATGTTTAGAAAGCAAGATGTTCCCAGATGAATACTGCAGAGGTAGTATAACTCAGTGCAACGATTGTACTGGGTAGGCAAGGTAGGGTGGCAGGGAAAGTCACTAGCAAACATGGCCACAATAATGGAAACTAAACTTTGTGTTTACCATGCACCAGGCTCTGTGCTACATGCTTTCTGTAGATCATCTCATTTAATCCTCACACAGGGATTTAAGCCTGAAGTTTTTTTCAGAGAAGACATACAAATCCCAAGTAAGAGCATGAAAAGATGTTCATTAGCATTAGTCATTAGAGGAAATGCAAATCCAAAGATCAGGGAGATACGACTTCACACCTTCAAGAATGGCTATTCCCCTATAAAATAATATACTAAATCACTCTTTGAAACATAACATTTTCCACAAACTCACCTCTTTGAATTCACATTTTGCTTTGCCAGTGTTTTATGTTATTCAGACATGAGTTTGAATCTCAGCATTTCTACTTCTGAGCCCTATGACCTATGAAAAGTGACAATTTCTCTGAATATCAATTTCCCAATCCAAAAAATGGGAATACCTCTTGGAGTTGTGGTGAGGATTAAATAAGATAATGAATATAAAGTGCCTAGTATAGTAAGAGGCATATTATTGTTCAATAAATGCTAGCTGTGAATGCTACTGCTATAGTTATTTCATTCACTGTAGAAATGATTAATTTAAACTCCTTCAAGTAACTTACTAAAGAGTGAAAGTTCTCCAAAAGGCTTGAATTTCACTGCAAACCTCTTTCCTTGTTTTGCTCTTTTATTCAGGACAATACACTTTGCTCAGGTGTGTCTTTGACTCTCAAGCATTGCTTTAAAGAATGACCAGACTTTGTCATATACCATTCTTAAAGGAGTTCAGGACATGCCACCCCAAAATATGCTGCTTTCATATATTGATTATTTTGAGCTGATAGCACTTCAACAGCAAATGCAAGAGAGACTTTTTCGGAACTCAGCTGCCTAAAAACAGATCCTCCAAAAGAAATTCAATTGCCATATATCCTCTCCCTGGGAGTTTTATTAATCAGCAAAGATACACTTTTATCACAAAACAGGAAACTGGAAGTCAACACCACCTACAGAAAAACTTTTTCATAAACTGTTATATCTCCCATTGATTCTTCTAAAAACCCATTCATCTTTCCCCAGAATCATTTACTCCACCCTAAGTGACTTACATCACCCCTCCCCATCCCCTGTTAACACAGTATGTAAGCTCTCAAATCTCTTTTAGGAGTATTCATTATTTTCCTGTGGCACCCCATGAACATAATATTAAAATGAATATGCCTTCTCTCTTATTAATCTGCCTGTTGTCAGTTTATTTCATAGACACAGCTATCGAACCTAGGAGAGTACAGGGAAATTCTTTCCTCCCCTATATGCTTAAATCATAAGATTCAACTGACATCAGCAATGAAACAAACATTCAGAAAACTAAATTCAGAGACATTATATCTGGCTTTTCTGAGGGAGAATAATAAGAACTAATAGGCATTGTCAGGTAAGGCAATACAGATGTTTTTAATTAAATGATGTTTTTTCACCATGACCCACATCTTGAAAACACCTTCCTAATTAAAGACCAGTAGTCTTGAGTGATTCTTTGAAGAACATTTTTACTTCCATTTGGTCTTTTCTTTATTGAGTTGATGAATCTGCTGGAATTAGATTCAGCGCACATAACATAAAATCCAAATAATGCTGGCTTAAGTTCATAAGGATTTATTTTTATCTTATGTAAAGAAGTCCGGACGTAGGTAATCCAGGGCTCGTGCTGCATTTTCTTACCATTGGGAACCCAGGCTCCTCTGTATTTCTACTGTATTAAAGGACTGTCACCCTCAAGTTCAGCTCATGGTACAGATGGCGGTTGGTTCAAGATGACTGCTAGAACATCTGTCATCATGCCCAAATTCTAGCCAGCAGGAAGGAAGAAGGGAGGAAGGACAGAGGGGCTCATATCAGCTCTTTGTCCTCCTCTTAATTGGCATTGCCAGAATTCCCACCCATTAGTTTTTCCTTGCATCTCAATGGTAACGTCTAAGTGAAAAAAAGCCTGGGAAATATTTTCATTTATTATTATTTTTTTAACCCAGGCCCATTGGCCAGAATAAAACCAGCTTCCTTTTCCTAAGGAAGAAGGAGAAATAGAATTAAGGAACAGTCTCTGGCATAGCTTGTTCTCCATACTTTTACTTCCATCCAGAACTGAGAAGTTTAGACAACAAATCTCTTTTTGTCCACCCATTGCCTGCTTTGAGAATGCTTCTTCCAGAGTGCTACGCTCTCTTCTAATGACTTATTATCTTGGCAGACTGCACTTTTCACACCCTCCATAGGCTGCAGTGATCCATTGGATGATTGTCCCATTATGTAGATAAGTTCCTATTGCTGGCTGTTTATGCTTTTCTCCCATTTTTAGGCTATTAGCAATCCTGCAATAAACATTCTCATAATTAAATTTGTATGAGAATTCTGTATTATTTATTTAGAAAAAGTTTATAGAAGTGGACTTACTGCATCAAAGAAAGGCACTTTTGTGGCTTTTGAATTGGCTAATGTCTTTTTTGGTTACCCAAGTTAAAAGATGATGGAAAATGTCGGGGGACAAATGCTCTAGAACCCGCTAGCATAGACCTACACTAAGTCTTATTCAAAAAGGTCCCTGTAAACAAAACCCTAGTTGACTTGCAGTAGCTACAGAATCATAACTGGTTTTTTGAGAGCAGAGATTCTCTCCGTTCCTCCCTTAGTGATACTTAGCCAGCTACTGGTAATTTGCTTATTATCAAAAGGAGCGGCCAGGCGCGGTGGCTCATGCCTGTAATCCCACCACTTTGGGAGGCCAAGGCGGGCGGATCACGAGGTCAGGAGATCGAGACCATCCTGGCTAACACGGTGAAACCCCGTCTCTACTAAAAATACAAAAAATCAGCCAGGCGTGGTGGCGGGCGCGATGGCAGGCGCCTGTAGTCCCAGCTACTCCAGAGGCTGAGGCGGGAGAATGGCGTGAACCCGGGAAGCGGAGCTCGCAGTGAGCCGAGATCGCGCCACTGCCCTCCAGCCTGGGTGACAGAGCAAGACTCCGTCTCAAAATAAATAAATAAATAAATAAATAAATAAATAAAGCATTTTTTTTTTCACTTTAGCCAGCGCATCAGAGAAGAACCCACACTTGATTGTCTTATTTTTCCCCCTACAATGCCCAGAGCAGTATTCACACATTCATGAAAAGAAAACACATCACTTAGAACATTCGAATAGAGCACGTGTTTTTATTTTGCTCTTCTATGTTTTACCTCCACTTCTCCACAATTTTGATCCCTTCAAAAAAAAATCTTAACTAATTATTCTCTATATATTCTATTAGGAATCTTGGCTGTAGACTTAATCTTGAGGTTAGAAAGAAAATAGATCTTGAAGCCACTATTTTGGCACATTCTGTAATTCTTAGAATTTCCATTCTAACAATTTTCTGGATGAATTTAATAACCGTTTATATTTTATGAGCTAAAGTGCCAATTAAAATTATTCATTTACCATCTTTAAGACTTACTTGTCTGTTTTATTCAAATGCAATAAAAATGCGGAACTAATAAGAGTAACTCCCGATGAGTGTTCAACAAAGAAAAGAAAGAAAACATATTTTTTGGCGCACATTCAAATCATTTCCTTTTTCTGGTAGGGCCAAATCTTCTCATATTGGGAAAGGAAATTAGCTTTGCTTCAAAGCACTTTCTGAAGAGCAATTTACTAATGAGCTTAGGAATTCTCTGCCCTCATAACCCTCCTATACATTACCTGAACGCAGAGAAACTTGAGACGTTCAGCAAGGGAGGTAAGGCCAGGAGTGTTGAGGCGTCCAGGTCCGTCTGTGGAGTTCACTGCCACCTTCCTGTGTGGATTTCAGTCCTTGTTTTCCTGGATTTTGAGTTGCATTCTCAATACATTATTTTTATTTTTATTCATAGTGAAAATATTGAAGACTGAATTTTTTCTGAATTCATACAATTTATATGACATGTTATTTTTTATTTTCTAAATATTTTACTGTTGAAGTAGTTCCTCTTTCACCCAAAAAAACTAATAGTTTTTGCTGTCTTTTTTTAATTTCTACGTGACCATTTCTTTAATATTTTGTAATTCACATTTAATTTTATTGCCTTGTAGTCAAGGAATATTTCTGAAAGGACTTCTGCTCTTTGGAACTTATTAAGAGTGTCTTTGAGGTTTAATATGTAATTATTATCTTAAAAATATTTAATGTATACTAAAATGTAAGACACAATTTATTGCTGTGGAATTAAACAAAGACCATCCAAATGAGAACAAGCAATGGCTATTTACTCAGAGTTTGGGAGTCAGCCCACAGTTTCTTGTGTTGACAGAGACTCAAAAGGCTGAGTGGAAAAGCTTTGCAAGGGGGAAAAAAAGGCAGGGTCTCAGCTATGCCCTGATTGGAGGCTGCTGGCCTAGGGAAGTTGACCTGAAGCACAGCATCTTATCGGATTGCTTAAGGGTGCATATTTACCTTTCTCCTATTGGTCCTAAGTTAGAAGCAAGGGAAACAATTAAAGGAGCTATCAGTTATGAACCAAGTTCTGGGTTTGTTGGGCTAATTGCTATGGTGGTATTGTTTGGCTTCCTGAGCTGGTTGCTGCAGGTTGTGGATAAGAGTTCTATTTTATGTATATGGTCTGGCCATTGTCTATATGTTCAGTCTCTCAATGCATTATTTGTACTTATTCTTTTGAATTTGCCTTTACTAATTATGGTCTCTATATTGTCTCTTTTTATATACATATTTTTTGCCTGTTTAACGTATGATAGATGACTAAAAGTGCTATTAAAAACTTTCACACTTTTGGTTGGACGTGGTGGCTCATGCTTGTAATCCCAGCACTTTGGGAGGCTGAGGCGGGCAGATCACTGGAGGTCAGGAGTTCAAGATCAGCCTGGTCAATATGGTGAAACCCCGTCTCTATTAAAAATATAAAAATCAGTTGGGCATGATGGTGCACGCCCGTAATACCAGCTACTCAGGAGGCTGAGGTGGGAGGATCGCTTGAATCCAGGAGGTGGAGGTTGCAGTGAGCAGGGATCACGCCACTGCACTCCTGCACTCCAGCCTGGGCAGCAGAATGAGACTCCATATCAAAAAAAAAAAAAAAAAAGAGAGAAAAGAAAAGCCTTTCACACTTTCTCTCATCTTTTAGTATTTTTGATCAATGTTTGTTTTATACATTTCAATGGTTTATTATTTGGTTCCTAAAGGCTCCTGATTAGCATATCTTTAATGTATGTTTGTGTATGTATGTTGATCTCTCTCTCTCTCTCTCTCTCTCTCATACACACACATAAGTCTTTTCATTTATTAGCTTTGCTTTAAACTTTGCTAATGTGATATTAATATTATGTTTATCTATCTTCTTTTTATTGCACTTGTTTGCCAAGCACCGAACTAAGCATTTTAAATAATATCACATTTTTGTAACTGTTTTGGCATTTATCTTCTTCATTGTGACTTTACTTGAAATAATTATCAATGTGTATTTCTATATTTGAGTGTTTCAATACTTATCAAGAGTTTTCTTCCCCATTCTTGGTTCCTGTGTTTCGACACAGCTCTCAACTTTCTGTAGTACTTTGGGTAGTATTTTTTTTTTCAAGAAGTCATTGGATAAGATTATAAACACCTGGCATTTCTTTATGAGCCTTTTTCTTCACTCCACAACAATAATGATTTAGATGGGTATAGAAATCTTGAATTCATAACTCAAATCTCCATAGATGTTGCTCCATTTAATTCTGGTATTTTGTGTTACCAAAAAAAAATCTAAAGTCAGTCCAAGATTTCTTTCTTGATAGGTTATCCAATTTTGTCTTTTGTTTCTGATTTTTTTTTTTTTAGATTTCATGCTTTCACCAGGTTATGTCTATTTTTTGGTCGTCTGTTATGTGAGTTCTCTGAGCTGCCATATGCTCTTTTGATCTGCTGATTAATGTGAATTCGTAGGTTATTTTCTTTATGTCTTTGAATACAGATTACTTACCATTTATTTTAATCTTATCTTCAGGAACTCTAACTGTCTGTCTATATGTTAGTAATTTTGGCCTTTCTGTCATCATTTAAATATCTTGGTCCTATTCTTCTACGTGGGAAGAATAATTTATACTTTATTAATCAATAATTTGATTTTGATTCAATGATTAGCAGTGCTAATTCTACTTTTTATTGTTTCTGAAGTATCTTAAAGGTTGCTTTGTCTATGAAAAGTTTTAAAACATTCTTCCTTTGTATTATCTGGTGCCTTTTTATTTCTGTCAGCTTCTTGGTGTTTCCCTTCTCACAACCTATCTAATGTCTTATTATCTCGTCTTTCACCTTTAATTCCATACTGTCAAAGTGTCCCCAAAATGTAAAAAGAATGCAAAATATGCGCTAAAATTTCAGGGTTTCTTGAGCTAAAGTTTTTTTGAATATATATTCTTTTTCTGATATTTTTGTGCTCTTTTTAACTCAATGCTAGGAAATCTCTCTCTGTCTCATATGTTTCACCCATCTACTGAAAGTTTTTTAATTGGCTAACATCTGAATAAATGCACATATCTTTTATTTGGATTATTCCTACACTAGCTGCACAATGCCATCATTGTTTCCTCCACCAAGAAGAGCTGGGTGGGCCATGTTCATTGAGAAAATCAGTTTCTCTCAAACAGGAGAAAAAATGGCATTGTCCTATCGCTATGTGAATAATTCAACTAAAAAGAATAACTGTTCTCCCAGTAAAGCTTTTTCTTTCTTAGAAAAATTGGGTTTCTTTATATTCCATGCCTTTGCTTCAGAGCACAATATGTGACCTGGGAAAGGCATTTACCCTTGTTAAACCTTCATTTTCTCATTTCTAAAATTACAAGGGTTATCTCCATGATCTTTAGGAAGCCAGAACTGATCTGGTTCTAATGGTCCTTTGATTCTAATTAGAAATTTCCAACTGCAAAAGTTGAGGGGGATTCTTACATCTTCAGAAGCCAACTAATTAAACAACTTTTGCTGTAATGAGTGTCAGTCACCTTTATGAATCAGCTTGTCACTTAATAATAGAAATAGCTGGCTTCTGGCCCATGCAGAAGGAATGTAGAAAATAGACTATAGTAACAAGCTGACTCCCATTCTCCTGTTGTTCCCTGCCTCACTCAGTTTCCACAGTCAACTTAGGACAATTCCATACTGTGATTATTTACTCCTGCTTTGCTTTCGTAATTCAACAAACAGTATTAACCACTTACTATGGCGAGGCATGGTTCCAGGTGCTAAGGACCCACAGTGGATTTGATTACAAATTACAGGTAAAATAATAAAGCAATAAAAAGGATAATTTTGCTTTCATCATCGAAAGCTCAGTGATAGAGTAAGCTTTAGACTTTATTTGCCTCAGCAATGCAGCAGTGGTAGAGGGCAGAGGAGAAGTCTCATCCTAAGCCTTGCTCCCAAGGCTGGTTATAGGATGCTGTATTAGTTTGCTGGGACTGCCGTAACAAATACCAAAGATTGGGCAGCTTAAACAACAGAAATTTACTTTCTCACAGTTCTAGAAGCTAGAAGTCCTCTATCAAAGTGTTGGCTAATTTTATTTTGAGGCCTTTCTCATTGGATTGTAGATGGCTGTCTTCTCCGTTTTTTTCACATGGCTTTTTTTCTGTCCATGTCTGTATCCTAATCTTCTCTTCTTATGAGGACACCACCAGTTATACTGGATTAGGGCCCACCCAGAATTACCTCATCTTTTTTTCTTCATTATCTCTTTAAAGTCCCTATCTCTAAGCATGTCACATTGTGAAGGACTGGAGGTTAGGACTTTAACATATGAATTTAGGGGAGATGCAATTCAGCCCATAACAAATGCCTGCTAGTAACTCATGGGAACTCTCTTCCACATGCAAAGAGATAAAATGTGATTTCTGCAAGTTTTATTAGAAATATAGGAAGGAACCCTTCCCAGCAGGGCTTGACAAGCCTGTGCATGTGCCTCACTGACATAACTAAGTTATAGGGTCATATTTGAACTAATCCATGGAACAAGACATGCAATTACACTGATGAGCTTAGGCTGAAGTCAAATGTCTCACTCCTGAAAATTCAGACTTCCCCAAAACACATGGGCTGAACAGGTAAGATGGATACTTCAACTGAAAGCCAGGGTACTTAACAAAAGCAGGAGAAATAGATGCTGGGGAGGTAATCCCAACGTCCAGTGCAAATGCTATGAGGGAAAACGACAGAGTCCCAAACATGCTGGAGCTTATAGTTAGAGGAAGGAAAAATTAGATTTTTCTCAGGGCTTTGGGATTGGGGCACCTGGCAGTCAGCGCCTAGATTCCAAAGCAGGTCAGAAGATGCCTCTGCCCAAGTATTGGAAACCTTTTGAATATCTTTGAGTATTAAAAACATTTTAACACTGCCTGAGAAAAGTAGTAGTTATGAAGTTATACATTTAGCCTATCCCATTCAACTCAGGGGATTGTACACAGATCAAATAAATTGCAATTGTGTTTCCCTCCCTGATATTCACATAGGAAGGTGAGTGGTGAGCAGTAAACTTCAGGACCTTTAAAGTTATCATTGCTTTCACCCTTGCACCAGCTTTTTGAGGTAAATATTCCCATTTTCTAGGAGAGGATAATGAGGCTCAGAGAGGGTAAGTGGCCTCCCCAGGGTCTTCTAGCTGAATTGTAACCAGCTTGATCTTCCTTTTGAATTCCACCATCTTGCCTGTGAGGGAAAAAGGAATAAGGAGCCAGGAGTTGCAGGGTCATTCTTCTCCTCAAGAGGCTTGAGAGTAACTAAGTATCTGTTCAAAACACTTTTGAGAATTTGGCGGCCTCATTACGTTTCTCAGGAGTCCCTGGGGGAGGTTACACTTTTAGGATCCCCAGGAATAGAGTGACAAAATACAGCTACCACAACTTGGTCCTGTGCAACTGTGCCCTTGCTCAGCAATTACTGACTCCATTCTGACTGAACTCTGCCAAAAACTCTTAACATTAATAATTATTACCTGTTCTCAATTTTAATAATTAAGAGTTTTACAACTTCCAGTGACTCTTAATTCAGGTTTCTTTGGCTTACTGTTCTTGGACAATAACAGTATGGTCACTGTTGCACAGACAGAAGCTAGACATAGTCTGTATAGCTAACTCCCTCATGTCCTTCAAATCTTTCTTCAAATGTCAGTTTCTTTTGGGGCCTTCTGTGACCAACCTGATGAATAGAGCCCACCAGCCCCAGACCACAGCGTTCCTGACTTCCTTTACTCTGCTTCACTTTTCCCTTTTTCACAGCAATTGTCACATTCTATTCTACTATAACTTACTTATTTATTGAATTTACCACTGATTGTTTGCCTAACCTCACTATAAGACAGGGATCTTTGTTTTATTCTCCAAGAACTTAGAACAGTAGTTATTCAATTAATATTTGTTGAAGCAATGAATGAACCAAATGAATGAATGAAAGATGAATATAAAAATATTTATATGTCCTAACACTCTACTAAGCATTATGACAGAATATCCACCAAAAAAAAAAGATGAGAAGGAGAAACCATTATTCTTCTGTAGCAGGGCTAACAGAACATGAGCAGATGGCAAACGTGAGATTATCAGCACCTTCTGGGCTAGTTCCTGGAAATCAGCTGATTTCCTGCTGCTTCCAAAAATTCTTAAAGCTTTCAGACTCCTGAGCAAGCTCCTGCAAAACACCTATTTTGGTGCTGCAAGCACCTGCAGTAGCTCTCTAGTCATTCAGGTACTTGTTGACCTTAGGAACTCAAGCCATAGCTTCCACGATTTTCAATCCCTGATCCCTCTTCAGTCTCAAATTGCTGTATCCAAAACCCTTCCTACTTGCAATATATTAGAAAGGCCACCTTCTGACCAAATCTGAAAAGTTGGGTAGGTTTGTAGAGGATGAGTTTTTGGATTATTCCCAATTCTTTTGATCCTCACCCCAACCTCCTAAGACTAAAGCTACAGTGGCCTCCCTTTAGGGAAGAAAGCAGAGGAAAGGAGCAGAGGAATTATTTTCTGTGAATTAACTGTTTCTAGATTCTAATATTAGTGACTAAACTGCCATTTGTACTTCCTATATTCCTGTTTTAGCAAGAGCTAAAAGAGTTTCAAAGAAGGTAAATTGTATTCTAAGAAGAGAATTCAGAAAGTCCTTTCCAGAATAGATGAATCTTAAATGATGGGCAGGTTTCCCACAGAGATAGGTGGGGAAGCCATTCTAACCTAGAAAACAGGATGCCTAGAAGTATGCAGTGTTTTCAGAAAATGGCAGACACAGGCTTCCTTGGCTAGAGAACAAAGACTTCATACAGGAGTAGGTTCATAAATACAAGCACAAGAGACCTTTATAGCATTGGGGTCTAGTGATTCTCAATTATTCTGCCTATAAGCATCAACTGCAAGAATAGTTAAAATTCTATTGAAGAGAAGAAATGTTTCCTGCTGTGCCAGAAACCCTTAAGAAAAAGCAAAGGAATTTCACAGAGCTGAAGATCAAGCACCTGAGAAACAAGTTTGCCTCAAGAGATGCTTCCAAAGGCAAGTTGGAAGCTTATTGATGAAAAAGTGAAACACTATCACAAGGAGTACAGGCAGATGGGACAGAACTGAAATTCAAATGGCTAGGATGGCAAGAAAAGCTGACCACTTCTATGTACCTGCAGAACGCAAATTGGCATTTGTCATCAGGATCAGAGATATCAATGATGTGAGCCCAAAGGTCCAAAAGGTGTTGTAGCTTCTTCGCCTTTGTCAGATCTTCAATGGAAGCTTTGTTAAGCTCAACAAGCTTAGCATGCTGAGGATTGTAGAACCATATATTGCACGAGGGTACCCAAACCTGAAGTCATTAAATGAACTAATCTACAAGCATTGTTATGGCAAGATCAATAAGAAGAGAACTGCCATGATAGATACCAATTTGATTGCTTGATCTGGCTTCATCTGCGTGGAGGATCTGATTCATGAAATTTGTACTGCTGGAAACACTTCAAAGAAGCAAATAACTTCCTGTACCCCTTCAAATTATCCTCTCTATGAGATGGAATGAAGAGAAAAACCACTCATTTTATAGAGGTGGAGATGTTGGCAACAGGGAAGACCAGATTAATGGGCTCATTAGAAGGATAAAATAAGGTGTCTGCCATGATTATTTTTGTAATCTTGTCAGTTAATAAACAGTGACTGCTTTCGATTTGAAAAAAAAATACATAGTTAAAATACACCTACACATTCACACCAAAGATTCTGATTTAATTGGTATGAAGCCAAACCAAGACATTAGTACTTTTCCAGAGCTTCCCAGGTGATTTTAATTTGCAGCCAGTGCTGAGAAACACTGAGACGATGCACATAAAATGCCTAGCCCAGAGCCTGCTCAAGAAATGTTAGCTGTTGCTCTCTACTGTCACTGTTTGGGTGGTTGAGACTTGTGCCCAGGCTTCCTAGGGGAGTGTTCCTCCCATTGCCCCACAGTTCCCTGTAAGTGGTGGAAAAGGAGACCCTATAGCAGCACTTCTCAACACCGGCTACACATTTGAATCAATAGAGGAGCCTTGCCAAGGTTTGCAAAAGATGGCTGGGTCTGTCTCTAACCAATTAGAATCTCTGAAGGTGGGACCCAGGTATCCCCATTATTTACTTTCCCCATTAACTATTCCACAAATATCCTCATATGATCTGATCTCTATTTCCCCATAATGATTGACTGGTATTTCTCTTTGCCATTTCAGTATTCACAATCTGCTTTGTATTAAAGCTGCTTATTTACGTTATCTCTCCCACTGTGAACCACTGCAGATCAGGGACTGGATTTGTTTTGTTTTGTTTTAGTTTTTATACAATTGCTTTCCCCTTGCACTCAGCATACAGCAAAGCTCTAACACATGATATATACTTACATAATATTAATTTAATTAATTGTCAGAAACCATAGATACTCAACTATAAGACTTTCCTGCCTTCTCCACTCTACTTTTCCATTTTTCATGTTTTCTTTGTTGTTGTGCTTTTCTATGCCTTCTTCACACTGTAGCCAAAGTTATTTTATTCAAAATTCAAATTAATTTAATTATGGAAGCTGGGTAATGAGCCTAATAATATAAACACAGTGGTGCAGTGAGCATGCAGTTAGTTACAATGTTCCATCTATTTTTCTGTTGTGTGAAGGCATCCACAATTTATAAAGTACCTGGTGATTCAAAAATTAAGAACCACTATTCTAAGAGTAGGTGGAGGCCAGACTATGGAATCTTCCAACAACCAGGAGCAGGAGTTGGAATGGAATAAATTAGAGCACTGGATCATCCCTGAAATCCCTGAGCAGAGGAACAACCGAAACAGAGATGTATTTAAGCTTATAAGTCTAAATAAAAGTTGGGGGTTTAAAAAGGCTACTTAATTACTTCTGAGAAAAAATATTTTATTCATTTCTCACTGGGCTTCTATAATCACCTCAGCTCTGTCTGCAGTTTCCTTTCTTCTGTAATTATTTTTCTCTCCATTTTCTTGCCCTGATAGCCACGTGCTCATTTGGGTATCCATCAAAAGACTACATTTCAGTATATTAATTCTCTCACTGGATGGTACAGCTTGAATTTCCTTCTGCTAGTTTCATTAAAATCTAAATGGGGGGAAAAGTCCTCTACATTATCTAGGAGATCCATGTGAGCTGCCCAGCTCCATTAGCTGTTGTCTGTTAGAGGTGGATTACAAGCAGGTGTAATCTTAAGGACACCGCCCTTCTGTGATTGTTAAGAAGGAACACAGACTGAGCAGAGCGGCTACTGTTCTGATCAGGAGCCACCACCACTGGTTCCTACAGTATACAGAATTTCAATTGTCAGATCTGTCCTGGAGGAACAATAGAATACAACTGTGAATTAAATAATTTAGAAACCAAGGACATAATCTCACTTTTCTAAATGAGTTTGCCTCTTTTAGGAGTCAGTATATTCGTAGTTTTGCTAGCACAGTCCTGTGATGTAGGAGGAAAATGCCCAAAAATATTCTAGAAAAAACATTGAGAATTCAAGTTAAAATGTCAGATGGAGCAGCCTCTAGAATTCCTCCTTTGTAGGCCATCAGTAATCTCACTGAAAATTAGACATGTATTATTTATAAATAATAATATAATATTATGCATATTTTAAATATTAATGATTTAGGTCAAACGCAGAAGGTGAAATTTGTAGGTGTCAGAAATGAAGGCCAAATCTTTAGTGGGAAGGCTGTGGGAGCTGAAGCTCTGCAGAGCACAGTGGGGATCCAGATGCAATATTTAGAGGCTGGTGTTTTCACTCTCCTGTGCAGAAGTCAATGCTCCAACTCTAGAGCATGGAACTAGGCTTCCCAAATAAGCCTATTGCTGGCAAAGCTCTGCATAGTCCGTGACTGGGAGATGGGAAATCTGGAAAACTAACCATCTGACCTAGGCCCATCCCAGGCCTGTCCCGGATCCCTCCAGAAATCTCAAGAAACAGGATCTCAAAGCCACAGGGCACTATGTGCGAGGCGCCACGTCCACTGGACACATTCAGGGAACATCATTCACATGAACATGTGTCCTTGTTCTGGTTATTGATTGCTGTGTAACAAACCATCCCAAATATTAGTGGCTTAAAACATCAGTTTATTGCCTTTCATATTTCTGAGGGTCAAGAATTTAAGTGGAATACAGTGAGGTGGCTCATCTTTTCTCCATGCTGTCTGAGACTCAGCCAGAAATGGCTTGACTGGCACTGTTGGCACTGGTGCCAGCTGTCCGCTGGAAGTCTGGCAAAGATCGCCAGGAAAGTTCCTCAGTTCCTCCTCACTTGGGCCTCTCCAGAACTCCCTTTCTGGTGCTACCTGGGTTCCAAGAGGACCAGGCGAAAGCTGCAAGGACTCCTATGACCCAGGTTCTGAAATTATGAAATGTCCATTCTGCCGCATTCCATTGGTTGAGGATGAGTCCCAGCTCCAGCCAGGGTTCAGGGAGACGGGACCACACAAGGGTGCGAATAATATGAAACTTGGCTCATTGGGGGCCATCTTTGGAGACTAGTGACCACACGTCTGGAATTGTGCAATGGGCCAGTACTTGGTTGTGGTTATAGAAATCCCAGTGTAAAGCCTAAATAGAAACATGAGTTAAGAATAAGTCAATCCAATGGTGCACTTCAGAAGTGACCGTAAAACTCTCCTGTAGAAGGACTTTCACATATTAGAGCATCTACAAAGCTCCCTCAGTTTCCAAAGATGATAGATCTCCTGGAAGATAAACTTGAGGAGAAGGTAGGTGCCCACTATCAGAGCTGGACTGTGAGCTCCAAGCTGGGCTCATTTACCTAGTGGGGGTCTACAGGTTACTCATCCTAGACCCAGTCAATTGCCCCTGACCTGCCTCAGGAGTGAAGCAGAGCCAGGGTCAGGGCTAGGTGGGTAGGTGGGCTGCCCCAGACTTAAGCTGTGCATTGAGAAGTGCCATAGATACCAGGAATCAAATGAATGGAGATTTGCTATTATTTGGAAGGATGTAAGACCACAAGCATATCTATAAGAAATTGTACCAGGATCACAAATCTCCCATCTCAGCCCAGCAGCAGTGATCTCTGGAAAGAAACACCACCCCACATCCCAGGCTGGTATACTTCACAGTAATGATGTGTGCCCAGATTAACACAAATGACAAATTCCATCATACTCCCTCTATCTGAAGGAGCACACCTGATGTGAGAAAGAGCATGAGAGGAGCCTGGCTGTCAGAGCAGGAATTCTGCACTGTGGCAGGTTCTGCTCTGTCTGGCTGATGCTTCTGAATACAGCAGAGATATGACGGCCTCATAATTTAGGTTGCTTGAAAGGCGGAGCAAGAAAAGTTACCTAGTTTAGAAAAATCAGGAAACTCATATATGGAAAGGCTATGCTATCCCAAGCCAGCATTGCTCTGGAACTAAGCAGATGAGAATGTGAGCCCAGAAAGTTTTTCTCCCAAAGAAATGCTCTTTTTGACAGCCAATCAGGCCCAAGTGGTTTATAAGGTAGCCCAAGCGGCAAAACATTTGAGTCAGAAAACCCTCACCTTGGCACCTCTACCAAGGAATTGTCAGTCAGCCCTACAGAACCTTCTGTCTGGCCTTATCTTAAACTTGTGGCAGAAGTAATGCCACATGTTCACAATATCCCATGGATGGGGTCATGTGATGTGTTCAGGCCAATGAAATGTGAGTTGAAGGGACTATGTCACTCCCAGACTGAGACTGTGAAAAGCCCCTATTAGATGGTTGTCCCTCTGCTTTGAGCTGTGAGTTTGGAGGCCACGTGTTGAGATGGTAGAGTCCTCAGATCAAAGCAGCCCTGAATACAAAATAGCTGTATTTGGAGCTTGTGTGCTACTGCAGATACCATAAGCCTCGCCTATTTTGTTACTCCAAAGATGTGCTGGGTTCATCTTTGTAGCTAGCCCAGGGGCACCATGATGCTCAGGCTACCATATGGGAGGGCGATCCATGAGGAGCAGCACCTGGGTGGTGAATAGCACCTGGGAAGCTGAACCTCTGTGTTCAGCTTGGAGGTAGTTAGCAGATGGAGTTCTAGGATGTACTACCATGAGAAGAAAGTCGAGGGAAGATAAAAGTCAGAATGAGGGAGATGGTATTGGTTAAATTCAAAGAAGGAAGGATAAAAACCTTGGGGAAAGAGTGGAAAGAGGGTGGCCTCCAGAGCTGAGTCCACCAGGATGTACAACAAATTATGCTTGAGATGAGCTGTCCAGGACTCAGTATGCAAATGGGTGATCTATGCCTCAGTGCCCACTTATTGGAAAACACACCTGAGATGAAAAGCATGCTCTAAACTCTGTCACTGGAGAGTCTTGCCGCTTGGACCGTGAGATGACTATAACAAAACACTGCCATTCATCTTCCAAAAGAGGAAATGGACAGACATATAATTACTAGCCCATAAAATGATGGCAAATAACACAGCCCTCCAGACACTATACTTGGTGCCATGGAAAAATTTGAACATTATTGGGCAATCACTGCCTTCTGACTTCAACTTTGACTTAAGAAGAGCAGAAGAGTGTACATATTGGGAGCAGGATGAAGACACAGAGTTTCTGGTTCAAATCCTCGTTCTCCTGCTTTCTATTGGGAGATCTTGCAAGTTAATTGCTTGACTTCTTTCTGCTTCAATTATTTCATCTGTCAAATAGAGATAAAAGCAATTCCTTTTTCATGAGGTTAGTATGAAAATTACAGTGGATCATGAAGAAAAGTTCTTAGGACCATGTCTGATATGTGAGTCCTCAATGAATGATGAATTCATTGAATATTATGATATCACCAGGTTTTTTTAAACCGCTGGCCAGGTATCCCCTCACAATCCTTTATCTCTCCTCCTCTGTAAATGTCCAACACAGGCCACTTCTCCCCTTTGTACACCTGCTGTGCAATTCCTGCCACTTTGGAATGGGAGCATCACAGCTTAAGGGTCCTAATTCCTTTCTCAGCCTCTGGGTATCCCAAGTCTCTAACTTGCCATTGCCTGCTTTGCACCAAGACCAGAGTGTCAGGGGCAGATTACAGGAGTCCTACAGTCACTGCTCTGCTAATGAGTGCTTCCCTTAGAGGTGAAGAAGCGAGGCAGTGCCTGCTTTGGAATGCTTTAATAAACACCAGAAAGTCCTCACTGCCAGGGATATTTTACTCATTTACTTTCTAAAGCCTAAAATTCTAGAAGATAGGACACATTCATTTGCTAAAATACAAAATTTCCAGGGAGAGGATGTATAATGAGTCTTTTTTGTTTGATTGTTTTTTGAGACAGAGTTTCGCTCTTGTTGCCCAGGCTGCAGTGCAATAGCGCGAACTCAGCTCACCGCAACCTCCACTTCCCGGGTTCAAGCGATTCTCCTGCCTCAGCCTCCCGAGTAGCTTCGATTACAGGCATGTGCCACCACCCCCAAGTAGTTTTGTATTTTTAATAGAGACAGGGTTTCTCCATGTTGGTCATGCTGGTCTCAAACTCCCGATCTCAGGTGATCTGCCGCCTCAGCCTCCCAAAGTGCTGGGATTACAGGCGTGAGCCACTGCGCCCGGCCACATAACAAGTCTTATCAGTCAGTATACCTCAGTATAAATTAATTTATCAGGCTCCTTTTCTAAAGGGTTAGATGAGGGGGAAATGTAAGATGGTGGAAGACTTGGGCATTTGAGAAGCAATTGAGAGGGAAAATGATCCAAATGAGAACCCTGGGACCCCCAGAGACAGTCACTAAGGAGTTACCAGTTGGCATAGAACTTCTACTTCTGCTCCCAACTGTCCAAGCTCAAAATGAAGCCCAGTAGGGTCTTCAGGGTCTCATCTTGGAAAAGGACAGCTTCCAAGCCTAGGATTTCAGAATGTATAATGGTCATTTGAGTGCCGCTCATCAGTGAACAATAGCTAATCAGTGTGCAAATTCAGCAGGCCTGAGCTCCATCACCAAAGGCATTTTCATGAGGACACATCCTGCTTGGAGAATTTTGAGTGCCATCAGACAAGTCAAATCGCTGCCCTTCTCTTTACTCAAAGGATCTGGAATCCCCTGAACCAGGAAAAATGCCACTGTGACCCTTCTGGGTGCATAAGCACAGGAATAAACACAATAGATGGGCAAATCCAACTGTACCTTATCCTGATGACATATTTTAGGGCAGCAGTTTTTAACTTTCTAGTTTACACTCTTAAAAATAATATTGAGAACCCAAAAGAATTTTTGAGGATGCAGATTAAGTTATCTCTACAGATATTTATCATTTTAAAAGTTAAAGTGGAAAATTCTTTAAAAATATTATTTATAAATTCATTGTAAATAACAATAATAAAATGTTAACATAAATGTAATACGTTATGCTAAATAACTCATATTTTCCAAAATGACAAAAATGCAGCTTGCATTGTTCACATTTTTGCAAATCTCTTCGATGCTTGTTTCCATTCAGCTGTGATATCACTCATGATGCCACCTCTAGAAAACTCCACTCTACACACAAGAGAGAATGAGAATGAAAAAGACAAAGGACAGCTCAGGATTGCTGTAAAAATAGTTTTGACTTTGCAGATCCCCCGAAGGGGTCCCAGAGACCCACAGGAGGCCCTGACCCTACTCAAAGACCTCTTTTTTAGAGGATTGTTTTAGGTGATTGGGCTGTTCTGATATGATCCATTCCTAGGCTTCTAAACACCTCAGGCAAGTCTCCAGGGCCCAATAGGAAGGTCAATACAGCCTCTTCCTTGTTAAGGGTAGACCTACATTGAAGATCAAGGAATCTTGGTGTTTGTAGAATAATTATGGACTAGCAAAGGACAAAGCAGTTGCAGGTTTCTTTGCTGAGCCTCTGTGTTTGTGAGTCTGGAACCCAAAGGGGCAGCAGCTGAGGGGCAGGGACTGAGAAGTAGCAGGATCTGTCTCTTAATAGCTGCACCAAAAGGGAAAGTCATGACATTTTTCTGAGACTTCATTTGTAAAATGGAAATAAAGTCCAAGCACTTCATGGAGAGTACCTTATTTAATTCAAACATATAACATAGAAAGATTGGGAGATAATCATCTTTCTCTGTTTTACAGATGAGAAACCACATACTCAGCAAAGTGCCCAGTACACAGGAAGTGACAGAGTCCTAATTTGAAGCTGTGTTTGTTTGATCTTAAAGCCCAGGCTTTTCTCTGTCCTGCTGGCTTGGTGAGAAGGTGTCCAGCGTTGGCAGGCAGCTGAGAGAAGTGGGGGATGGACTTTTTTCTGGAAGTTTATCTGGAGCTAATGGCATGTGGTGACTATGCCAGGGGTGTGTGAGCACTCAATACCTAATAACTGCCTGTAGGAGGATTAATAGAATGTGGAAAAATAGAACAGCAACCTGGCCAGTTATCAAAGCAACCCAAGGGACTGCAAATACCCTCACAGTATATGCTGTGCATGCATATGTGGACCGTGCACTTCTCAACAGAGGGAAGGAAGGAGGCTTTTTCCTTTTTTCATTTAGACACAAGGATGCCTGGCATAATTTGCTGCAAAGCGTTTTTCTCTCTCAGGACTTAGGAAAATGGAGTCACAGGTTAGCAAGCTAGATTGGTCAGAGCTTTAGTGAAGGAGCAGGTGACCTAGAAAAGATCTTCCCTAGGAAAAATGCAATAACACACAGTCCCTAGAAAATGATGACATGCTGTCTCTATGCACTGCTAAGACATTTCAGAAACATTATGGGAAATAAGAAATGGATTTTTCATACAGCTGGCACCTTACTAAATAAATATGTATTTCATACCTGTTTTGTTAATGAGGATTGAAACTGTATTCCCATATTGCTGCCAGAGTATGTCCCTAAATCACAGACAGATTGTTTCCATTCTCTTATGCAAAACATCTAGATGGACTTCCAGTTCGAGACTCTGTCTGGCTAACAGCCCTCAGTGCAACCTGTCTCATTTTCTCACTTCTAGAAGATGGGAAAAATGAAAACTCATTATTATGGAAAACCACCAGTGACAGACAGTCTAATGTCAGAATCAGAGAGGAACTGACACTAATTGTAAGGCAGATGGAGCTGCATTAGGAAACACCAAGCCAAGGAGCCCTCCATGCCCATGCCACACTTAGTTTCAAAAAGAAAAAAAAAAAAGGAGCCAAGGCCAGGCATGGTGGCGCACGCCTGTAATCCCAGCACTTTGGGAGGCCGAGGCGGGTGGATCATGAGGTCAGGAGTTTGAGACCAGCCTGACCAACATGGTGAAGCCCTATCTCTACTAAAAATACAAAAATTAGCCAGGTGTAGTGGTGCACGCCTGTAGTCCCAGGTACTGAAGAGGCTGAGGGAGGAGAATCGCTTGAACCCGGGAGGTGGATGTTGCAGTGAGCCAAGATTGCACAACTACACTCCCGCCTGGGCAACAGAGCAAGATTCCGAGAAAAAAAAAAAAAGGGAGCCAGACAAAGGCAAGGCAGAAGCATGGAGCCCTGTGTGTCAGGATCTGGCCCACCAGACCAGGGGTTGCTGAGCTGTAGATGCTACTAGGCTGTGAGGCAAGCAGAATGTGGACTCTATACCAGTCTCCACTTTCTGGAAGAGAAAACAAGTCCCATGGGGAAATATGGGCAGGATGTAGGGGCAGACATAAGATATGATGCAATGTGTAGTTCCCCAAATAAAGCCCTGAATATGTGAGTTGGGAAAAGTTCTCTGAGTAACAGTACCATGTTGAGAGTTGTGTGTGATGTGTGGGGTTTGGTGTGTGTGATGGGGGATGGGGAGTGAGTGTGCATGTACTTAACTGCAGTATTTAAGAGTCCTGAAGAGTCAGGCAATTGAAGGAGAAGAAGCCTTCCATTGGCTAGAGACCCCATCAGAAACTTGGAGTTGGCCTGGAGCTTTGACCTGCCTCCAGATGCATGTCAGGAAAAAGTCTTATTTGTTCACTGTACAATGAACAGAAAGCAGGGGCAAGAGTAATTTATTCACATATCTGCTTCTAATCATCAAGTCGGAAAAGAAATCTGGATACTATTTTTGAGAAAAAAATAGAGAAACCATAAATAATTTGGAACTGTATAAGTACACTTTATACCAAGAAAAAGGAACAACATCTGGAAGGCTCAAAAGAAAAGGATATCTCTGAAAAAAAAATTATGTATATGTAAATACCTTAGTGACTAGAAAAATATATTTCAAGGAAATGTTTTACTGTCATGCAAAGTTGTAGGAAGACATAAATAGGAACAGTGGCATAAGCAAAAAGGCAGGGAGGGTAAAGGAATAGGATGGTAAGAAAGAACAAGAATGATCAAGGAGCAATGCTTGAGGCAATAATGATCAAAACAGGTGTAATTCATGTTGCATAACACCCAATCCATTCCTGGAAAGACAAATTTGAGATGCATTTCCAGAACGTCAAAGGAAAGGATAAGGAAATGAAAACAACAAAATAGGAATGGAAGATAGCAACGAGTGTTCCTGGAAGAGAAACCGGAATAAATGGAAAAGAAGCAGAATCAAACCTACAATAGAAGAAACCCTTCCTGAGCTTAATAAAAGACGGAGGAGGAGTCTTGTGTGAACAAATTCCCAGGGCTCACCATTTTCAAGCACAGTAATTAGAACGAGACCCCACCTCCCTCCCACCTTCAGCATCACATCTTGCCAAAGCATTCTTATTCATTCTCTCAACTAACACTTATTTCATTCCAACTGCATGCCAGGCCCTGCAATTAGAAAGGTTAAAGAAAAAGGCCCCAAAGTTTCAGGTAGCACAAAATTATGTATTTATAATATGCACAGTGACTTTAGATTTCTTTGTAAAAACAAATATATCAAAACATCATGGAAAAACATCTACAGTTTTAAGACAATAGTTTGTGACTCAGGAATTTCATATGCCGCCGAATTTATGTATGAAAGCAACAGTTTTTAAAAAGATGACATTAACATTAAATGCTTAAAAATAGTTAAAGGTGTTCCAGAACCAATGGAGAGTTGGAACAGAATTAAAGTCCTAAGACTAAAGAAATAATGGTATAGAAATTCTGAAATTATTAAAATATAGATAAGCATAATTGGTACAATGTAGCTATAATGAAATGATATTGCAAATATTATACCAGGAAAAGAATATATATAAATGTATAAATCCTTAACTCAACCATTCCTTTTATTTTATTTTATAGAGAAAAGGAGGGGGAAAAGGAGGGGAAGGAGAAGGAAGAGAAGGAGAAAGAAAAAGATGGAACGGTTTCATTAGTAAAAAAAAATTCCCAATGAATTATTTAAGGATGGGTATAATAGTTTCTAAATGAGGGTGTAATTTGCAATATTCATTACAAAGTGAAAAATGTTAAAGTATTTAAGAATAAAACAATGATGGAGTTGCTTATATGGACAAAACATACCTATAATGAAATACAATAGAATAATGTGGATAAAATCCATCCGTAGGGTAATAAACTGTAATATGTGGTATATGTAAAAAAACCAAGTTATAATCTAATACTTAGTACAATTCTACTTTGGAAAAATATGTCTATATGTGTATAAATAGAAAATAAGGTCTAGAAATCTCTGCAGCTAAATGTTAACAGTTGTTATATCTGGAGGAAAAGATTTTGCATGCTTATTATGTTCTGTTTTATATTGATTTGTTTGGGGCTCATCTGGACTTTTTAGTTTTTCTGGAAGTTACATGTAAAGGATTTAAACAAGGCTATGGTATATTTAGATTTGTAAGGGTAGAGACAGAATTGCAGGGGCCAGTATGAAAGAGAAGGTAATTGAAGCAAACCAAGTGAGAGGTGATGGTGGTCTAAATCCAGACAATGGCAAGAAGATGGACAAAAGTGGGCAGACTTGAGCTATTCTAAGATGAGGAACTGATGGTGTTGGAGATCCATTAGATATGGGAGTGTGGCTGCAGATAATGACAGTTCCGTATGTCAGCATCAACATGGAGGGAAGTGTCTTGAGCCACTAGAAGATCAGTCTGGGAGGAGTTGGCAAGGCCTCTTAGAAGAAATCATGCCTCCTTTGAGCTTTAAAAGATAATGAAGAGTCAGCCAGCTGGAGAGGTGAGGAAGGCCATTTTAGCCTGAAGTGAGTGTCCCATTATTTGACCTGTGTCACAGTGGCCTTTCCCAGCCAAATTGCAAACAGAGTCACCAAATTCGAATAAACATTTTTAAAGGGAGAAGAAAGCACTGCTCCCTCTGGAAACTGTGAACAAATTAAGCCAGAGCAAATCCGTCCATCCTGGCTGCAGCAATCCCAAGATAATGCTGCTCAGTTCTAGGCTGCTTGGCAGAAAGGGGTTATTCTCTGTTATGTGCCTCATTTACTCATGAATGGAGAACTTCTGGGAATCCAGGATCAGCCAGGCACAGCACAGTTACTATTTCTGGGAAGATTTCATTTGACCCCAATTACTTACAATAGCAGAGTGATGTCCCATTGTCCAATAATAATCACCATGACCTTCACTGGGTCTAGGTGTCCTTTACCCAAAGACCTGCTTCAAAATACCATCTAACAGATTGGAGCTCCTGTCAAAACAAGAAGAGTCATCACACTGACAGGATCTCCCTGAGGACACCAAGTGCCTAAGAATTTGAACAAAGCATCCTTTCTGTGCAGGAGGAAGGGGGCACAAGATTTCTAAATAGCATAAATAAATAAATAAATAAATAAATAAATAAATAAATAAAGATGAATTGTAATTATCTATGTTTAGCAGACATTTGAAGTAGAAATAGGTCACTGGGATTTCCATTTCAAATCTCTATTGAAATTCTTTACCAAAAGAATTCTTTTGCACTTGATCTATCCAGCCTTTTTTTGAGAGGGGGATCTCACTATGTTTCCAAGGCTAGACTTGAACTCCTGTGCTCAAGCAATCCCTTCATCTCAGCCTCCGGAGCAGGGCTTTGGGTGTGCACCCCCACTGCACCCCGCTCAGCACTTTTTATCAGCTATAATTTATAACAATAATAGTGATAATAATTATAATAAAATAATATGAATGTTTGTTACCATCTGTCAGGCTCTGTTATGAATATATCACTGTCTTTATAACAATCACATGAAGAAGCTAACTCAATTTCTACAGAGGTCAGAGAGAAAAATTATCCATTTGGTTGAACCGAAACCCATCTATCTTCCACACTGAGTTAGTCTTTTATTTTAAATAAATATGTTGTTATCAAGAAAGGAAATCATCCATTATACTTTCACTTTCACCTTTGCTTTCAAAATCACCCAAACCTGAATTACTAGCTCATTTCTCCAAAAGCATAATTAATATTGACTTTCTTTTTATTATCTCCTATAACTAGATATTGAAAAACACTATAGCTAGCATAAAGGAAAACTTCTGAACAGTGTAGCCATATTGCCACAGAAACAGATTCAGAAAAATAAACCTAAGAACTCTGGAGAAAGAATGCATGTTATATAAGTTTCTCCCTAGAGTTTGGCAGCCTTTGTTCATAGTTGGATGTAAACTTATTCATTTCTACCCATAAGCCCACATAGCTTTACTTCCTGACATCTGTTCTCTCCTCCCAGGATCGGAAAGGTTTCTTCCTTCTGATAAAGTGTGAAACATTTGTGAGGAAAAGGTGGGTTCAGAGAGGGAGAGAAAGACGACAGCCTGATTCCTAGATCTGAGGTGGGACGCAGGAAGATGGATTTCTTTTAATTCCCCCTTCAAAGTTATTCCTCCTCATGTGCTTTTGGGACTATGCTTTGAGAATCTCTGGAGTGGAGTATCTGGTGGTCTGCACATAGTGGTGAAGAGCGTGGAGTCACAGAATTTGGGGTAAAATCCCAGCTCTATGTCTAATGAGCTGGGTGAACTTGACAGGTCAATTCACTGGCTAAGCCTCACCTTACCTGTTTTTAAAATGGAGAGTGGTGATATAAGAAAAGTGCTTAGCATAGTATCTAGGTTACAGTAGGTGACCAATAAATGGGAGTGATAACTACCATCATTATATTACATGGAAAGTACAAAACAAATAGTATCATAGTATGTAGCAAAGTCCTCATTTTGTTGGAAAAGAGTGATTAAATAAAACCGCAAATGTCTGTGCCTGTGGGGTGAGATGAGGGAGATGTTCAACGGTAATAGACAGCAAAGTGTTACCAAGCTACCCAAATGGATGATCCATTTAATTTCTACATGGAAAAGGAGCAAAAAAGGAAAGGGACCTCTGAAACCCTTCTAAGTACCCACACACACACAGACTCACACACACACACACACACACACACAGACACACACACACACTCACACACACACAGAGCTCTCAGAACACTGCTGCCAGAGGGTGAATGCAGATACAACTTTCATAACCATTGCTGAAATCACATATATTCCAAGAAGGGAAAATACTTGTAAAACTGAAACTTATTAATTAAGATACTATAGCCAAAATGGATGTCACAATGCTTGTCTGAATACCCATAATAACATTTATGTAAAATTTACTATGTCCCATCAACTGTCCCAAATCCTCTACCGGGATAAGATCACGCTATCTTGACAGCCACTCTAGTTGGTAAGTGTTGGTTTTGAGACATCTACAATTGAGGATACTGAAGGACAGAGACACTAGGTAATCTACCCAGGCTGCACACCTCATAGACAGTTGAGGCAAGACTCATATATAAGTTAACGCATCCCAGAGCCTGTGCTCCCAAACACAGCCCTCATACAGAACTGCTCCTGTAGTTAAGAACATAGTGAGGTCCCCAGAATGTGGGCAAAATCTAGTGGAGAGACTCTTTTCCGCCCCATACCAGCTGTTTTCACCAGATTGTTAGTAAAAAGAAAGTGGATCAAGAGAATGAGAAGACAAGCCACAGGCTGGGAGAAAATATTGGCAAAAGACAGACATCGGATAAAGGACTATTGATATGGTTTGGCTGTGTCCCCACCAAAATCTCACCTTGAACTGTAATAATCTCCACGTGTCAAGGGTGGTGCCGGGTGGAGATAATTAAATCATGGGGGCAGTTTCCCCCATACTGTTTCTGTGGTAGTGAATAGGTCTCACGAGATCTGATGGTTTTATAAATGGGAGTTCCCCTGCACAAGCTCTCTTGCCTGCCGCCATGTAAGATATGACTTTGCTCCTCCTTCACCTTCCACTATGATTGAGAGACCTCTAAATCATATGTGGAGCTGTGAGTCAGTTAAACCTCTTTCCTTTATAAATTACCCAGGCTCAGGTACGTCTTTATTAGCAGCATGAGAACAGACTAATACAACTATGGTACAAAATATAACAGAATTCCTAAGACTCAACAATAAGATAACAAATAGCCCAATTAAAAATGGGTAAAAGACTTGAACAGACACCTCACCAATAAAGATACACAGATGGCAAATGAACATATGAAAAGATGCTCCACATCATATGTCATCAGGGAATGCAAATTAAAGCAACAATGACATAGCACTACACATCTTTTAGAATGGCCACCATCCAGAACACTGACAACACCAAATGCTGGTGGGGCTGTGGAATAACAGGATTTCTCATTCACTGCTGGTGGGAATGCGAAATAGGACTGTCACTTTGGAAGACAGTTTGACAGTTTCTCACAAAATTAAATATACTCTTACCATATAATTCATCAATCACACTTCTTGGTATTTATCCAAATGAATTGGCAACTCATGCCCACACAAGAATCTGCACATGAATGTTTATAGTAGTTATATTCATAACAGCCAAAACTTGGAAGCAACCAAAATGTCCTCAGTAGATGAATGGAAAAACAAACTATAGTACATCCAGACAATGGAATATTATTCAGCACTAAAATGAGCTATCAAACCATGAAGATATGAAAGAAAATTACATGCATATTACTGATTGAAAGAAGTCAATCTGCAAAGACTACATATTATGATTCCCAAGTATATGACATTCTGGAAAAAAACAAAACTATGAAGACAGTAAAAAAAAAAAAAAAAATCAGCAGCTTTCAGGGATTAGGGAGGGGGAGGGATTAATCAGCAGAGCATGGAGGATTTTTAGGGCAGTGAAACTATTTCATATGTTATTATAAGGGTGTATATGTGTCATTGTACATTTGTCTAAACCCATAGGATGTACAACACCAAGAGTGAACCCTAATGTAGACAATGGACTTTGGGTGATGATGATGTGTCAATACAGGTTCATCAATAGTAAGAAATGTACCATTCTGGTATGGGATATTGAGAGCAGGGAGTGGGGGTTGTGCATGTGTGGGAGCAGAGAGTATATAGAAACTCTGCACTTACTCGATTTTGCCATGAACTTAAAACTGCTCTGAAAAATAAGGTGTTTTTTTTAATGATGCATATTTGCCAATTATATTTTAATAAAGCTGGGAGATCAAAAGGAGTGGAGGCTATCTTCAAACACATGTGCAGCCTTTTAAAATTCATTTATAAACAGGATCTCCAGGAGGGTGATCATGTTTATCTTGTTCACTTTTTAAAAAGTCATTTTGAAAAAGCAATAAATTCAAAGGAAATTGCAAAAATAAAGAGGCCTGATGTATTATTGACCAAGTTTCCCTCAATGGTTTTTGCATAACATTTAACGTAACTCTAGTTTGATATCAAAATCAGGACAATGATGTATGTACAATGTGTGTATAGCTGGACACCACTTTGCTACCTGGATAAGTTCATGTAGCAACCACCACAATATCTTGTTCACTTTTGTCATCCGGTGCTGATCATGATTCTCAACAATACTCTTAAGTGACTCAGTCAACAAACAAATAAGCAAGTGAATGAACAGATGACTGAATCCATGACATCAGTAAAGAGCATGTGGTTCTTCTGATTTGCATATGCACTCAGTCAATCTCACAGATCATTTTTATTTGTATAAAGCCTTGAGCTGAGAGCAGTCTATTAAATACAAGGATTGGGAGCACCTCACCACACATTAAAGTGCCCTTTCTTCCACTTCAACTTGACTAATTGAGCCTATGTGAGTGTAACTGCCATTCTCCCAAAGATCGTTATTGAAATAATATAACATAAAAGTGGAGGAAATGATTTTTTAAAAATCCCTGATGATAGGAAAGAGTGCTATCCATATGGTTAAAAAAAAAACCTGAGGCTTTCTTGCCAGATTCAGAACAGGTGAGATGGAAAACCACCATCTGGGAAGAAAAACAAAAAACTGCCTTTATTTTTTTTTTTGAGGTGTAAGTTTTTTTTATTATTATTATACTTTAAGTTTTAGGGTACATGTGCACAATGTGCAGTTTAGTTACATATGTATACATGTGACATGCTGGTGTGCTGCACCCATTAACTCGTCATTTAGAGATGGGAAGAGATACCCATCAAAACTTCATTCTCAACCCCCAAACCAAGAGCTGGAAATAAAAGGTGTACAAGGTGCCAGTTACAGAGGAAATGCACCAGACCCTGTCGCTGGAACAGGGTATCAGAACATCCTCCCAATCTATTCTGGGCCAAGGAGGCATGCTGGAGGCGGGCTGGGCTGAGCTGGGTACATGATGTGGGGTGCACGCTGGCAGAGCCAGTTCCCACCTGAGCCAGTGATGCTAACTAGAGAGGCGTGCAGTGCCTCATCCCCCGACAAAGCTCAGAAGCTCCAGGTAGAGCAGACGCTCTTGCCTTAATCTTTAAAAATAACTGGACTTTGATCTGGCCAAATGGAACTGGAGAAAATTCTCCCCCTCCTTTTGTCTGTTCACCTGAGGTTTTTCAGGAACCATCCAAGCAATTAAACAGGAGTGACATTATCTCTGAAGAAAATAATTTCAGTTACCAGTTTGGTATTATGAAAGACCCTTGGGAATAACCCCTCTGATGGGCTTCAGACCCATGATAGCTATACGTACTTGTTTTCTTCTCACAAGAAACTGATGGGCATGAAGATTGCAGTGACTGAACTGTCTCCCTGCGTTTCTTCTCACATAAGCTGTAAATGGGAACAAAGAGAGAAGATTAAATGTCTGTAAATTTTCATTGCAGCCCCTTTTTGTTTAGAAAGCATTTCTGCTTACCTTTTATATTTCTATTAAATAATAGAGAGAAATTTACTCCTCCAGCTCCCAAGAGAAGAATGAAAGTTAAATTAGAATTTATAGTGGACCCACAATTTCTGACCTAAGAACATTAATACAGGAATCCAAACCCCTCCCAGCTCTTCTTTGCTATAGTCATCACCCACTCAGAGGTTCAGCTCTGAACAAACCCCTTCTGAGCCTCTCCCAGGAAGCCTTATCAACCCACAGTCCAGAACCACCTTCACCGTTTGAGAACCTCACAAAGGGTACTTGCAGTGCTAGTGATGCCTACAGACTGCTTGGCCTTGTACTTGAGATGGAGTGAAGACGAGGGAAACCCCTTGATTGTTCTCAGTTTTCCCCTTTGTGCCTTGAAATTTCCATCTCATTGTGAATAAAAAAGTCAAAGCATATTCAATCCCAGAGAGGGGTTGAATCCCTGAATTTCACAAGATTGAAAGATCATGAAAAAATTGACCCCCTCTGGAAAGATGAGAAAAATCAAAAAGATCAATGAACACATACAAAGAGTCTGTATCTATGGCTCTTATTAACAGTGACTAAAGAATTTATCTGAGTAATTTAGCTAATTCAACTCAATAAGGAAACAACATAATAAAAGATATAACTGAAAAAATGAAATTATCAATTTGGAAATGATATGATTAAGAATAAAAAACAAGATTGTTTTTGAAAAATCATTGGGCCTAATAAGACATGTAATTAAAGAAGATGATTATAAAACCAACAAATATAAAAAGCAACTAGCTTCTCTGTACACTATCAATAACCAATTAGAAAATACAATCTTAAAAAACAAAAGATTAAATATTCAAGAACAATCAAAATACAAAATGCATATGAACAAACTTTTTTGTTTGTTTTGGGGACAGAGTCTTGCTCTGTCACCCAGGCTGGAGTGCAATGGCACGATCTCAACTCACTGCAACCTCCGCCTCCCCAGTTCAAGTGATTCTTCTGCCTCAGACTCCCAAGTAACTGGGACTACAGGCACCCACCCACCACACCTGGCTCAATGTTTATTTTTTAGTAGCAATGGGGTTTCACCATGTTGGCCAGGCTAGTCTGGAACTCTTGACCTCAGGTGATCTGAGTGTCATGGCCTCCCAAAGTGCTGGGATTACAGACATGAGCCACCGTGCCTGGTCATGAATAAATTTTAAAAGAATTGTGATGACTTACATGAAGAAAATCGCACAAGTTTACTGAGTGACATTTTAAAACTTTAATAATTGAAAATCCATTCAATGTTCCTGGTAAGGGAACAGAATTAATGGTCAGAAACAAATCAAATATATATAAGAACCTAGGATTTTTTTAAGTGCATTTGAAATGAATAGAGAAAAAAGGGATCATGTCTCCAGCACATTGATGTTCCTGCTTTTCTGAACACACTTAACTCTGTGTTGCCTGAAGACCTCTGTACTTGCTGTTCCCTCTGGCCTGAACAGTCTTCCCTCAGAGCCTGTTTCTGATCTCTGCTCAATGTTCTTTTAAAGGATAGCAGTGTCTTGGGGTCTTTATAACTTTGGGGCTTATCTATGGCTAGCAAATGTAGGACATAGGTGTGTAGAGTATGCAAAGCAGGAAGGCTCTCAATGGTTAAATATCTGTTTATCTGGTTATGTTTAAAACAATTGGATGTGTAAAAATTTGAGCGTGGTGCTAGTGGGCATTTAAGCTAACAGATCTCAGCCTACTATGAAGAAGTCATAAACCCAGGAGTAATATACAGAAGCCTTCTGGCTCATGTGCATGACACACCCCACCTAATTCTCAAGCTCCTCCCTCTTCATTTTTTATTATAGCAACTATCACTCTGTGACATTATAATCTATATCTATTTGGTTGTGTGTCTGTTATCTGTTTTTCTCATTAGAATGTTAACTCCATGGAGGCAGGAACCATGTCATCCTTGTTGACTGCATTTTCAGTACCAAAAAAAAGTGAGTGCCTGGACAGAATGGAAACCTAATAAACATTCACCAAAGGAAGTAGGAGAGGAGAGGGGCAGGAGAGAATATAGTAAAATAGGTTAAAGTTTCCAATATAGCCATGAAATTATTTTTAGGAAAAGAATTTCAATAACTCGCATAGAAAAAGATTTTTTAAGCATGATACCAAGGCAGAAATCCTTACAAAAGACTAACAGATTTTACTGCAAAATATAAAATTTACAAAATTTAAATTGTAAAGATTTTTTTAATACAAATAGAATTATAAACGGATTTAAATGTTTAGAATATAAATAATATTTACATAGCTGATCAAGAGTTAATATACTCACTAAAAAAGGACTTTCTACAAATCAATAAGTAGAAGATAAATACTTAATACAAGAATAAATACAAATATAGGAACAAGTAAGATACACACAAAATGCAATTCACCAGTAAACCTGTTTTAAATGTTTAATTTTGCCAAAAACTAAATAAATGAAAATAAAAATAACAATGAGTTACCAAATTTTCCAATAAGAAAAGAAAGTAGGTTTTAAGAAATTGGTAGTGCATTAGGCCATTTTTATTAAATAAACCTAAAATGGTATCAATGAAATATTTAAAAGTACCCCTGGGTTACATTTTGCTTTTTGGTACTTTCTAATTATTCCACCAATATGTATTACTTATGTAATTCAAAGAAGTGATTTTACAAGAAAAAATAAATAGTATGGTAAATCGCTGGCTCCTAGAGAGTGGGCCAATCTTGGAAAACAATGCCCCAGTGCTGAGAACTGTGTAGGTAAGTTGCATCTTTCAGTAGCACAAAGGAGAGATTGGTTTTTCACTACTTTAGATGAGGGCCAGGAGCTGAGGGGTTAATAGTGCACAGATAAATCTTGAAGGACAAATGAAGTTTTCCACATGGCCAAAGGAAGGAGAAATTATAGGCAGATGAATAGAACGTGTGAAAAGAGAGGAACACAAGACAGCATGGGCCAATGTAGCATCATAATAAAAATAAGCAACACAAGGCCAGGTGCAGCGGCTCATGCCTGTAATCCCAGCACCTTGGGAGGCCAAGGCGGGCAGATCACCTAAGGTCAGGAGTTCAAGACCAGCCTGGCCAACATGGCGAAACTCTATCTCTACCAAAAAAAATTAGCCAGGCTCCACGGCATTCCAGCCTGGGTGACAGAGTGAGACTTCATCTCAAAAAAAAAAAAAAAAAAAAAAAATAGCAACACTTGGAATTCTCAGTTTGTAGAATTCACAACTGATACTAAAAGTCTATCATGTAACAGGGCTCCGGTTGAAGTTCACCTCACTGGTTATGAGTTAAAGACAGGGTTTTTGATGAGACTGACACAGAAAATGTCAGCAAGAAAAGAAAGGACACATTTCTCTGATCTCGCACTCTGGGGAATGCTGGAACAGGTCATGAGTGTACCTTCTGCAAGAGGGGCCCAGCTCCCTTTCTCACTCATCAAGAAGTTGCTCAACTTTCTAATATATCAGTAGATAAAGCAAGTTTACCAGTGAGGGGAAGCTAGTGGTGGGGGCAGGAACTGGACCACTTGGGCACCAGAGGGTATGATTTTGATGTCATTTGTTTAGCTGCTTAGGAAAGCCACCCACTGCCAGCTTAAGATTCAGGGGAAGTTGAGATCAGGTGCAGCCCCACCTCCTGACATGGGGAAAACTCATTGTCCTCACTCATTCATCATGCAGGCAACCTGGGGAGAATTTCCACGGTTGCTTTTGGACTGCCCTATTTGTGATACCAGAGCTCTATGACATTTCATTAATTTTAATTTTACTGAGGCTGAATTTGACTCACTCATGCTTGAAAGGTAGGGTGTATAACACATCACTAAACAAGCAAATGAGGCTGTGGACCACCAGCAGTCACATCTCAACTAGACTTCTGTTCAGGTATTTATCAGCACATATGCATGCTCACTCACAAAATGAGTAGCCACAAAGGGGTGCTAATTCCTAATGATGGTGGTGGCCGTTAAGAGTGAAATTGGTAGTTCTTGGACAGAAAAGAGAGTTCTGGATAAATGACAAAGAAGAAAAATATTAACACATCTAAAAGTTTGCATGTGAATACAGCACTTGGTAAAAGTAAAGGTGATTTGTGAAGCTGTTTTAATAATTTCTTGAACCAATTCAAAAATTGCTCATCAACTTAAAAATTAGACAAATGAATGATGAAACGGTGGTTAACAGAGTGTTAACAGGTCACTGACTCATTTAAGAATCCATGCAGGCCAGGTGCAGTGGCTCATGCCTGTAATTTCAGCACTTTGGGAAGCCACAGTGGGTGGATCACGAGGTCAGGAGTTCAAGACCAGCCTGGCCAACATGGTGAAACCCCATCTCTACTAAAAATACAAAAATTAGCCGGGCACGATGGCGGTTGCCTGTAATCCCAGCTACTGGGAGGCTAAGGCAGGAGAATTGCTTGAACTCGGGAGGTGGAAGTTGCAGTGAGCCACGATCACGCCACTGCACTCCACCCTGGGTAACAAAGCAAGATTTTGTCTTAAAAAAAAAAAAAAAAGAAAAAGAAAAAGAAAAAATGAATCCTTGCAGAGCAAAAGTACTATCAAGGCTTTGCAATAGCCTATCCTGCAAAATAAAAGTTAGTTCAAATTTTTAGGAAATATTTTTCTTTGCAGAATTTAGATTCTCTTTGTGAAGAGACGGCTTTTCATGATCACACCTGTATATAAATGTGGACTCAATAGGAATAATTAACATCATTCATCACTCTTGGTCAGTGCTATCATAGAGATGTAATGCAATATTTTTGTGGAGGATCTTTTCATGACAAAGTACACTCATTGCTATTTAAATTACATTACTTTTGCATTTATAGAATCTGTGTGGAAGTCACAGTTTTTCCATTATAAGTTATGGCCTTCTATGGGATAAAATTACATGACTTTCCAGAAAATGGAGTTTCACAACTGTCTTGAGATATTTCTCTTACGAATGCCGAGGACTACTTTGGTACTGCTATAGAAAACTGGGAGGGGGAAGGGACAGAGATGATATTGAGGAGATGGACAATGAGGTTGTCTTTAAAGCTATGCAGAGGTTAGGGTCACAGAGGAGTCATAGTCATGGGAGTGACAGAATCAGATTGGTGTTTTACAAATATTCCCCTGGAAATGAATGGAGGACAGATGGGAAAGAAACCAGATTGGAGGAGGCAGGTTGACAACTTAGGAAACGAATTTAATAGCCCTGAAAAGATGATGAAGATCTAAAGTTAGGTTCAAATCCAGTGGTCCTCAACTTTAGCTAGATATTAGAGATGGCTGAAGAGCTTTTGAAACTACAGATGTTGAATATCATTCCAGATAAATTGTATTTAAGAGTGACATCTGGGTATCAATTTTTTAAAGGTCCCCAGATAGTTGTGATGCAAGGTAAGAATTGAGAATGCTACTCTAAACCAAACAAGGCAATAAATGTGGATACATTCAAAAAGCTTTTAGAAAACAGATGATGACTGATGGATGGGAATGGAGAAACAGGCAGGCCTCAACTTCCAGATATGTGTCTTGAACAGCATGGATGATAGGGTCGAAAATATTAACACATTTCAAGCTTTGAAAAAAAACACTAAGGTATAAGTTCCTCAAATCTAACCTGCCCTCTCCAGGCCCACAGACTGGGAGTGGCAATCAGCAAGGAAAACCTCTATTACTCCAAAAATAATCTTTTCTTTGGTTGGGAAAAGTAAGTCTTCTCAAAACTCACAAGAGAAAAAGCACTAAAGGTGCTTGTTCTGAAGGGAGATCTGGATGTTGAAATAGCAGCATCCCATTATGTGAGATTAGATTGATGATTTCTTCAATACTGAGATGGAGCGAGTGTCCTCAGAGGACAGTGTTTCTCAAGAAGGTGGTCTAAATGACCACAAAGTTTGATAATAATTAACAGATTTCAGTCTCCATGAAAACCCGTGTTACCTGCAAGTGTGTTCTCTGTCACCTCCTATTGGCCTTATATTTTTCTCTCTTAGCTTGCCCTCTTGGCTGTACTTTTTTCTGAGATGGTGTTATGCAATCTCCCCACAAGGGACCTCAGTAGCACTAGGCTTACACCACCCTTAGAGTGAGTAACCAGTCACTATGGCCATGGATGGACTACTCTGGCCAGCCCTAGGTCATAAGATAACCCTGGTTAAGGAGAAAGAGAGTCACCACCACCTAAACCATGTGGATGAAGACCTGGTTGGGGGAAAGATAATTGAGATAGTGTTATTAGAAGAAGAAATATTTTTAGGGTAGGCAAAAACAACAGATGATGACTAAAACCTCAAGAGAGTCTCTCCACTCCCTTGGCCCTCATCAGGGTCATGCACCTGAGGAATGATTCATGGGTGACTCTATCCCCTCCCTGGTCTCCATTCATAGCCATGTGTGGAGGCAGAGATGACCATGCTGGAGAAGAGACCACCCCAGAAGACACAGCTAAAATAAAGGCAAATTTGTTGTGCCATTCTTGGCAGGGCCATCTCTCTTGTTTATTATCCTGGAGCCCTCTTCCCCTCCTCTGTTTTGCTGACCTTAATAAATGAATACATCAATATATGTTTGGAAATACATCTGTTTCTACATACCTTATGCCTTCCCTCCAAAGAATAAATTAAGTGATTAGTAGAATATAAGAGCTGAAAATGTGAGAGCTATCTGCTCAGAATCCAGATAAAACAGAATGGGGCTTATGAAAAGTAGTGCTTGATTAGTTAGTTTCAAAAATCCTAAAACAGTGTTTTCAAATGTTCATTTCTTTGAAACAGTAGTTAAGGTTTTGATACTCTCCCCTGAGGAAGTCATCTAAAACTGCTGATAAAGCTTTTGGCAAAGAGCTTTTCATTACGGGGCTATTTATAACAACAGAAAACCGTAAACAACTTAAATATCCAGCATTGAAAGAACAGTTAAATAATAGATGGTAAATCCACACAAATAATATTATGTTCCATTAAAAACTATTGACAATAAAATTGTAATAGTATAAAAAAATCTCAACATGAATAAAAAGCAGAATAGAAAATTATATATGCACCATAAACTCCAGCTATATAAAAAAGTGAAGCCTCACATTAAAGACAGGGATGAGAAGGATCATTTAATAATGTAAATAAGAGTTGTTTTGATGGTGATAAAACATATAAGATTGTCATCTCCCAACTTTCTACTTTCCTCTAGTTTTTATATTTTGAGTAAGAATAATTTACACAAATAACTTACCCATGTTTAGTTCTCAGTCTTCATCTTGGTTAAGCTGTCAGCAGAATTTGACACATCTGATCACTCCCTCCTCCCTGAAACAACCTCTCTGCCCTCCCCGTCTCCTCTAGTCTTCATATAATAATACAATATAATAAAGGTATCTATTTATGTGTTTGTCTGACACACAATACTGTGAATTCCTTTACAGCAGGTACTATGCTATACTCATCTTCATCTGTTTTTTCTCTCCTTACCCAGATTGAATTCCACAGTCATTTTTATAAGTCTCTTTTGCACATCCTCAACTTCCTTCACCCTGCCTCTTTTCATGATATTACTGGCAAAACTACAACCCTGGTAAAATCCTGCTTTTTCTCTCTTTGTACCCACACTGGCGAACAAAGCTGGAAACAAACACACACATGCACACACACACCCTACCTACTCTCCTTGCTTACTTACTTACTTACTTTATTTATCTATCTATTTATTTTAGAGACAGCATCTCACTCTGTTGCCCAGGCTGGAATGCAGTGGTGCCATCATAGCTCACTGCAACCTGGAACTTCTGGGCTCTAGTGATCCTCCCGCCTCAGCCTCCCAAGCAGCTAGGACTATGGTCATGCAGTACCACAATCAGCTCATTTTTGTATTTTTTATTTTTGTAGACATAAGGTCTCTCTCTCCTTACTTTAATAACCTAGAACTCAAATAAGTCACAGATTCTACCCAGCAACCATATGCTTATTCCCTTACGGTTCATTGAATTCTCCAAAAATTATCATTAGAATTTTTTAAATATTCGCAATTTTCACAGGATAAGAAAGCAGTATTTCATCCTACATCTCGCACTGCCCTGAACTCTTTCTTACTTTCTCTCTCTTCTAACTTTTTAGCACCTCCTCTTTCATCCTCTCCTCAACCAGATGACTTTGTTTCTACTCCACTGAGAAAGCTGAAGCAACAGAAGGGAATGTCCTCACTCCCTGGCCTCTCTATACCTTTGCTGCCAATATCAGCATTCATATCCCCTGCCTCTCACCTGAAAAGTATGAGTAAACTCTCCATGTGACAAGGTTAAACCATCTTCTCATGTTTTAGACACCACCACCTCTTACCTACTCTAGATCTTCGCTCCAAAAATCTTCCCCCAACCCCGATTAAGTTTTCTCTTTCTGCTGATTATTAAAATCCACATTTTTCATGCTGTTCTTTCTCAAACACTGAAAACACAAACGAAAAAGAAGAAGCTTATTCATCCCACTTTTCCCTCCATCTCGCACTGCATTTCTTTACCACCCATTAGAGGAAAACTTCTTGCAGTAATTGTCCATACTCACTGTAGTCAATTCCTCTTCTCCCATTCCCATTCAAATTGTCTAGCCAGGCTTCTGCCAGTAAAGTGGCTCTGGTTTAAGTACCCTTCAGTAACTTTCATATTCTAAACCGAGGGTCGATTATTTGAACGGACAGTAGTATTCAACACAACTGGCCACTCCCTCTTCTTGAAAATACTTTTTTACTTGGTGTCTAGCCACCAAACTCTCCTGGTCTGCTTCGATCCTATGAATTGCTTCTTCTCAGTCTCTTTTATTGGTTCCTTCTCTTATTTCTGACTTTATTAATATTTCTCATATTAATAGAGTCCCTACCCCTCAGATCAATGCTTGGATCTTCTTCTGTACTTAGGGACATCATCATGTCTTGGGGCTTTTAAAGTGTCTCTACACGGATGACCCCTGAAGTGATATCTCCTTCCAGGAGTTCTCTTTTGAACTCAAGTTTCCTTAGTCCAACACAGACTATGTTTACTGCCTATATCCCACCACCGGAATGGAAACTCTGTCCAAGGAAGATTTTTATCTGTTTTATTCACTGCACCTAGAAAGGTGCCTGGCACATTACGGACATTTAACAAGTGTTTTTGAACGAAAGGATAAATAAATAAATGGGAAATTGGAGCATTATGGTTGAAGGCCAGGAGAGAGCATTTTTGGAGGCATAAAGAGCCAAAATCAAATCAAAGCATCTTGAACAAGAAATTCATAAAATCTTGCCTTTTGTGTACTATAGTATCTTCATAAAATCAATTAGGCAATACCTTCTTTCACTATTCTCTAGAAGATTTTGTAAAAGACCAAAATGAGATGTTTCTTGAATGCCTGGTGGAATTCACAGGTAAAACAATCTGGGCCTGATGCTTTCTTTCTAGGAATATTTTACACTAACAGATTCCACTTCTTTAGGGTTACAAAAACAATCAGGTTTTCTATTTCTTCTCAAATTATTTTTGGCAAGTTATTTTTTAGGAATGTGTGCATTTTATTAAAGCATTCAATTTACTGACATAAATGTGTCAATAGTGTTATACTATTTTTTTCTGTCTCTACTGTACCTATAGTTGAATGTCTGATTTTTACATCAAATAGTTTGTTTTTGGCTTCTTTTTTTTCTTGTAATTTATATCACAAATACTTTTTCAGCTGGCTTGATTGATCCTTTCTATTATATTTGGGGTTTTTATTTGTTCCCTGCTTTTGTCTTCTTCATCTCCTTTCCTCTGATTTAAATTGATTTATATACCATTATTCTTTTTCTAACATCTTTTTATTTTAATTGAGGTAAAATTTATATAACATATCATTCATCAAATTAACCAAGTGTACAATTAAGCGGCAGTTAGTACATTCAAAATGTGGTCAACTATAAGATCTATCTAGCTCCAAAACCCAAAAGGAAACTTAATAGGAAACCTCAGAACCATTAAACAGTCACTTCCCCACACCCCCCATCCAGCCCTAGCAACCATGAGTCTGTCTATGAATTTGCCCATTATGAATATTTCATATAAATGGAATCATGGTAGAATATGTGGCTTTTTGTTTCTGGCTTCTTTCACTTTGCATAAGATGTTTAAAGTTCATCCATATTGCAGCATGTATCAATACTTCATTTTTTTATGGCTGAAAAATAATACTCCATTATTACATATTATGTTTTATTTATCAGCTCATCCACTGATGGACATTTGGGTTGTTTCCAGCTTTTGGCTATTGGGAATGATGCTGCTATTAACAATCAGACATAAATATTTGTTTGAAACCTGGTTTCTATTCTTTTAACTATATACCTAGGAGTAAAATTGCTGGGTCATATGATAATTCTATGTTTAACTTTTTAAGTAAATACAAAATTGTTTTCTACAATGACTGCATCTTTTTATATTCTCATCAGCAATGTACAAGAGTTCTAACATCTCTACATCCTTGCCAGCACTTGTTATTTTCCTTTTTTAAATTATAATCATCCTAGTGGCTGTGAAATGGTATCTCTGTGGTTTTGGTTTGCATTTTCCTAATAATTAATGATGGTGAGCATTTTTTCATGTGCTTGTTAACCATTTGTGTATCATCTTCAGAGAAATGTCACTTAAGTCCTTTGTTCCATTTTTTAGTTGCATGTCCCACAGGGTATTCCCTTGATGTAGTACTCTCCCCACTTTTCCTAGGGATGTGGCTTCCTGAGAGCTGAGCTCTAGTGATTGTTATCTCTCTTTTGGATCTAGCCACCGAGCAGGTCTACCAGGCTCCAGGCTGGTACTGCCAGAGTCTGCCCAGAGTCCTGTGATGTGAACCATCTGTGGGTCTCTCAGCCATGGATACTAGCACCTGCTCTGGTGCAGGTGGCAGGGGGGTGAAATGGACTCTGTGAAGTTCCTTATTTTTGGTTGTTTAATGCATTATTTTTGTGCTTGTTGGCCTCTGCCAGGAGGTGGTGTTTTTAAGAGAGCATCAGCTGTGGTAGTATGGGGAGGATCAGGTGGTGGGCAGGGCCCTAGAACACCCATAAGTATACGCCGTTTGTCTTCAGCTAGCAGGGTGAGTAGGAAAGAACCATTAGTTGGGGACAGGGCTAAGCATGTCTGAGCTCAGACTCTCCTTGGGAAGTCTTAGTGCAGCTGCTGTGGGTAATTATGGTGTGGTTCCCAGGTCAATGGAGTTATGTTCCTGGGAGGATTATGCCTGCCTCTGCTGTGTCATGCACATTGTCAGGGAAGTTGGGGAAAGCTGGCAGTCACAGGCCTCACCCAGCTCCCAAGCAACCCAAAAGGCCGGTCTCACTCCCACCATGCCCCGCCAACAGCACTGAGTTTGTTTCCAGGCAGTGGGTGAGCAGGGCTGAGAACCTGTCCCAGGCTACCTGCCTCCCAGCTGTGAAAGCAAGTAGAGCTTCAGTACTTCCCCACCTGTGGAGTCTGCATACCAGATACACACCCTCCCCCAAGTTCTGTCCAGGAGACTTCTAGTTTGGTAGCAATTGTTACGAAGTTCAGCTGGAGGTTTCCTTCTCCTTGTAGCCTTTTCCCAGTGCCTCTGGCAGCACTCCCCAAGGACCCCTGTGAGGCAAGGCAGAAATGGCTTGTTAGGGGACCCACAGAGCCCACAGGGCTTTCCTGCTGCTTCCTCTACCCCTGTATTTCACTTGGCTCTCTAAATTGACTTAGCTCCAGGTATGGTCAGAATATTCTCCTGTCATCTAGACCTTTAGGTTACCTAGTGACGGTGTGTGTTTGGGGGTGGACAATCTCCCTTTCCCACTTTCACAGTTTGGGCACTCACAGGATTTGGGGTGTCTCCTAGGTCTTGCAGGAACAATCTGCTTCCTGCAGAGGGTCTGTGGGTTCTCTCGGCTTTCCTGATTTATTCCTGCAGTCATTCTGGAGCAAGAGTTCATGAAGCAAGACTCCACATGCTGCTCTGTCCATCTAAGTGACAGCTGCAATCTAGTCCTGCCTCCTGTCCACCGTGAGCCTCTGTAAATCCTGGATATGGAATTCTTGATTGACAGGATTATTTTTCTTTCAGCACCTTAAATATGTTATCCCATTGCCTTATGGCCTCCATAATTCCTGAAGAGAAACCTACTGTCAATCTTATGGAGGCACTCTTGTACATGACAAGTCATTTCTTTTTTGTTACTTTTAAGATTGTCTCTTAGTCTTTGGTCTTTCAGAAATTTAGTAACATGGTGTCTTGGTATGGATATCTGTAAGTTTCTCCTTGGAGTTCATCAGGCTTTTTGCATGTGTAGATTTGTGTCATTTGGGAAGGTTTTGGCCATTATTTCTTTAAATATTCTTTCTGTCCCTTTATCTCTCTGCCTTCCTCTAAGATACCCAGAGGTGAAAGCTCAGGGTCTTCTCATGTTTTTTTTGAGAGTTTATTCAGTCCTGAGTATGCATTTGATCTCTTTGATTTACTTGTACATATTAGTGCTTTTGAAAATTGTTATTCCCCCATATATCTTCTTTCCCAACCTCATTCTTCCTAGGATTCTTGATCTATTGTTTGTCCTGACTGTTATCACCTGCTCCAAGCTGCTGTGGACAATTCCTTTGGCTTTAAATATTTTTTAGCAAATGTGGTTCAGGAAGCTCTATGACCCTGGGAATATTCTAAGTTAGGTAAAACAAAGGCACACTTTGTACTGATCCTTCAGGGACCCTGGGAATATTCTAAGTTAGGTAAAACAAAGGCACACTTTGCACTGATCCTTCAGGGAGCTGCCAGACAGTCAAAACACACAACCAAAACTCTTCAAGAATAAAGTCTATACTGTCCCCTGTGACATTAGCAAACTGGAACAGTATTTTCATGGCCACCATTACTCTGGGGAAGAGGGGTGACAAGCAGGCAATTTTAAATTCTCTAACACCCTCTTACCACAATGCAGCAGCTTCTTTCTTCATTAAGCTTCCCCTGGTTGTTGTTAGTTTTTCACTGTGTTTCCTAGTTCTGTGAAAGTTGATTCTACCAGTTTTTGCCAGCATTTGTTGCTGGATGTATGGAACCTTAGAGTTCCCTACTCTGCCATTGTTGGCAAAATCAATTGCACCTTTTTTTAACTTGTCAAATTAGTTGCTTAGATAGTTTATTTTCACTTTCTTCTTCTCTAATATAAGCAGTTAGGAACCATAAGTTTTTCTCAAGGATTTTTTAGTTTCATCATCTCACAAATTATAATGTGCTATTCTCTCAATCTCTCTCCTTTTTTTTTTTTAGGTTTGGGGGTGCATGTGAATGTTTGTTACATAGGTAAACTCATGTCACAAGGGTTTGTTGTATAGATTATTTCATCACCCAGATATTAAGCCCAGTACCCAATAGTTATCTTTTCTGCTCCTCTCCCTCCTCCCACCCTCCACTTTCAAGTAGACTACAGTGTCTTGTGTCTCCTTCTTTGTGTTCATAAGTTCTCATCATTTAGCTCACACTTGTAAGTGGGAACATGCGGTATTTCGTTTTCTGTTCCTGCATTAGTTTGCTAAGCATAATATCCTCCAGCTTCATCCATGTTCCCACAAAAGACATGATCTCATTCTTTTTATGATTGCATAGTATCCCATGATGTATATGTACTACATTTGCTTCATCCAATCTGTCATTGATGGGCATTTAGGTTGATTCTATGTCTTTGCTCTTGTGAATAGTACTGCAATGAACATTTGTATGCATGTGTCTTTATGGTAGAATGATTTATATTTCTCTGGGTATATATCCAGTAATGGAAATGCTGGGTCAAATGGTAGCCCTGCTTTCATCTCTTTGAATGGCAATACTGCATTCCACAATGGTTTACACTCCCACCAACAGTGTATAATTCTTCCCTTTTCTCTGCAACGTCACCAGCATCTGTTATTTTTTGACTTTTTAGTAATAGCCATTCTGATGGATGTGAGATGGTATTTCACTGTGATTTTGATTTGTATTTCTCTAATAATCAGTGATATTGAGCTTTATTTCATGTGCTTGTTGGCTGCATGTGTCTTCTTTTGAAAAGTGTCTGTTCATGTCTTTTGCCCACTTTTTAATGGGGTTGTTTTTCTCTTGTAAATTTGTTTAAGTTTCTTATAAGTGCTAGATATTAAAACTTTGTCAAATGAGAGTTTGAAATATTTTCTCCTATTCTGTAGGGTGTCTTTTTACTCTGTTGATAGTTTCTTTTGCGTGCAGAAACTCTTAAGTTTAATTAGATCCCACTTGTCAATTGTTGATTTTGTTGTGATTCCTTTTGGTGTCTTTATCATGAAATCTTTGTCCCTTCCTGTATCCACGATGGTATTACTTACGTTGTCTTCCGGGTTTTTACAGTTTTGGGTTTTACATTTAAATCTTTAATCCATCTTGAGTTTATTTTTGTATGTGGTGTAAGGAAGGGGTCCAGCTTCCATCTTCTGCCTATGGCTTGCCAGTTATCTCAGCACTATTTATTGAATCAGGAGTCTTTTCCCCATGACTTGTTTTCTCTCTCTCTCTGTCTTCTTTTTTTTTTTTGTAGATGGAGTCTCACTCTGTCACCCAGGCTGGCGTGCAGTGGCATGATCTTGGCGCACTGCAACCTCCGCCTCCTGGGTTCAAGCAATTCTCTGTCTCAGTCTCCCGAGTAGCTGGGATTACAGGCACCCACTACCACGCCTGGCTAATTTTTGTATTTTTAGTACAGACGGGGTTTAACCATCTTGGCCAGGCTGGTCTTGAACTCCTAACCTCGTATCAGCTTTGTTGAAGATTAGATCATGTGTTATTTTCATTACTATCTCATTATGATCAACAAATCTATAATTTTTATTATGATTTCTTTTTGGGCAACTGTTACTTAGAAGTGTGCTTTTTAATTTTCAAAAGTACCAGGCTTGTCTAGTTATATTTTTGTTATCATTTTCTAGCTTACTTTCCTGTATGTTTTAGTTTTTTTGAATCAGATGAAATGACATATGGTCTAATATATAATAATCTGATACTCTTCTATGTACCCTTGAATACATGTGTTCAGCCGATTTGAGAAGTATTAGTTTGTATGTTTACATTAGGTCAAGTTTGTTTGCTGTGTAGTTAAAATCTGCTCTATCCTTGCTGATTATTATTATGTATTCCATCTTTAAATAAATAAGAGAACTTGCTAAAATCTGAAGTTCTGGTGGTGGATTTATCTTTTTCTCCCATAGTTCTATTATTTTCTTACTTTATTTATTCTAATGGGCTTAGAATTGCTATATCTTCCTGGTGAATTTAACTAGTATTCAATATAGAGTATCTCTCTTTATCTCTAGTAATGCTTTTAGCATTAAAAAGATTTTTATCTTACATTGATATCACTACAGGATTTTTCTTAATTAATATTTGTCTGGTATACCATTTTATTGTTGTTTTAAAATTTTATGTTTTTATGTTCTAGGTGCTTCCTTTTTCTTCTTTTTTGAGAGCAAGTCTACATGTGCCTAACCTTGTGTCTGGTAGCAGTGGGCCTCAGGATAAAAGGGGCAGGAAGAGCAGAGGAAATGGGAAGGACCCCAATTTTGCTGGGTGACTTTCTGGCACCTAGCAGGGATTCAATAGATGTCCATTGAACTGTCAAAATGAATGCAGATGGCTGGACTTCCTTCTAGTGTTACCCTTGGACTCAGATGAAGTCTCCCCATTCCTTCTTCCTGTTTGAAACACTAGTTGTCCCATTGGGAATCCCTCATCCCCAAGGCCTTCTGCTCATGATGAATAATCAATCAGGTTTGTGATTCAAAACAACATCCATCATCTCTGTAAAACCAGTTCCCCATCCTAAAGCTATGACATTGTTTGACAAGGGTATGTATTATTTAAAACCAGGACTTTGTCATGTTTTCATTATCTGAGTACAGTTGGCCCTTTGTATCCATGGGTTCTGCATTTATGAATTCAACCAATTGTGAATTGAAAATATTCAGAAAAAAATGCATCTATACTGAACATGTTCACACTTTCTCCTTGTCATAATTTTCTAAACAATATAGTATAACAACAATTTATATAGAACTTACATTGTATTAGGAATTAAAAGTAATATAGAGATAATTTAAGCTTGGTTAATATATGCAAACACAGCATCATTTTATTTCAGGGATTTTGGTATCCATGGAAGGCTATCCATGGAAACCAATAACCCCATATATACAAAGGGACAACTATATTGGCATCCTTTACTGATTATAGAACATTCCTAGTCACTACCATAGTGCCTCTTTCACATTCTCTTTATTATCTTCTTCTGGAACTCCAGTGGGATTTTTGTTGGACTTTCTCATCCTATTCATTATGCCTCTTCACTTCTCTTTGGTCTATCTCTTTGTCTCTTTCTATTGCTTTTTGAGTAATTTATTTGGTCCAATCATCAAGTTTACTATTTCTCTTTTTATTGGTTCCAACCTTATAATCAACATATTCATTGAGATTCTAACTTTATTACAATTATTTTTTCATTTCTAAAAGTTCTACTTTGTTCTTAAATTTATCTAGTCAATTAGAGAATTCCTCTTTCATCAAACTTGCAATTTTCTGCTTAATTTCTTTCAATATATTATCTATTAATTTATTTATTTAGAGATAGAGTTTTGCTCTGTCACCAGGGCTGAAGTGCACTGGCATGATCACAGCTCACTGCAGACTTGAACTCCTAGGCTCAAGCCATCCTCCCATCTCAGCCTCCCAAGTAGCTGGAACTATAGGTGTGCACCACCAAGCCCAGCTAATTTTTTTTTCTGGAGATAGGGTCTCACTCTGTTGCCCAGGCTGGTCTTAAACTCCTGGTCACAAACAGTCCTCCTGCCTTGGTCTCCCAAATTGCTGGGATTACAGGTGTGAGCCACCATCTCCGGCCTATTTTTAAATATTATGTAATACTGTTTATCTGATATTCCCAATATATGCAATCTTTGCACATCTGATTTCTGTGTGTACACAGGTGTTCATGTTTATACATTTGAGTTTTCCAAAAGCCATAGTACACTCATGAGAAAATGAAAGTGAAAAGACAAATACAGTCTTAGTATTAATTATAAAAATAGTTTTTGCCTAATGGATTCAGAGTCTTAGTGACCCTCAGAGGTCCTCAGACTACACACTCAGAACCACTTCACTAAAGCATCCATCGATACAATCAGTTATTTCTTTCCTGTGCCTCCAAAATGTTTCTACCTCAATACCAACCTTGGAAAAATTGAGAAAATGAAAGCTCAAATTATTTTCCATGGAGCTTAATTTTCTCTGCAATTCTGATCAAAAAAGATTGTAAGCAATGAAAGAATCAAACTAGCTGTATTCAGTAGTCCTCCCTTATCCATAGTTTCACTTTCCATGGTTTCAGTTAATAGTGCAATAGAGTAAGATATTTTGAGAGAGAATGACCCCATATTCACATAACTTTTATTACAGCATATATTTATCATTATCATATGGTATCAGTATATTATTGTTGTTCATTTCTTTATGTGCCTGATTTATAAATTAAATTTTATCATAGTTATGTATGTATGTATAAAAGAAAACATGGTATATACAGAGTTCAGTACTATCTGCAGTTGGAACTCTTCAAACATATCCCTCACAGATAAGGGGAGACCTGCTGTAATATTTTTGCTTCTTAACCAAGTGTTCTCCCTCCACCCATCCCTGTCTTAGCATTTCTATCATTACATAATTCTCTATTTGGAAAACTGTATCATGAGGTTTTTACTGCCACAATGCAGGTTAATTAGGAAATGAGAAAAACAAAGTAGCCTATTTCTTGGTCTTGAGTTTCAAGTGATTTAGAAGGAAAAATGAAAACCAGGCTACCTGGATCCAAGAATGGGAAAGAGTGAGGAGTATGCAGGGAGGAGGAGACAAGAGCTTAAACATGGAGGCATTTCTGGCTGGGTGCGGTGACTCTTGCCTGTAATCCCAGCACTTTGGGAGGCCGAGGCAGGTGGATCACGAGGTCAAGAGATCGAGACCATTCTGGCCAACGTGGTGAAACCCCGTGTCTATTAAAAATACAAAAATTAGCTGTGCATGGTGGAACGCACCTGCAGTCCTAGCTACTCAGGAGACTGAGGCAGGGGAGTCACTTGAACCTGGGAGGTGGAGGTTGCAGTGAGCCGAGACTGCGCCACTGCACTCCAGCCTGGCGACAGAGCAAGACTCCACCAAAAAAACAAAAAAAAAAAAAAAAAAGAGGCATTTCTAAGAGAGAGACCTTAACCCTAAGGCAGACACTGAAGAGGATTTGGGGCATGAAATAGGAGCTGCAGGTTGGAGAACATCACAAGCAAGGGCATCTGTAACCCACCCTACCCACTTTCTCAAGAGACAGTCCAGAGAGCGAGTAAGGCACAGGGGCCCTCTTCTGCATATTGAAAGTGAGAAGAAATGCCTATGCGAGTGTCTAGGCAGAGAGCTTGAAACAGCCACTTGTGGGTCTCTGCACCTGCAGCCTGGTGCAGGGATCAGAAGAATGTACTTATTCTGTGCAACAAGAGCCATGCCTTTGTGACAAAGCCCGTGGCCCAAGAAGGCCCTGCATTTGGAACAAGGAGGCACCACTTTGATCTGCTGACAGCTAAGTGCAAGGTGGAATCAGAGATATCTTAATAGATGTCAATGATAACAGATGATACCAAGAACCAGGCATCTTAGACACACACACACATACACACACACACACACGTGCACGAGCACCCACGCACGCATGTGACTGGATACCGCATGAGTTTTCTAAAGCTTAAAGATGACTACAAGGACAAAGAGTAAACACTTAATTGACTGCAATTAAGTTTTTGATATCCAGCAGAGTAGGAGTTTTTACTAGCAATTAACTTCAGTTTTAGAACACGACAAATCTTATTTTTATTATACAACTACAAACAAATATATAATGAATGCTCAGATTCCAGGACCCTATACCTGGGGTGATGGGTGGGACGAGTTAAAGAAGGGATCTGGACACTGCTGCCTCTCTGCCTTCTTTATATGGGGACCGTATCACAAATGAGGCTCACTGTGCCTCCAGTCATGTTTACTGTGCAGCAAGGCTTTTGGCCAGAGAACATAATTGACATGCACAGAGCTGGAGCTCTTGCCAGCTCACAGCAAAAGGGCCTCTAATTCAGAGAAAAAGGAGTTGGACCTCTGCCAGTCATGTACCTGTTATGCTTTCATATAGGCATCAGTTAGACCCTGATCTCAGTCTGACAAACCAGAAAATATAAAACCATCAGGATCAAGGCATACTTTTTACTGGGAGTGTTAGCCTGGTAATGGAGAGGAATGTTATTGCTCTAAGCATTCGCATAATATCTATTGATCAAACCTCTGTGAAGCTGCTATTCTTCATGCCAGCGTCTGGCGGCAAGGGAGGACTATTTCAGGTCTCACCATCACAGCCACTTCACACTCAGGCCATGCCACAGTCACCAGCACAGCTTGGGATTGGGGCAGGAAGTCCCCAGGGTGACCAGACAGAAAGCAGCCTCAGGACGGGGCCAGAGCATGAGACTAGGGGTGGTGGCAGCTGGGTTTTATTTACTCTGGGCTGTGTGACCTTGGGCAAGCTGCCAGCCCATTCTGTTCCTCTCTGCATGCCATACAACCGGGAATTCCTACATTACTGAGTCACTCCTGGGCCAAGGTTTGATGTCCCTATTAAAATGCTGTTGAGAGAGTAAGTGGCTTCAGTCACTAGCCCTGGAGAATGAGTTCACCAGTTTGATTTGTTTACAACTGAGAACTCTTTCAGTTTGTGTGCGTGAGGTGCTGGGGGAGCAGGTGGAAGAGGCTTTGCTGGAGTGGGGGAAATATCCTGCCTGGGAGTGGGATTGGCGGAAGGGGGCATATTTGTCAATCACAATAGAATCCTAGACACTTATGTCTGGGAGGCATAGCATAGGCCATTGCATTCATCTTCCCCCCAGTACCTGAATCTGTGACCAATGGAACTGAGGATCTTTACTTAACAACCTCTAGTGATGGGATAATCACCTCCTTCTAAGGCAAGCTACTTGGAAACTCTAAGATATTACTGAGAAAAGACCCTGAGCCCAGCCTTGAATTAGTCCAAAGTCTAATGCTTCTCCCAGGTGACAGCCCTTGAAAGAGTGTGTGACAGGCGCCATGCCCCCTGAATGGTCTCTTCTCCCAAATAAATAATACCTGATTCTCCCTCTGCAATGTTCATGACCCAAACAAAGCTGAGCCTCTGTGTGGCCACTCTCAGTTTGATGTTGTACCCCAAACCTTCAACCTCAGTCTTAATGCCTGGGAATGGGGGAATGTGTGGAAAAAGGCATGAAACACAGTACACAGCAAAATGTCTTAACATTTCTCTTGATTCTCTAGCTCCTTATCCCTTTTCCTAAAAATCTCTTTCTAAATCTTTCAAGGATAAAGGGAAGGGGGTAGAAAGGGGAAGTGAGGAGAGGTAAAGGAAGATGTTCATTATTGGGAGCCTATAATGTTCCAAACACGTGGGACATTTAATCTTCACAAAGTAAGTATACCCACCCTAATTTTATAAGGTAGAAACTAAGACCCAAGATATCTAAGTAAGTTGCCCAAAGTCACAAAGCAATTACCTGGCAAACAATGGATTCAGATAATGACTATATCATAGGCCAAGCCCAATTACACTCAAAATAATTCACATCTTCCTAAGAGGCAAGCCCTGGGGGCCCAAGAGGGGGTTGTTGAGTAAGGGCAGAAAGTACAAGGGAGACAAGTTGCCAATCACAGCTTGGCCCTGATTATTGTAATAACTGACACAATTAAAGTTCAATTTCGTATCCTTAGAAGGTTTCCGTCATATTCCAAGGCTGATGAGAAATTTCCATTCTAAGAATGGGGATCTGTTGAATGTTTTAAATTCAGGCACTTAATTAAATCTTTTAAGATGACTCTTTCTGTGTTTGCCCTTAGTCTTTTATTTCTATCCAATATTGTTCCTGGACCAAATAGGGTCGGGCTGCTGTTTCTTGTAGCCCAATAATGAGATGCAGATGAACTGGGGAGGAAGAGAGTTTTTTTTTTAAGTATATAAAAACATTTATTCATTAGAAAACAAGGAGACTGGCAAACATATATTCCAAAGTGAAAGCAGCTCAATGCAGTTCAGTTAGGCTAATTTAAGAGAAAGGCCTTGCATTTTAAAGATCGTGTATGTATTTTTTTTTTTTTTCAAAAAAGGAGACAGGCAAATATTCTACAAGGGGAACAGAATTAGAATTCTAGGTCACCCTACAAGTTACCCTGCACAGGGAGGAAAGGAACAGGCAAGATGACTTCTCAGGATCTGTGCCTGCGAGCTGATGCTCTGAGAATGGGGGTTATTTTCTTGGGTGTCCTGTCTTCTGTCATCTAGGCTAAAAAATCTTCCTCACTTGACTCATCACTTGAGAAGACAACTTTTGGTTTCTTTTCGGAAGCTCGCTGCTGGGTGTTCGGATGCCGATGGGTAGTACGACGGGGCTCTGGTGTGACGAAGTCATTGTCTGAGGCTGCAGAAGCCAGAGGCTGGTGCCTACAAACAGTGGATGGTTTCTTGGCTGTTGGGGCTCTCTGGCTACCTGCTTGGTTAATCTCAAGCTCCTCAATCCCATCCAAACCTCTGGCATGACAGGCCTGAAGCTTTTGCTCAAATTCATCTATTATAGCCTTGCCCTCAGGCTTGGCCCCATGTTGTAGCTTGCCCATAACTGACAAAAAAGAACTGAAGATGGACTCATCTGACAGTTTATCTCCAAAACAGTCAAAATTGCCAAGCATCTTGCAAGGGCCTTGCTCTGTGAGGGGCAGCTGTGACACACAGTAGGCCAGGTCCTGCTGCACCTGCTCAGTTTAGGCTGTGTGGAACCGCTGACACAGCTTTTCCACCAGGCTTTGTCTGCTTGTCTTTGGTGATGATGTAGGAGAAGAACTGCTTCATAATGGTGTGAAAAGGCACTTCCTCCACCCCCAGCTCGGGGTCTGACAGGTGGCTGATGATATCTGGAAGGAGACTATAGATTGCATTGCCCTTGTGGAAGAGCTCATTGAAGAACTTCTTGGCCAGGGCAGCAATTTGAGACTCAGGGTTGATGAGCAGCATGGCCATCTCACTCACCTGCCCCTTTACCTTCACCATGTCCTTGAGGATCAGGTGGAGTCATCACCAGCCCCACTGTTTTCCACACTGGCTGAGCAGGGTCCTGAAGGTGAGCATATAGATGAGGAGTCCAGGGGTCCACCAGATTGGGAAAGTGGATGGCCAGATCCCCAGTGGCAACGATGAGATTAGACCGGACAATGGGAAGTGGAGACTTTTCTAGCATGGTGAACAGAAGATGAGGCTGGGAGTTGCAGAAAGTGGTACTGATCATGCAGAACTTGCCAAGGGTAGGTGAAGCAGCTGCAGAGAGGTCTGGGTTGCTATAGAGGCCTGAGTTGTTGTAGACTTTAAGCAAGAGTGGAACAAAGGCAGCCAGTGTCTGTTTGCCATCCAACAGTTCCATCTTGCAGAAGCCGCGGATTAGTTCTGCCTCCGTGTCATCTGCTGCCCCAACCAGCCCCAGCTCCTCCTCCATAGTGGTCTCGAAACTTGTATTCTTCTCCTTGGGATCTTTGGTCTTGTGCTCCTGTTCTTCCCGGAGAACTCGGCGCTGACAGAGCTCTCCACTCACTGCCTGCTCCAAGTGGACCAGCTGCTGCAGAGCCACATCCCCAGCCAGGGACAAGAGGTTCATCAACAGGAAAGTGGGGAGCATTGTGGGAGACTCCTTCGGGTCCCCCTGACTGGTTCTCTTCTCTTCTAGCTTCTCCAGGGCCTGTTTTGCACAGCCCTGCCATATCTGGGCACAGATCACTGTGGGACTCTCTGCCAGTTGGTAAATGAGGGTCACTGCCACCTCTTTGAATGGGATCCAGAGTGGGTCTGGTGGACAAAGCCTTTCGGGACCGTCTCCCGCAGTCACTCAAACAACTTGTGTTCCTGAGGCAACTGGAAGTGGGGGTGACGTTTGCCCAGAGAAGTCTTTCTACTGTCAGAGATGTTGGCGATGGCATGGCACACCTGCTGGGCCAGCCGGTAGTCCTGTGGAAACTTCGGAAGAGAGTTTTATTTTCTGCAACCGGTGACGGGGAGAAGGCCTGGAAATTATTGCCAGACCAACTTAAAATTACAAAGTTTTCCAGAGCTTATATACCTTCCAAACTATATGTCTACGTGTAAGGTATGCATTCATCTAAAGATGTAAATGGTTAACTTCTTTTAATCTATAACCAAGGTCTGAGTCCTAAATACCTTCCTCTGGAGCCTCAGTAAATTTACTTAATCTAAATGGGTCCAGGTGCTGGGGGGATTACCCTTATCTTGTCTCCTGCTAAATTACAGAGGTTTTGGGAGTTCCTTCAGACCTCCAATAAACTTGTTTGTGGAGGCCTAAGGAGTTTCCTTAGACCCCCAGTGAAACTTGTTTAATCCTAAATGGGTCCTGTTAAGAATTCCTTTGTTATTTTGTCATGCCTTAAGTCCCAGGAAAGGCCTAGGTAAAACTCTTGATGGGCTTTTGTTACATTCCAGCCTTCGTACAGGGGCACTGGCTTTTAATATTTAACTTAACCACTCAGTCAGTACTGAAAGAGTTGTCAGTGACACCTGGCCTGCCACAATTATGAGTGTCCAGAATTTTACTAGATGTTTGGGGGAAGGGGAATGAGAAGCCTGAATTAGGAATATTCTCCACGAGTCTCTCACAATCTAGTTGGAAAGACTAGTAAACTCAATGACATATTAAATGATAAGTAAATGACAACCTGTGGTCCTTACTTCATGCCTTTGCACACACTGCTCTCTCTACCTGGATGCCCTTCTCTCACCTGATCTCTCCAGCAAAGCACTACTCATTCCTCAAGACACAAAGCTGAACAGGCACTCTGTGAAGCCTGCCTAGTCCGCTTGCTTCCTTCCCAGAAGATTTTGCCAATCATCCCTCTTTTGGACAAATATCGTGCAACACTGTATTTTAATTATTTCCCAACTCCCTGAAACACTAGAATGTGAGCAATTTGAAGATAGGAATGGAGTTTCCTTCCTTGCATTCTCAGCACATAGCATTGTGTCTGAAACCAAATAGTCAGCAATCAATAGTAATTGATGAGTGTTTAAAGAAGCACTACAGGAAGTGGCAAAAATCAGGGTCCTCCAGGGCAACACGATGGGGACTTCACAGAGTGGGTGGAGCTTGTATTGGGCCTTAGAGGATGACTAACATTTGGAGATGCTGATGCTGCCAAAAGTAGAAAGATCAGGAGGAATAAAAGCCCAGAAATACGAGACTGTCTTCCCCAGTGTTTTATGGTGGTCCTAGATTCAAATATCCCATCATGTCACAACTTTGAAATGAGGAAAATACTTTCACCAAGAAGTTGAATGCTATTCTGAATTACAAACCCAGGTGAGTGCTCATCAAGAACAGAAGACCAGCCAGGTGTGGTGGTGCACGCCTGTAGTCCCAGCTATTCAGGAGGCTGAGGTGGGAGTATCACTTGAGCCCAGGAGCTCATAGTGCGCTATGTGGATCGGATGTTTGTACTAAGTTTGGCATCAGTATGGTTACCCCTATCCCAGGAGCAGGTGACCACTAGATTGCCTAAGGAAGCATGAACCAGCCCAAGTTGGAAACAGAGCAAGTCAAAATTCCCATGCTGATCAGCAGTGGGATTATGCCAGTGAACAGCCACTGCACTACAATGTGAGCAACATAAAGAGACGCCCCTGTCCAAAAAAACAAAGAAGGAAACCTGCAATCCGAGCACTTTGGGAGGCTGGGGAAGGAGGATTGCTTGAAGCCAGGAGTCCAAGACCAGCCAGGGCAACATGGCGAGACCCTGTCTCTACAAAAATAAAAATAAGTTAAACATAAATAAAAAATTCTAAATGAATTTTAAAAAGAAAGAAAAAATAATAGAAGGCTTTGGGGATCAGGGCAGCCCAAAGGGATTCCTGGAGTTTCAAACACAAAATAGACATGAGAGACTTAATCTGGATGTCAGACCAGCACTAGAAGAAAACCTGGACATTTTGAAGCCCTTAAATTCATAAAACTTTGACAGTTTCATGAACATTTGTTGAAACCTTGCCATGTCCAAGAAGGTCACCTAGGATCAGAACTTCCACCCATCTCCTCTTCTCCCCCTGTCCTTTTCTGAGGTCTACACCCCCTTTGTAGTAGGTGGTCAACTGGACACAGGACTAGGTTTATCAAAACTTGCTCTCGGGAAATAAAAATAAGACAAGAAATACAATATACACAAGAACACATGTTCTTGTACCTCAGTCTCTGAATAGCCTGTCTCTAGACTCTGTTTGATGTAAGAGTGGTTGCTTCTGAAAAAAGAACTGAGTGACTAACAATGGTTGGAGAAGGGTGCCTTTCTTAATTTTAGTTTTTATTATTTTTATTGAAGTATGAAGTTCAATCCGGTGCACGCAAGTATCAGCTGATGAATTTTCACAAACAGAAGATACCAGTGTAACTAGCACCCAAATCAAGAAATGTTACCATCTGCCTCTATGCCCCCTCCTACCAATTCCCAGTACCACCTCTTCCCCCCACCAAGAGTAAGCCCTGAGGCCCAGACAGGCTTCACCTAATTTTATATTTTATTTTTTCTTTTTATGAACAGCTTTATTAAAATATTCACATAACAATACAGTTCACCCATTAAAAGTATAAAACTGAGTGGCTTTTAATATATTCACAGATATGTATAACCATCACCAAAGTCAATTTTAAAATATTTTCATCACCTCAAAAAGAAGGCAAATACCTTTTAGCTATAACTCCCACCTCACATCCTCCGTAACCCTAGCCAACTGCCAATCTACTTCCTATGTCTATGAAATTGCCAGTTCTCCACATTTCATATAAATGGAATCATGTAATATATTATCTTTTGTGACTGGTTTATTTCACTTAACACTTTCAAGGTTCATTTTTGTTGTAGCACGTATCCATATTTCATTTTTTATGGCTAAATAATATTCTATCATATGGATATAGCACATTTTGTTTATCCGTTCATCAGTTGATGATTATTTCAGTGGTTTTTACCTTTTGGCTCTTAGGAATAAAATGCTGCTATAAACATTCATGTACAACTTTCTGTGTGGACAGTTTTTTCTCTTGGGTATGTAACTAGAAGCAGAATTGCTGGGTCATATGGTAACACTGTGGTTAGCATTCTAAGCAACTACAGTTTTATATTCCCACCAGCAGTGTACAAAGGTTTCAATTCCTCCTCATCCTCACCAACATTTGTTGTTTGGGGATTGTTCATTACAAATACATGAAACAGTGGTTACCAGAGTCAGTCAGGGTGGGAGGGAGGAATGCAGAGATTTAGGTCAAGGATACAAAGTAGCAAATACGTAGAATGATTTAATTCTTTACATAAATAGAACCTTACAGTATGTGTGCTTTTGTTTCTGACTTCTTTTGCTCAGCATTAGATTCAGGAGATTCATCAACATTGCTGCGTATAGTTGCAGACAGTTTACTATCCTTATTGAATGGTGTTCTACTGTGTGAACATACTACAGTTGCTTTTTTCATTCCACTAGTGGTGGGCATTTGGGTCATTTCCAGTTTAGGGCTACTATGAATACTGCTGCCTTGAACAGTCCAGGATACATCATTTTGTGAGCTGCTTATTTTTATTATTTGTGCTACCTGAATTTTGTATTATGTGCAGGTATTACTTTTTTTAAATGTCCTAAAAACACCTTTAAGGGCTTTTAAACTAGGATCAGAAACTTAGCTCCTTCCCTACTGACAAGCAGGCAGAAAAAAAAAATAATAGTAATAGCTAGTATTTACTGAATGCTCATTGAGCCACCTCTTTAGGGAAAAAAATCTTTTCATATATGTTTGCTTTTAATCCTCCAAATTACTCAAAGCCATAGGTATTCTCATTATGCCCATGTTAGACCTGCAGAAACTGAGACCGAAGGAGGTTAAATAACTTGTGCAAAACCATACAACTAGCAAGTAGGGAATCACAGTACAAATACAGGTCTCTGAATATAAAGCCTGTGCATTCACCCTCCAATTACACAGCCTCTGATTACACTCAGCTGGGAGTTCAGGGAGCCTGCTAGACATGGGGAGGAGAAGCTGAAATGAGAGCACCTGAAACTGCCAGCTCAGTCCAGCTCAACAGCTCGGATTGTTCTCCCCACCGCCCCCCTACTTCCTGTCCTAATTAATCAAATGCTCTTGAACATGAAAGAGAGTGAGATTGGATTTTTGTTAAGATGAAAGAAAGGAATCTGTTCCCATCTGGCACCTTCAAAACTCTCCTATTCAAGCCAGCAGGGAGCATTTATGCAACCTACATGGCAGTTTAATAATTCCCCAAGAATGCCAGGAGATTAAGCAATGTCACAACCGATCTGGATCCACCGGCACTTGAGAATAATGGAAAGAGCAGGGGTCTAAGGTCTAGGACAGGGGTCAACCAAATTTCTCTGTAAAGGCCCAGATATTAAATATTTTAGGCTTTGCAGGTCCTATGATCTCTGTGTCAACTACCCAACTCTGGCATTGTAACATGAAAGCAGCCATGAGCAAACAGGCATGGCTGTGTAACTAAAACTTCTTTTATGGCACAGATATTTGAATTTCATATAATTTTCATGTGCCTGGGCATATATTTCTTTTTTAAAAAATATTTTCTAACCAGTAAAATATGTAAAAGTTATTCTTAGTTTGAAAGCTGCACAAAAATGGAGGACAAAGTCTAGCGACCTGAATTCAAATCCTCTCTCTGCCATTTGTTATTTCTGTGGCTTTCGACATATTACTTACATTCACTAAGCTTCATTTCTCTCTTGAGAAAATGAGCAGAGCAGGTGCCATGCATTCAGGGCCTCCCTTGTGGCTGGCACTGAGCCACATGCTTTATATGCTTTACTGAATTAAATCCTACAATAACCACAAAAGGCTGAAATTATATGATTGCCTTCTTCAGATAGTTACGATGATTAAGAAATTATGTCTATAATTGTGCCTGAGCTGGCCTCCATAGTTCATTGAGTTTGATGCTTCCTGTTGTACGCAAAAATTGCCATGTTGGTTCGATGAGAGCATGCCTGCTTTTTCTACTACCTGTGGTGTTTTGAGTACCTATATTTGTATTGCACTTACAGTGAAAATTATCTAATTATATTATTCTATTTAATTACAATTGCATCAAGCTCCAATAAACAATCCAAATTTCACTGAACTGAAAGTTGAGTGCACACTTTGAATAGTCACTCCTTCTGTTAGGTTGGTGCAAAAGTAATTGCCATTACTTTTAGTAGCAAAAACAGCAATTACTTTCGCACCAACCTAATATATATGTGCACAGTAGGCAGTTTGGCTCAGGTACACTTATTCAAAACATTGCATTAAGTAAGATAATACATGTTAAATACCTAGCACACAGCCTGGGATGCAGGTGTCGGCCAGTGTTTGTTCCCCACTTCCTTAGTGACAAAGATTAGGCTTAGCTACTTTTTGGGAAAGGTGAGTGCCACCAGAAAGATGAGGCCAAGGCCTTATCAGACACACTGGAACACAGCCTTCCCAAGGAATAAATCCAGAATATTTTGTGTATGAGTTCTGGCTCTGAAGCCCAGCCTGTTCTTACACTGACCCCCCAGTTTCTGCCTTGATCAGCCACCCACTAGGCTGGGCATTGCTTCCTCTCACTCTGCTATCTAGTGACCCAACCTCGGCCCAACCCTCCAGCTTTCTTCTGGCCATGCGACTGTTCTGCTAGTCTGCTCCGCATATCTGCTCCTACCTTCCGATGCCTCCTCTGAGCTTTGGCTCCACTCCCCACTCAGCACAAACAACTTACTTTGCCCCAGTATGGGGTACAACAGCTCAGACTCTTCTAGAGGTCTAATCCTGGACACCTCGTTTGCTTTATAAGCACAATCTGGAAAGAAGAGTTTCATTGCTCAGAGCCCCTCAGGAAGCAGAAGAGGAGAGTGGTGAAGAGAGCATTCATCCTCTGGAATGACCATAACTGGTGTTTCAATCCCAGCTCCCCTCCATACTAATACTTGGGTGAGTTACTCACCAGGTCTATGCTTCAGTTTCTTCATCTGTAAAATGGAGGTTGTAAAAATATCATCTACCCCATAGGGTTATGGTGATGATTAAATTAGTTCTTCTATAGAAAGTGCCTGCAGCAGTGGTTAGCATGTGGTAGGCACTTTGTATGTGTTATCTGTTATGTCTGTTTGCTCTTACTAACATCTATATTTCTGAGTCCTAGACCTCCCCAGAGAGTGTGAAGTTCATGGTGTTTCATGGGAACAGATGTAAGCCCACTTGCTGAATCTCTCTCTGAGCTAATAATTAACAAATACATTGCACAGTAGCTTACCAGGAAAGCCTATACTGGTCTGAACAAGAAGAAACTTGCTGAACAATTCTAAAGCTCACTTCTCAATATAACAGCAGCCCTTGCTCAACATGTTGCCCATATCTTCAGTACCGTGCAGAGGTCACAGCCATCATATTCTGCCAGCTCTTCCCCTATGGGTTGAGCAACCATATGTGTCTTCCCAACCAGGACATTTTTCATTTTTAGCTTCTTGTTTTGACATAATTTCAGGTTTACAGAAAATCTTCAAGAGTAGTACAAATACCCCCATGTACCCTGTACACATATTCCTGAAATGTTAATATTTTTCATATTTGCTTTATCATTTCCTCTATCAGTCTATCTATAATACCTACCTATCTACCTATCCATCCATCTAAAAATGTCCCAGGTAATCAGCAAACCTGCTTTAAATGTCACCAATTATCCCAAGAACATCCTTTTTAGCACAAAAAACCCCGAATCATGTATTGTATTCAGTTGCCATGTACGTTTAGTGTTCTTTAACTTAGAACAGTTCCTTGGTCTTTCTTTGTATCTTATGACATCAACATTTTTAAATAGCATAGGTTAGATATTTTGTGGAGTTTCTCTCACTTTGGGTTTGTGTGATGTTTCCTTCTGAATAGATTAAGGTTATGTGCTTTTGAGAGTTATACACCAGGAATGATGCTATGTTCCTCTTAGTATATAGTATCAGCAGACACAGTATATCAATTTGTCCCATTACTAGTGATGTTATTGTCAGATTTCTCCACTGTAAAGATACTATTTTTCCTTTTGCAACTGACAAGTATTTTAAGAGTACATAGCCATCCTGATACTCCTTAAACTTTCACTCACAGCACTTACCATACAGTGTAGATTCCTGTCTGAATCAATGCTATAAAGGTTTCCAAATGATGATTTTCTAATTTCATTATTTCTTCTATACTTATTAGCAGTCTCTCTACTTTAAGGAAGAAATTTCCCTTCTCTCCCATTTTTAAATTTACATCATAGGTTCTTCTTTTATTCTGTGGGTTATAATTTGTTGCCATAGTTATTTCTTTTTATGCCTAGATTGCTGACTGGGGTCAGCAAGAGCCCTACAATTTGGTGCGTGTTTCTGTTGACATGTTTCTCAGCATTTTTGGGCATGTCCTCACTTGCCAGCACAACATGATGTTCCAGGCTTATCTTGTCCTTTTCCCAGCCCCAGGCCAGGAATCAGCCATCTCCAATGAGCCAAGTAAAACCATGGCATATTTAAGAGAAAGGGCCACAGGCATAATCATGGCGGGTATAAACTGAAACTGACCTAGAAATGCTGGGTCATATTCCCAATCTACCACTAGATGTCCTTCCACACCTCAATAGTTCTTCACAGGAAGCAGTCCTGGGGCATTTGGAAATGGTGGGATATTTGGAGTTATCACAAAGACTGGGGCAGCAGGGGTTACTTCTGGCATTTAGTAAGCACAGCCCAGGCATGCCAAATTTCCTGCACAGGACCATCTATCCTAACACAGAATTGCCCCATAAGTAGCAATCCTGTTAATAAATAGTGGCCCAATCCCTGAACTAATCTATCTTGTGTTCTAGTCTCTCAAGGATTGGCTTAGTTCTTTTCACCTTATCCGCCATCAGTTAATTTAATCACCACTGTTTCCATAGTGAGAATCTAATATATTAGACTGATCAAGTGTGTTAATCAAATATATTGGATTAGCTGGCATGCATTATAGCAAATAAAATAGCCAGTCTTCATTTTAGATCTAGTTTAAAGAAAGCCTCTACTTCTTATGTGTCAATTTTTGCAGAAAACATTATTCTAGCAAGTTGGCAAGGAGTCTAGGACTTATGTTAAGACACACCATCTCATCCCCAGTTCTTGCAGCTCTCTGTCTAGTTATTGGCCCTATTCATTGCATCAGCACCAACAACAGCTACCCAGGTTTTATAGGGCAAGCATTTTACTAAACATTTTACATAAACTATCTCATTTAACCTTCACAGTAGCCCTATAAATCAGGCATTCTTATTACAATTTTACAAAGAGCCCTGGATTCCGTGTGGTCAGTAGCAAGCCCAAGATAGCACAGCTGTCATGTAGCAGAGCCAACATTCAAAATCCCACAGTCGGGCTCCAGTAGCCATGCTGTGTACTGCCCATGCATGTAAGAACATACCCAACACAATGAAAAATAAGAAATGAAATAGAAAGGGCATGGAAAATATCAAATCATAACTGCAGAGGAAAAAAGTCAAATTTAAGCTTAGAGTTACTGCAAAGTTACTGCAACCCATCATATTTTATTTTGTGCTTCCTAGTTAGTGGCTAAAACTAAGGGCAAAACTGACTAAATATAATTTGTTGTAATCTTGAGGGAAATGCACAGCAAGATGTTTCTTGATCAAGAAAACTGATACTACGGAGCTTTATATTCAGTACTTTGATGAAACAGCACTAAAATGTCCTCAATAACATCTCTACAAAGAATCAGTGATTCTTAGACCTCTAAGAGGAGCCAGTGTGATGCCTAAACATAGGCATGTAGGCTACTTGACAGACAGACTCAGCATAGCAGTCATCATCACGTAGTAATTTCTAGCATCCTAGTAGCTTTCTCACTGGCTTTAGTTTTGAATAAATGGGATTTTTGCTAAGATCTTACATTATGCAACAGAGGCAACCACAAAGACCACCCCTAGAAAATGAAATGATCTTGGGCCCCTTCCTCCCTTACCTCCTGCTTCACACTGCATTCTTTGGGAAGCGGATGCTGAAACAGAGTCAGGTATACAAAAATCTGGGGAGAAGTCACTCCTGTGAAAGCAAAGGGAAGAAGTAAGATTGGGCTGGAGGACCCATCAGAGCCTGACATTAACCTGACAGTCTCTGGCAGCTCAGGAATCCTTTAGGATTTCCATGTTGGGTATAAATGATTAGACTCTTCTACTATAACTTAGTCATTGGTAGAGGTTGTACCAAGAATAGCATGATCCCAGCTAAAAAGCTGAGGCAAACCCTGAGGAATCTAACAGCTGGAGGATGTCAGCAAACCATATACCTCACAGCTGGACAGCAAGGTCTTTCTTGAAGGGGGATCTGAGCAGCATATCTCTATGTCTGCCTCATTTCCCTATGTACAAGCGTGTACCTGATTGCAGCAGAATGAGATGAGAAACAAATATTTTTTTGTTACAATTTACCACTTCCATCTCAGCCTGCTACCCCTTAGCTCTCCTTGGGCAAAGGGAAAAAGACATTTGAAGAGCCTGCCTCTTGGATAAGTGAAAATGGAACTCTCCTCTCCTTCTCTTGGATTTCTAAACATCCCAGATCATTTCTGTGAATTCTTTTTATTAGGAAAATAGCATCCTTTAAAAGAGAAAACAAGTTGTCTATGTCTTATATTCAGAGTCAGTTTGAGCCCCATGTTGTGCAATGATCTTGTGCAATGATAATTACATGCTACCATGCCTCAAGAAATTTCCCCTTAAGTGGAGTGAGGAGGAGAAATAGTGGAGGCTCAATGTCTTGTTTTAAGAAAACACCTGTTATTGCTGAACCTGATGCTTGTGCTTATGAGCACAGGAGTTTTTTGTGGCCCAGCAATAACCAACAACTCAGGTAGGCCAGTTGCCTCATTTAATGAGCTTCTTGGTTTCTGAATACAACAGAGGCAAAGAGAGTAAGTTTTACGAGGACTTGGGTTTCCTTAATTAGACACAAGCTTTTTATTTGGTTGGGGGAACTAATGGAGAAAGGGAGACACTAGCGGCATTTGTAACTTGTTAAGACTAATTGAAAATCTTAGGACCAAAGCTTTCTGTGAAGAGAGTGCTCTAATGAGAATAAATGTGATGATTATTTACCTAATTGAGCAGTAATGACTGAGGTGTGAGCCACTTCCCCAGGATTAATAAAGAGCCGGGGAGTTGACAGTTTAGACCATTAGGCTTAGCTGGTACTTCATCTTGGCGAAGGACACAGTGCCAGAATCATATTAATATTGTAAAATGAGCCCAAAACATAGACATATACTTTTGGAGAAATAATTTTAATTGGCTAAGTACCTGACATCAGGTTGGGCCATTCAGTTTTATCATTAAACAAAGTTTCACACAAGTTCTTCAAGACTTGTGCCATTTACAGTGTTCTCAGCATTCAGTGTTTAAAAAAGAAAAGTAGAAGAGGGACCTTTATCAATATCAAAAATAGTTTTTTGTGCAACCAAAAGCAAGCAAGCTATTATTATATATACACACTCGCTTTAAAAACAACACTAAAGACATTGAGTTGAGCTGGAAGCATTGCATACTCTGAGATACACAGTTGATATTGTTACCCACAGTGTCCCTTCAGGAAAGCCAGAGGTCATCTGCAACACCACAATTAAGGATAAAAGGACCTTATATTATCAGAAATTTCAATGTCTTCATAAAAATTGTGTTTATATTCAATATCTCCCTTATTTAGTGTGACAAATGTTCATGTACGAGTCATCTCAAGAAAAAGAGTTACTCAGCTTGCTACGTATTCATTATTCTATGGCTCTGCTATGCAGGGGAAAGTGCAAACAGCAACTGAGAGAAAGCAGGAATCTAAGACATGGGACTCAACTTGCCCTTTACACAGGGTGAATCCTACACTAGTGACCTTTGTGTTTTAAGGAAGTTTGCAAATATGTTTAATTGGACAACATTTCTTCCTTTATCTAGCAAGCACTGAGTATCTTGCCAGGCACTATGAAAAAAGATAAAACTATAAACATGAGCAAGGCACAGCCACTGCCAATCAGAAGCTTACAATCTAGCAGAGATCTTAAAATGCAGGGAGCTCTTTTAGAAATCTGCTTAGGGATCAAAATTTCCAATCACACTTTTCCTTCCAGCATCTTTATTCTGTAATCATTATTTTAATCTTCATTGAACGAGATGATTAATGTGGTTCCATCTGCTGTATGAAATCACCCATGCTACAGTCAGCCAATCAAGCAACAGCAGTAATAATGTACTACTTCATTTAATGGAAATTTACCAAGCTGTTACTATGTAATATCACAGTTTTAGGGCCTGGAGAGGTAGAGCTGAACTAAAAATAATAATCTCTGTTATCCCATAGTATAGTGGAATAGGAAAGAAATACAAAAAAAAATAATGTGTTCATGTATTATAGGTACTATAATAGTAGGGTAGGAAGATACACAGAAGTGGGAATAACCAAGCCAATCTCAGTACTCAGAAAAGGTGTTATAAAGGAGGTAACCTTGAATTAAACCTTGAGGAAATGGATATTCTTCAGGTAGAGGTGTATAAAGAGCTTCCCACACCAATGGAGCAGCATAAAGAAATGGCATGGCAGAGTGAACAGTTGGGTATGGCCAAGGAAACTCTCAACTGCATCTTCTTCACTGCCTCAACTGATCACTCAACGCTCTCCATTCTCTCAGCAAACACCCTGACTAACTAAACTCCCATGACTAGCAGGATATTATTAGACTTAACAAACCTGTCAATTTATATGCTTTCCCTTTAGAAAGACTTGACTTTTTTTTAGTGAACTGCAATAGAACTAAGCTCAGGAGATGCAACTATGAAAGATGAAGGAACATTATAAAAATCTCTGCAATGAGATTCTGCCTTAGATTGCTTTGCTGGTATGTCAACTGATTACTCCAATTTAAAGAAACCCAAACTGGAAATTATAAAAGATAAATTGTGAGTGTATTTTATGCAAAAAAGAATCAAATCAAATCAAAGTCTTGGCTCTACATTAAACAAACGACAAAGGCATGTTTGTTTTTATCAAAATGTTTTAGGGTAGATTTGTATGTATGCGTTATTTCTTTAACCAATGTTTTAATCAGTTAAACAGCTGCTATTATTAATGTGCTGGTTGAAAGTGTTTTTCTTAAAGTACAAATTTAAAATAGAATGAGAAAAGATCAGACTTGAGAAGAAGGAAAGTCACAGTAGGACATTTGGAATTTATTCTCTAGACCAGAGGTCTGCAAACTCCAGCCTACAGGCCAAATCCATCCTGCAGCTTATTTTTATAAATAAAGTTTTATTGGATTACAGCCAGGCCCATCCAGTTACAGAATTGTCTATGGTTGCTTCCACTCTACAATGGCAGATTTGAGTAGCTGTTACAGAGACTATACGCAAGTGTGCAGGAGAGTTTAGACCACACCTACAGGAAAGGTATGAAATACTACCCTCCTTCCTAGACACTTCCCCAAACAAAAAACTTAAGTCAGTGTGGGAACAAACACTGTTGCCCCACAGAGCACTAATAAAGGCAGATAAATGACTGAGAAAACCCTATCCCTTGGGGACGGAGGCCAGAAATGGCAACACCAATACCATTGGAAGTCTCCTACTTCTAGGTAAGGACATGAAATTCTCTCATATGCAACACCCATCACAGATACAAGGCAGGAGTTTGATTTTCATGGGGAGGAGGAATTGGAACACTGAGAATACCCCACCCCTAAGGCCCAGGCACACTGGCCTATATGGGTCTGTGGCTGAACTGGGACAAAAGAGAAGCCCTAAAACCACCAGTAGCAAGCATTGAGTAACAAGCAGTAGCAGTATTACAGCAAAACAGGCACAGCTGAAAGCAGAGAGTGGGGCATTAAAACCCTTCAGCGTCTCAGCTACTATGCTAATAGAAAATCCAAAGAAAAATCTGAAGCCCATAGGAGGCTGAGGATGACCCTACTAACAACAAAACTCAAGTCTAGCTAGACTCCTAAGCAGATTGATTTAATACCCCACTCTAACAACCTTAAAGAAGTGTGCCCATTTCCATGCATAAATACTATGTATCTCAATATTTGATATACTCTACACAAAATGTTTGCCATTTAATCAAAATGCATGAGACTCAAAAAGAAAATGCAACCCACTGTTAACAGCCAAAGCAATCAACAGAACCAAACAGAGACATGACTCCAATGTTGGAGCTATTAGACACGGACTTTAAATAAAATAATTACAATGAATAAGAAAAATACATTAAAAATACTTCATGAAAGAGGATATATGGATGGCAAAGAAGCACCTTTAAAAGTGTTCAACAGTTTATACACTATTGATGGAAATGTAAATTAGTTCTTCCACTGTTGGAAGCAGTCTGGAGAGTTCTCAAAAAACTTAACTACCATTTGAATTAGCAATCCCATTACTGGGCATATACCCAAACAGAAGAAAACTGTTCTCCCAAAAGGACGCATGCACTCATATATTCATCATAGCACTATGTATATTCACAATACCAAAGACATGGAATCAACCTGAATGCCAATCAATGGATTGGATTAAAAAATGGAATACTATGCAGTCGTAGAAAAGAATGAAATCATGTCTTTACAGCAACTTGGATGCATCTGGAGGCCATTATCCTAAGTGAATTAATGCAGAAACAGAAAACCAAATGCCACATGTTCTCATTTATAAGTGGGAGTTAAACCTTGGATACACATGGACATAAAGATGGCAACAGTAGAGGGGAAAAGGAAGAACTAGAGCAAGGGATGAAAATCCAGCTATTGGGCATTATGCTCAGTACCTGTGTAATGGGATCAATCGTACCCCAAATCTCAGCACCACACAATATACCCATGTAATAAGCCTGCACATGTACCCCCTGAATCTAAATTAAAGTTGAAATCATTTCTAAAAAAAGAAAAGAAAAATGAACAAATTGAAAATAAAAAGATGTTCAACATGATTAGTCATTAGAGAAATGAAAAATAAAGCCATGATGAAATATCACTACATATCTAGTAGAACAACTAAAAGAAAACACACTGACAGTCCTGAGTGCTAGAAAGTGTGTGCAACCACAGTCTCTCTCATACATTGTTGGTGGGAGTACACAGTGGTGCAGCAACATTGGAAAACTGCTGGGCAGTTTTTTATGAAGTTAAACATATATTTACTTACTCTGTGGCCCAACAATTCCACTTCTGAGTATTTGTCCTAGAGAAATGAAAATTTATATTCACACAAAAACCTGTACATGAATGTTTATATCAGCCTTGTTTGAAATAACAAAAAACTGAAAATAACCCAAACATATTTCAGTGAGTGAATAAACATATTGTAATACATTTATACAATTTAAAACTATTCGGCAATAAGAACAAACAAATGATACACACACCTTAGAAGAATTTCAAAGGCATTATGATGAATTATTTTTTTTTTTTTGAGATGGAGTCTCACTCTGTTTCCCAGGCTGGAGTGCAGTGGCGCAACCTCAGCTCACTGCAAGCTCCGCCTCCTGGGTTCACGCCATTCTCCTGCCTCAGCCTCCCGAGTAGCTGGGATTACAGGCGCCAGCCACCACGCCCGGCTAATTTTTTTGTATTTTTAGTAGAGACGGGGTTTCACTGTGTTAGCCAGGATGGTCTCGATCTCCCGACCTCGTGATCCACCCGCCTCGGCCTCCCAAAGTGCTGGGATTACAGGTGTGAGCCACCGTGCCCGGCCTATGATGAATTTTTTAAAGCTAATTTTTAAAGGTTGCATATTTTGTAATTCCATTTACGTAAGATTCTTAAAATCACAAAACTATAATGATAAAGAACACATTAGTGTTTGCTAGGAAATGGGTGGGTAGGGAGTGTGGCTATAAAGGGATAGCACAAGGGAATTTCTCGACAGTTGTAGAACTGTTCTCTATCCCGACTGTGGTGTTAGTGACATGACCTTATATGTATGTGAGATTAAATTTCATTGATATATGACATGCTTGTAAAAATTGGTGATGTGCAAATAATTCTATAGTTTAGTTAACAGTATTATACCAATGTCAATTTCCTGGTTTTCATCATTATACTGATATTGACCAGGTAGAGCGTACATGGGAAACTTCTGTCTTATTTTTGCAACTTTAATATGGGTCTTAAATGATTTCAAAATAAACACTTTAAAACATTCTCCCTACTAAATAACCATGATTAATAGGTTAAAGTTTCCAGGGGAAAAAAGTGGACAACATAGATGAACAGTTGAGTGATTTCACAGAAAGATAAAAACTATAAGCAAGATTCAAGTAGAAATGTGTGGGGGAAATAAATCACAATAGTAATTCACAGATTTAATTCTAGGAATCGTAGACTTTACACAGCCAGAGGAAGAATTAGGTAATCTGAAGATAGATCCATAAAAATTGCCCAAAGTGAAAATCAGTAAGAAAAGGACAAAGAAAGTGGATGAGGAGAACAAAGTATTTAAAAATGATGGGACAATATCAAATAGTCTAAAATATATGTCATTGAAGTTACAGAAGGAGAAGAGAGAATGGGCAAAAGAAATCTCTGAATGATAGCTGGAATTCTCCAAAAATAATGAAAGCATCAAATCATAGATCCAAAATTCTTAAATAACCTGAAGCAGAATAAATTTTAAAAAGCTAGCTATAACTTATCCAAAGTACCAAATAAAGGTAAAGAAGAAATTGAAGGAAGACAGTGGAAAATATATGAACATATTAAATCAGAGAAATTCTTAAAGAATACAAAATTACAGCTAGATAGAACTAGAATAAGTTCTAGTGTTCCATATTACTGTAGAATTACTATAGTTAACAATAATATATGGTTTCACATAACTAAAAGAATATTGCATGATCCTCACAAAAAAATGATAAATGCTAGAGATGATAGATATGCCAGTTATACTCTGATAACTATATGTACTGAGACATCACCATGTAGCCCCATGAATATGTACACTTATTTTGTCATTTTAAAAATTAAATTAATATAAAGAGGTAAAGACAAGAATTATAGCTGACTTCTTATCTGAAGCAATTAAAGCCAGATGATAAAACATATCTTCAAAGCCAGCTGGGGGGACAACTATCACCCAGAATTCTACATCTAGCAAAAATACCTGTTTAAAATGAAGATACAATAAGGACTATTCAAAATTTTTGTAATGGGAGAATTCCTTACCAGCAGACCTGTACTTTAAGAAACATTAAAGAAAGTTCTTCTGACAGAGGAATGTGAAACCAGACCGGAAATTTTATCTACAGAGAGATGTGAAGAACTCTGAAAATAGTAAAAATAAAGATTAATATTAAAAGCCACATTTTTCTTAATGTTAAATGACTCTAAAATGTAATTGACTACTTGAAGAAAAATTGTAGCAGTGAGATTTATAACCCATGTAAAATTTAAATGTCTGATAACAATAGCACAAAGTTTATGAGGAATTTGAATGTCTAAGTCTTCACAATATGTAAGAATTTGTATAATATTATATAAAACATCTAATACTCAGTCTTTACTTGCTGCAGGGAAGATCAATTTGGCAGGTCCAGCACTGGAATTACCATTTAGATTAGTTAGGAAACTGCGGAAGTTCAAGAAAGAAATCATCAGTACCTAGAGTATGCCAAATAATAGTAAGAATACAGAGAGGATTCAAATTTGAGATCTACTTAATAAGGTAAAATAAGGAGGATGCGGTGACTGAGTATTGAGATGTTCTGAATGTGAGGTAGAGGGAAGAGTCTACTATGTATTATGGGTTCCTGGCTTGGGTGTCCCTAGCAGACAGTGGTGCTATCAAGTGAGTCTGAGGAGAGAGGAGGATAGGATCATTAATATGAAAAGTTAATGAGTTTGGATTTTAACTGGGGTTTCAGGCAATTTACATGTAATGTTATTATTGATGTGTTTGGATTGAAATCTACCACTGGTTTCTTGCTTTTATTTGTTCCATCTATATTTTTCTTCCTTTTTTCCTTCTATTTCAGCCTGGATTAATTGAGCTTTTTATGATTTCATTTTGTCTCCACTATTGGCTTATTAATTATGCCTCTTTTTCTATTTCTTTTAATGTTGTCCTAGGCTTCACAATGTACATCCTCTCTACATTCCTACAGTTATTTAACATACGTTTCTTCCTTGAACTTCTGCATAGTTTCCTAATTAAATGGTAATTCCAGTATTGGACCTAACAAATTGATCCTCACCACAGCAACTAAAGAAATCTATTTATAATACATGTTTGGAGACATAAACATTCAACAACTCTCACAGTATAAAAAAATACATCCTCTTTTAATTGGCATGTGAGACCCAGAAGTCTGGATTCTTCTTGTTTCTGCAGACCCATTTTTGCCACTTCCTAGCTCCTATTTAGGCTTCAGCAATAACAAACAGATGCTTAATATACACAAGCCAAGTAGTTTCTCATCTCCATAACTTTGTTCATGCTGTTATATGTGCCTAGAATCAATATTCTGCATTCCTTTCTCACCTGACCAATCCTCACTGAAAAGCTCAGCTATTGCCCCATTCTTGACTTCTTCCTTGTCCACCCGCTTTTGTGCTCCAACTGGAACCCCATTCATGTTTACAAGAAACACTCAAAGGACAATAAAGCCTGTTGTGACTCTACTTCGGCTTTTCTGAGTATTAAAATTTCCTAAGATCTTTCACAGGACAAATTTTTAAAAGCAAGAGTAATACATGGAGGTGATTAAGCCTTTAAAGTGTACCCTTTGTTCCCAAGGTCTTGTTAATTATCATTTAGGAGCAGTTTATCTGCAATGTGCTCAATTACTTAGGTAACTAAATAGCTTTTTACTGATCAGCATTGAACATCATTTGCTTAATAGCAACTAACAAATGCGGTGGCAGAATTCCACTGATAGTCTACTTTCAGAAATAGGCTTATTTAAGATTGAGCTCCAGGGGAAAAATAGATTCTAACAGAATAGATTATTGTTATTTACATAACCACTTAGGTCTAGAGAAACAAAATAATCTTTCCGTTTTTTAAAATTAAGGAATCAGTAAGCCAAAAGAGAATATCCAAGTAACTCCCAAGTCCATTCCGTTCATTCATCCAGTCCATTTGTGCCATGAAAATCTTCATGACATTCCTATTTGATCAATCACAACTCACAGCTCTCAATGACTGCTCACATCTGACCTTCTCAGTAAGGACTTTTCTTATAGCTTAGAACAGTCATAGGATTTTTCCTCTCCAAGCTTTTGACACTTTGGATTATAGATCCCATGTGCTTGCCAATGCTTTTTTTGTTAACTGTAGAAAAATAAAAAGCAAATACAGACAGGCGAAAGACTCAGAGGGTCACATAACATTGTATGGTGAACTATACCATGTGAATGGTCAAGGAAAGCTTCTGGAGCATGGGACATATTAGCTAGGTGTTGAAAGAAAAATAGGAATTCAATAGGCTGGAAAATGGGGGGAGGGTATTTCAAGCAGAGGGAACACCTATCTAGATGCACAAATGTATGATCAATATGGTGTTCAACATTGAAATGCCACATGGGGACCTGACAAGAGGTAGTTGTATTAGTTTGTTTTGTGCTGCTGTGATGGAATGCCACAGACTGTATAATTTATAAACAGAAATTTATTAGGACACAGTTCTGGAGGCTGGGAAGTCTAAGGTCCAGGTGCCAGAAAGTTCAGTGTCTGGTTAGGTCATTCTCTTCCAAGATGGTGCCTTGCATGCTGCCTAGATCCTCACGTGGCAGAAGGCCAAAGGGAGAAAGAGGATGAGCCCATTCACTTTTTATAATGGCATTAATCTATTCATGAGGGCTCAACCTAAATGCTTCCCATTAGGCCCCACTGTCACATTGGGAATTAAGTTTCCAACACACCAATTCTTGGGCACACATTCAAACTGTAGCAGTAGGCAAAGCCAAATAGTGGAAGGCTTTTATTCTAAGCTGTGGGACTCAGCTTTATTCTGTTAACAGTGAAGATGCAGAAAGGGCGAGATGCAGTGGCTCATACCTGTAATCCTAGCACTTTGAGAGGTTGAAGTGAGTGGATCACTTGAGCCCGGGAGTTCAAGACCAGCCTGGGCAACATAGTGAGATCCCGTCTCTATGAAAATTTTTAAAAAGTAAAAGTTAGCTAGGTGTGGTGTCACGTACTGTTCCCAACTACTCAGGAGGCTGAGGCAAGAGGATCACTTGATCCTGGGAAGTTGAGGCTGCAATAAGCCATGATCACACCACTGCACTCCAGCCTGAGTGACAGCAATACCCTGTACCACTTCCCCACCAAAAAAGATGCACAAAAGGGAGATTTATCTCCCTAGTTTTCTAAAGGAGCAAAAGCAACTTCTGTGGGTGGAATAGCCCTATAAGTAGAAGGGGCCAAAAGATAAAAAGGGCAACCAAAGAAGGGAATGAGGGGATGAGAAGAAGACAGGGACTCATATCTGCACATTAGTCTAGGGAATAAAGAAGAAAAGACACAACATCAATCTAAAAAGAAATAAATGAAAACAATAAAAGGCAGTGTTGAAGGCAGTCGAGCACTGACTTCTATAGTATGGGTTAAAGCCCAGCTTCACCTCTAACTTTCTCTGAAATCTTAAAATGTTCTAACCTTTCTTATTTTGTTCATCTATAAAATGGAGATTTTATCTCAGTTTGTTGTGAGATTAAACAAGTTAATGATTCTAACTACTTAGAACCTTGCCAAGGATATAATAACTGCTTAATAACCCCTCACAATCATGTTCTGTGTTCTAGAGAAGTCAGGTTAAGGGTAGTAATTCTCTTTTAAACCATGAAGTCTACCTAGAGTTATGTAGGATGTCACCATTGGGGGATGCTTTGCGGTAGGCACATGAAACCTTTCTGTACCATTTATTGTAACATCTTGTGAGTCTCTAATTATTTCAAAATAAAAGTTTTATTTTGTTTTGTTTTTCTTAAAGCCTTTTCAAACCACAATGGCAATTCATTCAAGCATGTTCTCAGCACTTGCTGCATGCCATACCCTGAGCTCCTTCTGTTCTAACATTAGTAAACCTCATTTTCCAATATTCAGAAAGCAATTAACCAAATGACAGTGTGACTTTCCATTTTTACTATTGCTCTTTAGCAGAAACATAGCAATAAAAATAAACTATTGGAAATGAAATTATGAGTATCCTAGATTAATCCCCAAAGTTGCAGTTTCTTTTGTTGTTCAGCTGTTTGATTTTCTAAGAGCCTGAACCCAGCCAAGTGCATACTCTATTTCTGAGCAGAGTTCTGCCCAGTTCTCTGTCTGACTAGAATTGCACAGAAACCACAAATCTCTCATAAAGCCTAATGGTGTTTCTCAACAGAGGCATGATTGGAATTCTGAGCTGGATAATTTAATACTAGGGTACAGCCCATGGGTAGTACAGAAAAGAGTCAATACTTGCCTTGTCTTTGTACAACCAGGATGTATGTCTGCATGACAATAATGAAGACTCAATTTCAGCCCCCATTCACCCTTCCACAACAGCAGGGGCAGGGCACCCTAGAGCATAAATAATCTGAACAACCCTGTGTTGGGGGCCTGCTGAAGATGCTTAACATCCCTGGCCCCATCCACTAATTGTCTGCCATCAATCACAACTTGACAGTTACAAGTAAATTGCCTGTGTTCTCCCCATATGCCTGCCTTTCTCATTGTGTAAAAACAGCTCTACCTCCATCTGCTAGTCACTACCAATCACTCTTGCCAAGATGGTGACTCCTCTTCTTGCCTGCTAGTCCCTAGACACAAAGAGTCCAAAGTGCCCTGGTGGCAGCCATAGCTTTTAGTTCAATGGTACCTTTGCTATGTTCCCTGGCAGAAGTACACTTCCTTTGGTGACCAGGACCTCCAAGTTGAAGAGCACAGAGGTGCAGATGAAGAAGTGCAAAGCCCGTTAGTGGGTCAATGGGAGTGATGTTAACTTAGGCCATTTCTTCCTGTACCCCTTGATTCTAAGACCTATGTATACTTCCTGTTAGGGACCCAACACCATGAAGTGGGCTCTGATTTAACACATATGCTGCACTTTAAAGGATGGGACCCTAAACTTTCAGAGCATTACCTTTAAGTGGCACTTCATATGTTCCTTCAGTAGTTCATTCTAGGGCTCTAAAAGTACAGCTACTTCTGTCTGGTGAAGTATGTAATACAAACAGTAGGTTCTAGGATCAAGAGCTATCCTACACCCCCTTCACAATTAAGTGGGTCCCCTGATCACATACTATGTTGTGGGATTTCCATTCTTGTTTGGTAATCTAAAAGCCCCCAGATAACAGTTAGCTGTGTTGACTATGACTCAGAGATCAGGAAAGGAAAGCTTATACCCAGAATAAGTGCATCATTGGAAGGATGGACAGCTGGCTGATGCAGGACAGAGGGGAACCAATGTAGTCAACTTGCCACAAATCAACCAGTCGAATCTCCTGAAGACCTAGTAACCTATTGAGGGCTCCTTGTTGGTCTCTCTTGTTAGCAAGTTGGACATTCAAAATCAGCAGTAGCTAGATTTACCAGGATAATTGGTAGTCCATTTTATTGGCTAATGAGTAGTCTTGCTCTCTGCCACTGTGGCCACTCGATTCATGTGCCCATCATGCCAGTACTTAATCCAAAGACAAAGCCTGGATAATGTCAACTGGACAAGTTATCTTGTCTATTTGTTTTTTCAGTGCTTCTTGTGTACTTGATGCTTTCCAATTAGTGTTAAACGCATGACACAAAAATCTTCACACATTGTGCCCACTCCCATAGTCCCAACCACATGTCTCTGTCTCAGACTCTTGTTTCCAATCTCCAAGTCCCTTTCATTCAGGTCCCTGTCCACACAGCTAGACTATTGGCTACTGTGCAGAAACCTATACATATATTCACACCTTAGGCCAATTTTTCTTCCACACGAATAGATAACCATATTCATTGCTTGCAGCTTCATTCATTGGGAAGACCTTCCTTCTCCACTGTCTTCCAAGGCTACCCCATAATTCAGCTGTACTTCAGTGATCATCTATTTTTGCTTTACAGCTACTTAAGGAACTAACCCATTGTCAGCCAGGATTGGCCTTTTACCTCCCTTTCAGCTAGTCATAGAGAACCCCCATATAGCCATAAGTGTGAGCTATGCAAGGGCACTGGTACAACCCTGGTGGGTGACATGGAGGCATCTGTGCTACTTGCTCATGCAGCCTCTTCATGCCAGTCTAGTCCCATATGGGTTTGATCCCAGATGTGCCATTTCCATTTTCCAATAGAAGGCTGTGGGACACGTCTGAGTGTATGACTTAGTGCATTGGCAATAATCTAGCTCATAATGGTCAGTTCCAAATACATTTGGTGCCCCATTATCAGCTGTTCCATCTTGACCAAGGCTCAGCAACATTCTAGGAAGGGTTTCTCAAAAGGTGTATAACTTTGTACTGAAAATGGATGGCATTGCTTCAGAGCCCTAGGGGCCTGCATTCTGATTCTTTCGCTTGGGCATCCATCAACTCCAAACTGTATCTTTCCCCACTAACACATTCAGCACCATGGGGTCCACCAGATCATATGCCTCAAGTAGTAGGGTTGCTTATACTGCAGCCCATACATGCTGCAGAGCCCTTTCTTGCTTTCTTGCTCCAGGCCCACTCAAAGCTGTGAGACTTCTATGTAGTTCAGTATATGGGACCAAAAATATTCCTAGATGTGGAATGTGTTGCCTCCAAAACACAAAGAGGCCTACCAGGTATCTTGCTCTATTTATTGAGATTGAGAATGTAAGATACAGCAATTTAACTTTTACTTGAAAATGCAGTGGTGGGAGTGGTATTCTAGCAGACTTTCACTACTGAACCACTAAAAACTTTACCGATGTGGCATGTTCCTGAATTTTCACAGGGTTTGTCTCTCACCCTCCAGAGTGTATGTGTCCTACCAATGCCTCTAATGTATTAGACACTTCTTGTTGACTCTTAATGACATCTTTGATGTAAATGGATCAATGTGATATTCTACAGAATGTTCAGATGGTCCATGTCTCTTCAGACCTTATTATGACAGATGTTTGAAGAGGTAACATAGCCATGGGCAAAGCAGAAAACGAATATTATTGTCTGTTTCATGTGAATACAGACTCTGATTTTTTGGATGTGTCTTTGTCTGGTTTTGGTATCAGGATAATATTGGCCTCGTAGAATGAGTTTGGAAGTATTCCCTCCTCCTCTATTTTTCAGAATAGTTTGAGTAAGATGATATTAGTTCTTCATTAAATGTTTGGTATAATTCAGCAGAGAAGCCATCAGTTCCTGAACTTTTCTTTATTGGAAGACATTTTATTATAAGTTCTTGTTATTTGTTATTGGTCATAGTTCAATCTTGGTACATTGTATGCATCTAGGAATTTGTTCCTTTCTTCTGTAATTTCCAATTTATTTACAATTTATTTATTTGAGTCTTCTCTCTTCTTTATTAGTCTGGCTAAAGGTTTGTCAATTTTGCATGACATTTCAAAAATCCAACTTTTTGTTTCATTGATATTTTGTATTGTTTTCTTCATCTCAATTTCATTTATTTCTGCTCTGATATTTATTATTTATTTTCTGCTACTAATTTTGAGTTTGTTATGCTCTTCCTTTTCTAGTTCTTTAAGATGCATCATTAAGTTGTTTATTTAAAGTTTATCTTCTTTTTCAATGAAGGTACTAATAGCCATAAACTTCCCTCTTAGTGATTTTGCTGTATCCCATAGATTTTGGTATGTTGTGTTTCTATTATCATTTGTTTCAAGAAACTTTTAAATTTTCTTCTTAATTTCTTCATTGACCCACCAGTCATTCAGGAGCATATGGTTTGATTTCCATGTATTTGTATAGTTTCCAAAATTCCTCTTGTTATTGATTTCTAGTTTTATTCCATTATGGTCAGAGATGATGCTTCATATTATATTATTTTATTTTGTTTTAATGTTTTCAGGCTTTTTAGTGATTTAACATATAGTCTACTCTTGAGAATGACCCATGTGCTGTGGAAAATAATGTGTATTCTACAGCTGTTGTTTGGTCTATAGCGCAGATTAACTCTCGTGTTTCTTTACCAATTTTCTGTCTGGAAGATCTGTCCAATGGTGAAATTGTGGTGTTGAAGTCTCCAGCTATTATTGTATGGGGTCTATATCTCTCTTTAGCTCTAACAATATTTAATTTATATGTCTGGGTGTTCCAGTGTTGGGTGCATATATATTTACAATTGTTATATTCTCTTGCTGAATTGACCCCTTTTTCACTATATAGTAACCTTCTTTATCTCTTCCTATAGTTTTTGTCTTGAAATCTATTTTGCCTGATATAAGCATAACTAGCCCTGCTCTTTTGTGGTTTCCATTGACATGGAATATCTTTTCCCATCCCTTTATTTTCCGCCTACATATGCCTTATGTCTTTATTGGTGAAGTGTGTTTCTTGTAAGCAACAGATCATTGAATCCCTTTTGTTTTTTCAATCCGTTCAGCCACTTGGTGACTTTTGATTGGCAAGTCTCAGAGTCTCATCCAAAGTCTTCAATGTACCTGGGTATTGCTGCTGGTTATTCTGAGCCCAGGGACTCTTTAGTTAGCAGGTGATGAATGTTGCCAGGACTATGTCCTTCCCTTCAAGGCAGTAGTTTCCCTTCTGGCCTAGGGCATGTCTAGAAATGCCATCCAGGAGCTAGAGCTTGGAAAGGCGGCCTCTCAGAGCTGACTAGTGCCCTCTCCTGTTGTGACTGTGCTGGTATCCAAGATGTAAGACAAAATCCTTCCTACTCCTTCCTTCTCCTTCTTCTCCTTTCCTTAAGTGGAAGAAAGAGACCTCTTTTGGAGCTGTGAGAATTGCAGCCTGGGGTTAGGGGAGGGGTAGTGCCAGAACTCCCTTAGCCACCCAAGCTGGTATCTCAGTAGTCCATGTGCCTCCCCAGTGTACTGGCTCTGGGCCCAGTTCAGAACTAGAACTTGCTTGAAAGTTGCACTCCTTGTGGCCTAGACTGACTTTCAAGTGTATTTAGAGCCCTAGAGCACTTTAGCTTGCAGTGGTAAGGCTTGTGGGAACTCAAGTTCTGACCACCAGGATTGGTGATTTCCTTTTGGCTAGAGCTAATATAAATGCTGTCTCCATGGGGTGGGGCATCAGCTGAGTTTGGCCCAGTTTTCTTTTATGCTATAATAGGACAGCACTAAGTTCAATGCCTCACAATTGCTGTGCTTTTCTCCCCTGGCACCTAGGAATGCTCTCCACACCCTGCTGCCATTGGTGGGGGATGGGAGAGGGGTGGCGTCAGAGATTTAAAACTGTTTTTTTTTTTTTTCTACTTCTTCAGTGCCTCTTTCAGCAATATGAAGTTAAAACCAAGCACTATGAGAGCTCACCTGATTTTTGGTGCTTACAAAGCTACTTTTTTTGTGTGTAGATAGTTGCTAAATTAGTGTCCTTGCTGAGGGAGGAAGAGGGAACGATCAGTGGAACCTTCTATTCTGCAACCTTGCCTGCAGCACTCTTTTGAGAAAGATTCTGGATTACGTGATAAATTAGTGATGTCTGTCATGGAGGGGTGAGGGGCAGTTTTTAGACATATAGCCTATCTTGCCATTTCTGCTATAAACATCTGCACAGCTTGTACAATCTGTAACTATAGAATTGAGTACAGATGACCTGCCCACAAGAGGAAAAATGTCCTGATCTTGGCCTTAGTGCCTCTGTAATTCAACCAAGTATATTAATTAAATGGATAGATCATACACTTGCTGTTTCCCAAGTGTAGAGGTTGAAAGTGGAAAGGAGAAGAAAGCAAAGAAAACTGGGAGGAGGGGCACTAAGACTGGGCATAAGGAGAAACAAGAGGTCCAATTTGCAAAATAATGGGTGTAGTAAGGGGAATTTTGAAGTATTCTCCAAAGATAACGATTTTGCTTTTCTCAATTTTGTCCTCTTGATTCTCACACAGTGCTTTCTTTAGTACAGACCTACATACCCCGAAAACTTCTGTTCTGTGACTTAAAAAGTCAACTCTATGATTAGCATGATTCCTCTTCAGTCATTACTGAAATTCTTCCTAGGTGGTTACATTTAAGTGGTAAGAAGCTTCAGTAATATAAGTCAAAGAACTCCTACCTTGCTTTGCATTTCCTCAGTGGCCATCTGATAAAGCAGGAAGGAAAAAAATTAAAAATGAACCTCCCCAGGATTTCATTTCTATTGTGGCTTAGCTGCAAATTTGAAAAATAAAAATAAAAATAAACCCTGAATGTAAGCACTTGTACGTTTTTGTTAGATTCTTTCACAGGACTGGTCAACATCTTGACAGATATTAATTGGCGATTCACTGGAGACTTCACGGCACCTGACCTGGTTTGCCGAGTGGTCCGCTATTTGCAGGTATGTCACACCTTCCAAATGTGATGAGACAAACTGATACCAGAGTTAGCTTTTAGATTTATCTAAGGAAAATCATATAAAACCTTGCATTCCTATGCATCAAACTGCCCGCTTTCTCCTGGGTAGAAGGGCAATGAAAATTTGATTTTTAATGTATTTCCTTTGCTAAAAATAGTATCTATATAAAGAAAACACAAACGAGCCACAAATGAGCAATGCTAAGGACATAAAGCATTCATATTTCAAATGTTAAATAAAATGTCTGGGTCAATATTAAGGATTTTGGCATATTGTGGATAATCTCCAAAAAGTTTGTTAATTATATTTACCTTTCACTTCTCAAATGAACTCAACGCTGGCTACTGCTCTTTTTTGTAAACCAAGGGGAATTTGTTGGAACATAACCATTAACTATTGAATTACTGCCTAAATTATACTTTTTAAAGTATCTATTGGCATTTGAATTTCTTCCTCTCAAATTTCCTATTTTCCTTTTTGAATGATTTTATAACTGAGAGACTTTTTAGTTTTTCTAAGATCTATTTTTAGATTAAAGATATTGATGCTTCAAATGTCAATCTGCTTCATTGTAAGCCATATTTATGTATCATATGTATATTTGATTTAAAATATTACATATATACATATTTACATATATACATACTTGTTAATATGCATTAGATGTTTATAATATAGATTTAGACACTTCAACTAAGTCTGGAAGGAATGGATTATTTCATAACTGGTATTAGGTTTGATGTGCTGTTTCTGAGTTCTTAAGATTATTTTTTATTAATATATTTTTATTCTGATGCTAGTACTTCAGGTCTAAATTATTATAGCTTTATGTATATATAATGCATTTCTAGAAAGCTTTATCCTGCTAGATTCCATTTGTTAGTAGACTCTTTTAGGATCTTTGTATATATATTCATAAGTAAAATTTTAATTTTTTTCATTGGTTTTATTATTTTCAGGTCATGGTAATGAAGTTATTCCATATTCAGAAAATGAATATGGAATAGTTACAATCTTCTTTTGTGCTCTGAATATAACCTTGAAAGTTTGGTATGTCTGAAAGAGCCTTTTCTATTATGTACGGCTAGTATTTTCTCAGGGGAAATTTTTAAAAACATATTTCAATTTCTTTCTGAGGATATTTGCTTCCTTGTAAATAAATGCTTTCAATTGCTTATTATATTAGCAATCAATTGCTGATACACAAATTATGACAAAACATGGTGGCTTAAAACAATAAACATTTATTATCTCACAGTTTCTATTAGTCAAGAATTCAGGAACAGCTTGGCTAGGCAGATCTGGATAAAGGCTTATCAAAAGGTTCGGTCAGATGCTTTGTGGTACTGTAGTCATCAGAACGCTTGGCTGGGACTGGACAAGATGGATCACTCACATAGGTGGTAAATTAGTACTGGCTTTAGTGGAATACTCAGTTCTCCACATGGGCCTCTCTATAGGTACATTTTAGTGTCCTCACAACATAGTAGCTGGCTTTTCCAAGAATAACCTATTCAAGTGACTGAGGTGGAAGTGGCAACATATTTATGAACTAGTCTCAAAGGTCATACACCATCACTTTCATATGATTATTTTGGTTGTACAAATCAACTTGGATTCAGTATGGGAAAAGAAGAACCACAAAACTAGGAAGTAAGGATTATTTTCGACATGTTGGAGGTTGGCAACCACACTATCTTCATATTTTTCCAAAGCATTTGATAACCTATGGTTTCTCCCAATTGTTAACTTTAAAATGTCTTCTTGATTTAGAAATATTCATGTCAGTAAAATTTTTTCTAACTGTATCTACAATAAATGTTAAGACTATATATAAAATATATCTTTTGACATAGGGAAAACGATAGAGAAAGAAATTCTGATAATTCTCTCTTCTATAAAGGAAGCAAGAAAATTGGCAAAAAATATCAGAATCAAATTTGTAAAACTCTGGAAATTAACCAAACACTTGCAATTACTCAGGGAGCATTTATTCAGGAAAATGGCTGAATCTCAGTGAGAAAAATGAGCTTTGCGGTGCTTTGGCTTGCATTATTCTCAGCCCCCAGTATCCAACTCTGTAACAGCCTTAAAAAGTAATAGCTCTCATTCATAGTGAAAACAAATTGTCTGGCAGCCACTGTAGAAAGCAAAACAGGGACAGAGCCCTTTCAAATTCCCAAGAAATTGCCATTATTTGACATGTCTGGCAGTTCTCTGGAAGACTCCACTTGCAAGGCTGTCTTTATTTTACTTAAATCAGAACTCACCCACTGTGAAAAACGTTTCTCCTCTGGGCATTCGTCAAAACAGTTACAGGCAATTGATTAACTTTGCTTATGACAAAGGTATTGGATAATAGTCAGGGAAAACAACAGACTAACCAAAGCTTAAGAACATACGCTGAGTAATGAGATATCCATAGGGGATTTGAAAATCTCTGACATACTCCCAAAAATCTAGAAGACCAGGTATATGCCCAGGACTATGCTCATCCTAAGGAAAAAATAGAGAAGGCACTGAGCTGTAACCTGTGAATGATCTTGAGGCTTTGTGCAAGCAGGAAGTGAGGGCAAAGACAGAATTGTAAGTTGCCTGGCTAAGTGTCAAAATCATGCTCCAACATTCACACAGACTTCCTCTGCAATGAATGGGGGAATTAATAGTTTCTAGAATGTAAGAAAATCTCTGTTTAGGACCTATCACCAAGATCATGGAGTAGGAGATATTCATCCCTCCAAAGCATTCAAGTATAGACAGCTATTCACAAACTAAAATAGCCCAGAGAGGACTCAAGGGCCCATTAAAGAATTTGCAGCAACATCGTGAAGGAAAAAATGGAGAATAACCACATAGAAAGAATTGCTGGTGTGATTGGCACACCTAAGAGGCCATGATTTGGCTAGGAACAAAGAAGAAAGGTGGAAGCTATCAGTATTAGACACAGAAAGGACCAACATTGTCTCTAGTGGCCTGCTCCACAGGAGACACTAGCATCTTTTCCCACTGAGTAACCAACAGTCATTCCTGCAAGAGAACCCCAGAGGGGGAGATGTGGCTATACCTTCCTCCTATCCCCCAAGAAGCAGTTGCTGTCGAGCTGCTTTGGGAATGGGGTCACCACCTCTCCCAACCATGTGTAAGCTCCAGCCCTGGAGCCATGGCCACCCTGGGAATGCCCACACTCCAGACTGATAGTCTGACTACACTGGGCTCACCCATGTTTTTAACATCACAGCCAGCACCATAGTAAGCTAGTTAACACTCCAAGCCCCAGTGTTAAACTCTGCCTGCATGTGTCCACACTCCAGACACTGACTTAACCACCATAGAGAGCTAGCCCCATCCAGGCCTCAGAGCCATTATAATTCTGTGCATACCTGTGCTCTCATTCTTGTCTCCTTGACTAATTTATACGTATACTATTACCAACATTACAGCAGGGGCACCTGTGCCCTGGGCAACAGCTCAGCCATAGAAAGCTACGCCTTGCCCCAACCCTGAAGCCACTGAAAGACTGTGTTCTCAGCTCCCACACTACTTTGCATGTGCACTCATGCCTCACATACTATACCATGCAGCAGAAGGGGCATCTGCACCTTGAGCACCAATGTCATTACCATTCTAATCCCAGAGCCATAATCTCTCCATGTGAGCCCATGCATCAGACCTCAGTTTCATGGCTACTCCATGAGTGTCACCCATCAGACACTGGTGATACTGCCACTAAGAGAGGCCCTACAAGCCAGATCTAGTACCAAGAGAAATCTTCTCAGCTCCAGCTTCCCTGGTGGGGGGAAAGATCAGAAGAACCTTAGCAGCCATCACCACTGAAGACCCTATCAATTCTTGCTGCTACTGCCAATATCCACTGCTTTGGCCACTGAGGATCCTTATGATCTTTATCAACTCTGACCTGAGCTGAAAAAGCTACACAGAGACTACAAATCTGCACCATCACTGATGCTACCCCACCCAACAAACCCTCCCTCATAGGGCATGGTCTTTCCATAGTGAACTAGTTCATAAAATCTGGAAGGTGATTCTTTTTGGTTTTGTTGATGTTTATCTTTCCCTTATATTGATGTGTGTGCATTTGACTGCTTTACCAAACGCACACACATCAACATAAGGCAAAAATAAACATAAAAAAACAGACATAACATCATCAAAAGAACACAGTAATTTTACAGTAACTGGCCCCAATGAAATAGAGATATATGCAATGCTTGACCAAAAAAATCAAAATAATTTTTTTAGGAAAGCTTAGTGAACTTAAAGTACAGAGAAGCAATTCAATGAAATCAGTAAAACAGTACAACCAAAACAAAGAATTAAAGAGAGAGACTGAAATTATTTTTTAATTAAATAGAAATTCTGGAGCTAAAAAACATTATAAATGAAATAATAAATGCACTAGACAGCATCCAGCAGAAATTATCAAGTAGACAAAGAATTTGTGAAGTGAAAAACAGGTTATTTGAAAATATACAACTAAAGAAAAAGAAAGAAAAAAGAATGAGAAAAGATGAAGAAAGCTTAAGAGATTTATGAGGCAGCATCAAAAGAGAAAATGTGCAATGCATTAGTCCATTCTCATACTGCTATAAGAATGTATTCAAGACTGGGTAATTTATAAGGGAAAGAGCTTTAGTTGACTCACAGTTCTACAGGGTTGGGGAGGCCTCAGGAAACTTATAATCATGGTGGAAGGGAAAGCAAACATGTCCTTCACAAGGTGGCAGGAGAGAGAAGAATGAGAACTGAGCAAAAGGGGAAGCCCCTTATAAAACCATCAGATCTCATGAGAACTTACTATCATGAGAATACCATGGGGGAAACCACCTCCATGATTTAATTACCTCCCACTGAATTCCTCCCATGACATGTAGGGATTATGGCAACTAAAATTCAAGATGAGATTTGGGTAGGAACATAGCCAAACTATATTATACAAGTTATAGGAGTTATAGAAGGAGATGAGAGAGACAAAAAAAATATAGATTATTTAAAGAAATAATAGCAGAATAGTTTGCAAATCTGGGGAAAGATACAAATATCCAGGTGTACAAGAAGGTCAGAAGTTTCTAATCAGATTTAATGAAAATAAGACTACACCAAGACATATTATAATCAAACTGTCAAAAATCAAAAACAGAGAAAATCCTGATAACAGCAAGAGAGAAGAGGCAAATCACATATAAGAGAGTTATAACAAGGCTAGCAGAAAATTTCTCAGCAAAAACCTTGCAGAACAGGAGAGACTAGAAGAACATATGTAAGGAAGGAAAAACAAACTGCCAACCAAAAATATTTACCCAACAAAGCTGTCCTTTAGGAATCAAGTAGAGAGAAAGATTTCCCCAGACAAACAAAAGCTGAAAGAGTTCATCACCACCAAACCTATTTTCCAAAAATTCTACACAGAATCTTCAAGCTAAAGGAAAAAAAAAAGAGCGAGCTAATTAGTGACATGAAAATATATAAAAGTGATTTTGGGCTGAGACAATGGGGTTTTCTAGATATACAATCATGTCATCTGCAAACAGGGACAATTTGACTTCCTCTTTTCCTAATTGAATACCCTTCATTTCCTTCTCCTGCCTAATGGCCCTGGCCAGAACTTCCAACACTCTGTTGAATAGGAGTGGTGAGAGAGGGCATCCCTGTCTTGTGCCAGTTTTCAAAGGGAATGCTTCCAGTTTTTGCCCATTCAGTATGATATTGGCTGTGGGTTTGTCATAGATAGCTCTTATTATTTTGAGATACATCCCATCAATACCGAATTTATTGAGAGTTTTTAGCATGAAGGGTTGTTGAATTTTGTCAAAGGCCTTTTCTGCATCTATTGAGATAATCATGTGGTTTTTGTCTTTGGTTCTGTTTATATGCTGGATTACATTTATTGATTTGCATATATTGAACCAGCCTTGCATGCCAGGGATGAAGCCCACTTGATCATGGTGGATAAGCTTTTTGATGTGCTGCTGGATTCGGTTTGCCAGTATTTTATTGAGGATTTTTCCATCAATGTTCATCAAGGATATTGGTCTAAAATTCTCTTTTTTTTGTTGTGTCTCTGCCAGGCTTTGGTATCAGGATGATGCTGGCCTCATAAAATGAGTTAGGGAGGATTCCCTCTTTTTCTATTGATTGGAATAGTTTCAGAAGGAATGGTACCAGTTCCTCAGAAAAAATGCTCACCATCACTGGCCATCAGAGAAATGCAAATCAAAACCACAATGAGATACCATCTCACACCAGTTAGAATGGCAATCATTAAAAAGTCAGGAAACAACAGGTGCTGGAGAGGATGTGGAGAAATAGGAACACTTTTACACTGTTGGCAGAACTGTAAACTAGATCAACCATTGTGGAAGTCAGTGTGGCGATTCCTCAGGGATCTAGAACTAGAAATACCATTTGACCCAGCCATCCCATTACTGGGTATTTACCCAAAGGACTATAAATCATGCTGCTATAAAGACACATGCACACGTATGTTTATTGTGGCACTATTCACAATAGCAAAGACTTGGAACCAACCCAAATGTCCAACAATGATAGACGGGATTAAGAAAATGTGGCACATATACACCACGGAATACTATGCAGCCATAAAAAAGGATGAGTTCATGTCCTTTGTAGGGACACGGATGAAATTGGAAATCATCATTCTCAGTAAACTATTGCAAGGACAAAAAGCCAAACATCGCATGTTATCACACTTAGATGGGAACTGAACAATGAGAACACATGGACACAGGAAGGGGAACATCACACTCTGGGCACTGTTGTGGGGTGGGGGGAGGGGGGAGGGATAGCATTAGGAGATATACCTAATGCTAATTGATGAGTTAATGGGTGCAGCACACCAGCATGGCACATGTATACATATGTAACTAACCTGCACATTGTGCACACGTACCCTAAAACTTAAAGTATAATAAAAAAAGAAAGAAAATATATAAAAGTATATATCACTCACTGTTAAAAGTAAGTACATTTACAATACTCTAATAATGTAATGGTGGTGTGTAAATCACTGATATCATTAGGATAAAGGCTAAAAGACAAAACTATTAAAAATAATAATAGCTACAATAGAGGTATACCTCAGAGATATTGTGGGTTCAATTCCAGAATGCCTAAATAAAGCAAATTTCACAATAAAGCTAATCACAATATTTTTGTTTCCCAGTACATATAAAAGTTATGTTTACATTTTACTGTAGCCTTTTAAATGTGTGATAATATGTCTAAAAAGTATACATGTTAATTTAAAAATACTTAATGGCTAAAATAAAAAGATTAACAGTCATCTGAGCCTTCATCAAATATTGGCCTTTTTACTGTTGGAAGGTCTTGCTTTGATGTTGATGACTGCTGACTTATCAGGGTGGTGGTTGCCAAAGGTTGTGGTGGCTGTGGCAATTTCTTAAAATCAGACAACAATAAAGTTTGTTGCATCAATTGACTTTTCCTTACATATAAAAAATTATCTGTAGTATGCAATACTGTTTGATAGCATTTTACCCAGAGTAGAACTTCTTTCAAAATTGGAGTCAATTCTCTCAAATCTTGCCACTGTTTTATCAAATATGTTTATGTACTAGTTTAAATTATTTGTTATCATTTCAGCAATGTTCACAGCATTATCACCAAGAGTAGATTCCATTTCAAGGAATCACTTTCTTTGCTCATCCATAATAAGCAATTCCTCATCCATTCTAGTTTTATTAAGAAAGTGAAGCAATTCAGTCACATGTACACACTCCACTTCTAATTCTATTTCTCTTGCTATTTCCACCACTTTCGCAGTACCTTTCTCCAGTGAAATCTTGAACCCATCAAAGTCATTCATAAGAGTTGGAATCAACCTTCTACACTCCTGTAAATGTTGATACATTCACCTTCTCCCATAAATCATGAATGTTCTTAATGACATCTAAGTAGTGAGTCCTTCTGGAAGGTTTTCAATTTCCCTTGTCCTGATCCAGCAGAGGAATTACTATCTATGGCAGCCATGGCCTTACAAAATGTATTTCTTAAATAATAACACTGGAAAGTCAAAATTACTCCTTGATCTATGGGATGCAAAATGGATGTTGTGTTAGCAGAAATGAAGACAAGTTTAATCTTTTTGTTCATCGTCATCAAAGCTCTTGGGTAACAATGTGCACTGTCAATGAGCAGTGATATTTGGAAAGGAATCTTTTTTTCTGAGCAGTAGATATCAACAGGGAGCTTAAAATATTCAGTAAACCATGCTGTGAACAGATGTGCTGCCCTTTAGGCTTTGTTGTTTTATTTATAGAGCACAGGCACAGTAGATTAGTCTAATTGTTAAGGGCCCTAGGATCTTTAGAATGATCAATGAGCATTGGCTTCAACTCAAAGTCACCACCTGCATTAGCTGTTAAAAAGAATATCATGATGTCCTTTGAAGCTTTGAAGCCAGGCATTGACTTCTCCTCTCTAGCTATAGAAGCGCTAGATGGCATCTTCTTCTAGTATTTTACTGTTTGTTTCCACTGAAAAACTATCGTTTACTGTAGCCACCTTCATCAGTTATCTAACCTCAATATTCTGGATAACTTAATGCAACTTCTGTATTATCACTTGATGCTTTACCTTGCATGTTTATATTACAGAGACAACTTCCATCCTTAAACCTCATGAAACAAACTATGCTAGCTTCAAACTTTTCTGCTGCAGCTTTCACATCTATCTCAGCCTTCATAGAGGTGAAGAGAGTTTAAGAACTTGTTCTGGATTAGGCTTTGGCTTAATGTTGCAACTAGTTTGATCATATATCCAGACCACTAAAACTTTCTCCATATCAGCAGTAAGCTTGTTTCATTTTCTTGTAATTTGTGTGTTCACTGAAGTAGTCATTTTACTTTTCTTCAAGAAAGTTTCCCTTACATTCACAACTTGGCTAACTGGCCCAAAACTAAGCTTTTGGTCTATCTTGGTTTCTGACATGCTTTTTCTCCCTAAGCTAAGTCATTTCTAGCTTTTGATTTAAAGTGAGACATGTGTGACTCTTCCTATCACTTGAACACCTAAAGACAATTTCAGGGCTATTTATTGGCTTAATTTCAATATTACTGTGTCTCAGAGAATAGGAACAGCTGAGGAGAGGGAGACAGATGGAGGAACAACCAGTTGGTGGAGCTGTCAGTATGCACACAACATTTATCAGTTAAGTTTGTCACCTTATATGGATGTGATTTACAGCACCACAAAACAATTACAATAGTATCATCAAACATCACTTGATCACAGATAGCCTTAATGGACGTAATAATAACAATAATGAAAAAGCTCAAAATAACCAAAATATGACACAGACATGAAATAAACACATAGTGCTGGAAAAATGACAGACTTGCTCAACACAGGGTTGCCACAAACCTTCAATTTGTAAAAAAAATGCACTATCTGTGAAGAACAATAAAGTAAATCATGACAAAATGAGGTATATTTGTAGTGTGTTAAGGGATATACTATATAAAAAATTTAAATTGTGACATCAAAAACTAAAATGGGGGTGGTAGAGTAAAAGTGTAGAGTTTTTGTGTGTAATCAGAGTTAAGTTATCATTTTAAAATCGCTCGTTATAAGACATTCCTTTGTAAGTCTCAAGGTAACCACAAAGCAAAACCTGTAGTAGATACATGAAAGATAAAAAGTAAGGAATCAAAGCATACCATTAGAGAAAAGCATCAACCACAGAAGAAGACAGGAAAAATAGAAGAAAGGAAAAAAAACACACAAAGCAGAAAGAGTGGAAGACAGAAAAAAAATATATGATAGCCAGAATATAATTATTAAAATGGCAATTTAGGGCACATATAACTGAAAGTAAAAATGGAAAAAAGATATTCCATGCAAGTGGAAACCAAAATAGATGAGGGGTTGCTACATTTACATCACATAGAATAGACTTTAAGTCAATAACAGTAAAACAGGGCAAATAAGGTCATTGCATAATAATAAACGGATTATTTCATCAGGAAGAAATAACAGTTATAAATATATATGGACCCTACACTGGATCACCTAAATATATAAAGCAAATATTAATAGACCTGAAGAGAGAAATAGACTGCAATAAAATCATAGGTCTTCAAAATCCCACTTTTAATAAACAGATTATCTAGACAGATAATCAGTAAAGAACGATTGGATTTAAACTACACTTTAGACCAAATGGACCTAATAGACACATATAGAACATTTCACCTAGTGGCAGCAGAATATATAATCTTTTGAAGCACCCAAGGAACATTCTCCAGGATAATCATAGAGTAAGCCACAAAACAAGTCACAACAAAATTAAGATTGAAATATATAAATTATTTTTTCAAAAACAATGACATGAAACTAGTAATCAATAATATAAGGAATTTCAAAAATGTTACAAACGTGAAAATTAAACAAGAGACTCCTCAACAATCAATAGGTCAAAGAAGAAATTAAAAGCAAAAATTTAAAATATCTTAAGATAAATGAAAATGAAAACACATCATAACAAAGCTTATGGGATGCAACAAAAGCAGGTCTAAGAGGGGAGTTTATACCAATAAATACCTACATCAAACAAAAGATTTAAAATAAATAACCTAATATTACAACTTAAGTAACTAGAAGAAGAAGAAGAGTCAGGGTTTCCCTTTCATAAAAAGGGAGAAATAATAAAAATTAGAGAAGAAAGAAAACAAATGGAGAATAGAAAAACAATAGAAAAGATCAATGAAGAGTTAGTTCTTTGAAAAGATAAAATTGACAAACCTTTAGCTAGAATAACTAGGAAAAAGAAGAAAACTCAAATAAAATTAGAAATGAAAGCTGAGACATTACAACTGATACCATAGAAACAAAAAGCATCATAACAAGCGACTATGAAAAACTAAATGTCAGCCAGGCGTAGTGGCTCATGCCTGTAATCCCAGCACTTCGGGAGGCTGAGGCAGGCAGATCACCTGAGGTCAGGAGTTTGACACCAGCCTGACCAACATGCAGAAACCCCGTCTCTACTAAAGATACAAAAATTAGCCAGGTGTGGTGGCGGGCCCCTGTAATCCCAACTACTCAGGAGGCTGAGGCAAGAGAATTGCTTGAACCCAGGAGGCAGAAGTTGCAGTGCGCAAAAAAAAAAAAAAAAAAAAAAAATAGATAACCTAGAGGAAATGGATAAGTTCCTAGATACACAAAAACTACCAAGACTTTGAGTATTGAAGGAATGGAAAATCTGAACACACCAATACTAAGGAGATTTAATCAGTAATAAAATGTTTCCATTCCAAGAAAAGACCAGGATCAGATGGCTTCACTGCAAAATTCTACCAAACACTTAGAGAAGAACTAATAGCAATCTTTCTCAAAGTCTTCCCCCAAAAAAGTGAAAAAAGTGTTTACTTCCAAACTCATGTTACAAAGTCAGCATTACTCTGATAACAAAGTCAGACAAGATACTATGAGAAAATTACAGGGCAATAACCCTGATGAACATAGGTTTAAAAATCCTCAACAAAATACTAGCAAACATATTTCAATAGCACACTTGAAATATTATTCACCATGATTAAGTGTAATTTATTCCTGGAATGCAACAATAGTTTAACATACACAAATTAATAAATGTGACATGCCACATTAACAAAATGAAAGATAAAAGGCATATGATCATCTTAATAGATGCAGAAAAACATCGTGACAAAATTCAATATCTTTTTGTAGTAAAAATGCTCAACAAATTAGGTACAGAAGAGAAGTGCTTCAACAAATAAAGACCACATATGACAAGTCCACTGCTAACATCACAGTCAACAGTGGTAAACTAAAAGCTTTTCTTCTAAGATTAGGAACAAGATAAGAATGCTCACTATTGCAACTTCTATTCAACATAGTACTGGAAGTTCTAGCCAAAGAAGTAAGGCAAGAAAAAAAGAAAAGAAAAAAGAAAGGCATTCACATCAGAAAGGACAAACTTAAATTTTCTGTTTGAAGATGACCTGATCCTACATATATATAAAATATATAATTTATATATAATATGTATTATGTTATAAATATATGTTATATGTTCTATGTTATATATAATATATGTTCTATGTTATATATAATATATGTTATATGTTATATGTTATATATAATATATGTTATATGTTATATATAATATATGTTATATGTTATATATATGTTATAGGTTATATGTTATATATGTTATAGGTTATATGTTATGTTATATATATGTTATATGTTATGTTATATATGTTATATGTTATATTATATATCATATATGTTATATGTTATATTATATATCATATATGTTATATGTTATATTATATATCATATATGTTATATGTTATATTATATATGTTATATGTTATATTATATATGTTATATGTTATATGTTATATTATATATGTTATATGTTATATATTATATTATATATGTTATATGTTATATATTATATTATATATGTTATATGTTATATATATTATATATAATATGTTATATAATATAATATATATGTTATATATTATATATAATATGTTATATATTATATATGTTATATATTATATTATATATGTTATATGTTATATATTATATTATATATGTTATATGTTATATATTATATTATATATGTTATATGTTATATATTATATGTTATAAGTTATATATAATATAGATAATATATAAAATATATAATATATATACACAAAACACAAAACACCACCAAAAACTGTTAAAACTAACAAATGAATTTACTATAGTTGCAGGATACAAAATCAACATGCAAAGTCAGTAATGTTTCTATACACTAACAATGAACTATCCAAAAAAAAATAGAATCTATTTACAATAACTCCAAAAAGAATAAAATACGTAGAAATGAAGTTAATCAAGTAGGTGATAGACTTATACAAAAAAACTATAATATATTGATGAAAGAAATTAAACTAGGCAAAAATTGGAAAGGCATCCTGTTTTCATAAATATACAGACTTAATACTTTAAAGTGTCTATAAATCAAAGCTATCTACAGATTCAATGCATTCCCTATCAAAATCCCAACAGCATGTTTTACAGAAATTAAAAAAAATCAAAAATTCAAATTAAATCACAAAAGTCCCAGAATTGCCAGTGTTAACTTGAGAAAGAACAAAGCTCAAGGCATCACACTTCCTGCTTACAAAAATATATTATGAAGCTACAGTAATCGAAACAGTGTTGTACTGGCATGAAGGCAGACATATAGACAGATGAAACAGAATAAAGAAGCCAGAAATAAATCCATGTATGTATGGTCCACTGATCTTCAACAGTGATGCCAAAAATAAACAGTGGTGCCAAAAATAAACAATGGGGAAAGGACAGTCTCCTCAACAAGGTGTTGGAAAACTGGACATCTACATGAGAAGAGTGCAATTTAACCCTTAACTTATACAATACAGAAAAAAATCAACTCAAAACAGATTAAAGACTTAAATGTAAGACCTTAAACTATAAAATTCCTAGATAAAAACAGGGGAAATGTTCCTTGACATTTCTCTTGGCAGTGATTTTTTTGGATAAGACACCAAAAACTCAAGAAACAAAACCACAAATAGACAAGTGGGACAACATTAAACTAAATAACTCTGGTGCAATAAAGAAAACAATGAATCAAATGAAAAGGTGACCTATGGAAAGGGAGTAAATATTTACAAGCCATACATATGATAAAGGGTTAATATCCAAAATATATTAGAAACATCTACAACTCAATTTAAAAAATAGTACCAGGCATGGTGGCTCACGCATATAGTCCTAGTACTTTGGGAGGTTGAGGCTGGTGAATGGATTGAGCGCAGGTATTCAAGACCCGCCAGGGAAACATGGCAAACCCCTATCTCTACAAAAACACACACACACACACATATATATATATGTACATATATACACACACACATATATATGTACATATATATATATGTGTGTGTGTATATATATACGTATATATGTGTGTGTATATATGTGTATATGTGTGTGTGTGTGTATGTGTATATATATATGTATATATATATTTATATATATGTATATATATATATGTATATATATACGTATATATATATATTTATATATATATATATATATTAGCCAGGCATGGTGGGTGTGTGTCTGTAGTCCCAGCTACTCAGGAGGCTGAGGTAGTAGGATTGCTTGAACCCGGGGTGTCAAGGCTGCAGTGAGCCATGACAGCACCATTGCACTTCAGCCTGGGCAACAGAGAGAGACCCTGTCTCAAAACAAACAAACAAAAACATAGGCTGTGTGCAGTGGCTCATGCTTATAATACCAGCACCTTGGGAAGCCAAAGCAGGAGGATTTGAGACCAGGAGTTTGAGACCAGCTTGGGAAACATAGCAAGACCCTGTCTCTACAAAAAGTAAAAATAAAAATAAATAACCAGGCATATTGGCATGAGTTAGTAGTCCTAGCTACATGGGAGGCTGAAGTGAGAGGATTGCTTGAGCCCAGGAGTTCAAGACCAGCCTGGGCAACATAGTGAGACCCCCATCTAGGAAAACAAAAAGCACAGGCAACAAAAGCAAAAGTATACAAATGGGATTGCAGGAAACTAAAAAGCTTCTGCACAGCAAAAGAACTATCAACAGAGTAAAGATACAGTTTACAGAATGGGAGACTATTGGCAAACTATGCATCTGATGAGGAGTTAATATCCAGAATATATGAGAAACTCAAACAACTCAATAGCAAAAAACAAAAAATAAACCCAATCCAAAAAATGGGCAAATGACCTGAATAGACATTTCTCAAAAAATATATATACAAAAGAAGACATACAAATGGGCAACATGTATACGAAAATATGCTTAACATCCCTAGTCATCAGGGAAATACAAATCCAAACCACAGTAAGATACCACCTCAGTCTAGTTAGAATGGCTACTACAGAAAGACAAATGATAACAAGTGTTGGCAAGGATGTGGAGAAAGGAAACTCTTACATATTGTTGGTGGGAATGTAAATTAGAACAGTCACTATAAAAACAGTATGGAAGTTCCTTGAAAAATTAAAAATTGAACTGCCATATGATCCAGCAATCCCACTAATGGGTATAAACCCAAAAGTAATGAAATCAGTATGTCAAAGAGACATCTGCTGTCCTGTGTTTATTACAGCACTATTCATAATAGCCAAGATATGGCAACAATCTATGTCCATCAATGGATGAATGAATTTAAAAATCTTGGTATATACATAATATGCAATACTATTCATTCATAAAAAAGAAAGAAATTGTTTCATCTGTGACAACATAGATGAACCTGGAGAACATTGTGTCAAGTGAAATAAGCTACACACAGAAAGAAAACTACTGCATGATTTCACTGATATGTGGAATCTTAAAAAGTTGATCTCATAGAAGCTGAGAGTAGAATGGTGGTTAGCAGAAGCTGGTGAGGGTAAGTGAAAGAGGGTATGGGAGAACACTGGTCAATGAGTACAATGTTAAAGTTAAATAGAGGAACGGGTTCTAGTGTTCTATTGCACATCAGGGTGAATATAAAAAACAATAGTGTATTATATATTTCAAAATAACTTGAAGAAAGGATTTTAAATGTTCTCACCATAAAGAAATGATAAATGTTTAAGATGATGGATATTCTAATTACCCTGATTTGAGCATTACACAATATATACACATATCAAAACATCATATCGTACCACATAAATATGTACGATTATTCTGGCTCAATTGAAAATAAAATAAAATTTTAGAAACGTTAAGAAAGGAATATTATGAACAATCTTATCTCACAGATTTTATAACCTAGTTAAGATGGACCAATTCCTTGAAAGATACAGTCTATTATAACTCATACAGGGAGAAATAGGCAATCTAAATACTGTTAATTGTATTAAAGGAATTAATTATTGAATAAACTTCCAAAACAGAAAGCATCAAGCCCAGATGGGTTCACTGGAGTATTCCACCAAACATTTAGGAAAGAAAACTACACCAAGTCTCTACAGTTGCATTGAAAATATAGAAGCAGAGGCAATATTTTCTAACTCATTGTATAAGGTCAGCATTACACTAATACCAAAAGCAGACAAAAATATTGCAAGGAAAAAAACACATCAATATATCTGATGAATATAGATGCAATATTTCTCAAGAAATATTAGCAAGTCAATCCAACAAATTTATAAAAATAATTCTACACTTGAGATAAGCCTGGGCAACATAGCAAGACACTGTACCTACAATAAATACAAAAATTAGCCAAGCATGGTGGTGCATACCTGTACTCCTAGCTACTTGGGAGGTTGAGGCAGGAGGATTATTTGAGCCCAGGGGTTAGAGGCTACAGTGAGCTATGATTGTGCCACTGCACTCCAGCCTGGGTGACAGAGTGAGACCCTATCTCTTAAAAAAAGAAAAAAGAATTATACACCACAAACAAGTAAGGCTTATCCCAAAAAAGTAAGACTGGTTCAACACTGGATATCAGTTAATGTAACCCATTATATCAATAGGCTAAAGAAGAAAAGTCACAAGATTATAACAACAGATTTTTAAAAAGTGTTTAACAAATTACAACACCTATTATGATTTCAAAAAAAATTCAGTAAACTAGGAATAGAAAGTAATCTTCCTCAACTTGAAAAATAACATCTACAAAACAGCCTTCATCTGACATCTTATTTAATAGTGAGAAACTATGAGCTTTCTTGCTAAGATTAGGAAGAAAACAAGGATTTCCCTCTCACATTCCTTTTCATCATTGTACAGTAAGTCCTAGCTAGTGCAATGAGACAAAAAAGGAAATAAAAGACACACTAATTGGAGGAGAGAAATAAAATGTTGCAGGTGACATGATTGTCTATGCAGACAATCTAAAATAATTAACCAAAAAAACTCTCCCAGAACTAATAGGCAATTAAAGCAAGATTACAGAATATGTTAATATACAAAAGTTCATTGCTTTCCTATATAACCGCAATAAACAAGTATAATTTGATATTAAAAAACAATATTATCTGCATTAGCACACCTGAAAATGAAATAATTAGGTATAAATTTAATAAAATATGTGCAAGATCTATACAAGGAAAACTACGAAACTTGAATGAAAGTAATCAAAGAAAAACTAAATAAAGAGTTATTCCATGTATACATAGGAAGATTCAATATTGTCAAGGTGTCAGATCTTCTCAACTTACTCTATGTAGATTCAACACAGTCCCAGTCAGTAACCCAGCAAGTTATTTTGTGGATATCAACAAACTGATTCTAAACTTTATGTGAAAGACAAAACATGCAGAATGGTCAGCATAATATTGAAGGTGAAGAACAAATTTGAAGGACTGATACTTCCCAAAATCAATATTTACTATAAAGCTATAGTAATTAAGACAGTGTGCTATTAGTGAAAGAACAAACAGGTCAATGGAACAGAATAGCAAGCCCAGAAATAGTCTGGCAAAAATATAGTCAACCAATATTTACAAAAAAGCAAAATACAATGGAGAAAAGGTCATAATTTTAACAAATGGTGCTGAAACAAGAAGACATCCACACGCCTAATAATAAATCTAAACACAGATCTTATATCCATGACAAAAACGAACATAAAAGAAAACCTAGATGACCTTGAGTATGGTGATGACTTTTTAGATACAACACCAAAGGCATGATCCATGAAAAAAAGAACTGATAAGCTGGCATTTATTAAAATTAAAATTAAAATTTCTGCTCTGCAAAAGGCAAATGAGAAGCAAACCACAGACTAAAGAGAATATATTTGCAAAAGGCATACCTGATAAAAGATTGTTATTCAAAATATGCAGAAGAGCTCTTAAAGCACAATAGGTAAATGAACAATCTGATTTTAAAATGGTCAAAAAAACAGACACCTCACCAAAAAATTACACAGAAGGCAAATAAGTAAATGAAAAGATGCTCATATACTTATGAATATCTTTGTTATTAGGGAATTGCAAATTAAAACAATGATATAGCACTGCATATTTATTAGAATAATCAAAATCTAAAACATTAACAACACAAAATGCTATTGAGAATGTGAAGCAACAGGAACGTTCACTCATTGCTAGTGGGAATACAAAATAGCACAGCCACTTCAGCGACAGTTTAGTGGTTTATTCCAAAATTACATTCTTACCATGCATTCCAGCAATTGTGCTCCTGGGTATTTACCCAAATAAGTTGAAAACATATATTCCCACAAACACCTGCATACAAACGTTTATATCATGTTTATTCCTATTTTCCAAACTTGGAAGCAACCAAGATGTCCTTTGGTAGGTAAATGGAGAAATAAGCTGTGGTACATCCATACAATGAAATATTATTCAGTGCTAAAAAGAAATGAGCTGTCAAGCTTATTTAAAGGTTACGTGTCTCATGCAAAGACATGGAAGAAATTTATGCATATTAGTAAGCAAAAGTGACAGTCTGAGAAGCTACATACTGTAGATTCCAACTTTATGACATTCTGGAAAAGGCAAAACTCTGGAGAAAGTGAAAACATTAGTGGTTGCCAGGGCTTGGGGAGAGGGAGGCAGAGCACAGAGGGGGAACAAAGGGCAGTAGAACTACTCTGTACTATACTATAACAGTGGACACATGTCTATACTTTTGTCAAAATACAATGTATAACACCAAGAGTGAATCCTAATGTAAACTATGAACTTTGGGTGATAATGATGTGTCAATGTAGGTTCATCCACTGTAACAAATATACCACTCTTGCATGGAAGCGTGATGGTGAGTGAGGCTCTGTGTATGGGGGACAGGGGGTTTATGGGAAATCTGTAACTTCTGCTCAATTATGTTATTAATCTAAAACTGCTCTAATAATAAAATCTACTTTTAAACATGTAATAGAATTCCCAAGAACTGTGGGACAATTACACAAAGTGTAGCACACACATATAACAGAAATACCAAAAAAAGAAAAGAGCAGAAGAAGTATTTGAAGAAATAAAAGATGAAAAATTTTCTAAATTAATGGCAAACACCAATCCAGAGATCCAGGAAGCTCAGAGAACACCAAAGCAAAATAAATGTCAGAAAAAATGTACCTCTAGGCATATCATATTCAAACTGCAGAAAACCAAAGACAAAGATAAAATCCTGATAGAAGTTGAGGGGGAAACTTACAGATAAATAAACAATAATAAGAATTTCCTCTGACTTATCAGAAATCAGCCAAGTAAGAAGATAGTATAATAAAATATTTAAAGTGGGAAAAGAATACAAATCCCCCTGACCTAGAATTCTCTATCAAGTGAAATTATTCTTCAAAAGTGAAGAAGAAATAAAGACTTTCTCAGACATACAAAAACAGGAAATTTCTCAAAAGTAAACTTTTCTTACAAAAAATGCTAAAAGAAGTTCTTCAGATAAAGGGGAAAATGATAAAATAATAAGCACAAATCAATATAAAGGAAGAGCAATTGAGAAGGAATAAATGAAGGCAAATTAAAGCTACTTTTCTTACTCTTAATTGACCTATAGATAGTTGCTCGACACAAAAATAGCAATAATGCATTGGTAATCATTATTACCACTTATTAGGATAAGTGAACTGAATGACAATATTAAAAGAGATGCAGCCCAGGCACGGGTGGCCCATGCCTGTAATCCCAGAACTTTGGGAGGCCGAGGCAGGTGGATCACTTGAGGTCAGGAGCTTGTGGCCAGCCTGACCAACATGGTGAAACCCCGTGTCTACTAAAAATACAAAAATAGGCCAGATGTGGTGGCACGCACCTGTAATCCCAGCTACTCGGGAGGCTGAAGCAGGAGAATCTCTTGAACCCGGAAGGCGAAGGTTGCAGTGATCCAAGATTGTACCACTACACTCCAGCCTGGGTGACAGAGTGAGACTCTGTCTAAGAAAAAGGGGCGGGGGGTTGAATGCAAAGAGAAATACAATTTAACTGAACAGCTATCAGTTAAAGTGAACTGAACTATTAATTAAATGGATCTAATTGGCATTTGTAGAATACTTCATCCAGTAATAGCAGAATATATCTTCTTATCAAACTTATATGCGATTTCCATCAAGAGAAACTTCATATGGACCATAAAACACATTTTAACAATGTAAAAAAATAGAAATTACACAAAGTATACTCTCAGAACACACAGAATAGAACTAAAAATCAGTAACAGAAGGATAGCTGAAAATTTTCAAACTGTTTGGAGATTGAACAACACACTTCTAAGTAATAAGTGAATTGAAGAAGATATCTCAAGAAATATTTTGAAATAAATGAAAATGTAACATCATAGTTTGTAGGATGCAGTAAAAGCAGTTCTTTGAGTGAAATTTATAACACTGAATGGATATATTAGAAAATAAAAAAATGTGATATTAATAAACTAATCTTAGGCCTTAGGAAACTAGAGAAAGAAAAGAAATGTAGGCCTAAAGAAAGCAGAATAAAAGAAATGATAAAAATTGGAGCATAAATTATTAAATTGAAGTAGAATTTAAATTTTCTCTGCAGAGTAAGTATGTGAGGTAATGAATATGTTAATTAGCTTTACTTAGCCATTCCACATGTATACATAAACACGTTATACAGCATAAACGTATATTATTTTGTTTTTCAATTAAAAATTTAATTAAAATCAGAAAAAATTAATAATTAAATTTAAAACAGGAATTCAATACTGAAAAATCAATGAAACCAAAAGCTGTTTCTTTAAAAAGATAATAAAATTGATAAATTTCTAGCCAGGCTAATCAAGAAAAGAAGAGGATTCAACATTCTTAAAGAAAACAATTTTCAACCCAGAATTTCATATCCAGCCAAACTAAGCATCATAAGTGAAGGAGAAATAAAATATTTTACAGACAAGCAAATGCTGAGAGACTTTTGTCACCACCAGGCCTGCCCTAAAAGAGCTCCTGAAGGAAGCACTAAACATGCAAAGGAACAACCGGTACCAGCCACTGCAAAACCATGACAAAATGTAAAGACCATCGAGAGTAGGAAGAAACTGCATCAACTAACGAGCAAAATAACCAGCTAACATCATAATGACAGGATCAAATTTACACATAACAATATTAACCTTAAATGTAAATGGGCTAAATGCTCCAATTAAAAGACACACACTGGCAAATTGGATAAAGAGTCAGGACCCATCAGTGTGCTGTATTCAGGAGACTCATCTCATGTGCAGAGATACACATAGGCTCAAAATAAAGGGATGGAGGAAGATCTACCAAGAAAATGGAAAGCAAAAAAAAGCAGGGGTTGCAATCCTAGTGTCTGATAAAATAGACTTTAAACCAACAAAGATCAAAAGAGTCAAAGAAGGCCACTGCATAATGGTAAAGGGATCAATTCAACAAGAAGAGCCAACTATCCTAAATATATATGCACCCAACACAGGAGCACCCAGATTCATAAAGCAAGTCCTTAGAGACCTACAGAGAGACTTAGACTCCAACACAATAATAATGGGAGACTTTAACACCCCACTGTCAATATTAGACAGATCAACGAGACAGAAGGTTAACAAGGATATTCAGGACTTGAACTCAGCTCAGCACCAAGCAGACTTAATAGACATCTACAGAACTCTTCACCCCAAAACAACAGAATATACATTCTTTTCAGCACCGCATTGCACTTATTCCAAAATTGACTACATAATTGGAAGTAAAGCACTCCTCAGCAAGTGTAAAAGAACAGCAATCACAACAAACTGTCTCTCAGACCACAGTGCTATCAAATTAGACCTCAGGATTAAGAAACTCACTCAAAACCGCACAACTACATGGAAACTGAATAACCTGCTCCTGAATGACTACTGGGTACATAGTGAAATGAAGGCAGAAATAAAGATGTTCTTTGAAACCAATAAGAACAAAGACACTATGTACCAGATTCTCTGGGACACATTTAAAGTAGTGTGTAGAGGGAAATTTATAGCACTAAATGCCCACAAGAGAAAGCAGGAGAGATCTAAAATTGACACCCTAACATCACAATTAAAAGAACTAGAGAAGCAAGAGCAAACAAATTCAAAAGCTAGCAGAAGGCAAGAAATAACTAAGATCAGAGCAGAACTGAAGGAGATAGAGACACAAAAACCCTTCGAAAAGTCAATGAATCCAGGAGCTGGTTTTCTGAAAAGATCAACAAAATTGATAGACTGCTAGCAAGACTAATAAAGAAGAAAAGAGGGAAGAATCAAATAGATGCAATAAAAAATAATAATGTGGATATCACTACCAATCCCGCAGAAATACAAACTACCATCAGAGAATACTATAAACACCTCCATGCAAATAAACTAGAAAATCTAGAAGAAATGGATAAATTCCTGGACACATACACCCTCCCAAGACTAAACCAGGAAGAAGTTGAATCTCTGAATAGACCATTAACAGGCTCCAAAATTGAGGCAATAATTAATAGGCTACCAACCAAAAAAAGTCCAGGACCAGACCAATTCACAACTGAATTCTACCAAAGGTACAAAGAGGAGTTGGTACCATTCCTTCTGAAACTATTCCAATCAATAGAAAAAGAGGGAATCCTCCCTAACTCATTTTATAAGGCCAGCATCATCCTGATACCAAAGCCTGGCAGAGACAAAACAAAAAAAAGAGAATTTTAGACCAATATCCTTGATGAACATCGATGTGAAAATCCTCAATAAAGTACTGGCAAACTGAATCCTGCAGCACATCAAAAAGCTTATCCACCATGATCAAGTCGGCTTCATCCCCGGGATGGAAGGCTGGTTCAACATATGCAAATCAATAAATGTAATCCAGTATATAAACAGAACCAAAGACAAAAACCACATGATTATCTCAATAGATGCAGAAAAGGCCTTTGACAAAATTCAACAACCCTTCATGCTAAAAACACTCAATAAATTAGGTATTGATGGGACATATCTCAAAATAATAAGAGCTATCTATGACAAACCCACAGCCAATATCATATTGAATGGGCAAAAACTGGAAGCATTCCCTTTGAAAACTGGCACAAGACAGGGATGCCCTCTCTCACCACTCCTATTCAACATAGTGTTGGAAGTTCTGGCCAGGGCAATTAGGCAGGAGAAGGAAATAAAGAGTATTCAATTAGGAAAAGAGGAAGTCAAATTGTCCCTGTTTGCAGATGACATGATTGTATATCTAGCCCCATCATCTCAGCCCCAAATCTCCTTAAGCTGATAGGCAACTTCAGCAAAGTCTCAGGATACAAAATCAATGTACAAAAATCACAAGCATTCTTATACACCAATAACAGACAATCAGAGAGCCAAATCATGAGGGAACACCCATTCACAATTGCTTCAAAGAGAATAAAATACCTAGGAATCCAACTTACAAGTGACGTGAAGGACCTCTTCAAGGAGAACTACAAACCACTGCTCAATGAAATAAAAGAGGATACAAAGAAATGGAAGAACATTCCATGCTCATGGGTAGGAAGAATCAATATCGTGAAAATGCCCATACTGCCCAAGGTATTTTATAGATTCAATGCCATCCCCATCAAGCTACAAATGACTTTCTTCACAGAATTGGAAAAAACTACTTTAAACTTCATATGGAACCAAAAAAGAGCTCACATCGCGAAGTCAATCCTAAGCCAAAAGAACAAAGCTGGAGGCATCACACTACCTGACTTCAAACTATACTACAAGGCTACAATAACCAAAACAGCATGGTACTGGTACCAAAACAGAGATATAGATCAATGGAACAGAACAGAGCCCTCAGAAATAACGCCGCATATCTACAACTATCTGATCTTTGACAAACCTGAGAAAAACAAGCAATGGGGAAAGGATTCCCTATTTAATAAACGGTGCTGGGAAAACTGGATAGCCATATGTAGAAAGCTGAAACTGGATCCCTTCCTTACACCTCATACAAAAATCAATTCAAGATGGATTAAAGACTAAATTGTTAGACCTAAAACCATAAAAACCCTAGAAGAAAACCTAAGCATTACCATTCAGGACATAGGCATGGGCAAGGACTTCATGTCTAAAACACCAAAAGCAATGGCAACAAAAGCCATAATTGACAAATGGGATCTAATTAAACTAAAGAGCTTCTGCACAGCAAAGGAAACTACCATCAGAGTGAACAGGCAACCTACAAAATGGGAGACAATTTTTGCAACCTACTCATCTGACAAAGGGCTAATATCCAGAATCTACAATGAACTCAAACAAATTTACAAGAAAAAAACAAACAACCCCATCAAAAAGTGGGCGAAGGACAAGAACAGACACTTCTCAAAAGAAGTCATTTATGCAGGCAAAAAACACATGAAAAAATGCTCACCACCACTGGCCATCAGAGAAATGCAAATCAAAACCACAATGAGCTACCATCTCACACCAGTTAGAATGGCAATCATTAAAAAGTCAGGAAACAACAGGTGCTGGAGAGGATGTGGAGAAATAGGAACACTTTTACACTGTTGGTGGGACTGTAAACTAGTTCAACCCTTGTGGAAGTCAGTGTGGCGATTCCTCAGGGATCTAGAACTAGAAATACCATTTGACCCAGCCATCCCATTACTGGGTATTTACCCAAAGGACTATAAATCATGCTGCTATAAAGACACATGCACACGTATGTTTATTGCGGCACTATTCACAATAGCAAAGACTTGGAACCAACCCAAATGTCCAACAGTGATAGACTGGATTAAGAAAATGTGGCACATATACACCATGGAATACTATGCAACCATAAAAAAGGATGAGTTCATGTCCTTTGTAGGGACATGGATGAAATTGGAAATCATCATTCTCAGTAAACTATCGCAAGGACAAAAAATCAAACACCGCAGGTTCGCACTCATAGGTGGGAATTGGACAATGAGAACACATGGACACAGGAAGGGGAACATCACACTCTGGGGACTGTTGTGGGGTGGGAGGAGGGGGGAGGGATAGCATTAGGAGATATACCTAATGCTAAATGACAAGTTAGTGGGTGCACCACACCAGCATGGCACACGTATACATATGTAACTAACCTGCACATTGTGTACATGTACCCTAAAACTTAAAGTATAATAGTAATAAAATAAAATTTAAAAAAAGATAGCATGAGTAGAAAAAAAAAAAAGAAGAGGGAAGCCACAAGTTACTAATATCAGAAATGAAAGAGGGGTCATCACTACTGATTCTGTGGACATTAAAAGAATGATAAATAAATACCATAAACAACTCTATGCCCACAAGTTTGATAGCTTAGATGAAATGAACCTATTCCTTGAAAAGCTCAATCTGCCAAAACTCACATAAAGTGAAATAGATAATTTGAATAGGCCTATACCTACTAAAGAAACTGAATTAATAATTAATAATCTTCCACAAAAGAAAACACCAGGCCCAGATGGGTTCATTAGTGAATTCTGTCAATCATTTAAAAAAAAAATGGTAACAATTATCTGCAGTCTTCTCTAGAAAACAGATGAAAAGGGAACCATTCCTAATTCATATACTTGCTGACTTGTTCCATGAGGCCAGAAATGCCCTAATTCTAAAACCAATGATATTAAAAGAAAGGAAAACTACAGAACAATATCCCTCATGAACATAAATGCAAAAATTCTCAATAAATATTAGCAACTTAAATTTTTGTTTAAAGGTATAATCATGTATAGAAAGAATTATAGTCCGTGGCCAAGTGAGATTTATTCCAGGCATGAAAATCTGGTTAAATATTTAAAAATCAATTAATATAATCTATCACACAAACAAGATAAAGAAGGAAAATTATGTGATTTTTCCATCAATGGACACAGGAAAAGCATTTAACAAAATTCAACATCCATTTATAATAAAAACTCAGCAAACTGGAAACAAAGAGAAACTGCCTCAACTTCATTAACAGCATCTAAAAAAACCATACAGTTAACCTCATATTTAATGGCAAGAAATTAGGTGCTTTTGTCCTAAGACTGGGAACAAGGTAAAGATGTCCTCTCTCGCCACTCCCATTCAACACTGAACTAGATGTCTTAGATAATTTAACAGGACAAGAAAAGTAAATAAAAAGTTTATACATTGGAAAAGATGAAATAAAAATGTCTTTGTTAATAAATTTGTAATTTTCTATATTAAAATCTGAAAGAATAGACAAGAAAAATAAAAACAAACAAAAAAGAAACTTCCAGACCTAGTAGGCAAAAAAATGGCAACACTGAAGAATAGAAGGTTAATATACAAAAGTCAGTTGTTTTTTTCCAGCAATTACCAAGTTGAGATTGAAATTAAAAACACAATACCATTTATGTGAACACCAAAAAATGAAACTTAGGTGTAAATCTAACAAAATATATACAAGATCTATTGAAGACGACTACAAAACTGATGGAAAAAAAAGCAAATATCTAAATAAATGAAGAGATGTTCCATGTTCATGAATAGGAAGACTTAATATTGTTAAGATGTCTATTCTGCCCAACGTGATCTATAAATTCAATACAATTCCAATCAAAGTCCCAACGAGATATTTTATCAATATAAACAAACTCTAAAATCATATGGAAAGGCAAGAGACACAGAATAACCAATGCAATATTAAAGAAAAAGAGCAAGTTTGAACAACCAACACTACCTGATTTTAAGACTTACTATAAAGCTTCATAATCAAGACAGCATGGTATTGGTAAAAGAATCAACAAGTAGATTGATGAAACAGAACAGAGAGCCCAGAAATAGACATACAAAAAGATAGTCAACTAGTCTTTGACAAATGAGCAAAGGCATTGAGAGATAGCCTTTTCAAGAATGGCTGTCTTAGTTGAAAGAGTGGTTGAATATCCACATGCAAAAAAAAAAAAAAAAAAAAAACTTAATGTAGACCTTATGCCTTTCACAAAAACCAACTCAGTTTAGATCATAGATATAACATAATGCTCAATACTATTATATAAAACGACTAGAAGATAACATAGGAGAAGATTTAAGGGACCTACTCTTTGTCTATGAGTTTTTAGATACAACACCAGAAGCATAATCCATGAAAAATGATTGAAATGTTGGACATTATGAAAATTTACAACTTTGCAAAGGACACTGTTTAAGAGAATGAAAAGACAGCCCTCAGAATGGGAGAAAATATCTGCAGAATATATATTTCATAAAGGATTTGTATCCAAATATGTACAAAGAACTCTTAAAACTCAACAATAAGAAAACAACTCATTTCAAAAACGGCCAAAAGATCTGAATAAACCCTTCACCAAGAAGATGGCAAGTAAACAGATAGAAAGAAGCTCAAAATCATATGCCATTAGGGAATTGCAAATTAAAACAACAGTGAGACAACACTACACATCTATTAGATAATCACTAAAATTCAAAAAAAACTGAAAATACCAATGGCTGATGAGGATGAATATTAACAGGAACTTTCATTCATTGCTGCTGGGAATTCAAAATAGTACAGTCACTTTGGAAGATAATTTAGCAGTTTCTTACAAAACTAAGCATGGTCTTACCATACAACCCAGCAATTGTAAGGCTATGTATTTACTCAGTTGAGTTGACAACTTATATCCACAGAAGAATGTTTATTGTAGCTTTATTCATAATCACCAAAAACTGGAAGCAAACAAGAGGTTCCTCAAAAGCTGAATGGATAAGCTGCGGTACATCCATTAAATGGGATATTATTCAATGATATAACAAAATGGGCTATCCAGCCATGAAAAGACATGGAGGAATCTTAAATGCCCATTGCTAAGTGAAAGAAGCCAGTCTGAAAAAGCTACATACTAAATGATTCAACTATATTACATTCTCAAAAAGGCAAAACTGTAGAAGAGCAAGAAACCAGTGTTGCCAGAGATTTGGAGTAGGAAAGAGATGAATAGATAAAAGCAGTGGATTTTTAGGACAGTGAAACTCTTCTGATATTATAATGGTGGGTACATAACATTATGCAATGGTCAAAACCCATAGAACTGTCCAACACAGAGTGAACCTTAATATAAACAATGGACTTTAGTTAATGATAATATATCCATATTGGTTCATCAGTTTTAACAAATGAACTACAAGATGTTAATGACAAGGAAAAGTATATAGATGGGAGGGAGTCATAGGGAAACCCTCTGTGTTGTTTGCAATTTTTTGTAAATATAAAATTGTTCTGAAAAATAAAGTCTATTTTCTTAAAGTCAGTCCAGGGATCCTCCTTTATATGAATACAATCTGGCATTTTGCTAAGTAAAATTTCTCTGTTTCCAGCATTTAAGTCTCACTTCTCTGTGCAAGATTTTCTTTAGTTTTATATTTCCTAGGTCATTTCTGTCAGAATTAAGGGGTGGGGTAGTGAGAATTCAGACATATGTCCTCAAGCTGCCATCTGTTCTCCAAATGGTATCCCATATGTTGTTGATGTGTAGAGTTTTCATTGTTGACATTTATGAATTGACTATAATTGTACTTTGATTTCCTTCTTGACTCGAGTTAATTATGAGGGTGTTTAAATTTCCAAGTGGTATTTTTTAAAAAAACATGTTACTAATTTCTGCTTCATTGCTCATTGTTTTAAATATGTGATTTGCGTAAGTCTTACTTTTTAGAGCTATTGAGAGGGTTTTTTTTCTTGGTAGTTTAGTATATCGCCAATTTTTGAAATGTCTAGATATTTTATAGCAATGTGTACTATTCTTATGTTATGAAGTCTATTTTTTTCTATCTGTATATTTTTGTTTATTCTTCTGTAAAACTTTGAACGGTTTCATTATATATTTAGCATTATGTTACTTGTTACATATAACTTTGTGAATATCCTATTGCCATCATGTGTTGTATCTTTTATCAATATAAATAATCCTTTATCACATGAAATGCTGTTTGCTTTGAATTTAATTTGTCTAATAGCAATGTTGTAATGAATGCCTTCTTTAATTTTTACTTTCTTGATATACCTTTGGCCATCCCTCTATTTCCACACTTAGATATCTAAGTGATGTGGTTTAAAATTTTTCTCTTTTAAACAGCATAGAATTAGATTTTAGGGAAGTTTTAAAATAAGTTATTTTCTTAATGAAAGACCTTAAGTCATTCACATGTATTGCGACAAATAGTGTTTTGGTTTGGTGTAATTTCAGTTCCTTATTTTAGTCTTTCTATATTAAGGGTTTTTTGTTTGTTTGTTGCTATTTACTTGTTTTTTCTTTTTATTTGATTATCAATTGTGGTAGGCTTGAAAAAAGCTCCCCGCCCCTACCCCCCACCACCACCACCACCACAAAATCCGTATCCTAATCCCTGGAACCTGTGATGTTACCTTATATAAGAAAAGGGAACTTCACAAATGTAATCAAATTAAAGATCTTAAAACTGGGAGATTATTCTGGTTTATCCCAGTGATTCCCACATGTAATCATAACAGGGTGGTAGAAGGGAGTGTGACACACAGACAGAAGAGGAAAAGGCAGAGCTTGGGCCGATATGGTCACACGCCAAGGACTGCTGGCAGTCACCCGAAGCCAGAAGAGGCAAGGGGCAGATTCTCCCCTAGAGTCTCTGGAGGACTCATGGGCTTGCCAAACTTTTATTTTTGCCCAGTAGAACTAATTTTGGACTTCTGGTCTCCAGAGCTGTGCGAGAATAAATTTATGTTGTTTTAAGCCATAAAGTTTGTAGTAGTTTGTTACAGCCACCATAGGAAACTAATTAAAATTTCTCCATTTTTATTTTACTCTATCATAGCTTATCTTTAACTTTTAGCTTTAATATATCTCTATCAAGGTTAAAAAACAAAAGAGAGACCCAAAATACATAACAAAATTGAACATGATGTCTTTCTTTGTACTCTGTCCCTTCACTCAACTCCCTTAAGTTTTTCCTGAAATGTTCCATAGTCATATTTATAATTATTTTGTAAGCATTTCATGTGTTTCTAACTTCATTGCTTACCATAGTTGTTATTATTCTATGCTCTTCCCTCTTCTTGAATTCTTAATTTTAATTCAATTCTCAATTAGCTGAAGTATGCCAGGAAGACTATAAAATATTATATTTTCTTCCTTCTTATATATCTGAGAAAACTGTTCTGTGCCTTGGCACAGAAATCATATTTACAAAGTTCTTGAATCACAATTTTTTTTCAAAACTCTGAACATGTTGTTATAGTGTTTTCTGGCATTACTTTTTGTGGGAAAGAGGTATGATAATTTAAGATGCATTTCTTTTAGGTAACTTTTAAATTTTTTTACCCTGCCTTAAATGCCTGAAGATGGTTAATCTCTGAAATTAAATACTCTTTTGATTGTATCTCAAAGTCAGCATCTTTTTATCAACATTGACTGCTCTTCTGGACACTCTTATTTATGGCTCTTCCTCCTGCTCCAGATTCTGAACTGTGCCTGTCACCTCCCTCAAGACAGCCACAGAGCCCCAAGATCCTTATAACCTCACCATGATGTTCCACTCCACAGGGTTCTGCCATTGTGTGCTTTCTTTTTCATCCTTCTCTGATGCCACCTCCTCCTCTGTTTGTTGCCAGCCTTAATAATTTTAAATTCATGGATCACAGGTAGAAACCCCAGTTTTGTCTAAGTAGACGATCGATTTTTTTTTTCTTAAAGCTAGTCTTCCATTTTTCTCTTTCTCTATTTGTCACCTTTTCCCAAGAGATAATTTTTTCTTTTAGTTTTCAGAGGAGCCTTCAATTTCTTTTTTTAAACCTTTTTTCTAACTTTTATTTTAAGTTGAGGGGTACATGTGCAGGTTTCTTATACAGGTAAACTTGTGTCATGGGGGTTTGTTGTACAGATTATTTAATCACCCAGGTATTTTTTTTTTTTTTTTTTTTTGAGACGGAGTCTCGCTCTGTCGCCCAGGCTGGAGTGCAGTGGCGCAATCTCGGCTCACTGCAAGCTCTGCCTCCCGGGTTCACGCCATTCTCCTGCCTCAGCCTCCCGAGTAGCTGGGACTACAGGCGCCCGCCACTACGCCCGGCTAATTTTTTGTATTTTTAGTAGAGACGGGGTTTCACCGTTTTAGCCGGGATGGTCTGGATCTCCTGACCTCGTGATCCACCCGCCTCGGCCTCCCAAAGTGCTGGGATTAAGCTTCATATTCATTAGTTATTTTTCCTGATCCTAACCCTCCTCCCACCCTACACCCTCCTATAGGCCCCAGTGTGTTTTGTTCCCCTCTATGTATCTGTGTGTTCTCATCAGTTAGCTTCCACTTATAAGTGAGAATATACAGTATTTTGTTTTCTGTTCTTGCATTAGTTTGCTGAAGATAATGCCCTCCATCCATGTCCATCCATGTCCCTGCAAAGCACATTATCTCATTCTTTCTTACGAGCCTTCAATTTCTAATCATTCCTCAGAACCTCCTCCCTATGGTGGCTTTCACAACATTAGTGCTGAGATGCATTTGTAGAAATAACAAATCATAAAGAACCACAATGTGCTTGATTGTTATTTGTCTGAGCCAGAGAAAGAACAAAAAGGCACGAATTCAGAACAAAGATAACTGCCAAGAAGAAAGTGAAGTAAATGCTCTCCATTAGACTTCAATCTACAAGTTACTCTTCTACTCCCTCTGGATTTGAACCTAATGTTACAAAGTGGAGATACAGCCAGACTCTTGATAGAAATGAGGCTCCAAGTTACCTGAAAAATGTCCACCTTGATCATCCCTTCAAATATATTTCATTTAATCACATTCTAAATATGCTCTTCACATAAGAGAAATTAACTTCTTAAATCCCAATTTCCCTTTCTGCTAATTATGCAAAAAAAGATTGTACACAGATAATTAAAAGGTGTGGGTAAAGTTAATAAAAGAGACAGTGGGAAGGAAGAGGAGACCCAGATCCTGAGCCTAATGAAGTGGATGAAAAAGGGGAGCTCTCTGATGGTGTCAGTGCTGATGATGATAAATGATTCAACACCGCACATAGGCTCCCTAAAACCGGAACCCTTCTATCATCTCTTGACTCCCACTGATAAAAAGCAAATGAACTTTTGTTTCTAATTATTCTGGAATGTCAATTGTGGCAGAAAAAATTAGTTTAGCTTTAAAAGTCAATTCCAAACAAATGTACCATGCAAATGTCAAGGACTGATCCTGAAATATGGAGTTTCCAAGAGGCCAAGGGAATAAGTGAGCAAGAAAGAACTGAAGCATTGTCACTCATCATGGCCAGCAGTACAAATTCTAGCACCAGGAACCAAACTCTGCTTCCTGGTGTGGAGATGAAAAGGGAGAGTTCCCTGGTCCATCCATCACAGGACATGGGACAGGGGTATGGCTCTCTGTTCAGCTTCCTCAAGCTCAAACTCCTTATAGGAGGGGGAGCATGCAGAAGGGTAGGTGCAGGAGCCAGGGCAAGTGCATTGAACTCCGGCCCCACAGTAGTGTCTGGGGTGGGTGCCTGTGACTCCTGAAGCCCCAGTGTTATAGTGCTGTTTTAACTCTGCCATCTGCAGATGGCTTAAGTGGTAACCAGCTCAGTGCCCTCTTGGTGGCCATGTCCTCGTCCATAGGCCAGGAAGAGTCAGGTCACACACAGACTTGAAGGATGAATGCAGGAGTTTTATTGAGTGGTGGAGGTGGTTCTCAGTGGGATGGATGGGGAACTGGAAGGGGGATGGAGTGGGAAGATGATCTTCCCCTGGAGTTTGGCTGTCCAGGGCCATTCTCCTGTCTGATTGTCCCCAGCTGAACTCTTCTTAGTGTTCAGACCCTCCTTCTCTTCTCTCCTTCTCTGCCATGCTGTTCTGCCATTCGTCTGCTCATCTCCTCCTGGAGCCTGGGATTTGGGGTTTATATGGGTACAGGATAGGGGCATGTAGCTGGCCAAAAGGCAACTTTTTGGGCACAAAAACAGGAATACCTGTTCTCATTTAAGACCACTGGTTTCCAGGCTTGAGGGTGGGGTCTTTGCTGGGAAACTGCCCTCTTTCACCCAGTATTTCCCTTTCTCTTGTCCATGTAAGAGAGTTATTTCCCTTCCTAATCCAACACTCACCCCTTCTTTGGTTCACCTCTCAGATTTCTAAATAACACAAGGTGCTATTCTTTCCATTATGTGCCTTCCCTCACCTCTCTGAAGTCATAAGCTTCCTCTCATTTCTGTCTTTAGGTTGTGCTGCTCTACGCCTCTACCTACGTCCTGGTGTCCCTCAGCATAGACAGATACCATGCCATCGTCTACCCCATGAAGTTCCTTCAAGGAGGTGAGCTGGCTTTACCAGGTGCTCTTTCATAAAGAACTGTCCTTGAGTGAGGGTAGGATCATTTTCACTAATATTTTACTCTTAATAATAGTGATCTTCCTCCTCTTTCCTTCTCTTTCTTCTCTCTTCATTCTCCTCTTCCACCTCTTTCCTCACTTCATGGGTCTGATTGTCTAAAAAGATGTACAAAAGAAAACTTAGATGCCTGGAAAAATGCCGATGGTTCCCATGGACAGCCCAGAGCCACTAAGGAAGGTGGGTGGCTGACCCACTTTGTGACCATTCAGCTTGATGCTGATGCTTCCATCTTTTTCCTCTAGAGCAGTGTTGACATGCATACCTGTCCAAAGAAATGAACTCTCCCACACTAACTTCTCATTTTCCAGAAACAAACACCTTGTTCTCCTTATCCAAAACCATAGAAATAATTGGAAAGATGTTTTTAATTGATCATCGTATTGGGAAAAAAAAATAAGGAAACTCTCTTTGATCCAGAAATGGTTAGGGATCCCTAAGAAAAGGAAGCAGATGGGTCAGAGGGAAGGCTGAGACCACACAGCCCACAAAACCCCTAGGAGATGCTGAAGTGGGATGGGAGGCCTTAGGAGCACTTCCTGAACAGGCTGCATCAATGTGGAGTGTAGGAGAGGACCCGAGGCAACTGACAAGGTGATTTCTGAAGTACAACACAGAGGATTAATCACAGCAAGTTTCCCTGGATTTGAAGAGGCAGAGAGGGGCCCTGGGGAGCAGTAATGCCCTAGAGGAAGGGTGAGTACATATTCACAAGACTAGCTGCCTACTGCTCTGCCCACAATCAGAGACCACTCTCCTCCATACACCCTGAAAGCAAATACAAAGCCATTGTTTAGCAACCTGTTCTCCCTTCCTCCAGATAACTTCGAAAACTGATAAAGAACCTAACAAAAAATCTTGACCACAAAAATGAGTGCAATCAAATATTATTTAAAAAGTGACAAAATCCAAACTGTAGAAAACAGATAATACCTTTAAAATCTCATTCCACACAATTTGGATCTAGGGAAGCAAATTTAATAGAAGTAGCAGAATTTTAGGATAAATATAATTAACGTCATCAAGGATCTACAAGAAGTGGAGTGAAATAGGGTAATTTCATTTACTATTGACAGGGGTATAAGTAAACACATCTTATTGAAATATAAAATGTGCAGCCCTTTGATATGACTTCTTGGTATCTGCTCTGGAGAAACACCCACACGTGTGCATGTATACATATGTGATGTATATTGTGGCACTGCCTACAATAGCAGGAATTCATCGCTAACCTTGGTGTGTCTCAGTGGAGGAATGGCTAACTAGTCTATGGAAGAAGTTTCAGTACCTTCTGTTTATTGATTGCATACTAGGTGTCATTCATGATTCTAACTGATTCATACATATTAAATATTTTAATATTCATAATATCTCTGTGAGGTGGGCTCTATTATTATCTGCATTTTACAGGTAAGGCAATCGTTGTTCCAAGAGTGAAAGTAATTTGCCCAAGGTCACAGCTAGTAAGTGCAGGAACAGGATTTGAACCCACACAGTCTGGGTCTAGCTCCAGCGCCCTCAAATGCTATATAGCCTGCCTCTCAATGTGGAAGTGGTAGAGCCATGGGCAGTAATATGCATCAACATGAACATATCCATATTGTATGCTGAGTGACAAAAACAATATGCACAAAAATCCATGTGAACGATAACATTAAAGTCAAAAACTCAAAACAATGCTAGATATTGTGTACAGAAAGACAGAGAGGAGCAGAAAGAGAGAACACACAAAAGAAAACTCCAGGAAAAATAAAAAACTATTTGCAAAAACACACAAAACTTGACATTTGACCTCACTTCTAGTTATGGGAGTTAGACCAGTGGTGTGACCACCACAGGAACTTATATGCAAGGTGGTAATTTTTACATGAAGAACATATCAATGTGTTGTGTGCAATTAAAATGAATTTATTTTGATCATGCTTGTTATGCCTACTGTACAGCATAAGACATATGAGTAAAAATACTAAATTGTATACTTAAGAATTTGCTGGGGATCTGTTCCAAGATGGCCAAATAGGAACAGCTCTGGTCTGCAGCTCCCAGCATGATCGATGCAGAAGACAGGTGATTTCTGCATTTCCAACTGAGGTGCCTGGTTCATCTCACTGGGACTGGTTGGACAGTGGGTGCAGCCCATGGAGGGTGAGCCAAAGCAGGGCAGGGCATCGCCTCACCTGGGGAGCACAAAGGGTTGGGGGATGTCCCTTTCCTAGCCAAGGGAAGCTGGGGCACACTGTACCTGGGACACTCCTGCCAAATACTGCACTTTTCCCAAGGATTTAGAAACGAGCAGACAAGGAGATTCTCTCCCATGCCTGGCTCAGGAGGTCTGGAGCCTTGCTCACTGCTAGCACAGCAGTCTGAAATTGAACTGTGAGGCAGCAGCCTGGCTAGGGGAGGAGCGTCCACCATTGCTGAGGCATGAGTAGGTAAACAAAGTGGCCCGGCAGCTCAAACTGGGTGGAGCCCACTGCAGCTCAGCAAGGCCTACTGCCTCTATAGGCTCCACCTCTGTGGGCAGGACATAGCTGAACAAAAGGCAGCAGACAGCTTCTGCAGACTTAAACGTCCCTGTTCGACAGCTCTGAAGAGCACAGTGGTTCTTCCAGCATGGCGTTTGAGCTCTGAGAATGGACAGACTGCCTCCTCAAGTGGGTCCCTGACACCTGTGTATGCTAACTGGGAGACATCTCCCAGTAGGGGCCAACAGACACCTCATATAGGTGGGTGCCCCTCTGGGACAAAGCTTCCAGAGGAAGGATCAGGCAGCAATGTTTGCTGTTCTGCAATATTTGCTGTTCACAGCCTCTGCTAGTGATACCCAGGCAAACAGGGTCTGGAGTGGATCTCCAGTAAACTCCAACAGACCTGCAGCTGAGGGACCTGACTGTTACAACGGAAACTAACAAACAGAAAGGAATAGCACCAACATCAACAAAAAGGACATCTACACCAAAACCCCATCTGTAGGTCACCAATATCAAAGACCAAAGGTAGATAAAACCACAAAGATGGGGAGAAACCAGAGCGGAAAAGCTGAAAATTCTAAAAATCAGAGCGCCTCTTCTCCTCCAAAGGACTGCAACTCCCCGCCAGCAATGGAACAAAGCTGGATAGAGAATGACTTTGACGAGTTGACAGAAGTAGGCTTCAGAAGGTCGGTAATAACAAACTACTCCTCCGAGCTAAAGGAGCATGTTCAAACCCATTGCAAGGAAGCTAAAAACCTTGAAAAATGGTTAGACGAATGGCTAAATAGAATAAACAGTGTAGAGAAGACCTTAAATGACCTGAAGGAGCTGAAAACCATGGCACAAGAACTTCGTGAGGCATGCACAAGCTTCAATAGCCAATTCAATCAAGTGGAAGAAAGGGTGTCAGTGATTGAAGATCAAATTAATGAAATAAAGCGAGAAGACATGGTTAGAGAAAAAAGATTAAAAAGAAACAAACAAAGCCTCCAAGAAATATGGTACTATGTGAAAAGACCAAATCTACATTTGATTAGTGTACCTGAAACTGATGGGGCGAACAGAACCAAGTTGGAACACACTCTTCATGATATTATCCAGAACTTGCCCAAAATAGCAAGGCAGGCCAACACTCAAATTCAGGAAATACAGAGAACACCACAAAGATACTCCTCGAGAATAGCAACCCCAAGACATGTAGTCAGATTCACCAAGGTTAAAATGAAGGAAAAAATGTTAACGGCAGCCAGAGAGAAAGGTCAGGTTACCCACAAAGGGAAGCCCATCAGACTAACAGCAGATCTCTTGGCAGAAACCCTACAAGCCAGAAGACAGTGGGGGCCAATATTCAACATTCTTAAAGAGAAGAATTTTCAATCCAGAATTCCATATCCAGCCAAACTAAGTTTCATAAGTGAAGGAGAAATAAAATCCTTTACAGAAAAACAAATGCTGAGAGATTTTGTCACCACCAGGCCTGCCTTACAAGAGCTCCTGAAGGAAGCACTAAATATGGAAAGGAACAACCAGTACCAGCCACTACAAAAACATGCCAAATTGTAAAGACCATTGATGCTAGGAAGAAACTGCATCAACTAACGGGCAAAATAACCAGCTAACATCATAATGATAGGATCAAATTCACATATAACAATATTAACCTTAAATGTAAATGGGCTAAATGCTCCAATTAAAAGACACACACTGGCAAATTGGATAAAGAGTCAGGACCCATCAGTGTGCTGTATTCAGGAGACTCATCTCATGTGCAGAGATACACATAGGCTCAAAATAAAGGGATGGAGGAAGATCTACCAAGAAAATGGAAAGCAAAAAAAAGCAGGGGTTGCAATCCTAGTGTCTGATAAAATAGACTTTAAACCAACAAAGATCAAAAGAGTCAAAGAAGGCCACTGCATAATGGTAAAGGGATCAATTCAACAAGAAGAGCCAACTATCCTAAATATATATGCACCCAACACAGGAGCACCCAGATTCATAAAGCAAGTCCTTAGAGACCTACAGAGAGACTTAGACTCCAACACAATAATAATGGGAGACTTTAACACCCCACTGTCAATATTAGACAGATCAACGAGACAGAAGGTTAACAAGGATATTCAGGACTTGAACTCAGCTCAGCACCAAGCAGACTTAATAGACATCTACAGAACTCTTCACCCCAAAACAACAGAATATACATTCTTTTCAGCACCGCATTGCACTTATTCCAAAATTGACTACATAATTGGAAGTAAAGCACTCCTCAGCAAGTGTAAAAGAACAGCAATCACAACAAACTGTCTCTCAGACCACAGTGCTATCAAATTAGACCTCAGGATTAAGAAACTCACTCAAAACCGCACAACTACATGGAAACTGAATAACCTGCTCCTGAATGACTACTGGGTACATAGTGAAATGAAGGCAGAAATAAAGATGTTCTTTGAAACCAATAAGAACAAAGACACTATGTACCAGATTCTCTGGGACACATTTAAAGTAGTGTGTAGAGGGAAATTTATAGCACTAAATGCCCACAAGAGAAAGCAGGAGAGATCTAAAATTGACACCCTAACATCACAATTAAAAGAACTAGAGAAGCAAGAGCAAACAAATTCAAAAGCTAGCAGAAGGCAAGAAATAACTAAGATCAGAGCAGAACTGAAGGAGATAGAGACACAAAAACCCTTCGAAAAGTCAATGAATCCAGGAGCTGGTTTTCTGAAAAGATCAACAAAATTGATAGACTGCTAGCAAGACTAATAAAGAAGAAAAGAGGGAAGAATCAAATAGATGCAATAAAAAATAATAATGTGGATATCACTACCAATCCCGCAGAAATACAAACTACCATCAGAGAATACTATAAACACCTCCATGCAAATAAACTAGAAAATCTAGAAGAAATGGATAAATTCCTGGACACATACACCCTCCCAAGACTAAACCAGGAAGAAGTTGAATCTCTGAATAGACCATTAACAGGCTCCAAAATTGAGGCAATAATTAATAGGCTACCAACCAAAAAAAGTCCAGGACCAGACCAATTCACAACTGAATTCTACCAAAGGTACAAAGAGGAGTTGGTACCATTCCTTCTGAAACTATTCCAATCAATAGAAAAAGAGGGAATCCTCCCTAACTCATTTTATAAGGCCAGCATCATCCTGATACCAAAGCCTGGCAGAGACAAAACAAAAAAAAGAGAATTTTAGACCAATATCCTTGATGAACATCGATGTGAAAATCCTCAATAAAGTACTGGCAAACTGAATCCTGCAGCACATCAAAAAGCTTATCCACCATGATCAAGTCGGCTTCATCCCCGGGATGGAAGGCTGGTTCAACATATGCAAATTGATAAACGTAATCCATCACATAAACAGAACCAATGACAAAAATCACATGATTATCTCAATAGATACAAAAAAGGCCTTCAACAAAATCCAACGCCCTTCATGCTAAAAACTGTCAATAAACTAGGTATTGATTGAACATATCTCAAAATAATAAGAGCTATTTATGACAAACTCACATCCAATATCATACTGAATGGGCAAAAACTGGAAGCATTCCCTTTGAAAACCGGCACAAGACAAGGATGCCCTCTCTCACCACTCCTATTCAACATAGTGTTGGAAGTTCTGGCCAGGGCAATCAGGCAAAAGGAAGCAATAAAGCGTATTCAATTAGGAAAAGAAGAAGTCAAATTGTCCCTATTTGTAGACCACATGATTGTATATTTAGAAAACCCCATTGTCTCAGCCCAAAATCTCCTTAAGCTGATAAGCAACTTCACCAAAGTCTCAGGATACAAAATCAATGCGCAAAAATCACAAGCATTCCTATACATGAATAAGAGACAAACAGAGAGCCAAATCATGAGTGAATTCCCATTCACAATTGCTACAAAGAGAATAAAATACCTAAGAATCCAACTTACAAGGGATGTGAAGGACCTTTTCAAGGAGAACTACAAACCACTGCGCAAGGAAATAAAAGAGGACACAAACAAATGGAAGAACATTCCATGCTCATGGATAGGAAGAATCCATATAGTGAAAATGGCCATACTGCCCAAGGTATTTTATAGATTCAGTGCCATCCCCATCAAGCTACCAATGACTTTCTTCACAGAATTGGAAAAAACTACTTTAAAGTTCATATGGAGCCATAAAAGAGCCTGCATTGCCAAGACAATCCTAAGCAAAAAGAACAAAGCTGGAGACATCAAGCTACCTGACTTCAAACTGTAGTACAAGGCCACAGTAACCAAAACAGCAAGGTACTTGTACCAAAACAGAGATATAGACCAATGGAACAGAACAGAGCCCTCAGACATAACACCACACTTCTACAACCATCTGATCTTTGACAAACCTGACAAAAACAAGAAATGGGGAAACGATTCCCTATTTAATAAATGGTGCTGGGAAACCTGGCTAGCCATATGGAGAAAGCTGACACTGGATCCCTTCCTTACACCTTATACGAAAATTAACTCAAGATGGATTAAAGACTTAAATGTTAAACCTAAAACCATAAAAACCCTAGAAGAAAACCTAGGCAATACCATTCAGGACATAGGCATGGGCAAAGACTTCATGACTAAAACACCAAAAGCAATGGCAACAAAAGCCAAAATTGACAAATGGGATCTAATTAAACTAAAGAGCTTCTGCACAGCAAAAGAAACTACCATCAGAGTGAATGGGCAGCCTACAGAATGGGAGAAAATTTTTGCAATCTACCCATCTGAAAAGGGCTAATATCCAGAATCTACAAAGAACTCAAACAAATTTACAAGAGAAAAAACAACCCCATCAAAAAGTGGGCAAAGGATATGAACAGACACTTCTGAAAAGAAGACATCTATGCAGCCAACAGACACATGAAAAAATGCTCATCATCACTGATCATCAGAGAAATGCAAATCAAAACCACAATGAAAAACCATCTCATGCCAGTTAGAATAGTGACCATTAAAAAGTCAGGAAACAACAGGTGCTGGAGAGGATGTGGAGAAATAGGAACACTTTTACACTGTTGGTGGGAGTGTACATTAGTTCAACCATTGTGGAACACAGTGTGGCGATTCCTCAAGGATCTAGAACTAGAAATACTATTTGACCCAGCAATCTTATTACTGGTATATACCCAAAGGATTATAAATCATGCTACTATAAAGACACATGCACACGTATGTTTATTGCTATTGCAGCACTATTCACAATAGCAAAGACTTGGAACCAACCCAAATGTCCATCAATGATAGACTGGATTAAGAAAATATGGCACATATACACCATGGAATACTATGCAGCCATAAAAAAGGATGAGTTTGTGTCCTTTGCAGGGACATGGATGAAGCTAGAAACCATCATTCTCAGCAAACTGTCACAAAGACAGAAAACCAAACACTGCATGTTCTCACTCATAGGTGGGAACTGAACAACGAAAACACTTGGACGCAGGGTGGGGAACATCAGACACCGGGGCCTGTCAGGGAGTGAGGGGCTGGGGGAGGGATAGCGTTAGCAGAAATAGCTAATGTAAATGACAAGTTGATGGGTGCAGCAAACCAACATGGCACATGTATACCTATGTATCCAACCTGCACATTGTTCACATGTACAATGATAATTTAAAAAAAAGAATTTGCTAACAAGATAAACCTTATGTTAAGTGCTCTTGCCACAAAAGGAAAAAACTAAACAAAACAATACTAAAGGGGGACAGGAAGAAGCCTTTGGAGGTGATGGATACATTTATGGCATTGCTTGTAATGATGGTTACAGGAATGTATACATATCTCCAGACACATTAAGTGGTATGCATTGGATATGTATAGCTTTTTATATGCCAATTATACATCAATAAAGTGGTTTAGAAGTTAATTTTAAAAATAGAAAATATACTTGTTTCCTGGGTTTCTTCTCGGTCATTTGGTGTGTCTGTTTTGTGAAGGGTTGAGACCTGTACCAAGTTTTCTGGGCACTGTAAAGCCCTAGTTATTATGATAGGGGAGGCAGGAAATTGATGAGGCAGGGGAGATAGGAGAGACATTTCGTGACATAGGTATGCAAAAATGTGTCAATGAAGCATCAAATTCTGTAAAATATTTGTAGAGATTTATTCTGAGTGAAATATCAGTGACAATGGACAAAGCCCTCAGGAGGTCATGAGAATATGTGCCCAAGGTGGTCAGGGTGCAGCTTGGTTTTATACATTTTAGGGCGACATGAACCTTCAATCAAACACATTTAAGAAATACATAGGGTTGGTCCGAAATGGCAGGGTTGGGTAGTGGGGGATGGGGTGGGCGAAGCTTCCAGATTATAGTTAGATTTAAATTTTTTCTGGTTGACAATTGGTTGAGTTTATCTAAAGACCTGGGATCAACAAAAAGGAATGTCTGAGTTAAGACAAAGAATTGTGGAGACCAAACTTCTTATTTGCAGGGGAAACTTTTAGGTTTCCTCTTCAGGGAGACTATGTTGTAAAATGTTTCTCATCAGACTTAAAGTCTGTGTTGATGTTAACGCTGGAGAGGTATAATGAGACACACCTGAACCCGCACTGCCCATCATGGCTTGGAACAGCCTCTCAGGTTAAATCTTAAAAGAGCCTTGGCTGAGGAGGAAATCCATTCGGAAGGTTGGGGGGCCTTATAACTTTATTTTTGGTTTACATTCATGGATTTGTGATACACTTTTTTTTTTTTTTTTTTTTTTTTTTAGACAGAGTCTCACTCTGTCGCCCGGGCTAGAGCGCAGTGGCGCGATCTCAGCTCACTGCAACTTCTGCCTCCCAGGTTCAAGTGATTCTTGTGCCTCAGCCTCCCGAGTAGCTGGGATTACAGGTGTGCATCACCACGCCTAATTTTTGTATTTTAGTAGAGATGGGGTTTCACCGTGTTGGCCAGGCTGGTCTCAAACTCCTGGGCTCAAGCAATCCACCTTGGCCTTCCAAAGTGCTGGGATTATAGGCATGAGACACTGCACCTGGCCCGTGATACACTTATTTATCCATCTATTTGTTTATGCCTAGCCGACTTTAGAAAGGGTTGAATGTGGTGGACAAAAGGACATCGACGCCAAAGTATTTTAAGGTGAAGAAATATAAGTGAAGGAAAAATAAGTATAGGAAATTGCAGGAGGGAAGTCCCAGGAAACTTGTTAGAGGTACAGACTTGAGACCCATAGCCAGAGGGTGACATGATGAATTACATGTTTCACCATATTCACTAGGTTAAAAAATTAGCTGTTTGCTCGTGGAAAATATGTCTAGTTCTGGGAGACACTGTGTAATATCATCAAGAGTGTCCTAAATTATCAGAAAGGCAGCAATTAATATTATAGTGCTTTTCTAAAGATGTAAAACAACTTATTCCCTCACTACAAAATTAAGAGAGGCTCAACATAAGGTGCTTGGAAAATCCTCATCATCAGTAGCTTCTGGGAAAGATGAAAGCTTAGAAACACATTAGCCAGCTGCCTTCCTCTGCCCAGGCCCAACGAAAGTCACTGAAGAAATCTAAAAACAGGGGGAGACCTGCATCTGGAATGAGAGCCAAGGAAAGAAGCCATCCAAATACCAGAAACTTCTAAGAATTCCCAGCACACGAGGGAGCAGATGAAACACGGAAGCCAAGTGTATAATGTATAATTCAGCCCCCGGGAGAACTCCCTGGCCTTGTAGAGGATGAACTGATACTCACAAGTTTATAGGGTGAGGGCAGCCGGTGAGAACGCGACACGAGAGGTTCCAGGAAGCCCAACGCGGGAGTCATTTTAGTACCGCAGCTTGTCAGAATTTAAGGGCAGCTGAGAGGCAGGGTTCGGAGTTTATGCGGCTCAGCTGAGAGAAAGCCGTAGAAAGAAGAGATTCCCCGAGAGTGGCAGGGCTCTCTGGGAGAGTCATGGAGCAGGGAGAAACCAGGAGGGAGTCAAATGTAGCTGTGCAGGCACAAGGCAATGGCCGCTTAACTGAGGGGAGGCCATATTTTATTTATTTTTTACTGCTATTTACTGAAGCAGTATTTTTCTTAGCCAGCAACTCCAGAAAAGTTGACAATTTTAAAGGTCTTCACCAAAAATGAATATGAGAATAATTAGAAAAATATCAAAATAATAAAGAGAAATATGCAGTGTTATATTAAAATGTAATATAAAACTTTGATAATTAAAACAATGCTGGAACCAGAATAACACATATAAATCATACAAAATTTCAAATCAGTTGGCAAAAAATGAATTAGTATACGGTGTTGAAATAGCTGTCTGGCCTTTTTTCAGAATATTAGATCACCACCCACCATAGCTAATAACAAAGTAAATTTTAGTTGGATTGAAAAAATTAACACTTCAAACATAAAAGGAGTAAAAGAATATTTGGGTAACACCTTCATAATTTCAGTGAAGGAAAGGCCTTTCCAGGAACCATATCAAAAGCAGAAGCAAGAAGGAAAATATAGTTTTTTACTACATAAAAATTTAAATTATTTATGTAAATAATAAATATCCATAAACAAACTTAAAAAGCAAAATTATAAATGGAAAATATTTTTATGTAACAGGCAAAGAAAAATATCCTTTTTATAAAGAAGTCTGGCAAAGAAATAAAAACATTCTAATTGAGTAAATGGGCAAAGGGCATGAACAGACTAACAAGAAACAAAGAAACATAAATGAGACCAGGCGCTGTGGCCCACGCCGGTAATCCCAGCACTTCGGGAGGCTGAGGTGGGTGGATCACTTGAGGTCACAAGTTTGAGACCAGCCTGGCCAACATAGTGAAACCCTGTCTCTACTAAAAAAATACAAAAATTAGCTGGGCATGGTGGCATGCACCTGTAATCCCGCTACTCAAGAGGCTGAGGCACAAGAATCGCTTGAACCTGGGAAGCGGAGGTTGCGGTGAGTGGAGATGGCACCACTGCACTCTAGCCCTCTAGCATTGGCAACAGAGCAAGACTTCACCAGAAAAAAAAAAAAAAAAACAACACCATAAATGAATAGAAAATGTATAGAAATATTCATTTTGACTACTAATTAAAGAATTGCAAAATTGAACATTTGGATACAAAATTTTACCAACCACATAACAAGATTAAAAGGAAGAATTATCCAACTATTAGGAGAGTATAAGGAAATTGGTACTTTTGTTGTTACAGTGAGAGCCATAAATAGTAGGCACTTTTGAGGGAAATGTAACAATATTTGTCAAAATTTATAAATCTTCTGTTTCTAAGAGTTTATCCTAAGGAATAACAAGAACTGAGAAAAATAGATGAATATAAATTATTTATAATAAAAAATGGAAAACAACTTAGATAATAATCGGCTATTGATAAAATTGGAGTACAGTATAACCACCGGAAAAAATGTTATTTATCAGTGCTTTTCCAATTGCACTTCCCACAGTGACCCCCAGAGGGCTCATTTTGCTGGCCTGCTCCAGGGCAGATCTGGGAGCTGCTGGCTGTCTCAGTTTCAACCAAAGATACCTGAGCTTTCAACACTTTCCTATACTGGGTTCGAGATAAAATTATATTTGAAGAAAGGATCTTACTACCTGAAAAAAAATGCCACTTGTACAAGTTCATATTTCTTAACAGGAAAAGATGGTCATAACAGGCTTTTCAGAGGAAAAAAATTAGGTTACAAGGTAGGATCTGTATCATGATCTCATTTCTAAATGTGTAATCTATGTATTATATATGCATGCGTTATCAAAATTTAAGCTTGACGTTTCTGGTTGGTGCCACTATGGATTTTTTTCCTTTTCGCTTATTTTTATTTGCTAGTGTTTCTATAATCAATGTGTGTAACTTATACGATTTTATAAAAAGGTAAATGAGTTACATGGAAAAGAGGAAGGCTAAGCGGCAGAGAAGTACAGAAATGGACAAGAGCACATGGAAGAGGGAGTCTGACTTTCCGGGGGTGAGAAACATGAGACAGTCTACCTTATATGCAAACCTGCATTTCATCTGTTCGATCCTGGATCCTTCAGCCCTGAGAAGTCACTCTTCATGGCAAATGGGCTCAGCTGCCTGGAAGGCCATCAGTCTCCCTGCTGTGGCAGCTGCGTCACAGCCTAAGAGAGTGGGGCTTTCACAGTGTAGCCCCAGCACCAGTAAGAGAAAAACAGCTCCAAGCCTATACCCTGCTGGGCCTTTGGGGAAACATCTTCGGAGACCTTGGTAGAATTGATTCTAAAGTATGATTCTATACTCTCTTCCCTGTCCATCCCTCTCAAAAGTGAATGCACTGTTCATCCATCAAGTGGAAACTTTGTGGGGCCCAGGAGTCACACGTTGCCCTTAAGAGTGCCCTGGAACCTATAGAAGAAGATGACATTAGAATTCTAACCATTGAAAGAACAAGAGCACAGGGGGCAGCTACTAATGTCACCCAGGACCATAGAAACCCATCAGGCTTCACACCCCCACCATCAAGAAGAACCCCCTCCAGTCCTATTACCTGCCCTCTTCATCCCACCCTGCTTCTTTCTTAATCTGAACTCCCACTGCTTCTCTCCACGCCTGGTTTTTCTCTGTTCCTTTAGGGACCAGCTCCCCTATGCCATCAAACTCCTAATGGGAGGCTCCCTCCACCTCCTGCCTCCTGAGGTGGCTGATTCCCTTAAGACATCTCAAGAGGATGCTCCTCAACCTTCCTTTTTAGGTACCTCATGGCCTGGTGGTGGTGAAGACATTTTCCTACCGTTCTAGACCACCTCCAGGCCTTTTCTCCTTCAGTATTGCATACGCATGCCCTCTCTGTTTCTCTGATGCTCATGCTATCAGTCTAGACTACCTTCTACAACACCTCCCCATATGTCTGTGCCCATATGGCCATGGCCCTCATCCAGTGAAGATGTTGACACTATTCTCAGTCTCTCACCTTTCATACTGTCCTAATCACAGGTGACTCGATGTCTACATAAACTAAGTCTAGTGAGAGGGCTTCACATGATGACTCACAGAGCTTGACATGTTCCCTGCATTTGAAAGCATTGTGGACCAATGACTACATCACACCTGAGAATGTTGAAGAGAAGCTGGCTGGCGCTGTGGTCCTAGCCCAGGGGGCTGATGTAAAACCTGCATCATGAAGTTTGCCTGAGGCTGTGTTAAAAAAGATCCTGCCCCAGACATTTCTGCCAGAGAAAGAGGCCTCCCTGAAGGTCACCAGGGAGGGTGGAAGGTCACTGCCCAAGTCAAGGAAGTGGCCACCAGCAAGACCCCACAGGATAATTTCCAAAGGACCCAGAAAAGTTCCTCAGGGGACCAAGAATCAGCTTTGGATGCAGCCAGGCACAGAGAGCACAAAGCCCTCTGATGACAGCAGCAGTCAAGCAAGAACTCTGTCTTCTTCCTCCTCCTGGTTCCCTGTACCCCAGCTCCAGAGAGACCCCAATGTGGATAGCAACCTGGGGGAGGAGGAGGAATAGCAGACAAGGATAGAAAGCAGAAGGGCTGGTACCTCTGCTGGACTTCCTACTTGAAGCAAGCCCACCTAGGGAGAAAAGACTTAACTTGAAATCTTCTTGGGAATTTGGGGTTTTTTTATTGTTATCTAGGATTTTAATTACTAATTTTCATGTAATTATTAAATTGACCAATGTTTACCACTTAATGTGTCAGTCACCTGTGAGTCATCACTAACATCAAGGGACTCGAGTTTCCAAATGCAGGCAGGAAAACCTCTCCCCCTGTCCCCAGTGGATTACCGGTTGCATGTAAGGAACAGGAAAGACCTTAATCAGATTGCTATTATAATTCTACCCCAAGACTCCTGCTTGCTCAGTGGGCCAATAACAACTCTTTTCTACATGAATCTAATATCTCTTTTCAGTGCATACAATTCAGGAAGAACAGAACCCTAGATATTATTCTCCTAAATATTTTGGGTTTGGATTTTAATAGAGTCCCTAGTTTCCTCTAGATTTTTCTCACTTCTTGTAGCTCGACCACAGTCAACACACTGTCGAACAACACCACCTGACTCTACATTCCAACCCCACCCAAAGACACACACCTGCTTTCCAAGTTGAAAGTAGGGGAGCAAGGTGGCCTCTTATTTCTGGAAGAAGGTCCCAGAGCCAATGAGCACAGAAAGCCCAGCTAGGTGAGGGATTAAGATGAGAGTTTCAACAACAGCTTGACAGAAAGCATCACATCATAACAACGGGTGTATTTTAAAGGTACTTGCTTATGTATTAATTGTCTCTCTCCAGCCCCATCATAACCAGCTGAGGTGGCCAGAGCAGGTATTTTTTATACCAATTTAAAGAAAAGATGAGGCTGAGACTGCATGGTTTAGCCAAGGTCAGAATATTGCAACTAAAGTCCAGTGTGCAGACATAGCTACCAGGTTTCTGGGCTGGTTTTGAATGCACCCTACTCTCCAGAACGAAGTTCAGTGTTCTTTCTCTGCCTTGTAAGTCCACCCATGTTCCTACCAAAAAAAAAAAAAAAGAAAGAAGTTTCCTTCCCATTTGGCAAATAACTCTCAAAAACTGTCCCAGTGCTTTGCAGTGCTGGGTACAGTGAAAAGATGCCACGTGGACCAAAGGCTGTAGCCCTGCCTGGTAACAAGAGACTGCATATGGGTAGACACAACTCAGCATTTGCACCGCAACTTACCAAATGTACATGGTACAAACTGAGCTCCCTAATACTGCAGGAATGGATGCGTCAGCATCTCAAGTCAGATGGGTAAATCAGGAAAGAAAAAGCACCAACCTTAGGCCAGGCAATGTGCTGGCTTCTGTTCAAGCTTCCCTTTGTAATCTTCACATTGACAATGTATGGAGATACTGTATCCCTGTTTACAGAGAAGGAAACTGAGGCTCTGGGAGGTTCTTTGAGGTCCAGGGTGGCTGCCCCACAGTGATCCTTTTCTATAGCAGACTCCATTGTGCTCCCAAAAATGGTTGCCACATACCCAGACATTCCTCTCTTTTCTTTGGGCAGAAAAGCAAGCCAGGGTCCTCATTGTGATCGCCTGGAGCCTGTCTTTTCTGTTCTCCATTCCCACCCTGATCATATTTGGGAAGAGGACACTGTCCAACGGTGAAGTGCAGTGCTGGGCCCTGTGGCCTGACGACTCCTACTGGACCCCATACATGACCATCGTGGCCTTCCTGGTGTACTTCATCCCTCTGACAATCATCAGGTAAGAAGCCGTCAGGACAGGACCACACGGGGGGGTGGGGCGGGGGGGGCTTTCCTGTTTCTCCAGCTGTTGCTCTCCTCCCCAACAGACCCATTTTTCCTAGTGCCCTTGAGGGAACTGACCAGGCCACAAGATTTTATGTGTAGCTACCATAGGCTAAGCCCAATTTCTTCAAAGTAGAGTAAGGAGAAGGGAATTAACAATTACTGGGTATATAGGGCAGGCATTGTGCTAAATAGCTAACAATTATCACATTAGCCACAGTATAACCCTGTGAAATAATTTCCATTGCCCCAATTTAATGAATGATGAAACTCAAGCTCAGAGTGATTAAGTAACTTATTCAACATCAAACAGGATTGATATCCAGGTTTTTCTGAAATCATACCATATTATTTCTTTTATATCTCGCAGCCTTCCAAATATAAGGCAAATTACCAGTTTCAGGGATTTTGTAAATGAAAAGATAGACATACTTGAAACAAACTGAACACAAAACTCAGTATGCACTAATATGCTAAACTGTCTATGCAGTGGAGTCAGATAATGGCAGGGAATATATTTTGGAAGCCACCATTGAAGGAGGAAATGATTCAGGTAGGATAAGGGAGAAGTGGGGAGGAAGCAGAGTCTGTGATGACCAGAAATCAGAGTGAGTGTAGAGGCAGAGTGGACAGGTACACAGTGCCAGTGGGACAGAAGTTGGCAGTGAGCTCCTCCCAGTGACTGGGGGAGGCTCAGTTGTGAATGACCTTGGCAAAAAAGTCATAGGAAGTCCTTTGTCCTGCAGCCAATGGTGAGCTGTAGAGGGTCTTTCAACAGAGATTAGCACAACAACCTGGTCAAGGTAGGGTCTCACTTGGCCATGCCATGTGGCAGGATCACCCTCTGAAATGGGCTCTGCATGTGTAGATGGGGTGGGAGACTACAGGAAGAGACCTGGCACATTGTGTGTATCCTTGAGCCATGATGATGCTGCACCTTTTGGGTAGGTCTAAGCCTGCCATAGTGTGTCATATAACACATTGTAAGCAAAGGAAGATTATCAGCCTTTGTTTTTGATAGTGTAAAGAGAGCTGTGATAAAAATCCTTGTACTTAAAACTGTACATGAGTCTCTGGTTATTTCCTCATAACTCATTCTTGTGGAATTACTAGATCAAAGGTATAGATCAAAGATGATGCACATTTTAAAACTTTTGATGCAGAGTCACAAGCTGCCCTTGAGAAAAGCTGTATTGCTTCTTGGCCTGTTAGCTAAGATCACTTGTAGAAAAGGTATATTCTGGGCAATACCATACAAGGGCTCTTGTTTTCTGCTCCCCTGACCCAATGGAAGGTAGCACTATTACCTTACTAAATCTTTGCCAACCTAAGAGTTTAAAAAGTATTTCATTGTTTTAATATGCATTTCTTTAATTACTAAGCTGGTGGCATGTTTTTCAAGTGTTTTCTGATACAGTGGGAGTCACCTTTTCCTGCTCATTATTCATCTTTAGTCTAATAAAATACTATAGCTGGGAGAAACGTTATCCATCATATGGTCAAACCCCTGAATTTTTCATAAGAGTAGAATTAAGACTAAAAGAAGTTAACTGCCTTGCCCCCGCCCCCTCATCAGAGATTGAGATGGGCAAGCACATAGTGACCTCAAAAGCCAACCCAGCAGCCTTTCCAAAATGGGGTGTTGTCCAGTCATCTCTGCTGAATGGACAACTTAACACCAACACTTTATTTTGACTTATTGCCCTCCACTCCATCAAGCTGAGCTTGAGAGAAAGTTTGAAGGAGAAAAGGTTATTTAGACAACTATCCAAGGTAAGTCACAGCGCATGGGAAGGGGCCCATGGCAGAGGAGACAGGCAAGTGAGCCACAGCGGTCAGAGAGCATTTGGAAGAAAGTGGCTTGTGTCATCCTGAGCAACTGAGGCATCGATTTCAGTGGCAGCACATGTCCTGGCTTCACTGCTGATTGATTTCCCATCAACTCAAGAAATGAACTCCAGTCAAAGTCCCCGCTCAGCAGAGTGGATGCTGCAGCACATGGACCACGCAGCTCAGGTTATCCTGTATCTATGATTTCCCCATTAATTTGGGCTGCTTTTTCCACCAGGACTTCTCCTCAAACTTGCCTGTGGGCTAGCTAGTGTGTCTTTTTCGTGTCCTTGAAAGGGCAAAATACAATGTGTTTGCTGATTGAGGGAAATGATTTCAAAAACTGGTTTCCCTCAGCTCTCACCAAGCTAAAGCCTCTGGAAGGCCAGATCCTAGCTCCTTGCTTCCAGCCCGTGACGGTCATGAAAACTCAGCCATGACCTCCAGCCATCCTTGAGCTTCTCTGAAGCATTTCCTACCTGACAAGAGGCTCCTCTTCCATCACCTTCCCTCTTTCGTGGCTCCCTGCTGCTGAAGAAACAACTTCTCTCTTGGGGACTAACATCCTCTACCTCCTTCAGCAACAACTATCTTCTCAAACAAGACCAGGCCCTGGGGGGGCGAGTTTTGTGAGGAACTTGTTTCCAACTAGTACCTGGCATAGGTGCTACAATTTCATCTCAGATATAAGGTTCAACTCTTATTCTGTCTTTATTACCTATATTCTGGCCCCCTGGGCTCAATTCTCTGAGTAAGGTTAAATTCTTCATTTCAAGCTTAAATAGACAAGGAAAACAGCTCAAGGAAAGTGTTCACTCGTGTTCACCATGCCTCATTCTCCTTCATGCATGCTATATATGCTACATTTACCAAATTGACAGAAAAAAAAACATATCTTAGTTGTTTTATTTTGCATTTCTTTCATTACAAATGAGATTGAATATATTTTATATGCTTTTTGCCATTTTTGTTTTTTTTAAAGTACTTATTAGGTTGGTGCAAAAGTAATTGCGGACTTTGCCATTGAAAGTAATGCCACTTTTCTTGTTTAAATGTTTTTATTTTCTCTATTCTCTATCTTTAGAAATTATTCATACAATAACCTTTTTCTTTTTGCATATGTTGCAAATATTTCTCCTAATTTGTCATTTGCCTCTCTATTGAGTATGGTTTTATTTTGTTTTTGATTATTAAAAGTAGTGATTGACGTAATTAAGAAAAAAAGAAAAAGCACAAATAACTAACTCAGTGGCTTTTCTGCCACAAATACCTCATTGTTTTACTTATTGCCCAGCTTCGTATGCATTTAAGTATCTGCTAGGACAAGATCTACTTGTTTTTTTTCAAAGATTCCCTGGCTGCTTCATGGTGAGCTGCTGATGCCTCACCTGCACTCCCAGCTCCAGCCATGGAACAAACACCCCTCTGGCCCATGTGCATCACTCCCATGCCTGAACACTCTGCCAAGCTCACCTTGCCTTGTTTCACCCAACTAGTTCACATCCCTTGTGTCTCATTTCCAATACCAACTCCACAGTAGAGCTTCCCTTGCCAACCCTGGACCAAGAGGCACCTCAGGTCCTCACTCCCTAACCTCCAACCTCACTTTGTCCATGTCGTCATCTAGACTTCATGGCAGTTTGACTGTATCTCATGAGTGCAGGGACTGTGGCCTCTTCATTTCTGGATTTCACATCCAGCACACACTAAACAGTTGGTGAATATTAGATTGAATGAATAACGCAATAAATTGCACCGAACAACAGATGTGTCATGTCACTCTCTCTACTCTTTCTCTCCCTCTCTCATTCTCTCTCTCTCTGTCTCTCACACACATCACACACACACACACACACACACACACAAACACACGTGTACACATACTGCTAATATAGAAATTTCTGGCTATCTAATGCCTAGATCAGTTTTTGGCATATGATAGCTCCTCCATAAATATATGTGAGAGGAAAGAAGAAAGGGAGAAAAGAAAGGAGGGGGGAAGAAAGGGAGGGAGGGAAAGAGAGAGAGAGAGAGGCAGTTGTATTGTTGGTGGCAAACTCTCATGAGAGCTGCGTATGAATAAAGATGTAGCTGTTCCATCATCCACTAAATCAGGCTCCCAGGAGTTGAAACCATAGTGACTGACAGCAAAGGCAATACATTGTTTTTCTGGGTCAAAACAACAGGAGTTGTTTTGAAATTCACTTGACATAACTGTCTAATTGTTGCTGGGGAGGTTATTAGCCCTGGTGTAATTGCTTTACTTTAGCTGTGCTTATTTTCTTGCTACCTAATTGATTTTTCATTCTCTTATCATTTTCATCTCTGTAAGATAAAGATAGAAGCAGAAGAGATTCACAACCGACAATTGCAAAAAAAAAAAGTGGAAAAAGCACATTAGTCATGGATCATTGATTTGTCATATGTGAGAAAAATTCATTTATTTTGCTTAGGAAATGGGATCACATTGTGGGAAAGCCCCATGCCAGGTTGGTGCAGCCCTGTGGATAGAATACATGGCCATGGTGGGTAAAAGCGCCCCAGGGACCTGGCCAGCACTGGCCATGGGCATAAGGTCCAAGGTCAAAGAGGATCACAGGGCCCACAATAAAAGTAGTCATCAAAATGAATAAAGAGAGATTGTAAGGGTCTCCACTAATGCTGAAAACCTGGATGGAGAGGAAGGTACAGATTATGGAGTCATTTTGCAGGGACAATCCACAAAACTTATCTGCAATCTGATTGATCAGATAAAGGAAAAAGGAAAAGAGACAAAGCCAAGTGTGGTGACTCACACCTGTAATCTCAGCACTCTGGGAGGCCTAGGCAGGTGGACCTCTTGGGCCCGGGAGTTCAAGACCAGCCTGGCAGCATGGTGAAACCCTGTCTCTATAAAATATACAAAAATTAGCCGGGCATAGTGGCGCACACTGGTAGTTCCAGCTATTCAGGTGGCTGAGGTGGGAGGTCAAGGCTGCAGTGAACTATGATCCTGACACTGTACTCCAGCCTGGGTGAGAGAGCAAAACCCTGTGTCCAAAAAAAAATGGGGACACACAGCAACGCAGATGTCTCTTTGATGCTTGATCACTAAGCTCCAAGAAGTAGTCTGATTTGGCAATAATACCCTAGTTATTAGGTGTTCGCCATGCTAACAGAAAAGCTGGTACTGGTTCTCACTCATCTGATTGGCCCTAAGTAAAAAGAGGGGTGACTTAGGCCCAAATCCCTAAAGCATAAGACATTTCTTAACTTTTCCCCTGTGTACATGGTTGATAACCATAAATATTTGAATTATTGGTCAATTAAATACTGGGGTTGCAATTGACATAACCATTAACTTTCCATGGTGAGTGTAACCTTACCTTGCACAGTATTTCACTTTCTGGGGAAGAAGTTTCCCTGTTCTAGCAAATAGTCAACTTAGGGTTGAACTCACTAATAACATTTTTCTCATTTTTTCTTTACTGCAGGCATACAAATTGCAAAAATAGTCCCTGGGCAATTATATAAGAAAGAATGGAGATGCTCCAAAAAAGTCCCTGAGCTTTCCTGGAGCACTTGGAGGGGTTCACTCAGCAAGAATGGGAAAAGGCAGTAAGAAGCAGAGATTTTAACATTGCCATTAATTAAGTTATATTCTAAAGATCATTAAAAGCAATTAGTGCTTTGTCGGCTACTGCAAACTGAAGCTCTGATTTTTTAAAATAATTCTCAAGAGGGAAGATACACAGTTTTAAAATAAAGCATTGCTTTGTCCCAAAGTTTTTAGTCAAGATGCTTAATGTAGTCAAAATATCAAGTAATATTAAAGAAGAGTAGTTTTTATATTTATCAAAGAGTACCTAGGATAGAAAACTTGCTGACACTTTTGAATCCTTAACACTTTGTTTTCCTGTTAGGCACAGATTAAATCATGTAAGAATTGGTGTGATATAGTATAAAAAATAGGCAAAAAAGAGGAGAAAGGAAATTAGTCTCTACTAATTTTCCAGCACCGTACTTGGCACTTTAAATATTGTCACATCTGATACTCAAAAAGTTCGAGAGGTCTGTATTGTTAACACCATTTTGTAGAACCTCAACTGAGGCTCAGTGTAGTAGTTATCTATTACTGCATTACAAATCACCACAAACCTAGTGACTTAAATCAAGATACATTTGTTATCTCACAGTTTCTGTGGGTCAAGAATTTGGCCGTGGCTTAACCGGGTCCTCTGCTCATGCAAGGCAGCCATTCAAGTTGTTTATCCAGGGCAGGGGTCATCAGAGGCTGGACTGGGAGAGGCTCTTTTCCAAGCTCCCTCAGGTCCTTAGCAGAATTCATTTTCTTGCAGCTGTGGGATTCATGGCACCTTGCTTCTTCAAAGCCAGCAATGCATAGAGACACCAACAAGACAGGCACTACATTCTATGTAATCAGTCCCATCCCCTTTGCCACATTGCATTGATTAGAGGCAAGTCACCTGCTCTTCCCACACTAAAGGGGTGAGGATCAACAAAGCCATGAATGCCAGAATCAGGGATCATAGATGTCATTTAAAAGACTGTCTAAAGTCAGGACTGTACAACAGACAAGTAGAGGAGACCCAAGTTTTTCTGACTCTAAGGCCTGTTTTTGGATTCTAATCACAGCTCTCCCTCAAACCATTTGGGCTACCTTGAGGAAACTGCATAACTTTACCAGGTCTTAGCCTCCTCACTTAAGAAAGAAGTAACTCCATCCAGTGGATCCTCATGGTCACTTTCAGTTGCAATTCTATGAACAGCAAGTATAAGGGGGCAGGCATGGTTAAAAGATCTGTCCCTTCACACCTTGCACTCGGGGAGGTGGGAGTGGTCTTCTCTGTGTCCTCACAGTAGGGATCCACCAGTCACTTTAATACTACCTTTGGTTCTTTCTGCAGCATCATGTATGGCATTGTGATCCGAACTATTTGGATTAAAAGCAAAACCTACGAAACAGTGATTTCCAACTGCTCAGGTAAGTCTCTACTCTGCATGGCCCAATTCTTGGCTAATTTGCTTCTCCAGAGGTTTTCTTCTAGCAAATGTGAGCTAGGGACTCCTTGATACACAAGCATACAGGATCATATCAGGACCCAGCCGGCAGACCAGACCCACCAAAGGCTGTCACAGGCGGGCTCTGTCTTCCCCCATGTGACCTCCCTGAAATCTAGGAGAAGGAAGGGGGCACTTTGGACCTGGTCAAGCTATGCCAGCAGAGAGTTAGCCTTTGACCTAGGATCCAAGGGTTACCCCAGCCTCAGATCTAGCAAAGAAGCACCTTGGAGGACACAGATAAGAAAAGACAGACTGTCCAAGGAGGACATCACACCTTCAGCAAAGATGAGCATAGGCTTTTCTGATTGGCTTGAATTTTCAGATACATAAAGCTGCCATCTGTCCATAGAACAATCTTGGACCCTTAGCCAGTAAAGGCACGGTAGTCCATGCTTTCCCAACTGACACACCAATTCAAACCAGATGAAGCCTAAGACCACCTACTACAACTCTTCCCCACATTCCTTCTCAGTAAACCTGAATGCAGAGCCTCTCGTATGCAATAGACTCTGAGCCCTGGAAGCCTACCCTGCTTCCCAGGAAAACATTACTGGACCTGACCAAGGTCAACCTGGAGAAAACACAGCAAACCAAGGGGCCAAAAGAAGAAAGGGCTTCTAGTTTTCTGTTGCTATAATGTGATAGGTCTGCAGAAGAAGACTGGCTCCGCTCAGCTTCCACACCCCTCCCATTCCTTGTGCACACACATACACACAATGTAGGCTCATATACACAAATACACACACCTTCACACACTCAGTCTCACACACACTAACAATGCATACTCACACTTATATGCACTCACACAAGGACAACAAGCTATACCACAAATATCTGGAATAAGAAGAGCTACTTTCTGTTCCAGATGTACCACTAAGAGCTGTGCCACCTGGCAAAGTTATCTAATCCCTGGGCTCCAAGAGGTTAAAATAAGGGGATAGACTGGATTCTCCCTAAGCCCTCCTCTTTTCAGACTGTGAGCTAAACTTTTGTTGGACCAAGACAGAGCTTGTTTTCTCCCTCTTAAAGCTACTTTTTCCAATAAGACTGTGAGGCCACCAAGAGGATGCACAAGTATTATCGGGCACTGATAACTTGTGTCTCTTTCCCTAGAAGTATGAGTGGAGATACATAAGTCTGGGTTCTTCACCTGAATTCAGTTCAATTCTTCTGTACTCTTCTGCATGTCAGGAGTGGTACAGGGACTGGAAATGACAAAGAATGAATAGCATGGTTCCTGACTATAGGCAGCTTACAGTCTAGGGCCTTGGGTCTTGGCCCTGGCTACACAGTAGAATCGCCTGGGGAGGTTTTACAATGCACCGAAACCCAGACACCATTCCCTGAGAGATTCTGATTCACTCCATCTGGAGTGGGGCATGGATTTTATTATTTCGGAAAAGCTCTTCAGGCATTTTTAATGTTCAACCAGGTTTGACAATCTGGTCCAGTGAGACACAGAGTCATAGGTGGCTGACCTTCACACTGACTGACCAGTGTAACCAAGAGATGTGCTTAGGCTGCTTGGAAATTTTCAACCCACGAAGACCCAGTCATTCAGCTTGGGGCTAATTCCAGCCCCCATGCAGATCCTAGTGCTTCCCTTCCACTGGTGCAGTCTCCACACCCTGGTTTTTCTGGAAGAGCAAAAGCAATCAGAGAGAATAAACACAAGTGAATTCATTCTATTCAGTGCAGTTGGCTTTGGTTAAAAGTTAGAATATTTGTCCAAAAAAAAAATTGGATGAAGACATCCTTCCTCTATCAGATATCAAATAAATGCAGTAAGTACTATAATTATAATACTAAAATCATTGAAAGAGAATTATATGGACAGGGAAATCCAACAGAACAGAAATGCCAAAGGAAACCTCAGGAATTTAGAATGTGATGAAGTATTTTAAACTGATAGAGAAATAGAAACTGTTTAATTACTAATGTTGAGACAACTGCCCATATGGAAACAATCATATATTAGATTGTTGTATCATATGCTACAAGGAAATACACTCCTTATGAAACGAAGAACAAAAGATAGAATGAGGGAGAAAGAAAGAGTGAGAGAGAAAGAGTGAGGAAAGAAAAGAAGAAAGAAAGAAAGAAAGAGAAAGAAAGACAGAAAGAAGAAAGAAAGAGAGAGAGGGAGGGAGGGAGAAAGGAAGGAAGGAAGGAAAAGAAAGAAAGGAAAGGAAAGATGGGTAGAAGAAGAGAGGCGGGGGGGAAGAAAGAGAAAGAAAAAAATATAGGAAATATTGTTTATATTCATGAAAAACTGAAAAGATCTGAATATCCTACAATGAGGGAACTGAGCATAATAATTATATAGCCATACAATTAAATGCTACAGCTCTAAAAATTATTATAGAGAGTGTACTTATTGCCATAGAAATATTTCTCCAATATAGTACATTAAGAAAAAGAAAGCAGTATGGTATCCCTTTTATAGATATGTGCACATATTTTTACTTAGCGGAATATATATGTGCCTGTATAGACAGATGATAGCTAGAGAGAGAGGGAGATGGAAAATATCAAGAAGCTAAATGTTATCAATGTTATTGCAGTTATCTCTGAGTGGTCGAATTTTAGGTGATTTTTGTTTTCTTCTGTTTTCCACTTAGCCATGTGTTAAAATTCTCTACAGTTACCTAAATCATACAATTGAAACAATTGCCCTGTGGCCCTTTAGCCTGAGTAAACAGCCAATATTATCCTAGATGTATATATGTATATTCATTTTTTAAAACCATCAAGTCAGGCCCCACAAAACATATATTTGCCATGCACTTCTCTGTATAAATGTCATGCTTAGACCCTCTAAGGCCCACTCAAAGCCATCGTCCACTCATCTCAACACAGACAGACAAGTCAGAGGGACAGATGGAGCAGCTCCTGTCTGCCACTGCTAGGTCCTTTCCTTGTGTTCTTCCCTTTAACTCATTTCCTGTTTGCCCCATTTCACCCATGGCCCATTGCCCATTTCCCATTTAACCCATTTCCCGTTTGAGAATACTGCACAGGCAGTGAGTTGCACTTTTTTTTCTAAACAGTAAATGGGTTAATCCACAACTCTTTGAGGTGGTGTTATTAACTGTCTCTCACAGACAGAAGACAGGCTCTAAGGTTAAGCAGTTTGCTTGTTTTCACAGGTAGCATGTGACACAACTGGTATTCAAATGCACACATATCGAATGCACACATAAAGACAAGACTTTTTAAAAATTAAAAACACAAACTCAGGGTCTTGGGTGTGGCTTCCTTTCCTGGACACTCCCTCCAGAGCTCTGCCTTCAGAGAGCTATTCCTACCTCATCTCTTGAAGGTTTTGTTTTGATATATTTAAAATCTAAAGGCTGAGTCATGACTGGCAGTGTGGAGACCAATTTTGTGGAGGTAGCCAAGGTCTTCCTGTACTTTCAGACGAATCAGATTGGTGTAAACCCCTGTCTTGTGGTTTCTGCCAATTCCATGGGTCTGACATGCTCCTCCCTGCTTGTCCCTCTGAGCACTCACTCTCACTGTCTCACCTCCTACAGCTCTCCTGTTCCCTCCACAGCAGCACCGCCCTTGCTCACCACCTTCCTCAGCATGCCTCCCCCCAGGGAGGCTGACTTCCTGGCTCTCTCCAAAGTTCCCATGTCTCCTGCTACTACATATGCCAGTCCTTGCACTCTTGGGCTCCCCTGACTTCCAGTCCTTGAAACTGTACAAAGCCACTTGGAGGTCTGTTTCCCACTGATATAGAGTATGCCATTACTCCCTCCCAAAGGTGGAAATGGCTACCGCCACTTTTTATTCTTTAATATAGTTTTATATCTCCATTATATCTATTTTTCAGTTACCATTAGTGACCTCATCCCGAAATGAGGGCAGCTGGTATTCTCAGAAGCTTATATGCTCTCTATATCTTATTCGTAAAAGGAACACAGTTGATTTCCCATCTGTCATTACAGCCAAGCAGCTCTGGAGTTGGCAGGTAAATCGGATCTCCAGCTGGGTCCGCATGCCAGGATTATTGCTCATCAACAAGGGGACATTAGCCATGATTAGTGTGAACAGAAGCTCACTTTGTAAACACTGGCTAAAAAGCTCAAGCCATCCTTAGTGCGAGAACCACTCTTCTTACTGGCAAATATGTCTATTTTCTCCCAGTCAAAGGCTGACAGAAAGGAAAAGAAAAAGAACTGTATCATAAATTATCTAAAGACTTTCCCATAAACAAGCATGGAGGGCAAGACGTGGAGGAGATGGGGTTTCCAATCCTGTATGTTATCTTTCATAAATGAGCATATTATTGATGTCCAGGAGGATTTACTTGTACAAACTAGAACATTTACTGCATGGGCAAGTGTACCCATGGAACAGACAAATTTCTCGTTATAACTATGTCTAGCTATCATGGCTTGGTGGATATGATCCATGCTATATCCAAATTCCATGTTTTTAATTAAATGAGGCATACTAGAGTGAAGAAAAAAAGCTATGGATTAGGAATTGGGTTAGAGCCCTATTCACTTTCTAGCTTAAAAAATTTAAGAGAAGCCCATTAACTGCTGTCCATATCAGCTTCTTCATCAGTAACTGTGAATAAAATGGCTTCTCTACAATTAACTACATTTAATAAAAGATGTGACAGAAAAACATAAAGATACAAATAAATGAAGATTATGACATGTTCGTGGATAGTAAGGTTCAATATCATAAAGACGTTGAATCTCCCCAGCTGATCTACAAGTTAATAAATTTCCAATCAAAATTGAATTGAAACATTTTATTGAGCTTCACAAGCCTATTTTAAAATAGACAAGGAAAATTCAAGAGACATGAGTAGCCTAGACATTCCTAGAGATGCAGAACAAGGTAGAGAAAGTTCGGTTTACCAAATATTGAAATGCATTGTAAAGTCAGAGTGCGGTATTGGCACAATAGACAAATGGAAACCTCAGTTTCCTTGCTACCTGCTGCCTGCCCACAAATCCAATGCTACATGTTTCAGGTTTTCATTAAGACAGCACTGCATATGAGGTACCAATCTCTACTTTAGAAGGGAAACACTAGCAGCTGTGTAAACCCAAAATATCAGTAGCCTTAACCACATAGAAGTTTATGTCTTAATTAAAATCCAGTTGGCAATAAAGACCAGAGGGAAAGGCATTGTTCCACACAGTCATTCAGAAATTCAAGCAGGTGGAGATTCTGCCACGCTTAACAGAGGGCTGCTAAGGTACTCCTCAGCACCTCCCTCCAGCAAGCAGGGGCAGGGGAAGAGAGAGAGTGGAGGACTGCTCAGGAGAGGTATCTGAGCAAGGTTTGGGGTGGTAGACATTGACTCTTCCCAGCGTCCCTTAGGCAGATCTTAGTCACATGACTACACACTGCTGGAAGGCAGGCTGGGAATTGTAGTCTAGTTGTGTGCCCTGGGGAAACAGGAATGGGTTTTGTGAACAGCTCGTCTGTCTTTGCATAATTATTTTAGGTTGTCAGGGCTCCTGCTTCTGCTTGAGCTGAGGTGCTGAGGTATAGAAAGGGCTATCTGGTGGGTTAGGTGAAATCTTCTCATATCTAGCTACAATTTACAGTTGGCTCTGGGCTAAAAACCTCCTGAAAGGGAATGCAAAATACTTTCCTACTTGAAGGTTCAGAGATATGCAGCCATGCCCAGCTAATGGGGAGAGAGGGAGCACCTCAGATGACAAGAAAGGGACAATAAGATCCCTGAATGTGAAAACATTCTGGAGAATACAGAGTCAGGCACAACGAGTGCCTTAAGGTCAAAGGGAAATGTAAGTTCTGGGTCACAGAAGAACATTCCCACCTAACCAGTCTAGCCACTTGTCAGCATCTAGGGAGGAAAACGCTGTGTGGTGGGCTAAAGAAGCTGAAACTCTTGGGAGTTCAAGAGAGTCTGCTGCAAGCTCCTGGAATAGCACAGCACAGAGGAGAGAGGCCATTCCCTTGCTTCCTGGCAGAAGAACTTGGAGAGCAGGTATCCCCGGGAAGAGCAGCAGTGCTGAATAACCCACAGCCCAGGGACAGAACTGAGGCCCTGAGAGGTGGAGCAGAAGAGCAAAGCAACTGCTCAGGGTCAAGAGCAATAATGAAGAGGACTCACAATGTGGCTTTGAAGTGACTGTGGCTGTGGAGCATCTGCTGCCCAGCCGGAGCCCCTCAAGAGGCAGTCATTGGCAAAGAAGAGGTCTGGGTGAAGTGACCTGGGGCAGCCCAGGGCAGCTGCAGCGAGCCTAGAAAGCAGGATCCAGAGAGCGTCACCATAGAGGCACAGGCGGTGGCCTGGGTGGATCCTGGAACACTGAGACACCTCCTTGGGTCTCTCAGAAAAACTAGAGGGACAAAGACACCCTGGGAAGAAACTGACTGCAGTCCTGCAGCTAAACAGATGAGACCTAATGTGCTTAAAATACTGAACTGATGAGTTCAGGGGGTATTCAAGCTATATTAGTAAAGAGAATGTTACTGTTCAAAATGAATTTCAAGTTTCAAGAATTTTAGAAATCAGGAAAAACTGCTAAAAATAATGTTGAAGTTTTTAAAAATCAACCTAACATACACAAAGTTTCTAATATAGGAAGCATATTTATTTTAAAATATTGCCAGTTAGACTTCCATGTTTCTAAACAAATCACCTGCACTCTTTATAGGTCCACAGATGAATTCCCCCCACTACCTCCCAGGAAACAATTCTGCTTCCATTTGAAATCCCAAGGTACCAATTGCTCCCACTTCAGGTGCTCAGCCTGCATGAAGAATGGGTTCCCAGTGGCTCTGTAAGAGGCCTGTGGTCTTGGGAAGGTGAAGAGCCAGAAATGGCCATTTGGAGACTAAATTTTCAGCATGTGTCCCCATTAGGGATATACTGTGGAACTAAAACAGTCCACATCAGTGTGCTTCTCCCAGTCCCAAATCGAATGGACGTGCCACTTTCAGGCTACCCAAGCCCGATTAATGCACAGTGACAGCTGAATTTAACTGCTTTTCACTGCAGCTCAGCACCAAGGCCTGAGTAGAAATAATCCTTTTATCTCCCAATAAAGGAGAATTACCAGCATTTCGTAGCTCAGCTCTCTCTGAAGGGCCATCTTTAGAAGCTAGAGGCTTTGCATTTCCTGGAATGGTCAGATTAAAGATGCTTTTCACTGATCTCTGGGCAGGTAGATGATTATACTGTCACCCAGTTGCCCTGTGGGAAGCACTGCGGGTTTCCATTTTAAAGGGATTTCAGAGCACAAATGTCATTCTCGAAAACTTTTCTGAAAGACCAACTTAGTCTTCAGAGCCATACTGTTTAGGGGCCAGCTGTTGCCTAGGAACAGCCAGTGGGGACACTTTGAAAGAATATAATTTGGTCTGCTGTCTTCTTTACTTGCAGCCCATGGGTATAATCTCACCCAGATCATTTTCTGCTGTACATAATTCTTACACAGATAACAACCTTGTATAATAGACAATCAAACGTAATAATACCTTCTGTTCACTTTCATAAAGATGGCTCACCTTCCACCTGAAATACTGTTAAAACTGCATTCATCTCAACTGATAAGATATCCAACATCCAAGCTTGGGGCTTGGTTCCTTGAATATATTATTTTATGTTAATCTTCAAAGTAACTCTGTGAGTTAGGTGTTCTACACCTCAATTTTTAAATGGGAGAACTGAAGCCGGGAACTTTAGACGATTTGCCTAAGTTTACAAAGTTTTAGTAATTGGTAGAGACGGAGGATGCATTCCAGTCTGATCTTAAAGCCTGTGTCCTTCCCAAGATCCCATCCTAGAAATCAAGGTTTCTCACCTTTGACACCTTTGGCATTTTGGACTGGATAATTCTTTGTTGTGGAGGCTGCCCTGTGCATTGAAGGATGTTTAGCAACATTCCTGGTCTCTACCCACTAGACGCCAGTAGCACACATGCACACACAATTGTGACAATTAAAAATGTGTCCAGGCTTTGCCAAAAGTTCCCTGTAAAGCAAGATCACCCCCAATGGAGAATCACTGCTCTAAATGTTCTGAAGCATTTGCTTTCTTACAAGGCGGAGGTTCGTGGTCCCATGAAACGCACAGAATAATTTGAAGACCCTAATAGTAGTTAGGAGTGGCCTTACAGGGTATGCTTTAAGAACTATGAATTAATTATAATTAGCAGTTTTCCTTTGTACTTAAAGAGCCCCTATTCCTGTTACTCTTGAAAATCATTTGTCCTCTGCAATGAGTAAATGTTCACACTACAAAAACACTCAGAAACTTCAATGGCCTGCGGCCGCCTCAGGAGTTCAGCCCAAGCTCCTCAGAAAGACATTCAAGGCCTCCCCAGTTTGCCTTCAGTTCTCTCCTCCACTCTCCACGCATTTGTAGGCTACAGCCAAGCAATATGACTCACTGTGGTTAAAACGCATCCTACATTTTCTTGTTCCATGTCTTGGCTGAGGATGTTCACTCTCTGCCTCCCACCTCTCCTATTCCCACGCTGCACCCCGCCTTTGTCTTGGAATCCTTCTTATGTCATTTGAGTTCACTTGATGCTCTCTGCATCTCCCACACAGCCTCCCCAGCACAGTGGTGGAAGGATGGGTCTCTCCTCTGTCCACAGTTGGTTTCTATCTGTCTTAGTCCATTTTCTGCTGCTATAACAGAATACCACAGACTGGGAAATTTATTTTTAAAAAAAGAGATTTATTTGGCTTATGGTTCTAGAGGCTGGGAAATCCAAGAGCAGGGCACTTGCAACTGGCAAAGGTCATCCCATGGCAGAAAACAGAGGGCGAAAGCGAGCACACAAGACAGAGAGAACGTCAAGCCAAACTCGTCCATTCCATCAGAAGCCCACTTCCACAATAACACAATAATAGCAATAATCCATTCATAAGGGCCAAGCCCTGGTGGCCTAATCACCTCTCAAAGGCTCCACCTCCCAATACTGTTACAATGACAATTAAATTTACACATGAGTTTTCGCAGGGACATTCAAACCATAGCAGCATCTCGCTCATCTCAACCAGTTTTATGGAGAGTGTGTGATCTTTCATGCTGGATTGAAAATTCTTAGAGAACAAGTACTATATTTCAGCCCTTCTAGTCAGCCCTTATCTCTTAGCAGATGTGCTATACTTGTGGGGTTGGACTAGATCAGATTGGAGGTGGGATTGAATGAATATTGCAAAGGTAAACATCTGACTGGTTTCCATGGGCATTAAAATAAATTTCAAACGTGAGAGCTGGGCAGTGCAGTGAAGACAATGGAGCACAGCAGTTTGCCTTTCTAGTGCACAGCTGCCCTACTCCATGTGACTTCGACGCACTGAGTGGGCCTCTGACCAGGGCCACCACTAGGGTTGTGCCCATTGAGCCCCACTGGGTGGCTCCTGGCTGAGAGTTGTGTGGGGCTGGCATTCTCTTCATATTTCCCTCACTGAATGTGTGCTCTAGGCAGGCCTGTGCTTATCAGAGCAAGGGCCCCTTTTCCAAAACTTCACAAAGGTGGCATATGGGCTGGTGGAAGCCCTGACAGTAGAAACTCTTCCATGAGGAAAGGGACACCACATCTGACATTTTTATCCCCAAATTTATAGGTAATCACTACTTTAACTAAGACCTATTGCACTGGATCCTGCCTAGCCTAATCTTATCTCTTTGTTTTACCACTGCTCGACTAATGAGACGTGGTTATTGATTCATTCAACATATTTGTGTTAGTCATTGAATATGTGTTTAGGCTACAGGAGTGCGAAAAACAAAGCCCCTGTCCTCATCAATCTAGTAGATTCTTATATTTACCCCTCAGTGTTCACCATCAGACAACAGTCTACATGAAAAAAATGTATATCCAAGCTCCTATTTTGGAGAGTTCTGATACCCCTGGCTTGAGCTTTTCTTGAGAGCGTTTTTTTGTTTTTGTTTTTTTGTTTTTTTTTTGATGAATGTATTTGTCTGGGGCAACCATTTTAGAAAGTAACTTTGCCTAGGTTGCTAAAGTGGCCACATGGGTGTCTCAGCATAGCCAGGGCTTAGAGAGTAGCACTCCTCAGGGAAGCCCTCAGCTCCTGCATGGTCACATAGTCTAATTTCAGCTGCAGCTGTTCAGGCCATCTGACCAAGTCTCTTGAGAGAGTCTGAGCATTCCATACCATTTTCATATAATATTAAGGTGTAAACTGAGCATTCTCCAGAAACCAGCCCAGAACCAACTTTAATCTAAAAATTTCCAAGGAAGGCCATCTGGGCATAAATGCACAGGATATAAGTGAAAACTGGAGTCTAACCTTTAATGTTCCTATTGGCTGAAACAGAAACTGTCACATCTTGAACACTTCATCTTACTATTCCCCTCTTGTATCTACAGATGGGAAACTGTGCAGCAGCTATAACCGAGGACTCATCTCAAAGGCAAAAATCAAGGCTATCAAGTATAGCATCATCATCATTCTTGGTAAGCAATGTCCCTCCTTGAGCTGTAAAGTGGTATGAACGTCCCAAAAGCAAGTTTGCTCCTGGGACCTGGTGACAGAAAGGAATTTGCCAGCAGGCACTTCTACATCGGTCTGCTTAGAAAGGAATGTGTGAAACTCATCAGCCCATTCATGGTTCCTTCAAGGGCTGACATTTGGTTCCTAATCCCTCTCCTTATGAATACAGCTGCCTGCCAAGGCTATGGGTTGAATAATTTGGAGAAAATCTGATTAGGACCTAACTAGCTGAAGTGGATGCTCACATCACCAGCTAACTCAGTCACTTCCTTTAAGACACACTGTTCCCCAGGGCTGGGGTTCACAAGGAAAAAGAAGATAGAAGTGACTTTCCACCTTATCTGAATATTTGATGTTAGGTTCACTACAAATTTCCCCCTTATGGCACCTTACCTGTCCTTCCACCCTCCTGTCTTCTGCCCTTTCCTTTTCCTTTCTCTCTACTCTTAAGACTCATAAAGTCACCTTGTACTATTTCCTGTCTGAAATGCTCTGCTCTCCGGTGGTGCCCCGGCTTACTTCCTAATCTCATTTGTTCCCCAACAACGCCACCTCCCTGAGGGCTCCTTGATAAGTCTTTTTAAATATCCTTTTTCTAGTCTTTACTCTGCCTTATTTTTCTTCTTGGTTCTACCTCACACTACAGGATATAGATTGATTTTCTTATAGTCTGTCTCCCCTGTTGGAGTAATAAATCTATGAGGGCAATGACTTTGGCTTTTGTGTTACTTATATTATCACCAAGACCTAAAATAGGGTCTCCTACACACTGCTCAATTAACATTTGTCGAATGAATGAATGAATGAATGAATGAAACTATGCAAGAAGGAAAGGGATTTGTGCTATTTTCTTTTTTATTTAGCTTAAATACCCCCTCCTTGCCCCTCTGGCAGCTCTTGAAGCTCCAAGGAAGTATAGATCTCCCATTAGCTGCATGTCAAAGCACCAGAACAGTCTTCTCACCTTTCTGAAACGCAACTGCAAAATGCCAAACAGACCACATGCAGCATGACTCAGCCAGCAGGACGTAGGCACAAAACAACACTGCAGGCGGAACTGGGATAAAACATATACAACCCACCAGGGCTCAAAAACTTTCTGAGAGGCTTCTGAAGTGGATCAAAGACTCCTCTGTCTTCTCAGATAGTCAGAAGCACAGATGCACCTTCCCTGGATGTTGAGTTGGAAAATGTATGTTTACAAGTGTGTCCCAGAGCCTGCATAGCCCTTTATCATCAGCAACCATACTCCAAGGCCCTGTGGGATCCCTTCAGTCAGCAAGCAGGAACACCCTCTAGAGGGTCAGCAAATATTGACAGCCCTACCAGACCAAAAGGGCCCTTTCTATAGCAAACACTTTGTAATGTCCCTTTCCCACCTTGAAATAAAATGCCTACTTATACTACCTACCATGATCATTTAAACATTAATATATTGCCCAAAAAATAATATAAAAGAGGAATAAGAAAATAATCTAAAATGAAACAATACTATTTTTATTAATTAAAATGTATACCAATTTTAATGTGTAAAAACATAAGCACAGCTACACTAGAAGAATAATGAAGTAGTCACACCTACACCGTGACATAATAACAGCCACAATGAAAACCAATACAGGTGTATTTTCATGGAGACATAAAAAAATGTAAGCGGTATTACTGTCAGTGACTTGATTTTCTCAGCCGGCAAAAAGAAAAAATCCTTGTAAAATTTTGAATTAAACAAAGTAATCTTTCCTCCATTTACAACAGAATTGCATTTCTACAAATTTCAATATTTATTTAAAATACCTGTGTTTATGTGTAAAACAAAGTCAGGGATAACTATATAGAGGGTTCTCCTCTACATGAATGGACATTCAAAGTAGATACAAATCTTTGCTGGCTGGGCTGCGTGTACCATGCCAGAGGACTGGTATCCCTGTGAAAACTTGAATCCTCCAACCCAACTTACACACACATGGAAACACCCAAGCACACAAGGCCATTTGCCCCCTTAGTGCCCCAAATACTGTTCAGCGCCAGTGTTTGGGTTAATTAATCAGGATCCAGAACACTTAGTGGGTTTTGTGTTTGAATTGCTCCTCTTTAATACATTGCCAAGGTCTGGGGTCGAGAGGGGAAACATGAGTCAGTTTATCATTCCAAAATTCCCAACAAGTTACAGAATCCACATTACACAGTTATGACGGAAAGCTTGTCCCTGCATGCAGACAGCCAAGGAAGCCAAACTTCTACTCCGAGAAAAAATTCTATGGATGAGAAAGTGGGAGAAGGAGAGTGGAGAATTTATGGTGAGAAAATGAGAGATGCGTGTATTTCCAGTCAACTTAGGAGTGTTTAGCTCTGTGTCGTAGTCTGTGCTTTCCAGAGGAAAATGAGAGAGAGAGAGAGAGAGGTTTATTAGAAGGAATTGGCTCAGGTGATTACTGAGGCTGAGAATTCCCAAGCTGCAGTTGGAAGCTGGAGACCCAGGAAAGCCAATGGTGTAGGTTCTAGTCCAAGTCTGAGTCCAAAGGCCTGAAAACCAGGAGAATGGATGGGGTACATTTCAGTTTGATTCCAAGTGTGAAGGCAGGAGAAGACCAACGTCCTAGCTCGAAGACAGGCAAGCAGAGTGAATCTTCTCTTACTTAACCTTTTTCTATGACTCAGGCCTTCAACAGATTGGATGCGGCCCACAAACAGGGGAGGGCAATCTGCTTTTCTTACTCTACCAGATCAAATGTTACTCTCCTCCAGAAACGTCTTCATACACAGCCAGAATAGCGTTTAACCGAATATCTGAGCACTCCGCAGCCCAGTCAAGTAGTCTCAAAATTAACCATCACACCTGAATCCCCACCTTTCATCCATTTCTTTTGAGAATTTGGGGCCAAATAAACTGGTGTCTCACACATACTAATGGATTTAGAGAAGGGCATAGTGTGGGTGTTTTCTGGAGAGGCCAACTTAGGGGTGAAAGAGAACACTGTCATTAAACTGGGGTGTGCTTAGAAAATATTGTGATCACCCCTTCTCCCTGACATAACCTAAAACCAGTAGTCACTACGTGGTCAAAATGCTTCCTGTTCTTCTGTCTTTTCCTAGAGAGTCTTCAAAGTATTTTGCTGTTTTTTCCTGATCCCTGTGTTTGATGAGAGGCTATGGCCATAGTCACTTGTTCCTGGGGTTTCTATAAAGAATCCACAGCAGTAGAAATTTGACCCTTCTTTACAGATAGAGAAGCTCTACAACCTTTGCTCAGTTTTAGGAACATGTCTGTAAGATGTGTCCATATATATGTGTGTATGTGTTTAAGTGAATATGACATCAATGCTCCAAACAACATCAAACTCCAATATTTCTGAGAAATTCCAGGTCCCAAAGAACCTCTCAGGTAAAAGTCCAGTCAGGACCAACCAAAAGAGACCCCTCAACTGCTACCTGCTGTGATGCTAATGGCTCTCTTCTCCCCCAGCCTTCATCTGCTGTTGGAGTCCATACTTCCTGTTTGACATTTTGGACAATTTCAACCTCCTTCCAGACACCCAGGAGCGTTTCTATGCCTCTGTGATCATTCAGAACCTGCCAGCATTGAATAGTGCCATCAACCCCCTCATCTACTGTGTCTTCAGCAGCTCCATCTCTTTCCCCTGCAGGTAAGGGGAGCTCTTGCATGGGTCAGACACACTGATGGCCATTGCACTGGGATTCTGCCAACATGTGGGTTTCTCATGTCCAAACTCTCCAGCAGGTTACAGGATCCCCCTTTTATAGATGAGAGGCTTGAGAGTCAGAAAGATTCCACTAACATGGCTGATTCAAACCCTGGCCCAGGCCACAGCTGATGTGCTTTTTCCTATACCACAACACCTCCTATAGAAACCGCCTTAATCATGACACATCTAGAAGACCTTGCTTTTATTCAAAGCATCTTCACATGAATTGCCTCAATACAATTCTATGACAATAATAGGACATGGAGCCTTATTACCATTTTACAGATAAACAAAGTAAATCTTACATGGTTAATAGCATCATTGAGTTTATATGAATAATTAGCAGAGCTGAAATTAAATCCCTCCCACAGTTATTGTCATTCTTCTGTTTTTCTGCTGTTTTTCAGCTGTTTTCCTGCATAAGCCACAGAGGGTAGGTGGAGAATTCCATAGGAGATACAAGAGGAGAATGATTTAAGTCTTGGGCTTAATGCCAGTGGTTGAAGTTTATATCTTGCCATTGTTTATTCGTAGCGATGTGTGACCTTGGGCAAGTTATTTAACATCTGTAAACCTCAGCTTCTTCATCTGTAAAACAGGGCTAATAGCAGTGTCTACCTGTTGGCCTGTGATGTCTCTGTCCTCTGGGCTCTGGTGCTGACCAGTGAGAAGGAGAGCTGTGAGTCATGGAGAAGGAAGGTCAGGGTATTACATGTAAAGTGCCTGGCACAGTTGTCTGACATTTAATACATTTTTCATAACTATTGTCTCTTAACATGTCTACTTGCCTTTTCATTAGGTCAAATTATTTCCCTCCCTGCTTTATTTTGACTTTCTCCAGGGAGCAAAGATCACAGGATTCCAGAATGACGTTCCGGGAGAGAACTGAGAGGCATGAGATGCAGATTCTGTCCAAGCCAGAATTCATCTAGACCCTAGGGCAGTGCCAGTGCTAGGCTGAGCACCATCAGCTCTCCCAGGTCCTTGTCACCTGCTTGGGCACGTGCATGGAACCCGAGCCAACTTCACCCCACCCTCGTCATTACCTGGGAGATGCACAAGACAAATGTTCTAATGACTGCATGCACTGCTTAAGTATTGGCCAACACGAACTCCCCAGTTATTCATGCCAGCCAGGAAGGAAACGCCTTCCTTCCCCACCATTCCCAGCCCTCCTTCCCACTGGCCAGCACCTGAACCCAGTGAACACAGGCATTAGTGGTCCAGGGTCCTGGCTTGGAGCCAGTGAGTAGACAGGCAAGCAGAGGGGACAAAGGTAGCTGGGTTATACATGAATATTCTCATTACAATAGAAGAAAATAAAAGACTTAATTAAGCCCATATTTTTCCCCCAGTTTTGGATTGGAGGTTCAGTGCTTGTAGCCAAGAAAGTGTTTGTCCTTGAAATGCCAACAAATTCATTTCCAGGCATTGGTGCTTTGCACCTCTTCTGCAGATAGCCTCGGTTTGCAGATGGGTGTGCTGGCAGCAGCCAAGTGCATCTCCTATTCCATCAACAAATGATTTGTGGAAAGGGCATGCTGTTGGCCCTCCAAAACAAGGTGAAATGAAGGGATACTGGTTCTGATAGAAAACAAGTTGTGTTAAAAAGCCATGGGCCCCTGACTTCCAGCCTCTGAGAGCTGGTCCCTAGAACACACATGTCCTTGAGGCCTTTTTTTTTTTTTTTTTTTTTTGACAGAGTCTCGCTCTGTCGCCCAGGCTGGAGTGCAGTGGCACGATCTCGGCTCACTGCGAGCTCCACCTCCCGGGTTCATGCCATTCTCCTGCCTCAGCCTCCCGAGTAGCTGCGACCACAGGTGCCCGCCACCACGCCTGGCTAATTTTTTGTATTTTTAGTAGAGACGGAGTTTCACCGTGTTAGCCAGGATGGTCTCAATCTCCTGACCTCGTGATCTGCCTGCCTTGGCCTCCCAAAGTGCTGGGATTACAGGCATGAGCCACCGCGCCCGGCCTGTCCTTGAGGCTTTCTGAGACCTCTCACTCTGTATTTAACACTTGGGCCACTCTGGGCTCCATTCCTCACACCTCAAGGACAAGTCTTCCCGTTTTTAAATCCCTGAACACTCTCTTTAGTTAGGAGCTAGGTTCCTGCGGCTTTTCCAGGCTTAATGTTTCTCTAAGATCTTTATCGTTTTTGCCTGTCACAGCCTTTGTCTAGCACCTCGGCCAGGAAGTGCTGGTGGGGCTTATTTTGACAGATCTGGAGTTTGGTACTTATGAGCATAATCCAAGTGAAATATGACTAAATGTTTTCTAGTCAATTTCTCCTATCAGATTTTTCCACAAGTGGAAGTGAAATAATTTCATTTGATCATATATACATCCCACCCACGGCTCCGGTATGCACGTGAACACCTTATTTTAGCTTCACGTATATTCTTGACATTAAAATCTCCTTGGCAAAATCCTCCTTCCCAGAATTATTCAGAGCTTAAATCTTTTTTTTTTTTTTTGGCATACTGCTAGTGGAGTCATTAAATTGTTCAGTATATTTTAATAGCACTCCATTCCTCATTATGGTGTCAACTCAAAGTCTGCGTGTTTAAGGTCATGTGGGCTTTTTTTTTTTTTTTCATAAACTCTTTTCAATTCGATCTGACCTTAGGGAAAGTATCTCTTTAGGAGGAAATCAGACTCCTCACTCACCATCTCTCGGAGAATTATTCTCTGAATTTGAGGAGCCTGAATAATCTAGTTTTATTTCTACACAACAGTTTTGAAGGCTGCCTCCCTCTCTGTCCAATCAGCTAAACTTGAGCAACCCTGGAAGCTTTGAGCATTTGAGAAATGCTTTTCAACATTTCACTTTAAATCAAGATGTGCCACAGAAGACCCACGGAACTGTTGCTAAAATAGCTGGCTGCATAGGAGCCAATTAACAGAGCAAAATCTGGCAGATGTCCTACATGGCAAAACAGGAGGACCAGGTTCTCTTGACAGATGCTTTAATTCTTTGTCAAGTCTGGTCTGCAAAATACATTACATGCCTACCTCATCCATCAGTAGAGTCTCAAAGTGAAGGAGAGAGTGGAGTGAGGGGCGTTGTGATCTGTAGAAACTGTGAACATGATTTTTTAGTTGTGATGCTGTCTCTCTCATTTCCCGAGAAGACTGGAGATCAATAAGATAATGGTACAGGTTGCTGCAGGATAATCTACCATTTAAATGAAACTTGCTTTATATTGGTAAGGATTCTGGAATTGTCATTTCCATGTATTTGCTGAGCTTGGAGAAACATGATTTAAGCATTATGAAAATACTGGTAATTGGCCGGGCACAGTGGCTCACACCTGTAATCCCAGCACTTTGGGAGGCTGAGGTGGGCGGATCGTGAGGCCAGGAGATCGAGACCATTCTGGCTAACACACGGTGAAACCCTGTCTCTACTAAAAATACAAAAAGATTAGCCAGGCATGGTGGCTGGCGCCTGTAGTCCCAGCTACTCAGGAGGCTGAGGCAAGAGAATGGCATGAACCTGGGAGGCGGAGCTTGCAGTGAGCCGAGATCACGTCACTGCACTGCGGCCTGGGCGAGAGAGCGAGAATCCGTCTCAAGGAAAGAGAGAAAGAGAGAAAGAGAGAGAGAGAGGAAGGGAGGAAGGGAGGAAGGAAGGAAAGAAGAACTGGTAATTAATAGTCTTGTGACCTTGAACAAATCATTTCACACCTCTGGGCATTGATGGTCTCATCTGCAAGATGGGGACAAAATCAGGCTGGAGCAGAGGATCTTGGTGGTTCCTCCCAGACACAGGGAGGAATCTCTGAGATTGTGTCCAGAGACTGAGAGCTTCTGGAATTCTTTCCCCAGGGGACCAATGACTCAGTGACTTAATGCTGAGTCATTTGCCCTTTAGAGGTGTGACTTCCCTATCTATCACTATGAATGCAGAGAAATATCATTTCCCAACTGAGAAATGCAGTTTGAGCTCTTGGAGAAAATTAGAAGCTTAGTGCTGTGACGTTACTGTTTGTAGCCTTTGATGCCCATGTGGAATCAGAGAAGCCAGCAGGACGATACCTAAAATAAAGGTGCTTACTTCCTGCACCAAGATGTCAAAAAGTCTACGGTTACATTATTGCATGGCATCAGGGACAGGAGAAAATTTAGGAGAGCCAGAGTAGGTGTGCTTACTATATTCAGCCATACTATAGAAAATAAGTGACTCTACTTTACTGAACTAAATTAAATATGAATGGTAAAAACTTCTCTACTTGCAGGGTGCATGTGGAACATAATTTAGTTGAAGTTTACTTTCACTAAGCAACATCTCCCACCTTTTCCCCCAGAAAATGATAACACCTTTTTAATGACTTTCATTTGTGGATAATCATGAGAAAAAAGTGGCCCTTTTAAATCAGCCCAACACGCAGCTTAAACTTCCTAGCTTCATTTGGAAAATTCTGTATACTCATATACAGAAATGACCTTGCCTCTTCCAACTGCATTCACAGTGTCAATCAGAAAAGGCCACAAGCCTGAGTCTGAGAGAAAAAAGGAAAACAAAAATATCTTTAGCAGGAAATAAAGTGATTCTGCTCTTCTAGAATTATCTTAGGTGAGCTACAGACCTGCTGGCAACTCCAATTTTCTCGTCATCATTTGAATGTACCTCATCTTATATGCAGATCGACTAGTGTCCCCTGAAGCTTTCCAATTGCATTTAATTGAAGGGAGAAGGCCGTAACTGTTTAGGTGCCAATCTCTGTGTTTTTGGAAACATGAAAAACCCATGCCTCATTTCTCTGCAATTGCATTTTAAGAATACATTATCCGCAACAGGCTGGTTCAGTTAACATTTTAAAAGTGCAATTCCAGGCTTACAGAATGTTAAAGTGGATGGAGTCTTATATCAGCTGGTCTCATGGTTTTCAGATTGCTCGGAGACTCCAAAGCTGTTCCAAGGAGGTGACTCAATATTAATATTTTTACACGGCCGGGCATGGTGGCTCACGCCTGTAATCCCAGCACTTTGGGAGGCCGAGGAGGGCGGATCACCTGAGTTCGAACAGGAGTTCGAGACCATCCCAGTCAATATGGTGAAAACCCGTCTGTACTAAAAATACAAAAATTAGCCGGGTATGGTGGCGGGCCGCCTGTAATCTCAGCTACTTGGGAGGCTGAGGCAGGAGAATCACTTAAACCTGGGAGGAGGAGGTTGCAGTGAGCCGAGATCGCACCATTGCACTCTGGCCTGGGCAACAAGAAGGAAACTCTGCCTGGAAAAAAAAAAAACAAAAAACAAAAAAAACATTATTACGCACAACAATAGCATAGAAATCGAGAGGCAATTAAATGTAGTTAGTTTCAAGTTCCTTGAATTATCTTGCATGCAAAATGTGGATTATTAGTCATTGATACACCAAGAATGCATGTTACAATTTCAGGGTCATCACTAAAATAGTAGAAATGCAAAAACATACATCTTTCAGAGTAAAAGAGAAGGAAAGCTGAGTGATAAGTCACTCAAACAATTTGAAAGAAAGCAAGAAAAGAGAGAAACAGGGACATAAAACAGCTGGGATAAACAGAAAACACATAGGAAGATGGTGGTTTTTTTATCCAAACTTACTAGTAATTATAAGTGCAAAGAGATTAAATGCCCCAGTTAATAATCAAAGACTATCAGACTGATTTTTTAAAAAATAAATAACTGTCTGCTGTTTACAAAAGACATGCCTAAAACACAAGGATACAGAAAGTTTGAAAATCAAAGAATGGATCAAGGTAGTCCATGGAAACTGTAGCTAAAAGAAAGCTGGTAAGGCTATATTAATAAAGACTAAATACCTTTTAAGGCAAAAAGTATTAGTAGAGTTAAACAGGGACACTTCGTAATGATAAAGATTTTAGTTTAATAAGATGAAGTAATAATTCTAAATTTCCAGGCATTTAAAAACATGGCCTCAAAATATATACTTTTAAAAGTTGTCAGAACTATGAAACAAATAGAAAAATTCACAACCCTAATGGGGAATTTTATCACACTTAATGCCAGTCATTAAAGCAGACAAAAATCAGGAATGATCTGGATAATTTGAGCAACATGAATAACACAGGAAGAGCACTTTACCTTACCACCCCTGAACAGACATTTTTTTCAAGCACACATGAAGCAGTTACCAAAGTTGACCACATGCTAGGCCATAAAACAAGCTTCAACACTTCCACGAGATTGAATTCATATAGTCTAGTTTTTCTGATCATGTTATAATTATGCTGGAACTCAAGAGTAAGAGGATAACTAGAAAATTCAAATAGGTTTGGAAGTTAGGAAATACACTTCCGAACAACTTATTGCCAAAGAAGAAAGCATATGAAAATTAGAAAACAATTGTACTGAATGTTAATGAAAGTATTATGTATTAAATGTATAGGATACAAATAAAACAATACTTAAAGAAAAAAGAGAAGGATTAAAAATCAATAAACAAATTATCTATCTTATGAAGTTAGAAACATTTACCAAATTAAACTCAAGGGAAGTAGAAAGAATAAAATAATAAGAATAGGAGTAAAATTAATGAAATAAGAAACAAACATAATAAAAAGCCTCAACAAAGATCAAATTCTGTTCTTGAAAAAAATTAAATTAATAAACCTCTGGTGAGACTGATCAAAGGAAGAAAAAGAGAGAAGGCACAAATAAACAGTATTCTTTAAATGATATCACTATAGATCCTAGAGTCAATCAAAAGATAATAAAAGGATATTATGATCAAGCTTATGTCAAAACAAATTGAAAATATAGATGAATGGGAAAACATATAATTGACCCAAGAAGAAACAAAATCAGAATAGTAGCATAACTGCTAAAGAAAGAGAATGTCTTCATTGGTGAGCTGTACTAAAATTTAAGGACAAAGCAACACCAATTTTATAGTCTTCAGTAAAATAGAAAAAGTGTGACTTTTCAGATTATTTATGAGGCTAAAAAAACCTCAATATCAAATGCTACAAAGGCATTACAAGAAAAAAATTGCAAGTCAATTTTGCCGCAGAAATACATGCAAAAATTCCAAAAAAAAATTACCAATCAAGTCCAGCAAAATATAACAAGGCTAACATATGTGACAAAACTGGTTTCATTCCAGGAATGCAATGTTGGCTTACTATTAGAAAATCACTCAACTCGTTACATTAATAGATTACAGGATAAAACAATATATAAACTCAACAGATGCAGAAAAAAATGTTTGATAAAAATTTTTGAGCTCCAATTATAAGATATTCACAAACTTGGGATAGAAGACAATTTCTTAAACCTTAAAGTTTATCTGCAAGAAAGCTACAGGAAACCTATACTTAATGGTGAAGCTTTGAAGATGTTCCTTTTGAAATAAAGAATGAGTGAAGAATGCCAGCATCAACACTTCTGTTCAACATTGTAAGAAATCCTAGTCAATGTAGTAAAACAAGAAAAAAAAATAAGATAAAAGGTATATGGATTCATAATAAATAATAAAAACTGACAATATAGATATAAATATATAGCTGAATATCCAAAATAATATACAGATAAATTATTAGAATTAATCACAAGGTTTAATAAGGTTGCAGGATACAAAAATCAATATTATTTCCACATAGCAGCAATAAATAAAAAATTTAATTTTTAAAGTTTTGTAGCAATGAAGGGAAAGCTTCCTTTTTGCCCTTGGAGGCTTCACTGAAAAATCAAGTCATAAAAAGGCAGAAAAATAAGAGAAAAAGCATAAAATTTATTACTCCTATGCACACGGGGAAAATCGGAGTGATTGGCCAATACTTCAATGGGTACAGATGCTTGTAGAGCCTTCTTCTTAGGGGAAAGAGAGATGGGGAAGCGTGGATGATTTTAGGGGAATAATAAATGATTTTTAGGAATTTGGTGTGCTTGAAGAAAACAATGGTCCAGGACAGAGTCTGTTGGACTCACAGAGCAGACTTTTGTTTGTGACAAAAGTCTGTCCAGGTTTGTTGATAGACTTTAGTCTTCCTTCTTGTGATATGGGTTCAGTTAATGAAAACTCGGGGAAGGGACCGCAAGTCATTGTTTTCTTCTTTGGTAAGTCTAGAATTAGGCAGATAAGGAAACTTCATGATTGAGAGGCAGGAGGAGGGAGAGGAGAAACAATTGTTCTCCCTGGTAAGAGAACTGAAAACTGGTCCAGTCTTTATGTAGATGGGGGGGGAAATCTCTTCTAGCATCTGCTGATCTCTAAGGGCCTTTTAATTCAAAATATATTATAATGCCATGAAGCCATATTTTAGGGTAAAGTTCCATGAGCTCCTGCATTCGTTATTTACAATAGCCTTAAAAAATGAAATTCGTAGGAGTAAATTTATAAAAAGGTATGTAAATCTCTATGGAGAAATTATAATACTATTGAGATATATTCTAAAAACTAATGAAATGCAGAAATATATCATGACTATTGTTCAGAAACTGAATATCCTAAGATAATCAATTTTCAAATTGATCTCTGAAGATTCAGTAGAATGCCAAGAGGAATTTGGTAGAACTTGGTAAGTTGTCTCTAAAATTTATATGGAAATGCAAAGGGCCAAAAATAGCCACGACACTGTTGACTAAAAAGGAAAAAAATGGGAGAGCTTAACTAACCACATATCAAACTTATCATGAAAGAATAATAATGAAAGCTGTGGTATGGGCGCTAAAGTAGACAACTTAGCAAATGGAATAGAAAAGGAGTCCAGGGAAAGATGCCCACATATAGGTAAACGATTTGTTTCAGTGGTAACATTGCAAAGCAGTAAGGAAAGGGTGTTCTTTTCAATTATATAAAAAATTGGACATTTATGTGGGAGAAAATTTACTGAAAACCTACTGGATTATATGTCAAATTGGTTCCAGGTGGATTATAGACCTAAATTCACAAGACAATAGGACGCTGAAAAAATAATGTGACAAAACACAAAACACTGTACTCATGAAGGAAAATATTGATACATTTAATTATTTAAAAGTAGAAATTTCTGTTCATCAAAATATATTAAAAATGTGAAAAGACAAGCTATAGAATGGAAAATGACATTTGCAAAATATATAACTGACCAAGATCTAGTATTTGTAATATATAAAAACTACTGCAAATCAGTAAGAAAAAGATTTTAAAAGACAGTAGAAGACATAGAAAAATGGGCAAGAATTAACTTCAGAAAAGAAGTTATCCAAATGGACAAAAAACTATGAAAAGGTGTTTAATCTCATTAAAAAGCAAGGGAAAGTAAATTAAATCACAATGATATATGAGTATGCATATTGGCCTAACTTAAAACCTTTGACAATATCAAATGTTGCTGAGGATGTACAGCATCAGAAATGCTTATCTTGTGTGAACTGGAGAATAATTAGTACAACTATTCTGGAAAATTATGTGCCTTAAACTAGTAAAACTAAGGATTTGTGTTTCCCGTGACCTTGAAATTCCACACTGAGTACACACCCTACAGAAGTGTGAATTATGTGCACCATAATAGATATGAAAAATATTTGTAATAGCACTAATTATAAGAGCCTCAAATTGGAGGCAAAACAAATGCTTATTAGCAGTAGAATAGATAAATAAATTATGGTGTATTTCATACAATGGAATACTTTACAGCAACAAAAAAATGAAGAAACTGCATATGCTTGCAGCAACATAAAAAAACTTTAAAAACATAATATAAAGGTCAAAGACAGAGACATTAAAGATAACATATGATCTCATTTATATGAAATTCAAAACTAACCAAAATTAAATTATCATATTTAGCAATGCACACATAGGTAATTGTATTAGTCCGTTTTTCACACTGCTGATAAAGACATACCTGAGACTGGACAATTTACAAAAGAAAGAGGTTTATTGGACTTACAGTTCCACATTGCTGGGGAGGTTTCACAATCATGGCAGAAGGCAAGGAGGAGCAAGTCACATCTTACATGGATGGCAGCAGTCAAAGAGCAAGCTTATGCAAAGAAACTCCCATTTTTAAAACCATCAGATCTCGTAAGACCCATTCACTATCACAAGAACAGCACAGGAAAGACCTGTCCCCATGATTCAGTCATCTCCCACTGGGTCCCTTCCACAACATGTGGGAATTATGGGAGCTACAGGATGAGATCTGGGGGGGGGACACAGATCCAAACCATATCAGTGACAAAACTCTAAAGCAAAGCAGGAAATCACTTTTTATAAGAGTCCAGATTGAAATATCTTTGTGGGGAGAGGGAGGAGATGTACAGAGAGAGGCTGGCAGAGTCTCTTTTTTGCTCTAGGTGGCAGGTTCAAGGGTGTTCAGTTTATTTTGGAAGCAGTGCAGAGAAGGGAGCCAGACTAGAAACAGGGAGGTGATCAACTGGGTCTTGGTTACATACAGAAAACAGCAGAGACAGCTGAAAGATCCTTCTCTGTGTTCAGAGCCATCATCTATCATTAGCATCCAGTGATAGCAGGAACATTGATGCCAACATTTTTCAAAGTCTGCAGAAATGACTTGGCCCCTCCACAGAGCCTTGTGAGTCAGTTCAGAAGAAATCAATATCCATCTTCTGTTCTCTTCTTGCCTGCCAAGGGGACCTGGAATCCTTAAGTTTTGCTCCTGGTTTCCCACTTCAGTATTCATCCAAAGAGTCTCCTCCTGCTTGTTTTCATTCTTTCTGCCCTTCCTTGTCCCCCAGAGTGGAGATCTGAAGTGCATAATACCCCACTATGCGGTGATGTTAGCCCCAGAGCACAGCTGAACACAGCATTCCTCAGGAGAGGATTCATCCTCTATATAGGGAACACTGGAGATATTGCTGCCCTAACTCCAAAGAACTAATCACCAAAGCTTGGGACTTTGGGCCCATGGTAGGCAACTGGAAGAGTTATCTGGGGCAAAGAGTGTAACTCAAACATCATCATAACTATCTGACAGACTTTAAGGAGGCCAATCCAATGTTCTCAAACCTGGCTGCATCATGAATCACTCAAGGAATTTATTTTTTATCCAGATTTCTGAACCCCCAACCCCAGAGATTCTGACTTACTGGGTTCTGGGTAGAACATGGAAATCTGTATTTATAGCAACTCACCCAGGCGATTCATCCAGGTGGCTCTGGTGCAACTCTTCAATGGGCTGGTACTTAGGAGCATCCCCGGGGGTCAGAGCTCAAGTTCCTCATGGCCAGGAACTGTGTAGGCCTCCTTTGCTTACATCTAAGTGGTTTCCCCTGGTCCAACTGGAACACGAATGTTATCTCCTGAGTCCAACTTTATTGCTTCTTCTAACCATCTAGATATCTGCTAGTAAAACTCAAGACATCTCTAATTCTTCCTCTTTCCACTAGAGATTTAAATGCATTTTTTTCACATAAAGATGGACTTTAATCTAATGTAGTTATGCATGCATATAAATGCCCAAACAAGAGCCAAGTTGGGAAATATGGCCATGTGTTGATGTGATGTCTTGGAACAAGGAAGGACACCTCTGCAGAGGTGTTTTGAGGGCTATACCCACATGCTGATGTGATACCTTATCAAAGCACTCTAGAGCAGCCATTCTTAAATATTTTGGCCTCAAAAAGACCAAACAAGTCCTTTATGATTGCTTATGTGTATTGTATGCATTGATATTTACATGGATATTTATAATCCATTCATGTTAAAAATTAAAACTGAAAAAATATTTGTTTATAAATCATTTACAAATAACAATAATAAACTCACTATATTAACATAAATATCTTTTGTATGAAAATAACTATTTTCAACAAAATTTAGTGAGAAAAGTGACATTGTTTTAACTTTATGCAAATCTTTTTAAGTTTGACTTAATAGAAGACAGATTTTCATATCTTCTGCATTCAATCTGTTGCAATATGCTGTTTTGATGGAAATATATAAGGAAAATCAGTCTTCACAAATATGTGGTCAGAAAAAAAGTATTTTAATCTGCCTCTGCACTTAATCTGTTGCATTATAACATGCCATGTAACCTCTGGAAAATTCCACTGTACACATGACAGAACAAAAATGAAAAAGGCAAGTAACATTTTAGTACTGTTGTAAAAAGAGTTTTGACCTCACAGACCCCCAGGATTCTCAGACTTGGCCCCTCCTTCCCCACTCTCCCCACTCCCATCCTAGTTTTGGACCATGCTTTGGAGACGGAAGACTGATTCTTCAAAGAAAAGCAGTGTGCTCCTTTCTTTGCCAATAGACAGCCGTTGCTGTAACACTGTTCTCTTGGACACAAAGCTGAGCTGGATGAGGCAGGCAAGCTAAGGGACTGTTTGTATCCATTTGCAGAGCTGGTGAAAGCGCTAACTTATAGCCAATGCTGATTGAGGCTTCGTTCCAGGCAACAAACACCTCAGCAGGTTCACCTGGTGATTAAACCCGCCTCTGCCGGAGGCAAAAGCCCAATGCCCTACTCACACTGGGGACAGGTGATTGCTTGAATTGAGGAAGAGAATAGTCAAGATTCACCTCAAAGTTGATGGCATTTGCCAGGGTTCTGAGTTTGAGCAACAAACAGCACTCGTGTTTGTCAGAATGAGCCTCTGAGCCACCTCCCCATGCACTTGAGCAGTTCCCCTTCTGAGAATATGTTTCCCTCAGATATCTGCTTGTCCAACATCCTTGCTTTCCTCAGATCTTTGCCCACATGGTGCTTTCTAAGAGAGGCCCACCTAGACTACATTGTTTAATACTGCAGCTGCCAGCCCAGCAATCTGGATGCCCGACTATCTGGCATTTTTCTTTTGCAGTAGTATGTATTGCCTTCTAACATACTGTACAATGTGCTTATTGGCTATGTTTATTGTTGATATCTCCCATGAGACAAAGATCTTTGTTTTATTCAATGTTGTATTCCCAAGGACAGAACCACACCCAAAATAGAGTAGATACCAATAAATATTAGCTTAATGAACGCACAGGTAATATTTACACATGGAGGGGCAGAGGAGAACATCAGCTTCCTGTAAGCAGCCTACTCCCAAGAGAAGGGGAAGGCAGAGCTAAGCATGCTTGGTTTATTCTCTGCAAATTCATGATGCATGGTTCAGCCATTCCTTTTCATCAGAGTGACTGAAGGGCAAATAGGAATTGGGAATGTGATATCTCCACAGTGAAAGAAGACATCAGGAATGGAAAAGAAGAACCCACCCCTGATATCCCTAACAGTTTGTTCTTAACTCATTTGCATTCAACTCCTAAGCCCATGCTCAGTTTAAGCCTGTGGTGATCCTCAGTGATCAGAAATTCCAGCAAGAGCATTCTGCTCCCTCTTCAACAGGCACTCCCCCAGTGCCAACCATTGCACCTGCACCCTTTGTTTCCTTATTGTTTCTCAGCTCCAAAGCCACCCTTTTATTCACTTCTCTTGATGGTGGGGTGAGTACTTTGCAAACCAAATTTCTCAGACTACCTCAATCATTGACTTCCTGTCTGCCAAAAGGAGATAGGCAGGAGACTGGAAGCAAGCAAGAGCGTAATTGCGGGAGTGGGAGTTGGGGGGTGGCAGTGGGCAGTTCTTCCTCCAAGCCCCAGCCTTGCCATCTCCTCAGTTACTAGCAGCATCCAGGCACTATTTGTCCTCAGTTGCATGGAGCTCACCCCCAGAGTCCCAGAATCAGCCCTGGGGCCTCCTCTGAACTCTTAGGATAACTCTACCCTTTATTTTTTGTTCCTCCAGTCTTAGGAATATTAGCAGCTTTCTGCAGTTAGACTCTCTATGTTACTTCTCTTTCCTGCTCTTTCATTCCTCCCATAGCCATGGGATCAGTTCCCTGCATTGAGTCTCTCTATCTAAAATACCTAGTGTGGTTTCTCTTTCTTTGCCTGGATGGACCCTAACTCATACAGCTTCTCTGTAGATACTTTTGGGAACATCAGTGGACAAGTTAGAATTCATCCCCAGGGAGCTCTGATGTGGGTCAGAAAATTTACTAATTAAATTTCTACAAGAGTGCAAATCCATTGCTTATTCCATTTCTCTTTCCTAAGTATGCCCTTCCACATTGTCCAATATAAGTGGGGTGACCATACACACCAATGCACCCAAGACAGTCCAGGTTTTTGCCTGTTATCCCAGCAAAATTATTAATATAGCCTCCTTTCTCTCTCAAAACTATCTAGTTTGGGTGATAAATTATATGGTCACTGTAAATATAGACCATCATATGTTCTACAGTGAAATTCAATGACGACATTAAGATACTACAGCAAGGAGGCATCGAGCTACCTGACTTCAAACTATACTACAAGGCTACAGTAACCAAAACAGCATGATACTGGTACCAAAACAGATATGTAGACCTATGGAACAGAACAGAGGCCTCAGAAATAATGCCACACATCTGCAACCATCTGATCTTTGACAAACCTGACAGAAACAAGCAATGGGAAAAGATTCCCTATTTAATAAATTGTGTTGGGGAAATAGGCTAGCCATATGCAGAAAACTGAAAGTGGACCCGTTCCTTATGCCTTATACAAAAATTAACTCAAGATCGATTAAAGCCTTAAATGTAAGACCTAAAACTATAAAAACCCTAGAAGAAAACCTAGGCAATACCATTAGGACATAGGTATGGGCAAAGACTTTATGACTAAAACACCAAAAGCAAAGGCAACAAAAGCCAAAATTGGTAAATGGGATCTAATTAAACTAAAGAGCTTCTGCACAGCAAAAGAAACTAACATCAGAGTGAACAGGCAACCTACAGAATGGGAGAAAATTTTTGCAATCTATCCATCTGACAAAGGGCTAATATCCAGAATCTACAAAGAACTTAAACAAACTTACAAGAAAAAACAACCCCATCAAAAAGTGGGCAAAGGATATGAACAGACACTTCTCAAAAACAGACATTTATGCAGCTAACAAACGTATGAAAAAAGTTCATCATCAATTGGTCATTAGAGAAATGCAAATCAAAACCAAAATGAGATACCATCTCATGCCAGTTAGAGTGGCAATCCTTAAAAAGCCAGGAAACAACAGATGCTGGAGAGGATGTAGAGAAATAGGAACGCTTTTACACTTTGGTGGGAGTGTAAATTAGTTCAACCATTGTGGAAGACAGTGTGGTGATTCCTCAAGGATCTAGAACCGGTAATACCATTTGACCCAGCAATCCCATTACTAGGTATATACCCAAAGGATTATAAATCATTCTACTATAAAAACACATGCACACATTTGTTTATTGCAGCACTGTTCACAATAGCAAAGACTTGGAACCAACCCAAATGTCCATCAATAGACTGGATAAAGAAAATGTGGCACATATACACCATAGAATACTATGCAGCCATAAAAAAGGATGAGTTCATGTCCTTTGCAGGGACATAGATGAAGCTGGAAACCATCATTCTCAGCAAACTAACACAGGAACAGAAAACCAAACACTGCATGTCCTCACTCCTAAGTGTCAGTTGAACAATGAGAACACATGGACACAAGGAAGGGAACATCACACACTGGAGCCTGTTGTGGGGTGGAGGGCTAGGGGAGGGATAGCATTAGGAGAAACACCTAATGTAGATGACGGGTTGATGGGTGTAGCAAACCAGCATGGCACGTGTATACCTATGTAACAAACCTGCACGTTCTGCACATGTATCCCAGAACTTAAAGTATAATAATAAAAAAAAAAGAAAAAAAAAAGACACTCCAGCAATAAAATACCAATTACAAGATGTTCCAAATTTGAATATAAACTCCTTCTCATCATGAATTTTCTGAAATTAAAATTAAATGATTAAGTTCAATGATTAATGTACAAAGATATTAAACCCCAAAGGAGTTGAAGTCCAAAATCATATTCTCTTCACCTTGTAATTAAAAGTTCAAAGAAAATTAATGTCCAAAATATATCCCAATTTCTTATCCAACTGCTTTGTTATATTTCTCAATGTTCCTAGGCCATGCACAAAATGTTGGAGTTGAGATGTCCAAATATAACTTCCTTTTTCCTCATGAGCATCTTGAACAGATTATAAAATAAAACAAAGAGAACAGAGAAGAGACTAAAACAACACCCTTATTACTAACAAATGTGACTTGTGCCTACAGGCAAGAAAGCCTGCTAACAATGAACTCTGGAACTGGTCTTCCCCACTGTGGCATAAACAGCTACTGTTCACCCATGCCTGTGTTTGTCCCCTCTTCCAGGCACAACTACACTATATCTTTCTCAGCCTCCCTTATGGTTAACTCTGTTCATGTCATTGAATTTTGGCCAATGGAACGTGGAAAAAAATTCTGCGCACCCTCCTAATATGGTCCATAAAAATTTCTCAAGTGTGTTTCATGCTTTCACACCCTCCCCTCATTTGCAAGCTGAATGAAGAGGACTCTCAGGGCTTAGAAGAGGGCAAAGCCACCAGATGGAAGAACACTAGGTCTCAGCATTACTGCATGGAATAGAGCCTGTTTCTTTACCACCAATCCTCATTGAACGGTGATATAAGTGAGAAACAAACATTTATTTTTGCTCAGCTACGGAATGTTTGGAAGTTGTTTGTTTCACTGGTTAGCCTATCCTGCCTGATACACCCACAAAATCTCTGGAAGGGCTGATGCGGGACAGGTTTTCCTGTGGCAGGAAGTGAACTGCTCAGGTGAGACAGAGACGCGGAAGAAACTTCTGACCCTATGGACAGCTCCCCCCATGAAAAAGAGGGCGAGGCTGAGCTGAGCATGCTCAGTAGAATCTTTCCACATTCAATCCAAGCGACTTAAGCCCCTCTTTCTTCCCTGGTAGGAGTGAGGGAGCTTCTTTCCAGAGGCTAAAATAATCACAGCGCCACATGGAAGGAAACAGCTCCCCACTGAAAATGTGTTTTCTTTTTGTGCAGCTCTTTTCTTGATCTCTAGAAATCTTTCCCTTTGTTCCCCATCAGATTCTATATACTGTTTCTCAAGACACACCCCCCTTAGCATCCTTAGCAGGTATAAGACAGAGGGGCACTACATTTCTCTCTTCTGACTAGCCCATGAATGCCAGTCACATGGTCCCCTTTGGGCAAGCTTGGGTGAGAGTTAAAGGAGAAACAGCCCTTCTTGACCTCTCTCCCCACCTGCTCCAGATTCCAGAGTCCATGAAGGGTCATTCTCAGCAGACATAATAAGGATCCTGGATGCATTCTTCTTTTTAACAATGAGGTCATTTCCTCACAAATCACCAGGCTCTTCCTAAGGGAAGTTTGCACCCACAGCAATGCCCAGAGTCCACCTGCTTTACAGACCCACCTTCCTTCCCTGCCTTTATTTGAAAAGGAGAGAGAAAGGCTCCAATCTTCATCATAACAAAACTAATGCTGGGATGAATCCACTTCAATGTGCTTGCCATGCTTGTAGTCCCTACTGAGGGACAATACCCTGCATAGCCCTGGATACTTGGACCTACGTTTTGTCCCACACGGCCTCCACCTCCCAACCAAAACAGATGAGGCAGAGGTGGATGCCGATGGATTGGTCAGCACACTATGGCTGAGAGATAAGCCAGTTAACGGGAATTGAAACCCAAAGTTCATGATGTAGAATTCAAATGAGATAAGTCACAATGAACCATCTCAAAACCATGAAACAGCAGGACCCGTGAGTAAACAGAGGAAGTCAGCTCATGGAGAAAGGACAAGGGCACAGTTGTAGACAGACATGCAAATGATGAGAGGATAGCGGAGGGACAGGAGGCAGAGCGCACAGCCTGGAGGAAACTATTCACAGAGATATCTCAGAACCTGTCCGTTGTTCAGTGCTTTCTTTCCATGTCTATGTTTATAATAAGCCCCTTTTTCCTTGACCTGACTTGGGTGGTCAAGGTCACTATGTCTTGCCTGATTGAGACAACTCAGTTGCACAATTGCATAATTAGACTGTGATAAGTGATCTAGAAAACCATGATCATATGGGCTTCTCCTCTTCCTACCTAAAATAGCAGATGCCTTGAGGTAAAAACTTTGGGAAAAGGGTATGAATAAGCACTAGATAGTTTTGCAAGATTTGCACTCTAGGGAAAAGGAGAGTAAGCTAGGTGAATTATTGGGATATTCTTTAGGTTACTATGAGATTTGGAGGTTACAGTTAGAAAAAAAAGTTTCCTGCAGCAAAACCCATGCCAAATTGAAAAATTCTTTAGACCACATGGGAGGTCTTCAAGGAAATCATGGTGCTGGTTAAAAATAATAATAATAAAAGATAAAAGATTTTGACTTCTCTTCTTCTGGGGATGGGAGAACTAAAGCCAGGCCTCAGTGTCATCTTTCCACCCAGGAGCAAGACTGAGCCCTTCCACTGTGGGACATTGAGGCCTGAATAAGACCCTTCCAAGCAAAGGTGAAAGAGGCTCTGAGCACAAGTACCCATAAACATGGGCTGCGGTAACATAGGAACCCAGAACCCTCATCATCAAAGCCAATGAATGTCTCTAAGAAAGGGAGTGATTGTCCTGACAGAGTTTAAGAGCCAAAAGGCTTTGTGGACTCAACCTCCAAAACAGAGCAGATGGGAGGAGGGATGGTGAGAAGGCTTATTCCCAAGCCAAGCCCTGGAGAAGATGGCAAAGTGGCAGGTGGAAAGCGTGGTAGATGTGGAGTCCCATGTGAGATAGGATATCCCAGCTGATGCCTCACAAATCCTCTCACTTGCTGCCTCTCATTGCGCCTCCTGTTTCTATCTTCAGTAAAGGCTTGAGGCTATTTGGAGCCCAGAAGCCAGCAGCTGAAGGGAACAGGCAATTGGCCAGGCCAGCTCCTCAGCCCAAGGAAGGCAGGCCTGGGGCAATGCCCACTGGCCAGTAACATCAGAGGGCCCACTGGAAACACATCCAAGTCCCCGTGACTCACAACTGTCATAGCTGTGAAGTAGTGTCATCTTTCTTCCTGAAGATTTCCGATATCACCCCAGGAGCAACAGGGATGATTGATTTTTGCTCTGGAAATAAGTAATGGGTCACTGGGGAGACAAATAGAACTATTGCTTCCTTAAGAAGCAATCTCTCTTAAGAAATTATAAAGCAAGTGGCTCCCCTGCTCAGTGGTGTCTGTGGCATTGCACTCCCAGCCTTTCAGGATAAGTCTAAAATAGTTTGGCACTCAGTTCCAAGCTCACCTATGGAAAAGGAGGAACTCCAAAATCTGTAGAATAAATAAAGTAATAAGGTATGCCTGCCCTAAATGGAGAAAGTCCAGCCAGTATTATTAAAAACTTTCAGTCTTTAAAATTTATAACATGGAAAGCTGTACTATATTGAAGTATCTGAGTCTCCCCAAAAACAATGACATTAGGGAGGAAATCAAATGAGAAGAATCTAAGATTGACAGTTCAACTAGCCAAATCGCCAAATAATCTGCAGGCACAGTGGGAGAGTGGACTGTTATTAAATAAACCTCTGGTGAATTTTCTTTATTAAAGAGCAAGAAGTCAGCTGGTTTCAAAGCCCAGGGAATGTGGGGATGTAGACCCTTTCAGCGATAGCCAAAAGTGAGAGTTAGGAAGGGTCTAAAACCTCTGCTCCCCCTTCACTAGAAAGCCAGCCCTGGGGAGGGAGGGACCAGGCAGCAGCCCCACTCTGCACCACACAACACTCTGTTACTCCCGCCTGGCCTATTAGTCTCTCCCTTAGCCTGACCTAAGTAACTCTAACCCAAACAAGGAGAAAATCAAAGTTGGGAATTACAGCATTCCTGACCAAGAAAGATTGAGGGTCAACCTGCAAAAAGTAAGCCCCAAAGTCAAGGAAAGGGAATGAGATCTGGACACAGAGCTGCACTCAACATCTAGCATGACCCTCAGCAGGATGCACCACTAGGCACAGTAGTGTCTACGCTTGTCCAGCAGACATGTCAGGGTGAACTTGCTCTCGGCAGAAGAGAGAAACCTCCCACTAAGGGAAGAAGGAGCTGGGTGCATGAGATTGGCCCAGTAAGACAAACCTTCTCCTCAAAATAAGAGGGGCAGCTCTCACAGTATTGTAGTCTTGGTCACTCGTGTTTGCCCCCTGAGTCGGTTTCCATGGACTCCCGTTTAAACCCTGGGGGCAGGCAGGCAGGGTCACTAGAAGTCTGTGAGGCATTAGGACTACTCTGTCCCCCTCTGACAAAATATAACACAGATGGAGAAAGAGGTGCGGCTGACCCTCAAATCTCCAAAGGCCTGAATCAGGGTGGCCCGGGGCAACAAACTGGCTACTTGCAACAAGCCTGCTTGCAGAAGACAGGACTTCAGCAGGAGAGGAGACCAACCACTCCTGAGGACCTGCCCCTTGCTGTCTTTCATTGCACCTACTGTTTCTATCATTTCTATCATTGATAAAGGAAAGATGTTGCATGCACCACTCTATTTCACATTTAAGTTCAAGGTTCTGGGGAAATGAGTCCCACAACACTGGCAGAACGAATGTCTACTCCACGACAGGGCTGCCACAGTATGGTAGCAGTCAGGACTTTTCATCAATGACAGCCTCTGGAAACCATGGGGAGAAAGTGTCCTGCATAACCAAGCGGAGGCAAAAACCAGGGAAGCGTGGATTAGACAATGAAACGATTCAAGTGAAACAACAAAACAATTCAAGGGGAGGAAATAAAGGCCCAGTCATTCACAGTACTGCAAAGTGATTAATCTAAAATGCAAATTTGATGACATCAGATCCTATTTAAAATCTCTGCCTTTTCTCCGTTCCCACACACCCTCTTCTATCAGACATAATGAACTACTGCTAGGATTATTGCAGTAGTCTTCTGACTGTCACCAGTGTCACCTCACTGTACTCCTCCACTTCCCCACTGCTTTCACAACAATCAGTGTAAATCTCCAAACTCATCAGGGCCCTCCTTACCTCTAGCAATGTTCCCGGACTTCCTATACCCTTGGGGCGAAAGTCTACACACATTATAGGCCTTATAACAGCCTCCATCCATTCATTCATTCATTTAACAAATATTTATCAAGTGCCAACTCTATCCCAGACTACTGTTAAGAGTGGTAGGGAACAGTAAACCAAAGACCAAAAGTCCCTGACTTTAGGAAGTTACATTCTGTGGGCAAAATTTAGCACCCCTCTGTGTTCAGCTCTTCTGCATTCAGTGGTGTGGGCACAGGTTTTTACCAGCTCATGGAGACCAAGGGTGCACATCTCTTCCCTACTCTGCATTCAGTGACATTGCTTTGGTAGCTTGAAATCAACCTGGGTGGGAATATTTACACCGTGGAAATCAGAAGTCACTACAAATAAGCAGACACTAGGCTTTTTCTTTTTCAAGAACAGGTACGTGAACATTTAGCAGCATACTTTTGTACCTTAGTCCAGGCTGCTCTCTGTGCCTAGAAATCTCTTCTTCTTGTCATCTGCCTGATGAATACCTACCTTCAAGACTTAGTTCAAATATCAAAGCAGTTTTGGACTCAAGAGGGCGAGCAGACTCCTCCTCCCTCTGAGCTGCCTCTGTACCATGCGCACACCCAGAACACCTTCAGCAGTTACCTAGTCATGTGACTGTCACCCCACTGTACTGTAAATTTCTTGGAGCCAGGGATGAGTCAGGCATGACTCATCAATATCCCCAGCCCCTGGTACAGTGCCTGGCCCAGTTCCTGGACCACTCTAAAATAAATTCCTGTTGAATACATTTGGAGCCAGGAAAAAATATGTATCTTATTTTAACAGCTGTCATCAGACTTCATTTTAGGAAAGGAATCAAGTATGAGGTTGAATGAGCCCAAATTGTGGAAATGACCATGGGATATTTAGGTATAGTAATATGTAACATTGAGATTTCCTTTTCTGAGCTAAAATTATTCCATACCTACAAGATATTCACAATGTGAATGCCTTATGTAAATGGTTGGACTGGTGAATGTTAAGAAAAATGGCTGAGTTCTATAACTGAGTTAATGGGGTGCCAAACAGGGAAGATATGAGCCACAAGCATGGGGATCCCTAGACTGAATTTGCTCAGAATAAGGAAGCTGGAGCCAGAAGTGACCACAATTAATAAGCCCCCTGGGAATTTATGAAAATCTTGTGAGGCTCTGGATACTCCAGAATCCTTGGGCTAGGGCTTTAAATTCGTCTCATCTAGACATGAAAAAACAGGGTGGCCTAATTTGACAGCTTAATCAGGAAGAAGTGGGTAACATGGATGGATGGATGGATGGATGGATGGATGGATGAATGGATGGATGGATAGATGGATGGATGGATAGATGGATGGATGGATGAAAGGAAGGGTAGATGAACAGATAGATGGATATCTGAAAGCAGAAGTTGTGAATGGCTTAGTAGTGGAGGTGGCAAGTGAGATTATATTAGGCCATTCTTGCATTGATATAAACAAGTATCTGGGTCTGGGTAACTTACAGATAAAACAGATTTAATTGGTTCATGGTTCTGCAGGCTTTACAGGAAGCATGATGCTGTCATCTGCTTCTGCTGAGGGCCTCACTAATCTTACAATAATGGCAGAAGGTGACAGGGAACCAGTATGTCACATGGCAAGAGAGAGAGGGAGGAGGCACCACACTCTCTTAAACAACCAGATGTCATGTGAACTACCAGAGCAAGAACTCACTCATCATTAGGGGATGGGGCTAAGACAGTCAGGAGGGATCCACCCCCACGACACAAACATCTCCCACTAGGCCCCATCTCCAACATTGGGGATTACATTTCAACATGAGATTTGGAGGGGACAGACATCTAAGCCATATCATTTCACCTCTGGCCCCCAAATATCATGTCCTTCTCACATTACAAAATACAATCATACCTTTCCAGTAGTCCCCCAAAGTCTTAAGTCTTTCCAGCATCAAGTCCAAAGTCATCAGAGACTCATTCTCCTTCCACCATCAGCCTGTAAAATCAAAGACAAGTTATTTGCTTCCAAGATACAATGGTGGCACAAGCATTGGGTAAACATTCCCATTCCAAAAGAAAGAAATTCACCAAAAGAAAGGGGCAGTAGGCACCACACAAGTCTAAAACCAAGAAGGACAGTCATCACGTTTTAAAGCTCCAAAATAATCCCCTTAGACTTCATGTCCCGCACCCTGGTATGATGGGTGGGCTCCCAAGGCCTTGGGCAGACCCACCCCTGTGGCTTTGCAGGGTGCAGTACACATGGCTGTTCTCAAGAGTTGGAGTGGAGTACTTGTGGCTTTTCCAGGCAGAGTTTGCAAGCTGCCAATCTACCATGTTGGCATCTGGAAGGCAGTGGCCCCCTTCCCATAGCTCCACTAGGCAGTGTCCCAGTGGGGACTCTGTGTAGAGGCTCCAATCCCACATTTCCCCCTGCCATTGCCCTAGTAGAGTTTCTCTGTTGGGGCTCCACCCTGCAACAGGCTTCTGCCTGGGCACCAAGCTCTTCCATAATCATCTGAAATCTAGGTGGAAGCCTCATTCATGCTTACATTCTGAGCATCTGAAGACTTAACATCACGTGACAACTGCCAAGGCATGGCTTGCACCCTCTAGAGCTGCAGCCCAAGCTGTACCTTGGCCCCTTTGAGTCATGCCTGAAGCCAGAGTGGCCAGGATGCAGGGAGCAGTGTGGCAGCACAGGGAAGCAAGGCCGTAGGCCTGGCCCCCTAAGCCACTTTTCTCCTAGGCCTTTGGACCTATGATGGAAGGGACCACCCCAAGACTTCTAAAGTGCCTTCAAGGCCTTTTTCCCATTCTCTCAGGTATTAACAATTGGCTCCCCTTAGGTCAGGCTAATTTGCCTAGCAAGTGGTTGCTCCACAGCGTGCTTGAACTTCTCTCCTGAAAATGATTTTCTTTCCTGCTACATGGCCTGTTTATTAGTCCATTTTCATGCTGCTGATAGAGACATACCCAAGACTGGGTGATCTATTCAGGAAAAAGGGTTTAATGGACTTACAGTTCCACATGGCTGGGGAGGCCTCACAATCATGGTGGAAGGCAAGGAGAAGCAAATTATGTCTTACATGGATGGTAGCAGGCAAAGAGAGAGAGAACTCCTCTTTATAAAACGATCAGGTCTCATGAGACTTATTCACTATCACAAGAACAGCACAGGAAATACTTCCCCCCATGATTCAATTATCTCACACTAGGTCTCTCCCACAACACATGGGAATTCAAGATGAGATTTGGGTGAGGACACAGCCTAACCATATCAGCTAGCATGAAAATTTTCCAAATTTTTATGCTGTGCTTCCCTTTTAAATATAAGTTCCAGTTTCAGGTCATTTCTTTGCTTGCACATATAAACACTGGCTGTTTGAAGCAACTAGGCCACTTCTTGAACACTTTGCTGCTTAGAAATTTCTACTGCCAGATACCCTAGGCCATCACTCTTAAGTTCAAACTTCTATAGAGCCTTAGGGCCTGGACAAAATGCAGCCAAGCTCTTCATTAAAGCATAACATGGGTGACTTTACTCCAGTTCCTAATAACTTCATTTCCATCTGAGACCTCATCAGCCTGGACTTCAATATCTCTATCAGCATTTTGGTCACAACCATTTAGCCAGTCTACAAGTTGCAAACTTTCCTTCATCTTCCTGTCTTCTTCTGAAACCTCCAAATTCTTCCAATCTCTGCCCATTACCCAGTTCCAATGCTGGATCCACATTTTTAGGTACCTTTTTAGCAATGCCCAACTCCTCAGTACTAATTTTGTGTTATGCCATTCTTACACTGCTATAAAAAAAAGTACCTGAGGCTGGCTAATTTATAGAGAAAAAAAGCTTTAATTGGCTCATGATTCTGCAGGCTTTACATGAAGCATGGTGCTGGCACCCACCTCTGGGGAGGCCTCAGGGAGCTTACACCATGGTGAAAGGTGAAGGAGGAGCCAATGTGTCACATGGTCAGAGCAGGAGCAAGAGAGAGGTGGAGGTATCACACTCTTTTAAACAACCAGATCTCACATGAACTACCAGAGCAAGAACTCACTCTTCAACAAGCAGATAGGGCTAAGCCATTCATGAGGGAGCCACCTCCTACCAGGCCACCACCTCCAACATTGGGGGTTACATTTCAGCATGAGATTTGGAGGGGACAAACATCCAAACCATAACAGAGATGAAAGCCAAGACAGCTGGACTAGGTGGGGCAAGCCAGGAACAGGCTTCAGAAACAGCCTAGGCAGGAGGCAGGAAGACAAGACGGCAGGAAGCAGTGCAGAACAAAGCAGGCTCCTCATCATTCAACCTCCCCTGAGTGCAGCAAAGGGGCCTTATTGTCAGCCCCTAACTGATCATTGATAACTAAAGTTATAACAACTCATACCTGTAAGGGCCATGGTGAGTTAGAGCTGGCAAGAGCCCTAATGATACACAGTCTTCTCTTGAAAGAGGAGAAGACTGAGGCCCAGAGAAGTGAGTAAATTTCCCAACAAGCAGAAAGTTGAGACTGGAATCTGGCTTCCCACCCCAGCCCAGTGCTCTTGGAACTAGAGGACGGTCCTCACCCAGTCAGCTAAGGGGAGCCTTGGCATGCTGGCCACCACCAGCCCAGTGATGCTAGGAAAGTTGCAGTGCTTATCTGTGTGCACCTCCCTTTGCTCAAATGTAATGTAGAAACAATAATATTGCCTGTCAGGATCTTCTTGTAAGAACTAAATTACTTAATATTTTAAAACATAGTGGTGTCATATTTGAGCTCACATTACCCTAAGATTCACCCTACCATCAGGCTGCTACAAGGAATTCAAAGATTCCTGGGTAGAGACCTGATGAAAATGGGCACCGGTTAAAATAAAAAAAGGAGGGATAATTTGGGGGTGGGGGTGTCATTTAATGTTGTCCCCAGGTCCTACCCCTGGAATTGCGCAAGGGCCGCAATAGTCAGAAATGGATTATTTCATGGGATGTTCAATGAAACCTCAGTTAAACCGTGAGACCATCTTGTCTTATTGCTTAAAACCACTGAAAGCTGAAAGGGTTGGATCTTTGGAGCTTCTGGGTAACATCCTCTGAGGACCCTAGGAATGGTGAATGAGGGAGGAAGGGAGTAGGGAGAGAATAATTTAAAGTGAGCAGAGCCAGGCAAACTCTCCCTGCATGAGAAACTAACAGGAAAACCCAGGTCCCATGTGAGTACCAAGTTAAATGACCCCAGCAGGCCATGTTGGTTCCCTTTCCCCTTTCTGGACTTACTGCTCCATCAAGGCTAAGCAGACCATTGGCTCTCCCTTTTCCTCTGTTCTCCTGGCTCCAACTACCTCTGCTTTTTTCAGCAATAGATGTATTTTTCAAGGATCCTGCTCCTGGGAAGTACTTCCTCTATCACTTATCTCACCTGGTGCACTATACCTAATTATCAGCTTAATTGCCTGCTTCCACCACTGACCAGTTACAATCAGGTATATTCTATTCTCGTCCCTATGGCATTATCATTCCAAAACAATAGTAGACACTCTTTGCATATTTATTGGATGAATGAATTAATGAATGAATGCATGGAACTCTTCATGACAATGAAATTCAGGCCCTAGTCCCACACATAAGTAATTAAAGGTCAAAGTGACCATACTGAGCAAGTTCCTGAGCCTTTGCTAGTAAAAAACAGGGCCCTTGGAGCAACATTGGTCTTTCTTGGAAGCTTAGTAAAAATACAGACTCTCAGGCTGAATCTAAACTTGCATTTTAAAAAGATCCCCAGATGATTCCCACACATTGAAGATTGAGAAGCCCTCTTCTAAGGGGTAACGTCTTCCAGAGAGTTTAGCTGCTTCCGGCGCCCTACCTCAAGGGTCTGATTCAAGGAATGAGATGGAAGGCTGCAAATTCAGGCAGATCACTAAGTTCTCTGGCCCTGGGGCTCCATCATCAGTCTACCCTCCACCCCAGATTGGCCTAGAGATCCCCAAATGTGAGGCAACGAATCAAGCGCTCCCTGAGAGGGTGTCGAGCCCCAGTGCCTCCTGGAGGCCTCCAGCTGTGCGGAGTCATGCTTTTGGCAGCACCTGGCTGCTATTGTTAGGAGAGAATGAGGAGCTGCAGGGACAGTGGCACTGTACATGCTGACTAAAAGGCGGGGCTCCTATCTGCATTTGGAATGACATACCCAATTCTATTTGGGAAAGAAGCACAATGACCCTTTATTAAAGGATTTCAATGGCAGAAACTAGTCAAATGGACCAGGAAATGATTAAGAGACAAAAGTCAAGGCATTGTGTGTGCACCATGCTTAGCCCAGTCCTGAAAGCCCTATTATAATGGCCACTGTTCCTGTAGCCCCTCCTGAGCCCCACCACCCTCCTCAGAAACACTGTGGCTCCTTGGACACACTGCAAGGCCTATTTGTCTCTCCTCAAGGAAAAGGGTGGAAAGCTACAGCAAACTTTGCCAGGGACTGGTAGGGATGGTGGGGCAGGGAGAGATGAAGGGGCAAAAGACAGGTGGGACAGGAGGTGACAGCCATAGACCACAAGCGGATCAGGGAAGGATGCAGACGGCAGAATTTGTAAATGTTGTACTGCAGCTTGGAAGGGAGGAGAGAAAGAAGAGGGAAGGGAAATATCACTGCTGTCCCACATCATGGAGCAAGATGTCAGGAAGCCCAAGTTCAAAACCCTTACCCCACATACTGGCTATGTGACTAAGGCATTTTGCTTATGCTTTTTGGATCTCATTTTCCTGGTCTGCAACATGCAGATGCTGATATTAGCTGTACGTGGTGATATGCCAATGAAATTAACTGAAATGAAGCATAGGAAAGTACTTAGCACAGTTCTTGACACATAAACTGTGAATTCTAATTCAGAAAGAACTAAAAATTGCTTCCTTTGCCTGTCAACTAGTACATACAGCACCGCCCCAGTCCTGCCCATGTCACCCCCTGAGAAAGGCTTAAGGCATGATTCATCTCAACATATTAGAGGTTGGTGCAAAAGCTGTTGCAGTTTTTGCCATTACTTTTAATACAACCTAATATTTGTATTTAAGTGGGGACTTCAAAAGAGTCAATGGCTTCTGTTTCAAAAGAAAGACTCTCTAATCATGGAAATGGTATCAGGAGGTCCGAGAAGGACCTAGGCTGATATCTCTTGAGTCATGACCTCTATGGGACCACTTTCCTACTCAGCCTCTGTCTGAGACCATTGAATATGATCTGAATCCAGCTTTCTTTGAGCAAGGTTAGAGAGAAATGCTCTGACAGCAGAAAAAGACTTGGAATGCCAGGAGCTCTGCTGCAGGACTCCAGCAGTGAGGGTCAGTGGGTGGCAGGAGTCACTGGGGAATCAGGCCTGGGAGTCACGGCTGCAGGTCACATGGCAGAGCCTGAGTCCCCCATACAGACACACAACCTGGGCCTGCCCCCCACTCCTGGACAGTAGAGACCCGTAACCACTGCTCCATAGGAGTTGGGAAGTTAGAAGGTCTACATTTGGTTCATGAACCACAAGATGGGGCCACCAAGATGACAATCATTCTGATGGCCGAAAGGATCTGGATCTCAGCATGGACAGTGTAGCCACTGACCACTGATGAGCCACAATTCTGATGGGGTGGGGCCAGGAAGGTAATGTTCTGACAGGTGGTGGGACTTGGATGCATGGGGGTGTGGGGGTGGCAAGAGCACAGAGCCAAGCTGAGATCAAAATGGTGGCCCTTAGGGCCCCTTATCCAAAACCTGACACAAAGAAGGTGGCCCACTCCTGCCTCCTTGCAGACAGTCTTGAGGAGAGGGCAGTGGAAGACAAGACAAGGGCTTCTAGAGAGAGTGTGGCAGCCAGGCCCCAGATGTTGGGACAAGTGTCACTGCACTATTTGGGGGTCTGGGAAGGGGATGGAGGTCAAGGTCAGAGGCACAGCCTCAGAAAAGCTGGACGGAGCAATAGTGAGTGCCCAGGTAGCAGACTACACACACCTGATGAGGACTGGTCCACCCACTCGAGGAGTCCAGGGAGACCAGAGGCAGAGGGGTCAGTTGGCTGAGAGGCGGCCGTCAGGGTAGAATTGGTGACAGATATGGAAGAACATGTTGGTGCCCATTAGAATCATAAAACTGAAATGGCTGCAGAGTCACTAGAGTAATTCTAAAGCCTCCAGGGAGGCTTTGAGTCAGGTGCTCAAAGATGCTGTCCACATTCAGCTGGAGTGGCCACAATGCCAGTTGTCACTTCAAAACAGACACCCAGAAGAGGCAGCAGGGCCCAGCCCTTAGGGAAGAGTTGGAGAAGATGAATGAAGCAGAGCTGTCACCCAAAATAAAAGGCTATTTGTGGTGGTATTAAGTACAAAGTGAAGAACCGAGGCGGGAGGTAGACTATATCTTATGAGAAATGACCACAGTGAGGTCACACATTCCTTCCTTTTATGCAAATAGGAAGACCCAGGTCCCTATACATTTCAATAAGCCTTTCTTCTTTCCCAGGGTCATCCGTCTCCGTCAGCTCCAGGAGGCTGCGCTAATGCTCTGCCCTCAACGAGAGAACTGGAAGGGTACTTGGCCAGGTGTACCTTCCTGGGCTCTTCCAAGGTGACAGCTCTCACCCTGTGCTGCAGGTGGCCCTGTGCCTGGTGCCACTTCTCACTGCTTACCAGGGCACAAGGACACCAGTGGTTCCCAAAATGGGTCACAGCAGGATGGCCTGCATCAGATTCACCAGGGAGGGCTATAAGAAGGCAGACTTCTTCTTTTTCTTTCTTTTTTTTTTTTTTTTTTGAGACAGAGTTTACTCTTGTTGCCCAGGCTGGAGTGCAATGGTGCGACCTTGGCTCACTGCCACCTCCACCTCCCGGGTTCAAGCAATTCTTCGGCCTCAGCCCCTACAGTAGCTGGGATTACAGGCGCCTGCCACCACGCCTGGCTGATTTTTTGTACTTTTAGTAGAGACGGGGTTTCACCATGTTGGCCAGGCTGGTGCTGAACTCCTGTCCTCAAGTGATCCACCCGCCTCAGCCTCCCAAAATGCTGGGATTACAGGTGTGAGCCACCGTGCCTGGCAAAGAAGGCAGACTTCTAAACCTAGAAATTCTGATGCAATAACATGCAGGAAAGAGCCCAGGAATTTGCAAAAATGTTTCAACTCCGCAGGCAATTGTGAAGCACGGCCAAATTTGGAAAATATTGATCTACACAAAACAATACAACTATCCAAATATTAAAAATAACTTCACAAAAGGTAGCTAAGAGTGTGTGTCCAATTTTGTAAATATATATGCAATATACTTTTTAGTATATAATAAATGTATAACTCCGATTCTGTAAACACACACACACTCAAGCATGCGCACATATCTGAGTTGTAGGATGATAGAGGTTTTTCTTCTTTATTCCTTTCTCAACTGACTTTCTATAATAAACACGTATTCTGTTCGTAATGAAAATATGATTTTGTGAGTGCTGGGGAGCAGATTATGACATATTTGGACTCCCAGAGTGGCTTAGCTCAGACTCTCCGTGTGTGGGTTTCCTAGAAATGCAACGCCTCCCAGAGAGGCGTGCTGTCCCCTTCCTTTCTTCTGAAGAGTGTTTGTATGTGTTTGTTTCAATACACTCTTCATTCTGACTAGCAGACTGCATGGCTGGCTTTTGTAAATGAACACTCATTTTACTCAATTAAATTAATATATTGACTTTTTTTTTCCACAAGAGTTGAGGAAGAGATCAGGGCTGGGGGGCTGGGCATGCATTCAGGATAGGGCTCTAGTCAGCAGGAAATGAAAGAGCTGAGCAAGGAAACTGAGGTTGATATCAACATGGTGGGGAGGAGAGGCTGCTGTGCGGAGGCTCCCCTGTGCTGCAGGTCGCCCTGTGCCTGGTGCCAGGGGTCTCCCTGGGGACCCCAGACCCCTGTCAAGCCATAGCAGCGTCATGCCAGGGCTGAGTCTGCAGTTGCTCTCCCTGGGGCAGGAGGGGAGAAGATCTGGTATGAGTCCAGTGTGAGTGCTTCACACTGGTGAAGAACAAGTTTCTGGAGTGAGAAAGAACTGGATTCAAAATCTGAGTCTGGCACTGAACACTCAGGGATGTTACTGTCCTTCACTAAGCCCAGTTTCCTCTCATCTAGTAGGGATGATAACAGCATCTACTCAATGGATTTCTTGGTCACGACCATTGTCCAGCTCCCAAGACCCCATCGCCACTCACCCTCCTCAGGATGGAGTGACAGTGTGGGCCTGCTCTGAAGACTCAGGGTTGGGGCCAGATATTTAGAGGAGGTGTTTGCTTTTTTCTCCCCTTCAGCCATTGAGACAATATTTGTTACCAATACTGAGATTCTTCATTCTCTGTTTCACTTCTGACTGGAGGCAGCCTGAGGGGAAAACTTTTTTGAGAGGGAGAAACTGCTGGAAAGGTCCCTGGCTCTTGAGGGAGACTCACAGGAAGCGACACTGAGTATTAAGGGTCTGGATGTGATGTCTGGAATGACTGCAGCCATCACATTCCAGCCTGAGGACACAGCCAGTGCTGAGAGAGTAAGACCCGGGTCTTTGCTGCCATCACCAAGCCAACAAATCAGCTGCCACTGAGATGTGCCTATCTCACAAATTCCTGGTACCTGAGATAATAAAGTCCTTTTTTAAACCAGCTTGAGTTGAGATTTCTCTGTCTTGAAGACAAATGTAACTGACACAGAAGAATAAATTTTACTTTTAGAATCACAGTTGATCTACAACCTCTTCGAAGTGTGAAAGGAAAATAAATCCTTGAACCCCAAACCCACTAAGCCAAAGGGAAAAGTCAAGCTGGGAACTGGGTCACACAAACCTGCCTCTCATTTTGGTTCTTAAATAAGATGACTACAAAAGTGAAAAATTACATGCCTCCCTCAAGTTTTACCCACAAGGAAGTTCCTTTGCAATGTAAGTTGAATGCTTACCTTCACAGGTGTGGGGGACAAAGAACTCTAAGTCATCCCTCTGCCCACCTGAGACAAATGCATATCTGATTGTTTCCTCTGCCCTATTGTCTATGTTATCTTATGTAAAAATGCAGATTCACTGAGCCAGACAAAAGCATGAATGACTCTTTTCCCCCTCCACCCCTCCCACATGAAAACTGTATTTTTCAATATCCCACCTTTTCCCTTTTAAATTTGAAACCCTCAAAATTATCTTGGGAGAAAGGCATAGACCTGTCTCCTGAGTGCGTGTCCTTAAGTTTGGCAAATAAACCTCCTAAAATGATCAAGACTTGCCTTAGTCATTTTCCTTTATTGGCAGAAGCAAAGTTACCAATGTCTTCTATCTAGACCAACAATACCTTTTGAAGTAAACTTTTTATTGAACTACAGAACACATACAAAACTGGGCACAAATCCTAAGTATACAGTTGGATGAATTATGACAAAGAGGGCACATCCTTGTAACCACCATCCAGATAACCCTACCTTCATCCCTGCTTGTGCCCTTCTCAGTTGCTACCCCTCCCACATCTTTAAAGGAAAACACAGTCAAGGTCAGCAAAAAGAAGGAAGGCCTAAGAAACTGCCCCATCCAAGAGCAGCCTCAGGAAACATGGTGGCTGTATTCATTTCATCGGGCTGCCATAACAAATTGCCACAAACTGGGTAGTTTAAAACAACAGAAATTTATTACCTCGCAGTTCTGAAGGCTAGAAGTCTAAAATCAAGGTGTTGGCAGGGCCAAGCTCCCTCTGAAGTCTCTAGGGGAGGATCCTCCCTTGCCTCCCTGACCCCTGATAGCCCCAGGTGTTCCTTGGCTCACAGAGCATCACTCTAATCTCTGCTTCCATCTCTGTCTTCCATCTCTGTCTGTGTCCAAATTTCCCTCTTCCTGTAAGGAAACCAGTCATTGGATTAAGAACCCATCCTACCCCAGTATGACCTCATATTAACTAATTACATCCACATTATTTCCATTTCCAAATCAGGTCACATTCTGAGGTACTGGAGTTAGGGTTTCAACATATCTTTTTTGGAGATACAATTCGAACTATGACAACAACTTATATCACCTTAAGTTTATAAGGTGATATCCTGACGGAATCCTGGAACAGAAAAAGGACATTAGGAAAAAACTAAGTAAATCTTTTAAAAACTATGAACTTTAGTCAATAATAGTGAATCAAAAATTGGTTCATTAATTGTGACAAATATACCACAAGATGTTAGTAACAATGTACTAACATTGTAAGATGTTAGTAACAGGGGAAACCAGGTGTGGGACATTTGGGAAAGCTGTGTGCTATCTTCATAATTTTTTCATAAATCTAGAACTTCTCTAAAATGAAAAGTTTTTTAAGCACTTCAGGGTGAGAGTTCTAGGAAGTAGCAGTTTCTTGTACTGATCTCTGTCATGTTCTCAGCAGCTCATCAGTGTCTGAAGCAAGGTATGGATTTGAGCTACCAATAGATGGATGGATGGATGAATGGATAGATGGACGGATGGATGGATGGATGGATGGATGGATGGATGGATGCAAGGATGAATGGATGGATGGATGATGGATAGATGGATGGATGGATAGATGGTGTATTAGTGTGTTTTCATGCTGTTGATAAACACATACATAAGACTGGGAGGAAAATGAGGTTTAATTGGACTTACAGTTTCACATGGCTGGGGAGGCCTCAGAATCATGGTGAGGGGCAAAAGACACTGATTACATGGTGGTGGCAAGAGAAAATGAGGAAGAAGCAAAAGTGAAAACCCCTGATAAACCCGTCATATCTTGTGAGGCTCGTTCACTATCATGAGAATAGCACGGGGAAGACTGGCCCCCATGATTCAATTACCTCCCGCTAGGTCCCTCCCACGACACGTGGGAATTCTGGGAGATACAATTCAAGTTGAGATTTGGGTGGAGACACAGCCAAACCATATCATTATGCCCCTGGCCCCTCCAAATCTCATGTCCTCACATTTCAAAACCAATTGTGCCTTCCCAACAGTCCCCCAAAGTCTTATTTCAGCATTAAGCCAAAAGTCCACTGTCCAAAGTCTCATGTGAGACAAGGCAAGTCCCTTCTGCCTATGAGCCTGTAAAATCAAAAGCAAGCTAGTTACTTCCTAGATACAATGGGGGTACAGGTATTGGGTAAATACAGCTGTTCCAGTGGGAGAAAATGAACAAAACAAAGGGATTACAGGGCCCATGCAAGTCTGAAATCCATCAGGGCAGTCAAATTTTAAAGCTCCAAAGTGATCCCTTGACTCCAGGTCTCACATCCAGGTCACAATGATGCAAGAGGTGAGTTCCCCCTGGTCTCGGGCAGCTCAGCCCCTGTGGCTTTGCAGGGTACAGCCCCCCTCCCGCTGCTTTCATAGGCTGCCATTGAGTGTCTGTGGCTTTTCCAGGCACACGGTGCAAGCTGTCAGTGGATCTACCATTTTGGAGTCTAGAGGATTGTGGCCCTCTTCTCACAGCTCAACTAGGCTGTGTCTCAGTAGGTACTCTGTGTAGGGGCTCTGACCCCACATTTCCCTTCCACACTGCCCTAGCAGAGTTCTCCATGAGGGCCCCACCTCTGCAGCAAACCTTTGCCTGGACATCCAGGTGTTTCCATACATCTTCTGAAATCCATGCGGAGGTTCCCAAACCTCAATTCTTGACTTCTGTGCACCTGCAGGCTCAAAACCACATGGAAGCTGCCAAGCCTTGGGACTTTCACCCTCTGAAACCATGGTCTGAGCTATACATTGGCCCCTTTCAGCCACATCTGGAGCAGCTGGGACACAGGGTACCAAGTCCATAAGCTACACAAAGCACAGCAACCTTGGGTCTGGCCCACAAAGCCATTTTTTCCTCATGTGCCTCCAGGCCTGTGTTAGGAGGGGCTGCTGTGAAGGTCTCTGTCATGGCCTGGAGACACTTTCCCTGTGTTCTTGGGATTAACACTAGGCTCCTTACTACTTATGCAAATTTCAGCAGCTGGCTTGAATTTGTCCCCAGAAAATGAGTTTTTATTTTCTATCACATAGTCAGGCTGCAAATTTTCCAAACTTTTATGCTCTGCTTCCCTTATAAAATGGAATGTTTTTAACAACACCCAAGTCACCTCTTGAATGCTTTGCTGCTTAGAAATTTCTTCTGCCAGATACCATAAATCATCTTTCTCAAGTTCAAAGTTCCACAAATCTCTATGGCAGGGGCAAAATGCCATCAGTCTCTTTGCTAAAACATAACAAGAGTAACCTTTACTCCAGTTCCTAACAAGTTTCTCATCTCCATCTGAGACTACCTTAGCCTGGACCTTATTGTCCATATCGCTATCAGTATTTTGGGCAAAGCCATTCAACAAGTCTCTAGGAAGTTCCAAACTTTCCTACATTTTCCTGTCTTCTTCTGAGCCCTCCAAACTGTTCCAACCTCTGCCTGTTACCTGGTTCCAAAGTGGCTTCCACATTTTCAGGTATCTTTTCAGCAACACCCCACTCCTGGTACCAATTTACTGTGTTAGTCCATTTTCTCACTGATAAAGACATACTCAGGACTGGAAGAAAAAGAGGTTTAATTGAACTTACAGTTCCACATGGTTGAGGAGGCCTCAGAATCATGGCAGGAGGTGAAGGCACTTCTTACATGGTGGCAGCAAGAGAAAATGAGGAAGAAGCAAAAGCAGAAACCCCTGAGAAACCTATCATATCTCATGAAATTTATTCACTATCACGAGAATAGCGTGGGAAAGACTGTCTCCCATGATTAAATGACCTCCCCCTAGGTCCCTCCCACAACATGTGGGAATTCTGGGAGATACAATTCAAGTTGAGATTTGGTTGGGGACACAGCCAAGCCATATCAGATGGATGGATAGATAGATAGAGAGATAGATAGATAGATGATAGATAGATAGATAGATAGATAGATAGATAGATAGATAGATAGATATTACCTATGGACATCCTATTATATATATGTGTGTGCGTATATATATATATATATATATATATATACACACATATGCACACACATATACACAATTTTCCTATAGCTATCTATCTATATCCTTGATAGTTCTAGATTTAGATATAGATAACAGAGAATGCCTATGTGTAGGCTCTATACAAGACAATTTACCTCCATGAATTCTCATACCAATTGGTATCCCCATTTTACAGATGAGGAGCCTGTGACTCAGAGAGAAAAGTAATTTGCTCAGAGCTCCCTACTAGCAGAGTGTCAGAGCCAAGTTTCTAATTCTAGTCTGCCTGGCTCTGATGCATGGGTTGTTCCACTACATCATGCAGTCTTCACAATGCTGCATATCCCTTCCTGCCTGTGCCCTCACTGCTCATCCCCTTCAAGTTACAAATGAGCAAACTGAGGTCCAGAAAGGTGTAGTGACTTGCCAGTGTAATACAGGGAAAAACCAGGTAACGAGTTTTGAGACTGGGACTTTGAATTAATGTATTTAAATCAAAAAAATGTTTATTAACAATCTTACCTATCAGCCATGTGTGCACGGAAAAAGGAAGAGATAGAGAGAGAGAGACAGCAGAAAGCCGAAAGCCAAAGTCTTGGGAGCTGGTAGATCATGGATCTGAGAACTTTACATTTCCAGTAAAACATTGCCTATGGAAGGTTTTCAATTGCTTCTGCAGTTTTTCCCTCCCACACCACCCTCACTCAGAATAGTGACCTAGAGGAGAAAAGAACAAAAGATCTTTGAACAGGTCATCTGTTTCCTGTCTCTAGCAGGGTGCTGGGGCATTGAGGGTTTCATCGTGTACTTAACAGGAAGCCTAGACCCTAGATCCATAGACTTGCTCTCTATCTTCTTTGCCTGAAAAAGTTCAATGCATTTAAGAATGTTGGAGCCATCCCCATTGACACCATCTCTATGATTGATTTTACAAAGGTCACAGCTATGATTCGGAGGCTGAAATGCCACTGCAACCACTTATCTCCTGTCCTTGCTCCTGGCATTGACAAGGCTGGTATAAAATGGTGAAGTTAGCTCAGAAATATGAGGTTCTAGCCACTAGAACTTGTAAATGTTGTAAGGACAAAGAGTCTTTGTAGATGTGACTACATTAAGGATCTTGACATGAGGAGATTATCCTAGATTATCAAGGTGGGTCATAAATGCAATCACAAGTGTCCTTAAGAGAACACATGAAGAAGAGGAGAAGGCAATGTGACCACAGAGATTGGCGTGAAGTAGTCATAAATGAAGGAATACTGGCTGCCACTATAAGCTGGAAGGGGCAAGGGACAGATTCTCCCCAAAGCCTGCAGAGGGATCTCAGTCTTATTGGCACCTTGATTTCAGTCTTGTTATACTGATTTCAGACGTCTGACCTCCAGATTGAGAGAATAAATTTTTGTTGGCTAAGCCAATTAGTTTGTGAAAATTTGTTACAGAAGCCTGAGAAGACTAATGCAGATGGTTAGAGATGCATTCCATTAAAAACTGAGCAAAACTCTAAAACAAATGTAAGTCTCGTGGCTGACAGCTACATCACTGCAGGAATGAGGAACAGTCTGGTGATGCCCATGTGTACATCTATGAAGAAAATGAAATCCATCAATGCTCTGGGTCTCTATCCAATTAAGGAGGAAGTTAGGGCTGAAAGAACCCAATGACCTCATTTTTCAGGTGAGGAAAATGAGATCTCAGGAGATCATTTAATTTGTCCAAGAGCTATTATCTAGTTCCTCATGATTAATGCTGTGTTAGGACTCCAGACCCAGCTGAAAGGGCTTTGTTATAAACACATGCACAAAATTAGGTCATAGTGACAAGAACATACTCAATGAAATTATGATTTAAAAAAGAAAAAATAAAGACAGGATTTGGAGAAAATACTATTAAAATTAGGAGACTAGAATCAAAGCAAAAAAGCTAATGAAATGTACAGACACCCTCCTCAGAGCCAAGAGAATGTCTACAGTTAAGCTTCAACAAACAAACAAAAAAAGAAGACTGACCTTGAGCTTCCCAGGAGCCAATGTGAAAGGCAAGCAGAATCAGTTACTTTATTCTTAGTATCACAAGGAGAAAGCATGCCATTTCCTCAGGAGAAGCCAAGTGTTCTCTTGTATTAATTTTAAATGTCATTTCTCCTGTGACTTAGTTAACGTGGAAATGTAATAGATGGTGAATGCAATAATATTTTTACTGTGTCTTGCAGAGATAATGCAATAATGACTATATCTTGCAATTATCTTTGTTTGATGAAAGCCTCAGGCAAATAATTAAGACAATTCCGAAACAATGCTTCTGTAAATGAATGGGATGATGGTGTGCATGGAGAAGTGGATGAACTGCTTATCCATTCAAGGATCTCCCATTGACATTTCCCTCCATTGGGCATTTTCTAAGACCTGCATAGAAGTCAGTCTGAATTTGTTCTCTCTCTGGACAAAGGCCCAGCATACTGATACTCTTCCTCTGTTGAAAGTAGAACCTGTCTTGCAGGTGATGTCATTGACATTCTTTCATAGAAATAGTCACCTAAGCAATAAGGAAAAACCATCTAGCCCTCCACAATGTGCACCTGGATGTAAAGGAGGAGTTTGTTTGTTTTTTTTTTTTTTTCCAGGAAACAAGGTACCTCTGTAGAAGCAGCTCAATAGGCACCAACATTGTGATATGCTGGCCAATAGAAAAACATCATCTCAGGCTGTGATCACAGAAGTGTGAAGTCTAAAAAACGAGGAGATAAAGGCCTGTTGTTCTGCCCTGTGTTGTCACTTGGATGTACCCGGAACATCATAGTCAAACCCACAAGCCATACTTTAGGAAGGTGTCTGTATTAATTAGAACTCCTTCTGCTTCAAGTGACTTAAATTCACTTAGGCAATAGCTGTGCGTGGTGGCTCACGCTTGTAATCCCAGAACTTTGGGGAGCTCAGGCGGGCAGATTAACCTGAGGCCAGGAGTTCAAGATCAGCCTGGCCAACATGGCAAAACCCCATCTCTCCTAAAAATACAAAATTTAGCCGGGCTTGATGGTGTGCACCTGTAAACCCAGCTACTCAGGAGGCTGAGGCATGAGAATCGCCTGAGATTGCAGTGAGCTGAGATGTCGCCACTGCACTCCAGCCTGAGTGACAAAGTGAGACTCTGTTCAAAAAAAAATTCACTTAGGCAATAAAATAGCATTTATTGATTCAAATAATTGGACAGTCTGTAGTAGAACTGCCTTAGGCCCAGCTGAATCCAGGGGCTCAAGTGATGTTATCAGGGCTGTCTTGTGCCCTCCTTCCACCTCGTTCCCTCAGAATGTTGACTTCACTCTCAGCAGCAGTCTCCCCACCCCACCCCTGGTAGAAAAGAAGGCCACTGGCAGTCTCAAATTTAGACCCTTGAATTGTGATTGGCAAAAGAAGAGCTTTCTGTTCCCAGTGCTCCTGGAGGGTATCTCATGGAAGGATTCTTATTGGCCTAGCTTAGTCCATGTGTCCACCTTCAGATTTATTTATTAATTCATTTATTCAATAAACCTTAATTTAATTTGTGTGGCATATACTGCTCTAGTGCTGAAGGTACAGCAGTGACAACAATCACTCTTCTGCCTCTTGAAGCTTAAGATTTTGAGATGTAACATGTCATGTGATGACATATGTGACAAAGAAGAAAAAAGTATGGTAAGGTGATAAGGTGTCATTGTGAGGGGTTCTTTCCAGATAGGATGGCAGGGACAGCCTCTCTGACGATGTAATATTGATATTTAAGCAAAAACCTGAAGGAAGTGAGAAAGTAAGCTCCATGAATATCCACATCTGGAGAAAGAGTAATCCAGATTTAGGAAACAGCAAATATGGAGGCCCTGAGATTGGAAGCTGTACATCATGCTTAGGAAACTGCAAGAAAACCATTGCCTCTAGAGAGTCAAGGACAAAGAAGGGAGTAGTACGAGATGAGGTTTGGGGTTTGGGGTTGGCTATCATATAGAGCCTTATAGACTATAATAAGGACTTTGTACTTTGCCCTGAGTGAGACAGGATGCTATGGAAGGGTGTTCAGCAGAACAGTGATGTGTTCCGATGCTTTAGAAGGTTCTACATGATGTTGTGCAGAGATTAGATTGTAGGGGTATGAGTGTCCTCCAGCCAAAGACCACCAGTCTGTAGTTTGGTTTTATTTATTTGTTGCAATAAGGAGAAGTGTGGAATGTCTCGGTTTAAAAAAATGGGTGTAACTTACTGCAGGGTTTAGGATCCTGTCAGGTGATTTGAGAGTGGGGATTAAGGAAGTGGGGTTTTGGGTGCCATCAGGCTAATCCATAGCTGTGTATCTTAATCATTCTTATCTTGAAGGTGGAAAGAACAGAGTGAGGCTGAAAATTTGATTGGTAAAGAAGCAGCAATCACTCATATTAACCAAGCTAGGAAGATGTTTGGTCACTTTTGCTTCTGGACAATGTTTTTGTTTTTATCTTAATCCATCATAGTCACAGAGTGGCTTTGTCTGAATGTGAGTGTTCTGTGTGTGACTGCCAGGCAGATCCCAGTTATCAGGGGCTGCTTTTCTCTTCCTCAGAGAACAAGGGAGGGTCAGGGAATCAGATTCCTATCTGATGCTATGGATGCAATTGTCATCATGGTTTCCAGCAAAATCACAATATTTCAAGAGATTTAAAGAGGTATGATTTGGAGCATATTTTGAAGCTAGAGGTGGAATTTGCTCATAGATTGTGTGTAGAAGGCAAAGAGTTCAAGGTGATTTCTGAGAGTTTTTCCAAGTGATGAAATGGAGTTGCCGCTTATCAAAATGTGGTAAATTATGAGAGGCATACAATGAGTGAGGTGGATCTAGAGAGCTCAGTTTTATTTATTTACTTATTATTTTGAGACAGAGTCTCGCTCTATCACTCAGGCTGGAGTGCAGTGGCACCGTCACAGCTCACTGCAGCCTAGACCTCCAGGGCTCAAGCAATTCTCACACCTCAGCCTCCCAAACAGCCGGGACTACAGGTGCGCACCACCATGCCCAGTGGTGTATATTTTGTAGAGACAGGACTTCACCATGTTGCTCAGGCTGTTCTCGAACTCCTGATCTCAAGCGATCCTCCCACCTCAGCCTCCCAAAGTTCTGGGATTACAGTTGTGAGTCAACACACTGGGCCAGAGAGCTAAGTTTCAAACATGCTAAATGTAAGATGCCAGTTAGACAGCCACGGAGAAATATTGAACAGAGAGTTATACAGATATATATATATATATATATATATATATAAAACATATGCAAGTTTCTGATATTTAGATAATATTTAGAACCATGGGACTGGACATCACCTAAGGATTGAGAGTAGATAGAGAAAGACAATGAGACTGGCCTGAGCCATGAGATACCCCAGATTTTAGAACCCAGCCCAGTGCCTGAGAAGGGACTATTCTGAGTGGCCATCCTGAGTTGAGTGGTATCCCGTATCTGCCAAGAGGATGAGGCAATATGATTGACAGATCCCTCAAACCCACATAGAAAGAGGTGATTTCCTAAAGCAGAGAATGTTGAGTCAAACAAATACCACTTGTCTACTTTGATATCTAATGAAGAACTCCCATCTTTTGGTTATCATTGAATTATTTGATTGATCAGCAATCCTTATCTGCTCATAAGTAGTATGCTTATGTAAGTTTCAGCAGTGTTAGTAGGATTGGAATACTTGTCATCTTGGTCTTGAGAACACAAGACTCTTCTCACATATTAAAAAGTAATCTTATTTATGTATTTATTTATTTATTTATTTATTTATTTATTGAGACAGAATCTCACTCTTTTGCCAGACTGGAGTGCAGTGGCACAATCTCGGCTCACTGCAACCTCCACCTCCTGGGTTCAAGCAATTCTCCTGCCTCAGACTCCTAAGTAGCTGGGACTACAGGCGTTTGCCACCACACCCAGCTAATTTTTGTATTTTTAGTAGAGACAGGGTTTCACCATGTTGGCCAGGATGGTCTCTATCTCTTGACCTCATGATCTGCCCACCTTGGCCCCCCAAAGTGCTGGAATTACAGGCATAAGCAACCATGCCCTGTGTGATCTTATTTTTTGTGTGCTATTTTTTGAGAAGGAGTACGTATCAAGTGATTAGTGTTTCAAAGACTTATAACTCAGCTCAATATAAGTCAGATGTTTTTAGCTACAGATCTCTTCGCAAGTGAAATGGGGCTTCTCAAATAGGTGAGCCCTCTACCCTCATAGACAAAGAAGCCAAGACTGGACACCCACTCAGAGGGGATGTTGTGGAAGCATTCCAAGCAACCTGAGCTGGACAAAGTTATCCACAGTGATACAACTACTGTGTAAGACTGTGAGAACAGAGATCTGAGCACTTGTCCTCAGTTACTAACTGGATGACCGCAAGCAAATCACTTCATCCCTCTAAGCATCAGTTTCCTTTTATTTATTTATTTTGAGACGGTCGTGCTCTGCCTCCCAGGCTGGAGTGCAATGGCAGAATCTCAGCTCACTGCAACCTCCCCAACCTGGGCTCAAGTTATTCTCATGCCTCAGCCTCCTGAGTAGCTGGAATTACAGGCGTGCACCACCACATCTGGCTAATTGTTCGTATTTTTAGTAGAGATGGGATTTCACCATGTTGGCCAGGCTGGTCTCGAACTCCTGACCTCAAGTGATCTGCCCCCAGCCTCGGCCTCCCAACATGCTGGGATTACAGGCATGAGCCACTGCACCTGGCCAGTTTCCTTATCTTTCCAACAGGGATAATAGTGCCTTTTTCACAAGGCTGTTGAGAGAATTAAGTAAGATATTATTTGTGAGAGACTGTAGCATCATGATTGGCATATAACAGCACCCAGCAAATGTTAGTTTCTTTCCTCTTTTAATAGCCAACCTGCAGGGAGAGTTTAATTCTGGAAATATTTATTGACCACTTATTATGACTTCTGTAATATTTGAACATGAATCATTGACAAGTCAGTCTGAAAACTGGCTGAGAGTCTGCGGGCAGGGGATTTGGAAAGTAAGGCAGTGGGATGACTCATCCTGGGGAAGAGAGGAATGTGTTTGCTCCTGAGGGAATGAGCCCCTAAGTTCTTTCTGGTGGGGGAAGAAGTCTGGAGCTGGAGGAGGCTGTCTGGGAGGTGGTGTGGCCTCTGACTTGCACTCTCAGCCTTAAGCCAATGGCTCACACAATGCTAGTGTGATTGCATTTTCTGTGAAAATCTGGCAGAACTGAGTTCCACAGGCTGACATGACTGGAACAAGAGGCTCCATTCATGGACTTAGAATAGAACCAACATTAGGGCAAGGGCTCTAGAAGCTTCTGAGGGCAGGGTGCTGGAGCATTTGAGTCAAGGGCACTTATGTCTCTGACAAGTGAAGAACCTCAGCAGATCTCTGCTTTACCCATACATTTTACAAGATGCCTTGAATGCAGCTGTAGAGGGATTTCTCCAGTCAAGGATCCTTGACATGAATGCTCAAAAGATACATTCTTCCTCTACGGTGCAGTCATCAAGGACAGCAGGACAAGCAGATTTATCCTCACCTGAAGTCATAACCAGGATCAGTTTCCCCCAATTCCAGCTCTTCCAATTCCCCAAAGAGGACTTTCTGTAATTACCTTAGGAGAAACACACTACAGAATAAACATCAGCAACCAGCACAGGTGTGAGTGGAGACATTTGATCCCCAGCCCTGTCATTGTTGAATCTGGTGTGTCTAAAACCTCACGAAGGGGCAGAGGAGAACATGGCGCAGTAAACAACCTGCCCCATGCCCCAACTGACACTGCTGGCAGTAAATGACCCTCACAACTCTCTCCTCCACTCATTCCCAGAGATAGTGATATGTTGGTATTAACAACACATCTCTTTAAAAATTCAATTACATTTGCATCTATTTGACAGACTAGAATAATTACTATCTGCTGCTAAGGTTTCCCCTGCAGATGCAAGAAAAAAGTGACCTTACATTTTCTGTCTGTCTGATTGTGGCAGCCAAGATTGAATAGGGAAATACAGAGGGTAGAAATCTAATTATATAACAGTATTGTGGTCATTTCTTTAAAGTTCTTATCTTTTGGAGACACATATTGAAATATTTACAAATATAATCATATGATTGTGGGATTAGCTTCAAATAATGCAGGATGGGTATGATTTCATTTACATGAAGTACAAAAGCAAAAAGAAAATCATAAACCCATGCTGTTGAGGTGAGGAGAGTGGGGCGGAGGGTGGAGATAGTGACCAGTAGATAGGACGAGGTGGGTATCTGGGATTTGCATTTACACAAATGGTTTTGGGTTATGAAAATTCACTGTGCTTTAATTTTATAGCATATGCTTTTCTGTGCCTGTGTATATGTATACATGTGCATGTACATCATACTTCAACAAACCTTTTTGAAAAATCATAATGTGGGAGGAGGGGTAACTGATGCGGGGGTGGGAGTGGGGAGTGACCGAAACAGGATTGTCTGGGTGTTCATTGCTGAAGCTGGGTGGTGGGCACACAGGGGGTTATTTTACTAATCTCCTATTTGTGTCAATGTTTGACATTTTCCACAAGAAAAATTTTATGAAAATATTCCTGGAGGTATTAAGTCTCATGTATTCTTAAATATTATTACTTTTTTGAGCCAAGGTCTCTCTCTATAGCCCAGGCTGGAGTGGAAAATGTTAATTTTTTAAAACCAAAGGCTCAGTACAACAGGAGTTGAGGCTCTGATGGATCAGAGAAGAGGATGGGTCATTTGAATGTGAGCCGGAGTGCTGAGTGTTTTTGCAAATGTGATTTTTTTGCCTACCCTGGTGAAGCCACTTTAAATTAGTAATTGCTATCATTTAAAAGGGAAACATAGAGATATATGTTAGCATGTGCCAATATTTGTATTTATTGACTAATGTTATTGATTACTTATTAATATTTCTAGATTTTATATCTGTACTATGTACAAAATATAATATAAACATAATAATACACATTTGACAAAAAGCTTTTAAAGGAAGAGATAAAATATGTAAATAGATATTTTAATGTATTATTTCTACATGCCAATGGATATTTTTGGGTGCCTTCAGGGTATATGATTTGGAAAACATAATTTTTCTTTTCACAATAAGAACTCGCAATGAAGAAAAAATAGATTTAAACTACACACACACAAAATCTAAATTCTGCTTTGAATATCATCTATTAGACACCAGGCTTTTCCCTAGGCATATATGAATATCCTTGGCCTTGAGGGGCTAGTGGTCCAATAGGGGAGAAGGCATATAAAAATATAACTTCAATGTGATATGGTGGTGCCACCAAGATGGAAATGGGAGCAAGACATCTTGGGAATTCTTCCTGCAGGAAAGAAAACCTGAGAGGAGATTTGAATCTTAACAAAGAACTTGGCATGCAAGTAAATATAAGAAAGATATTCCCAACCGTTTTGGGTTGAATTGTGTCTCCAAAAAGATATGCCGAAATCCTAACCCTGGTACCTGAGAATGTGACCTTATTTGGAAATAAGGTCTTTGCAGATGTAATCAAGTTACGATAAAGTCATTAGGGTGCATCTTAATCCAATATGACTGGTGTCCCTATAAGAGAGGAAGAGTCACAGAGACTCACACAGAGAGGAGAATGCCATGTGAAGACACAGAAATACAGGGAGAATGCTGTGTGATGACAGAGGCAGAAATTAGAGTTATGTAACTGCACACCAGGGAACACCAAGAATTGCCTGCAACCACAGAAACTGGAGCATGAGCATGGCCATTGATACGGTTTGGCTCTGTGTCCCCACCCAAAATCATGTCAGATTGTAATTCCCAGTGTTGGAGGTAGGGCCTGGTGGGAGGTGATTGGATCATGGGGGCAGAGTTCTCATGAGTGGTTTAGCACCATCCCTCATTAGTACTGGTTTTATAGTGGGAGAGTGCCCATGATCTGTTTTTTTAAAAGTGTGTGGCACCTCCCGACTCTCTCTCTTGCTCCTGCTCTGGCCATGTAAGACATGCCTGCTTTTCCTTTGCCTTCTGCCATGATTATAAGTTTCCTGAAGCCTCCCCAGAAGTAGAAGCCACTATGCTTCCTGTACAGCCTGCAAAACTGTGAGCCATTAAACCTCTTTTCTTTATAAATTACCCAGTCTTGGGTATTTCTTTATAGCAATGCAAGAACAGACTAATACAGAAAATGGGTACTTGGAGTGGTGCATTGCTATAAAGATACCTAAAAATGTGGAATCAACCTTGGAATCAGGTAATGAGCAGAGGTTGGAAGAGTACAGAGGGCTCAGAAGAGGACAGAAAGATGAGGGAAAGTTTAAACTTCCTAGAGACTTCCTGAATGGTTGTGACCAAAATACTCATAGTGATATGGACAATGAGGCCCAGGACTCAGACAGAGATGAGGAATATATTGGCAACTGGAGAAAATGTCACTTTTGTTATGTGTTAGCAAAGAGCTAAGGATCTGTGGGACCTTGAACTTGAGAGTGATGATTTAGGGTATCTGGCAGAAAAAATTTCTAACCAACAAAGTATTCAAGATATGACCTAACTGCTTCAAACAGCCTATGCTCACATGCATGAGCAAAGAAATGACCTGAAACTGGAACTTATATTTAAAAGAGAAGCAGAGTGTAAAAGTGTAAAATTTTCAGCCTGGCCATGTGGTAGAAAAGAAGAACCTCTTTTCTGGGAATGAATTTAAGCTGGATGCAGAAATTTACATAAGAGGAACCAAGCACTGACAGCCAGGACAATGGGGAGAAGGCTTTGAAGGCACTTCAGAGAACATTGTGCCAGCCCCTCCCATCACAGGCCCAGAGGACTAGGAGGACTGAATGGTTTTTTGGTCCAGGCCCAGGGCCTCACTGCCCAACACAGCCTCCAGACACTGCTCCCTGCATCCCAGCCAGTCCAGCTCCAGCTGTAGCTCAAAGGGACCCATTTATAGCTTAGGTGGCTGCTCCAGAGGGTGCAAACCATAAGCCTTAGAAGCTTTCACATAGTGTTAAGCCTGCAGGGGCACACAGTGCAAGAATTGAGGTGTGGGAACCTCTGCCTGGATTTCAGAGGATGTATGGAAAAGCCTTGATGTCCAGGCAGAAGCCTGCTCCAGGGGCAGAGCCTCATGGAGAACCTCTACTAGGGTAGTGCAGAGAGGAAATGTGGGGTTGGGTAGCGGGGCACTACCAAGTGGAGCTGTGAGCAGAGGGTCACCATCCTCCAGACCCCAGAATGATAGATTCACCAGCAGATTGCACCCTCTACCTGCAAAAGCTGCAGGCACTCAACATCAGCTCTTGAGAGCAGCCGCAGACGCTGAACCGTGCAATGCCACAGGATTGGAGCTGCCCAAGGCCTTGGGAGGGAGTCCATTCCTTGCACCAGTGTGCCCTGGATGTGAGACGTGGGGTCGAAGGAGATTATTTTGGAGCTTTGAGGTTTAATGACTGACCTGCTGGGTTTTGGACTTGCATGGGGTCTGTAGCCCTTTTATTTTGACCACATTCTCCCTTTTGGGAGTATTTACCCAATGCCTGTACCCCCACTGTATCTTGGGAGTAACTAATTTGTTTTTTTATTTTACAGGATCATAGATGGAAATGACTAGCCTTGTCTCAGATGACACTTCGAACTTTGGACTTTTGAGTTAATGTTGGAATAAGTTAAGACTTTCGGGGACTGTTGGGAAGGCAGGATTGTATTTTGAAATTTGAGAAGGACATAAAATTTGGGAGGGGGCAGCATGGAATCATATGGTCTAGATATATGACCCTGTCCAAATCTCAAATCTAACTGTAATTCCCAGTGTTGGAGGTGGGGTCTGGTGGGAGGTGATTTGATCATGGAGGTGGAGTTCTCATTAATGATTTAGAGCCATCCCTTTTGTTATGGTATAGTGAGTGAGTTATCACAAGATCTCTTTGTTTAAAAGTTTGTGGTACCTCCCACCTCTCTCTCTTGCTCCTGCTCTGGCCATGTAAGACGTGCCTGCTTCCCCTTCACCTTCTTGCATGATTGTAAGTTTCCTGAGGCCTCCCCAAAAGCAGAAGCCACTATGCTTCCTGAACAGCCAATGGAACCATGAGCCAATTAAACCTCTTCTTTATAAATTACCCAGTTTAAGGTATTTCTTTATAGCAGTGCAAGAATGGACTCATACAGCTCTGCTGACACCTTGATTTCAGAATCCTACTCTCCAGAACTGTTTGGGAATACACATCTATTGTTTTAAGCCAGTCAGTTTGTGGTATTTTGTACAGCAGCATTAGCAAACTAATACATCAACATAAGGAAACCAATTAGCAAATGAATAGGCACTGAAACAAGGTGTGTGGTGGGAATTACCAGCCATAAAAGTGGGAACAGTAAAGACAGCCCCCTTAAAGCCACTGGGGCACAGAAGGCAAGATCTGCTCTATAGACTTGCAGTCTGGAGAAGCCTGCAGGAGCCAGCCACACAGGACCCTAAGTGAGAGGCCACTGTCATGGCCCCAGTGAGAGGCCATGGATCCTGAGCCTAACCAGGACCACAGAAATAGGGTGCGAGAGAGGTGACAGCTGCCAGAAATATACGAGAGACAAAGGTGGCAAGATCTGGTGACTGGTTGGATGTTGGGGGGACAACATAGTGGGAGAAACTTAGGTGGATGGTGATTTTGCAGCAAAAATGAGTAATAAAAGCCAGTTTGGGGAATAAAGGGAGTTTATGAATTCAGTTTTTGACATGCTGATTTGGGGAAGCTTAAGGAATATGCAAATGTGTTCAGCAGACAGTTGAGTGTGTAAATCTAAAGCTCACGGAGATGCAATACACAAAGATAAATGCTTGGGAGTCAACAGCATGGAGGCCCTTAAGATCACAGAGAGTAGGCAAAGACTGGAAAAAGCAAGTGTCAAGGGGAGAACCCTGAGCAACATCATCATGAATGTGGTGGGCAGAGGAGCCCAGGCAAGAGACGGGAAAGCGACAGGCAAAGCTGAAAGGGCAGCACTAGGAGTGTAGGATGTCTTGGAAGCTGCAGCATAGCGTCAAGAAGATGAGCGTGGTCAATGTAGTAAAAAGGGCAGAAACCTGGGAAGATACAGCATGAAAAGTCCACAGATTAAAGATGGTAGATGTGATCAGTGGTGGTGTTAGCAGTCAAGGGAGCAGAAGGCAAGTGGCCCTGGTTCGGGTTGAGTGGTAGATGAGAAAGTAAACAACTTCTAAAAGATGCGTGGCAGAGAATGAAGGAGAAAGGGGATGTCACCAGAGAGAGATGGACCACAGTCAAGGGCAGAGGAGACTTCAGCAGCCTACAACTTAACGGAGACTCCTGGGAGACTTTGATGACATATGAGTGTCAGGATAAAGTGTTGGGGCAAGGGAGGAAGAAGAGGGGATCAAGCCTCTTGGAGAGCACAGATCTTAAACTGGGATGTATTTTAGTTTCTGCACCAAAAGGAAGGGTTAGGGTGATTTCGATGCAAATTAATTCATAAAGAAAGCTGAGGGAGATCATTTCTCAAGGGATTTTTTGTATTGGGATTTTAATTTTTGAGACAGGGTCTCACTCTATTGCCCGGGCTGCAGTGCAGTGGTGCAATCACAGTTCACCGAAGCCTCAACCTCCCAGGCTCAGGTGATCTTCCCACCTCATCCTGCCAAGTAGCTGGGACTATAGGTGTGAACCACCATGCCCAGCTAATTTTTTTCTATGTTTTGTAGAGACCAGGTTTCATCCTATTACCCAGGCTGGTCTCAAACTCCCAGGCTCAAAGCTAGCTTTCCAAGGTGCTGGGATTACAGGCAACAGCCACCACATTCAGACAGGATTTTTGGATTTTTTTTTTAAGTACAGTCTGTGTTGAGAAAGGGACAGAGTGGGGTGGAAGTGGGGAGGGGGTAAACATTTGGAACTGATCCAGAGGAGAACAAGAAAGCAAATGGAAGAATTTGCCCTGGGGGCCCTGTGAAGGCTGCAGCCAATGCACCTCTGGGGGTGCTGTCTGAGGGGCTGAGTGATTTAGGGCCTTACTTCTTCAAGGTGGGAGGAACTGGCTCCTCTCTGCTTCACTCTCAGGCTGGTTGTGAATTCCCTGTTCCTCATGCCTATTCACAGCTTCTGTCCCCTGCACCCCCTGCCAGCTTGACCCATAACCCATACTCCCTAAGCCCCCAAAACCACTTTCTCCCCACCCATTTTTTCATTGCCTATTGTTTCATCTCCCATCCCTGACTCAACTCAACCCTGCCCTCATGCTTCCCTTCCCTGACACTTCTCTCCACCTCCTTGGCCACCCACCCAGGCGTCTGTGCCTAATGGTGGGTCAGACCCTCTGGTATGAGAGTGTTTAGAACAGAAATGGGGGAGCAGAAAATGAACAAAAGGATGGAGACAGTGATTGGAATCAAGCGAATCCTTGGAGGGTAGGAGTCAGGAATCTTTGGCTTCTGCTAAAGGAAACAGCCGGTGCTAGAGCAAAGGCTAGGTCCAGGCCATCTCCTCTCCCTGGCTTTGTCATCACCTGCCGGTGCTGGGTCATTTCCAACGGCACTCAAGCAGCCTCCAAACAAAACAGACACCATTTTTGCCCCATGTGCTCCTTCAGCCATAGCCCTATTGCTCTCTTTTCCAGAAGGCCCCTGGAGTGATCATTACACACACAGGGACCCCATCCCTTACCCCTCAGTCACTCCCCAAACCCTGGCCACCTGGCATTCACCCTGCCATGCTTCAGAATCTATTCTTTCCTTTTTCCCAGGGAATTAATTCTTTTTCAGCCACCTCTAGCTAAATCATTTTTATGTCATTTGAGAAAAGGACTGACTGTTGAGGTAGACAATTTCCAATTACACAGCTTGTTCATGACAGCCTAGTGTCTCACACAGCAGCCAGATGTTTGTGTTTGCTTCCTTTCTTTGGTCTGTCCCTGCTGCTACCACCTTTCGTTCCAATCCAAGCTCACCCTCCCAGTCTCCTGGTCTTTATTTTCTGGTTGGTCCTCTTGTCTTGGATTCATAACCTGCTTTCTGGGGGTGTCCCCGGATGTCTTAAGCAATTATTGTCTGTGTCAAAGAGACAAGACCTCTGAGCAGAGTCACTCATCAGCATCTTCCCCCGATTCCCACTGAATGTTCCTCATTTATTTTCAAGTCTTTCCTAAGCAGATTTCCCTTTGGGGCACACTAGCCTATGGCAAAGCTCTCTACTTTCTGTCCCCACGTCATTCAAGGTGCTCCATTTCTTCTCTGCCCCTGCTCATCCTGCATGATGCTCTGCTTAAAAGACAGAAGGAAGCATTGTGACCTCATCCCCATTCACACTTGCTGTCCTCAAGTTTTGTCCTTGGCTTCCAGAGATCACATACTTGTGACTTTCCATGTGAGCATTGAAATGCTCACACTTTACAGAATTTGTAGGACCATGGAGAGCTTTCTGGGGAAATGTTCAATTGTGGTGGGGCCACAGGGAGGAGGGGCAGAGCATGGATAAGAGAATCCAAGGTTAAACAGAATCAGGGAAATGGCATAACACAACCATTCTGGGCATTAAGAAAAAAGTAAGAAGGAGAAAAAGAGCAGGAAGGTCACTTGGCCAGGACGGTGAAGATGAGCAGATTCAAGCGCAAGGGAGAACTTAGAGAGCTGCTAATGTGGGCCTAGACTAGCAAGGGGGTGCTGGTGCTGGCATTTGATTTGGTTTCCAGTGTGGGTCAGATGAGATGCCATTGCAGGGCCAAATTGTGCAGGTGTGCTGTGGTCTCCCATCACACACCACCAGCTGTGGTCCCCTGTTGCAGGGTGAGTAAGAGCCCCCCAAAAGAAGTCCACGCACTAATCTAGGAACCTGTTATCTTACATGATAAAAGGGACTTTGCTGATATGATTAAAGTAAGGACCATGGACTGGGAAGAGTATGCTTGGTTATCCAGGTGGGCCCAAGGTCACCACAAGGGTCCTCATAAGAGGGAAGCAAGATCAGAATAAGTAGGAGATATGACAACAGAAGCAGGAGGTCGGAGTGAGGTGGGGAGGGGGCCCTGAGCCAAGGAATCAGGTGCTTCTAGAATTTGAAAAAGATGAAGAAATACATTCTCCCTGAAGCATCTAGAAGGAACACAGCCCCACTGACACCTTGCTTTCTTCTGACTTCCAGAACTGTAAAAGAATAGAGTTGTGTGGCTTGAAGTCGCTAAGTTTGTGATAGTTGTTTTACAGCAGTAATAGGAAACTAATACACTCCCATATAGTGAAGGGGGGTTGATGGGTGCACATGGGAGACTTTGGGCCTTTGCCAAAACTTCAGGGGGCAAGATATGCTGCTGGTCAGCTCTGTATATGGCGATGTCATCCCCTCCTGAGGCCTCACCCCTTCTCTCCAGGCCAGACCTCTCTGAAATCCTCCTCCAGGTTGGCAGTAATGCACTTGTTAGTGCCAGTGAGGCACAACTACTCAACCAATCACCACACCTCTTAATTCAACCATGACTTGCCTCACTCTGTACTGTAGGGGGCACTAGGGAGTCTGCTCTTCTTTCTTAGCTTACACCTAGATAGAGCAGAGAGAGCCAGGGACAGCGAGTTCAGGCCAATAGCAAATGAAAGGAAGCCAACTCTCCAGGCCCAGACAGCCCGTGAGGTCAGCATCCAGCAACAACATTCACTAACGACAGCCCTGCCAACTGTAGCTGGCATCCTAGGCACATGCACATTGAAGGTGAAGAGACAGGAGACCTCTGGCTGCCAGCAAGCACTCTTTCTTTACTCTGTGTGGCCCATTCTCATGCTAAAAGCAATTTCCAAGCTACCTCCCTGCAGAGCATTAGCCTAACAGGCTGAGCCCTGACAGTATCATCCTGATTCTTTCATTTGAAGCACATGTTCATTGTACACTTTCAAATAAATCATATTGCCATTTCTAAAGGAGAATATTTATCTGGGCTCACGTGACACCCCAAGGTCAAGGACAACAGCACCACAGTCTCCATTGCATGCCAAGGCAGCGCTAGAGTCTTCCTGTCAAGAGTTGGAGCATGCCTGCAATTGTATTAGGTTGGTGCAAAAGTAATTGTGGTTTTTGCCATGAAAAGTAATGGCAAAGACCTCAATTACTTTTGCACCAACCTAATAGCTGTGTTCCTACCGTGCTCCTAAAATAAGGACCATTGTATGTTCCAGGGAATATTAGTTTGTAGGCACCTACCCTGTTTGAAGTGGGCTGGAACACCAGGCTTTAGGATGGCAGTGGGGAGCCCCAGTGCAGGCCCCAGCAGGCTGTAGAAGGCAGTTGTCTGAGGCAGAGGTTATGTGGATGATCCTTTTGCCCAAGGCCCCCAAATTACTGCATGCCTCCTAAGAGTGCAATCTGGGGCTACCTAAATCCATGTCAGCCAGTCTTTTTTTCACCTAATTGTCTAAGTTGGGTTAAGGGAGCACTGTCTAGTGATCGTTGATTGGTCAGAGCCCAGGGCATCCGCCTGGCCATGTTTTATTAGTGGGCCAGGTTACTGGGCCGAGTTACTGGGCCTTAAAGGTCCATGTTCCTGTGCACTCACTCATGCATGTCCCTGTTCCCTTTGGTAAGCACACCTGGTTGAGCCTCCTTCTCAGGGGAGACTAGTCAGGGCTCTTTCTCTCCACCCCCACTCTGCCTGTAACTGAGGGGCAGATTTAGGCTGGTGTCTTAAAATTTCAGAGGAGAGCGAAGTCTCTCTGGGCTCTCCTATCTCTGCGTTGGAAGTCGTTGCATCTGGCACTTAATTAATAGGCATATTCCTTTCCATTTGGCTATTAATCCTTGTGTATAAGCCTCTCACTTGGTAATCACAGTGAGAGGCAGGCGTGGCTGAGCTCAGAGCTGTTAACAGCTTCTACAGCTCAGAAAACAATGCCATCGGAGGTCATGTGGCAGGCCTTGGTCAGTGAGTAACTCTAATTGAAAGGAAATGAAATCAATTACATAGTTTGAGCGGTCTACACTTAATTCTGGTGAAATCACATTATAGTAATTGGGCATTATTGAAATGACTTGAACATTGGTCAAGTAAACTATTGGCCACAACTCAATCGTAAATCAAATGTATTTACCGGCTTGATAAATGTATTTACTGGCTTGATTTAGGATTGAGTTGTGGCCAATACTTGCCTAACCAGGGCAGATCCTCTGCGGTAGGCAAAGTAGTGGCACACCAGAATGTTCACATCCTAATCCTCAGACACTGTGAACATGCTGGTTACACAGCAAAAGGAAATTATGGGTGCAAATAGGATGAAGACAGCTAATCAGGTGACTTGAAAACAAAGAAATTATCCTGGGTTACCTGGGTAGACCCAATGTAATCCCAAGGGTCCTAGTAAGTGGAAGAAGGAGGTAGATAAGGGAGAACCAGAAAGACACCAGCCTAAGATGGACTTGGCAGACTTTGCTGGTTTTGAAGATGGAGGACTGGAGCCACAAGCCAAGGAATATGGTGGCCTCTGGAAGCAAAGAAAGGCAGGGAATGGATTCTCCTCAGAACCTCCAGAAGGAATGCAGCCTGCTGATACCTTGATTTTAGCCCAGAGAGACCCATTTCAGACTCTGCCCTCCAGAACTGTAAGATGATAACTTTGTATTGTTTTAAGCCACTGTGTTTGTGGAACACTGTGACAGCAGCACTGGAAGCAGCACACAGGAAACCGATATACTCTCTTAACCTGGGTTTCTTGGTTTCAGCAATATTTCCATTTTTGTCTGGGAAATATTTTGTTGTGGGGCTATTCTGTGAATTGTAGGATATGCAGTAGGATCCCTCACCGCTACCCACTAAATGCCAGTAGATCTTCCCCTTCCCAAGTTGTAACAACCAAAAATGTCTCCAGACATTGCCCAGGACGGGGGAGTGGAAGAGGAGGGATGGAAAAAAAATCACCCCTGGCTCAGAACCGCTGCTCTAAACTCAGCATGGTTATGCATTTACTACACACTTTCCCTCACCCACTTGGGATTCTGGTCACTGCCCTTTTATATATGGGTGCTTCTGGTTGAGGCCTTTGATGCTGGTTGAAAATTAAGTGCCTAGGGAGGTAACACACAAAGCTGTAATCAGCCTCAAAGTGAGTTTCCATCATTTCAACCAAGCTGGTTTGAAGGGAGAGAGAAAAAGGAAACCGTATGAGCTATTAAGTAAAGAAAAGGACATAGAACTGAGATCTAGAAAGGTACAAGATTTTCTCCTTTTTTTTTTTTTTTTTGCCACTTCATGCAATATTCTCCATACCATTTGTCTTATGTGTAAGTCCCAAGCTGGGCTCCATGCTGCAATGTGCAATGAGAAAAACATGATTTCTGCTCTGAAAGACTTCACTGTCTCACAGGGGAGACTTGTACATAATTTTGTAAAACCTCAATACAGATAGAAAGGGCTATAAACATTTCATAGTCACATATTCTGAATCAAGGATCCACAATCTGGCTCCAAGTTATGAGAAAGTATAACAATGGGGCCAAATATTTAAAATCAAGACTGTCTCAGAAAATGTGGCCATGCCACCTGTAAAAGACATATGCAAATTGCTACAGAAGCTGCCCAGAACAGAGGACATGTGACTCAGGACTTGCATGGGAGGAGGAGGAGGAGGGAACCACAATTCTTGTGAGAGAAACACGTGCACAAAGACACAGGACAGGAAAGCTCCATATGGCACACCATTTAGAATGAATCAGTGATTTCAGATTGATGTGACCATTGGAAGATTTCAAGTATGCATCGCTAAACTTGAAAAATCAGTAAAACAAAACAGGAATAATTTTTATTTAAAAATAACAGTATTGTATTTAAAAACAATAGCACACGTCAAGAGATACTTCAGTACTGCCAAGGGTTTAATCTAGCATCCTCTTTCTCACTAATCACACACCATGTAACCTTGCATAAGGTACTTCTCTGTGTGTTTCCACATCTATAAGACGGGAATAATGTGTCTACCCCAGGTTCATTCAAGGAGTCCTGTATACATGCAAAGCCCTTGGAAGAGTGCCTAGAATATAATGAGTGGTTGATACTTGTTCCTGTTAATATGGAAAATATTACTGTTAATAGTGCTTAAATAGTTGATAGGCTGCAGTTAACCTGCAGGACTCCTTGGTACAGGGTGCAGTGTTGAGTTCAATCCAACCAAGACACCAGCACACACTGGTTGGGGAGAGACACGGGAGTAGGGAGAGCAGCTATGGCCTGGGAGCACTACCAGGGGAAAGGCAGCTGGTGGAGCACCTTGGAGGAAATTCAAGCCTCCTTGGCAATTAGGGAAGATTGATTGTGTGTTTACAGCCGTAATCACCCATGTGCTCTGTGGTCTCAGACTTCCATGTCCCTGCACTTATCACACAGGGGCCCTGAAACATGGCAGTCACTGAGGACTCAGTCTGCAGTCGAGATAGACATTAGGGAGTGGTGAGGTTTGTGGTGAACCAAAGCTGCAGACGCCTTTGTAAGAAGAAGGTGACCCCTCAACTTCAGCCAACTGTTGTCATGTCAGAACACTAGCAAATCATCTTGTTTTTTCAAATATGAAAAGTAGGAATTCTATGGAGAACTTCCTGGTTTAAAAATGCAAGAAAAATTAGCTCTTTATCTACAAGCAAGTTGCAGCCTGCAGATCACAGTCGTGAACCCCCAGATGAGAGGCTCGTAACATAATCCTCTTGCCACGCCCTTTGATGTGCAAGCACCACTGGCAAGAAGTCTGGATAGTTTTCTCGTAAGATTCTAACCAGTCCCAGAGGAAAAAAAACTATTTCTTACTTTTCTCTGGGAGAATTTATACACTGATTAAAGGAGTATTACCATCTTAAGACCACTTTTCTGCCACTTTTACTGCCTCAGTCTGCAGCTCAACAACCTGTTCAAGGCTAGGAGTTGGAAGTCATTTGCTATCCCCTTCTCCTCGCCCTCACAGCCAATCCATGACAGAGTATTAAGAATGGATCACTTCGGTATCTCATAGATCTATCCTTCCCACTCACATTTCAGGCCATGCCATCCTCTTGCTGAAGCCCTAACTGATGCTTCCTAACAGGTTCTCGTGTCTCTCCCTGACCAGGCCCTCTTACACACTCTGCAGAATTACCATCGACAGTGTACATTGGATGAGATTGTGTCACCATCATGCTTAGAACCACTCCTATCACTGACAGGTCAATATCTGAGCTCCTTGGCACAACACACATGTCCAGGGAGTGGCCAGTAATTAGTTGTGCCTGGAGTATTGAGAGCATCAGTGGCCGGGAACATCAGGCAAGATGTGATGTTTTAAAGAGCCTTGAATGCCATGCTAAGGACTTGGAACTGCATTACCCAGCCCATGGGGAGCTCTGGGAGGTTTAAAGCAGAGAAGAACCTTGCCTTGTCTAAATTCTGTAAGTCTCAACACTCTGCTTCCTTCATAGCACTTATGGAAGTTTGCAATTATTTCGTGGACTTGTTTATTTTTTTCCATATCTTCCACTAAATGTCAAGCTATGAGCAGAAATAAATTATGTCTGTTTTGTTCACATTTACTTCTCAACTACCCTGTAAGTCCCTGGAACATAGTATGAATTCCATAAAAAGTAATTGAATACATGAGTAAATGAAGGATGCATGCAGGAATAGATGAGTAGAATCAACACAAAATTAACCATGGGTTTCATTCAACACATACCTCACCACTCCTGCATGTATATAAGATTCTTCTGAAAGCGGGGAGGAGCCAAGATGCCCGAATAGGAACAGCTCTGGTCTACAGCTCCCAGCCTGAGCGACGCAGAAGACGGGTGATTTCTGCATTTCCATCTGAGGTACCGGGTTCATCTCACTAGGGAGTGCCAGACAGTGGGCGCAGGTCAGTGGGTGCGCGCACCGTGCGCGAGCCTAAGCAGGGCGAGGCATCGCCTCACTCAGGAAGCGCAAGGGGTCAGGGAGTTCCCTTTCCTAATCAAAGAAACGGGTGAAGGACGGCACCTGGAGAATCGGGTCACTCCCACCCGAATACTGCGCTTTTCCGACGGGCTTACAAAACGGCGTACCACCAGATTATATCCCGCACCTGGCTCGGAGGGTCCTACCCCACGGAGTCTCGCTGATTGCTAGCACAGCAGTCTGAGATCAAACTGCAAGGCGGCAGCGAGGCTGGGGGAGGGGCACCCAACATTGCACAGGCTTGCTCAGGTGAACAAAGCAGCCGGGAAGCTCGAACTGGGTGGAGCCCACCACAGCTCAAGGAGGCCTGCTTGCCTCTGTAGTCTCCACCTCTGGGGGCAGGGCACAGACAAACAAAAAGACAGCAGTAACCTCTGCAGACTTAAATGTCCCTGTCTGACGGCTTTGAAGAGAGCAGTGGTTCTCCCAGTACGCAGCTGGAGATCTGAGAACCGGCAGACTGCCTCCTCAAGTGGGTACCTGACCCCTGACCCCCAAGCAGCCTAACTGGGAGGCACCCTCCAGCAGGGGCACACTGACACCTCACACGGCAGGGTATTCCAACAGACCTGCAGCTGAGGGTCCTGTCTGTTAGAAGGAAAACTAACAAACAGAAAGGACATCCACACCAAAAATCCATCTGTACATCACCATCATCAAAGATCAAAAGTAGATAAAACCACAAAGATGGGGAAAAAACAGAACAGAAAAACTGGAAACTCTAAAAAGCAGAGCGCCTCTCCTCCTCCAAAGGAACGCAGCTCCTCACCAGCAACGGAACAAAGCTGGACGGAGAACGACTTTGACGAGCTGAGAGAAGAAGGCTTCAGACAATCAAATTACTCTGAGCTACGGGAGGACATTCAAACCAAAGGCAAAGAAGTTGAAAACTTTGAAAAAAATTTAGAAGAATGTATAACTAGAATAACCAATACAGAGAAGTGCTTAAAGGAGCTGATGGAGCTGAAAACCAAGGCTCGAGAACTACATGAAAAATGCAGAAGCCTCAGGAGCCGATGCGATCAACTGGAAGAAAGGGTATCAGCAATGGAAGATGAAATGAATGAAATGAAGCGAGAAGAAAACTTTAGAGAAAAAAGAATAAAAAGAAACGAGCAAAGCCTCCAAGAAATATGGGACTATGTGAAAAGACCAAATCTACGTCTGATTGGTGTACCTGAAAGTGATGGGGAGAATGGAACCAAGTTGGAAAACACTCTGCAGGATATTATCCAGGAGAACTTCCCCAATCTAGCAAGGCAGGCCAACGTTCAGATTCAGGAAATACAGAGAACGCCACAAAGATACTCCTCGAGAAGAGCAACTCCAAGACACATAATTGTCAGATTCACCAAAGTTGAAATGAAGGAAAAAATGTTAAGGGCAGCCAGAGAGAAAGGTCGGGTTACCCTCAAAGGGAAGCCCATCAGACTAACAGCGGATCTCTCGGCAGAAACCCTACAAGCCAGAAGAGAGTGGGGGCCAATATTCAACATTCTTAAAGAAAAGAATTTTCAACCCAGAATTTCATATCCAGCCAAACTAAGCTTCATAAGTGAAGGAGAAATAAAATCCTTTAGAGACAAGCAAATGCTGAGAGATTTTGTCACCACCAGGCCTGCCCTAAAAGAGCTCCTGAAGGAAGTGCTAAACATGGAAAGGAACAACTGGTACCAGCCACTGCAAAATCATGCCAAAATGTAACGACCATCAAGACTAGGAAGAAACTGCATCAACTAACGAGCAAAATAACCAGCTAACATCATAATGACAGGATCAAATTCACACATAACACTATTAACTTTAAATGTAAATGGACTAAATGCTCCAATTAAAAGACACAGACTGGCAAATTAGATAAAGAGTCAAGACCCATCAGTGTGCTGTATTCAGGAAACCCATCTCACGTGCAGAGACACATATAGGCTCAAAACAAAAGGATGGAGGAAGATCTACCAAGCAAACGGAAAACAAAAAAAGGCAGGGGTTGCAATCCTAGTCTCTGATAAAACAGACTTTAAACCAACAAAGATTAAAAGAGACAAAGAAGGCCATTACATAATGGTAAAGGGATCAATTCAACAAGAAGAGCTAACTATCCTAAATATATATGCACCCAATACAGGAGCACCCAGATTCATAAAGCAAGTCCTGAGTGACCTACAAAGAGACTTAGACTCCCACACATTAATAATGGGAGACTTTAACACCCCACTGTCAACATTAGACAGATCAACAAGACAGAAAGTCAAAAAGGATACCCAGGAATTGAACTCAGCTCTGCACCAAGTGGACCTAATAGGCATCTACAGAACTCTCCACCCCAAATCAACAGAATATACATTTTCTTCAGCACCACACCACACCTATTCCAAAATTGACCACATACTTGGAAGTAAAGCTCTCCTCAGCAAATGTAAAAGAACAGAAATTATAACAAACTATCTCTCAGACCACAGTGCAATCAAACTAGAACTCAGGATTAAGAATCTCACTCAAAACCGCTCAACTACATGGAAACTGAACAACCTGCTCCTGAATGACTACTGGGTACATAATGAAATGAAGGCAGAAACAAAGATGTTCTTTGAAACCAAGAGAACAAAGACACAACATACCAGAATCTCTGGGACGCATTCAAAGCAGTGTGTAGAGGGAAATTTATAGCACTAAATGCCCACAAGAGAAAGCAGGAAAGATCCAAAATTGACACCCTAACATCACAATTAAAAGAACTAGAAAAGAAAGAGCAAACACATTCAAAAGCTAGCAGAGGCAAGAAATAACTAAAATCAGAGCAGAACTAAAGGAGATAGAGACACAAAAAACCCTTCAAAAAATTAATGAATCCAGGAGCTGGTTTTTCAAAAGGATCAACAAAATTGATAGACCACTAGCAAGACTAATGAAGAAAAAAAGAGAGAAGAATCAAATAGATGCAATAAAAAATGATAAAGGGGATATCACCACCGATCCCACAGAAATACAAACTACCATCAGAGAATACTACAAACACCTCTACACAAACAAACTAGAAAATCTAGAAGAAATGGATAAATTCCTTGACACATACACTCTCCCAAGACTAAACCAGGAAGAAGTTGAATCTCTGAATAGACCAATAACAGGCTCTGAAATTGTGGCAATAATCAATAGCTTACCAACCAAAAAGAATCCAGGACCAGATGGATTCACAGCCGAATTCTACCAGAGGTACAAGGAGGAACTGGTACCATTCCTTCTGAAACTATTCCAATCAACAGAAAAAGAGGGAATCCTCCCTAACTCATTTTATGAGGCCAGCATCATTCTGATACCAAAGCCGGGCAGAGACACAACCAAAAAAGAGAATTTTAGACCAATATCCTTGATGAACATTGATGCAAAAATCCTCAATACAATACTGGCAAACCGAATCCAGCAGCACATCAAAAAGCTTATCCACCATGATCAAGTGGGCTTCATCCCTGGGATGCAAGGCTGGGTCAATATACACAAATCAATAAATATAATCCAGCATATAAACAGAGCCAAAGACAAAAACCACATGATTATCTCAATAGATGCAGAAAAGGCCTTTGACAAAATTCAACAACCCTTCATGCTAAAAACTCTCAATAAATTAGGTATTGATGGGACATATTTCAAAATAATAAGAGCTATCAATGACAAACCCACAGCCAATATCATACTGAATGGGCAAAAACTGGAAGCATTCCCTTTGAAAACTGGCACAAGACAGGGATGCCCTCTCTCACCACTCCTATTCAACATAGTGTTGGAAGTTCTGGCCAGGGCAATTAGGCAGGAGAAGGAAATAAAGAGTATTCAATTAGGAAAAGAGGAAGTCAAATTGTCCCTGTTTGCAGATGACATGACTGTATATCTAGAAAACCCCATTGTCTCAGCCCAAAATCTCCTTAAGCTGATAAGCAACTTCAGCAAAGTCTCAGGATACAAAATCAATGTGCAAAAATCACAAGCATTCCTAGACAAACAGAGAGCCAAATCATGAGTGAACTCCCATTCACGATTGCTTCAAAGAGAATAAAATACCTAGGAATCCAACTTACAAGGGATGTGAAGGACCTCTTCAAGAAGAACTACAAACCACTGCTCAAGGAAATAAAAGAGGATACAAAGAAATGGAAGAACATTCCATGCTCATGGGTAGGAAGAATCAATATCATGAAAATGGCCATACTGCCCAAGGTAATTTACAGATTCAATGCCATCCCCATCAAGCTACCAATGCCTTTCTTCACAGAATTGGAAAAAACTACTTTAAAGTTCATATGGAACCAAAAAAGAGCCCGCATCGCCAAGTCAATCCTAAGCCAAAAGAACAAAGCTGGAGGCATCACACTACCTGACTTCAAACTATACTACAAGGCTACAGTAACCAAAACAGCATGGTACTGGTACCAAAACAGAGATATAGATCAATGGAACAGAACAGAGCCCTCAGAAATAACGCCGCATATCTACAGCTATCTGATCTTTGAGGAACCTGAGAAAAACAAGCAATGGGGAAAGGATTCCCTATTTAATAAATGGTGCTGGGAAAACTGGCTAGCCATATGTAGAAAGCTGAAACTGGATCCCTTCCTTACACCTTATACAAAAATTAATTCAAGATGGATTAAAGACTTAAATGTTAGACCTAAAACCATAAAAACCCTAGAAGAAAACCTAGGCATTACCATTCAGGACATAGGCATGGGCAAGGACTTCATGTCTAAAACACCAAAAGCAATGGCAACAAAAGCCAAAATTGACAAATGGGATCTAATTAAACTAAAGAGCTTCTGCACAGCAAAAGAAACTACCATCAGAGTGAACAGGCAACCTACAAAATGGGAGACAATTTTTGCAACCTACTCATCTGACAAAGGGCTAATATCCAGAATCTACAATGAACTCAAACAAATTTACAAGAAAAAAACAAACAACCCCATCAAAAAGTGGGCAAAGGACATGGACAGACACTTCTCAAAAGAAGACATTTATGCAGCCAAAAAACACATGAAAAAATGCTCACCATCACTGGCCATCAGAGAAATGCAAATCAAAACCACAATGAGATACCATCTCACACCAGTTAGAATGGCAATCATTAAAAAGTCAGCAAACAACAGGTGCTGGAGAGGATGTGGAGAAATAGGAACACTTTTACACTGTTGGTGGGACTGTAAACTAGTTCAACCATTGTGGAAGTCAGTGTGGTGATTCCTCAGGGATCTAGAACTAGAAATACCGTTTGACCCAGCCATCCCATTACTGGGTATATACCCAAAGGACTATAAATCATGCTGCTATAAAGACACATGCACTCATATGTTTATTGCGGCATTATTCACAATAGCAAAGACTTGGAACCAACCCAAATGTCCAACAATGATAGACTGGATTAAGAAAATGTGGCACATATACACCATGGAATACTATGCAGCCATAAAAAATGATGAGTTCATGTCCTTTGTAGGGACATGGATGAAATTGGAAATCATCATTCTCAGTAAACTATCACAAGAACAAAAAACCAAACACCGCATATTCTCACTCATAGGTGGGAATTGAACAATGAGATCACATGGACACAGGAAGGGGAACATCACACTCTGGGGACTGTTGTGGGGTGGGGGGACGGGGGAGGGATAGCATTGGGAGATATACCTAATGCTAGATGATGAGTTAGTGGGTGCAGCACACCAGCATGGCACATGTATACGTATGTAACTAACCTGCACATTGTGCACATGTACCCTAAAACTTAAAGTATAATAATTAAAAAATAAATAAATAAATAAAAAGATTCTTCTGAAATATATCATGATAAAATGCAAATTGTAGTGAAGCTTGGACACAATAGAATACAGCAACAATGACTGGATCTGAATGATGTGCATCTTATTGAGCAGTGCACAGGGCAGAGCAGACACTAGCAAGTAATTAGAGGCATAAGACTTTCACAAGCGCACATATGCCAGAATTAATGGAAAAATCTGCTCATTTTTACTGGGTGCATAAATGACAGGATTTGTTGTTCAACTCCACCTATAAGCATGTAAAATAAAGAGCGCTCACAGTCTTTATTAAGGTCTTCTTTCTTTTAATTCAAATAAATCAAGTTATTTATTAATTCAGACATACACTGAAATGTTATTGGGGTCTTCTTTGAGTAGTGAGATTTTCTCAATTGTCCAAAATTTTAATAATAAGCGTGTATTACTTTAAAAATTAGAAAAACATTAAAGATTTAAGAAATGATTCTTGAGAATCAATTTATAATGCATTGTTTGAAGCCCTATAGTTGACATTTTTCAAATCCTTTTAATAACATTTTGATCCTTAGAACTATAAATTTTTAGAGTAGGTGGAAATCTTGCCAGATCATCTGATATAGCTCCCTGTTGTTTCACAGGTAAATTTTTGACTAGCCAGGGTCCCTCCCCCACTGCATGAGATTCTAATGAGATTGTCAATCATGGAGATAGGTGGGGAGTCAGGGAATTCAGAGAGGCTAGAGAACAAAATCCAAATTAAACTAAACTCACAGAGTAATTGAAATATTTATTTCTCTGGAAACTAATTAATCCAGAAGTGTTCACATGACTCAAACAGGGATAATCAGACTATTTCTGTAGAGAAGAGGATTGTTCTCTTTATCTTGGCTCACAGGTCAACAGAACATGTGTGTTTGGAACTGTCATTCAAACTTTGAGTGATAGATCTGCTTGGCCCAACTCCTTGGACTTCCCAGAAGTTGTATTAAGCCAAAAAGTTGTCTATGTGTGTGTGTGTGTGTGTGTGTGTGTGTGTGTGCGTGTTTGCTGAAGGTTTGCATTCATTTTCTGTCACATACATCAGAAGGAATTCTTAATAAACAATCACCCATAACTAATGCCATCTGTCCCCTTTGTTAAGATCTCCAAACATGAGGACCCTACAATATTCCTGGGTCTCTCAATTCAATGATTTTTGTTTTTATAATAAGTGGTAGCAAAAACAAAATTACATTTAACTTAAACTTTCTGCTAAAATATAAAGTTAAGAACTTCTGTTTCCACCAGATATAGAGTAACAGGAACTGTATATATGTTCTTACTGAAATAACCAAGAAAAACAGACAAAATATATGAAATAAATGTTTTCAAGTTACTAGATATTAGACAACAAATAGAGTGATTCCTGAGATGACTAGCTAATGAGGTGAGCCCTGTCATTGTCCATAATACCTTTTTCAGAGAGTTCACAGGCTATAGCATCAGGAGAAAAAGCCTAGATAGAACTTGACAGATTCCTTGAAGTCAAGAAACATAGCTGAGAGTCTAGAAAGATGAAGAGAGGTAGAGTTTGCAAGACAGAGTACCAAAAAGGTGAGAACTGCACAGAGAGTGATCTGTGGAGGTTCCTTTTCAAGTATTCAGCAAAGCACTGATTAGCATATATTTTTAAGGAAATGACCTGAGGCTGAGGGAAAATCACCTGGAAGGATCAGAGAACAGTGTCCAGGGCAAACACAGGATAGTGAATAGTGCCTGTTCTAACCAGCCAGACTGGAAAAAAACATAAATTGTGGTAGACTGGTGGAGTACTCAGGAAAGTCATACCTCAGTGGTAGGGAATACATAGCCCTAGACTGAGAACTGCTCTGGACCCACATAAACAATGACAAAATCAAGACCCAAAAGGATCAAACTGTTTCAGAGCAACTTGACTGCATCCCAGAATAAAGTTCAAAGATATTTATGGAGATATAAAAATAATCAGCACCAAGCAGGGTACAATTCACAATGTCTGACATTTAATCAAAGGTTATCAAATGTGCAATGCAGAGAAGCTAAAAAATATGACCCAGAATGAGAATAATCAATCAATAGAAACTGACACTGATGATGGAGCAGGCAGAAAAGGACATTAACGCATTTGTTGTAACTGTACTACAGTATGTTCACAAAGTTGAGTAGAGACATAGAAGATATTTTTAAAAGATCCAAATGAAATTTGAGAAAATGAAAACTATCATGTCTTAGATTTAAAAAATACTCTGGATGGCATCCACAGCAGATTAGAAATTTCTAAAGTAAAGATTACTAAACTGAAAGGCATAGCAATAGAAACTGTTTAAAGTGAAACAATGAAAGTAAAAAGGATCCCTCCTCTTGTTCCCCCCAAAACGAAAGAAGTGCATCGCCAAGTCAATCCTAAGCCAAAAGAACAAAGCTGGAGGCATCATGCTACCTAACTTCAAACTATACTGCAAGGCTACAGTAACCAAAACAGCATGGTACTGGTACCAAAACAGAGATATAGATCAATGGAACAGAACAGAGCCCTCAGAAATAAAACGCCGCATATCTACAACTATCTGATCTTTGAGAAACCTGAGAAAAACAAGCAATGGGGAAAGGATTCCCTATTTAATAAATGGTGCTGGGAAAACTGGCTAGCCATATGTAGAAAGCTGAAACTGGATCCCTTCCTTACACCTTATACAAAAATTAATTCAAGATGGATTAAAGACTTAAACATTAGACCTAAAACCATAAAAACCCTAGAAGAAAACCTAAGCATTACCATTCAGGACATAGGCATGGGCAAGGACTTCATGTCTAAAACACCAAAAGAAATGGCAACAAAAGCCAAAATTGACAAATGGGATCTAATTAAACTAAAGAGCTTCTGCACAGCAAAAGAAACTACCATCAGAGTGAACAGGCAACCTACAGAATGGGAGAAAATTTTTGCAACCTACTCATCTGACAAAGGGCTAATATCCAGAATCTACAATGAACTCAAACAAATTTACAAGAAAAAAACAAACAACCCCATCAAAAATTGGGCAAAGGACATGGACAGACACTTCTCAAAAGAAGACATTTATGCAGCCAAAAAACACATGAAAAAATGCTCATCATCACTGGCCATCAGACAAATGCAAATCAAAACCACAATGAGATACCATCTCACACCAGTTAGAATGGTAATCATTAAAAAGTCAGGAACAACAGGTGCTGGAGAGGATGTGGAGAAATAGGAACACTTTTACACTGTTGGTGGGACTGTAAACTAGTTCAACCATTGTGGAAGTCAGTGTGGTGATTCCTCAGGGATCTAGAACTAGAAATACCGTTTGACCCAGCCATCCCATTACTGGGTATATACCCAAAGGACTATAAATCATGCTGCTATAAAGACACATGCACTCATATGTTTATTGCGGCACTATTCACAATAGCAAAGACTTGGAACCAACCCAAATGTCCAACAATGATAGACTGGATTAAGAAAATGTGGCACATATACACCATGGAATACTATGCAGCCATAAAAAATGATGAGTTCATGTCCTTTGTAGGGACATGGATGAAATTGGAAATCATCATTCTTAGTAAACTATCGCAAGGTCAAAAAACCAAACACTGCATGTTCTCACTCATAGATAGGAATTGAACAATGAGAACACATGGACACAGGAAGGGGAACATCACACTCTGGGGACTTTTGTGGGTTTGGGGGAGGGGGGAGGGATAGCATTAGGAGATATACCTAATGCTAAATGACAAGTTAATGGGTGCAGCACACGAGCATGGCACATGTATACATATGTAACAAAGCTGTACATTGTGCACATGTACCCTAAAACTTAAAGTATAATAATAACAAAAAAAATGCAAGAAAAAAAAAGAAGCATCAGTGAGCTGCAGGGCAATTATAAGAGCATAATACCTATGCAGTTGGAGCCTCCAAGAGATAATGGAGAGAGAGGTGTGGACAGAAAACATATTTTAAGAAATAATAACTGAAAATTTCCCAAATTTCATGAAAACTGTATATCTATGGATCAAAGAAGCTGAATGAAACATAAAGAAAACTATACCAAGACACATATGATCAGATTGTTTAAAACCAGTGAAAAGGGGGAAATCCTGAAAGCATCCAGAGAATAACAATGTATTACACACAGAGAAACAAAGACGAGAATTACAGCAGATTTCTCCTTGAAAACAGTGAAAGTAGAAGGACAGTGGAGAAACATTTTTAAAGCACTGAGAAAAAACTGTAAACCTAGAGTTTATGCCCAGTAAAAATATATCCCAAAGCAAGGGCAAAATAAAGACATTTTCAATCATACGGTAGCTGAAAGACTTCATCACCACTAGACACACACTCTAAGAAATGTTAAAGGAAATCCTTCAGGCAGAATGAAAATGATACCAAATGGAAATCTGTATTTACACACAGGAATGAAGAGCACTGGGAATGGTAATAACGTGAACAAATATGGACTTTTTTTTCTTACTATTAAATATTTAAATTTTAAGTACCTCTTTCTCAACTGGTCCTCCACAATCTCCAATTCTTCATTAAAGTCCTTTATATAAATGGAGATGAATCCAATGTCTTTTACTCATCTTTCCTTTTAATTTAACATCCTTTTACTATTGACTTTTCTCTTCTCATGGGATTCACTTTCTGCGTCTTCAAGACTTGTGCTGTTCGTCTTTCCACCTGCTTTAGCTTCTCCCCACCCTCCTGAACTGTGTAGCCAGATGTCCAAAACAAGCATCATTTGTGTCAATAAGGACACAGTGGCTTGGATGCCATCTTTTCCATTAGAATCTTTTTAGTTGCTTATGAAAACTTACACTTTAACTTTGTTCTGGAAAGTCAGGGTGCATATTAGCACATTAAAGTTTCTGAGAAAGTCATTACCAAACTATTCTATGTTATAGATCCCAGGATTTTCCCAACATATTGTCTACAAGATCCTTGGAACACAATTTGAAAATTATTAATCTCATCCTATGTCCTCACTTTATAAGAGAGAAAACTTAAGCCCAGAGAAGTAAGGAACTTGTCCAAGATCACACAGGATGTTAGTGTCAGAGCAGCAGCTAATACTGAAGTCTCTAGAATAAGACTACTCTTCTTTCCTCAGCATTCACCCAGAAATCTTGGTATTCTTTAAATTTTCATTAGGAATTTTCTATCTCTCCAAATCAAGCTCACGGCCTACAACTTTGCCCTTCACTATCAAGTTTGATTGTTTCTTCCTAGCGTAAAACTCTACAACTCTGTGAATTAGTGGATGCCTGGGCATTTGGACAGGAATCCAATCGGGGCCTCAGGCTCTGCAGCTAGCTCATTGTGAAAATGCCATCTGAAAAGACAATGCTGTGCCTCCTCAGAGGTGGCAGTTCTACTTGGAATTGGCAGCTATTTCTCTGTCATCACTTAGTCACTTCTGTGCTCCAGCTCTGAAGACAGCCCTGGCTCTGCTGGGAATGACAGACGCTGTGCTCAGCAGAGCCCCCGGCTACCCCACCCAGCCAGGCCCACTTTCAGCAAAGGCTGAGTGAAAGGGGCAGATGTGGGGCCCAGACTATTTTGACAGAAGATTCACTTTCTCCCCTCTCCCCTCCAAAAGACTATTTTATCTCCATATGTGTGGGTGAATTATTTCTATTCTCAATAAAAAGCAAAGAGGAACAGTAAGAAATGATTCCGGATGGCACCTGGGAAGAAATGCACAAAAAGAAAACCTCAGGGGTTTGCGGTATTAAAAATGGTTAGTAATCAGACCCACCCAGCCCACAGATTTGCTCATTTGTGCCTAGAGAATTTGGGATTAAGGAAAGGGAAGGGGGTGAGGAAATGTTATTTTCTGAAGCTGCCTGCTACTTAAGCTTGATGGTCAGTGAATCAATCTTTAAAAAGAGTTCTGATTTTCTGACTGGGAAAAACAACTGAATTGACACATTTGATTATGAACAGGAAGCCTCCTAGGAACAGATAACCTAGATAAGAAAGTAAGACAAAAAGGAAATAAATTGTCCTGCATAATGCAGAGGAATCTAGGATTTGGCCAGAAGTGGCTTCCAGTGACTGGAAGTGGGGGTGGGGTCTCTTGAGCAGTGGAGGAATGAAAGCGAGGGGGAGCAAGAGACAGTGCCCCACAGAAGGGCAGTGGGCAGGGGCCGGGGAAGAAGCATAGTCAGCAAGAAATTCCTTGTGGCAGAAATGACAACATGATGGCAGTAACTGTGACCCAGTGCTTCCAGTTGTCCCAAACCTCAGTGCAAGTCTGTGACATGCTGCGTCTTGAGTTGGCAGTGTTTGGAGGGCTTAAAGGAAAACAGGCTGCCTGCGGTGCAGGGTGAGGAGGAGAGAACAGCCATAGGAAAGATGCTGCTGCTGTGATCAAAGGCCAGCAAGAGCGAGACTTGGACCTGTGTCAGGATCCCCAGCTGGTTTTATTGTTATATTAAATGGAAGATTAAGCACTGAGAGCTGGCAGTAACTTGGTAAGAAAAGTAAGATCTCATTTAAACCTCACACCTGGGCCGGACAGAATCATGATGCTATTTTACAGACACAGAAACAGAACTTGAGAAAGTGAATTCATCACCTAAGATCACTCAGCCTTTGCCTCTAGAGCATGGCAAAGCCAGGCTGCCTACCCTGCTCTGACCCACTCCAAGACATGTGCTCTTAACCAGTCTGCTTTTAATAAAACTTGTATGTCCTTGAACTTAACTGTGGATCTCCTTGATGGTAGGGAGTCTGACTTACTCATTCTATAATGCCTGGTGCCTGACATGCAGCAGGTGCTCAATCTGAGTATGTTAAATTGGAACACAGATGTGAAATGAAGTCCTACTATTTCTGTCATGAAGAATATTCCCCAGCTAGCTCAAAAGTTATTAATTCGCCTGAGGTCATATAGCAAGAATGTGATGCTCTATCATGTGACCCCTGTCAGCCCTAAGTAAACTCTCACTGAGGACCTGCTATGTGCAGCGTAGAGCTAGTCAAGCAAATAAAGAGCAGACTAGAAGTGAGGCATTGCAGGTGCTAGGGGAGCACAGAGGAGGATTCCCAGCTGAGTGGAAGGAAGAGGGGGTAAGGACTAGTTACTGGGCAGGTAACACCTGTCACCTGACCAATGAGTGAGAGATGCCAAGTGCCAAGTCTTCAGTAAAGGCAAAGGCTGAAGCAGGGAGGCATGGGAGGGAACAATGGCTTCTTTCTCCAGCTAATGTGGGTCAGTTCTTAGAATTTCCAGCACAGACGTCCATCTCAATTGGTCCCAGACCTCCCTGCCTGAACTTGAGTCTCAGGAGCTGTCCACCCTTACTCTATCAAATATAATCAATTCAAGGGTCCTCTGCTGTTGCAAAATTTAAACAGCCTGACTCTTTAGGGCTGTACTGTCCCATGTGGTAGCCACTAGCCACATGTGGCTATTTAAACTTAAATTTAAATTAATTGAATTTAAATAAAATTAAAAGTATTTCTCGATCACACTAGCCACATTTCAAGGGTTTGATAAGAACTTGTGGCTTGTGCCCACTTTACTGACAGCACAGTTGTAGAACGCTGCCATTGTTGCAGAAAGGTCTACTGGACTCTGCCGCCCTAGGTCTTCTTTGCCTTCCCAGGCCTGAAACTCCGGCCTGGATGTAAACAGCATTTCCTCTCTGGCCAGTTTCCCATTCTTCCCTGATTTTTAGTCTCCCCTGGTTCCCAGTCTGAGGAGTCTGAGTCTGGGCTGCTCTCTTCTGAGTGTTTCAGCCCCTCTGCCCTGCTCACCTCTTGACCCTCATGGGTGAAGTCAGGCTGCCACGCATTTTTCCAAGCTCTTCTCCCAGCCCATATTCCTCAGCAAGCTGTTCAGCTGAGTACTGTCTTGTGCTTCCCCAGCCTAGGAGTCTAAATGGCAGTTCTTCAAATGAAACCTAGATTTTCTCTCCCCATTTGAAACGAAAGCTCCACCAGAGGGTTTGAGACATGCTTCTGCCCCTTATGGGGTGATTCAAATAACTTTGGGCAAATCACTGAACCCTTCAGAAAAGCACAGAAATACATCAGAAGGACATGATGAAGTTTCCATAATCCTACAAAGTTCCCTTCATGGTCCTTGGTCTACATTCTCTTCCTGTGAGATGGTAGTCAGAAATCCTCCTGGCTTCTCCAGTGAAGGCATGCCACATCTTATTGAAGGCTCTACCTGTCAACCCTTTCCTTTCACATCACTCCTCTTCCCTGCCTTAACATGCACTCCAGTCTGACTCGAGTCTCACATATGCCACGTGTTCCTCTGGGGACCCGTGGAGGCCTTGCCTTGCCCAGAAGTCATCCTGGGTGGGACGGTGCTCCTGGTTTGTGGAGAGCTGAGTGACAGTTCTTGGCCAGGACAGAGGCTGCTCCTGTCCCATTGGCTCAGCTGTCTTTTTGCTGCCTGTTTGCTGCTTCAGAACACAGTGTGTCCAGAGTCCTGACATCACTCCCTAGCATTAGACCCACATCAATGTGGATGTCTATTAAGAAGAATGCTGTGCCTTCTCCATCCAGCCTCCTTAAGAAGGGAGACTTTCCACAAAGATGTTGAAAATCATGGTGTCTATGTATAGGATCCCTTTGATGTGAGTGTTGGGCATTGCATTGGGTTTCTTGTCCCTGCCTCTCACAACAAGCATGCAAGCTCAGTAGTATTGATTCCATACTTTCCGATGAGGAAACAGGCTCGCAGAAGTTCAGGATTTCAGATAGTAAATGGCCAAGCTAGAATTAGAAGCCGGGTGCACCTGGCTCATGACTTTGACCTTTCCACTGGCCCAGCCTCTCTCTACTGCTGATTGAGAGGGGCTTAGTATGTTATGCCTTCAGGGGAATTTGCTCTCTTTTTCAGAAAGTACTGGAAATGAGTCTTAAAGACTGTGTTTCTAATGATAGGTTTATAGACACCTGGATAGGCAAGGGAGTCATATTTTGGGGCAGCAATCTGCTTGGTATCCTTCGGCCAACCTCCCAATGACCCTGTGTGGGCATCAGAGAGCCCCAGCCTCCCACACCTCTGCTTAGGGCCAAGCCAAAGGTCCTGAGTCAGAGCTGAGAGATGGAGTCACATATTGCCCCCTAAAGTAGGAATGCCCTCCAATCCTTTTCCACGCAGGGTGAGATCCCAAAGTCAGGGCAAAATAAGGGGCAAGGAGAGGCGGGGTAAAGGGAGAAATCAACAAAGAAGTCTGTTTTTATTTAAAAAAAAATCCGTTGCACAGACTGAATGATAAAGCCTTCTGGCTTGAGGAAATTGATTCTGGCAGAAATCTTGGTTCAGCTTGATTCTTTTGGTTCCCATAGGCATCTTTGGGTGACAATAAAAGCTCTGTGTCTGGAGCAAACATAGAGTCACAACAATTATTTGCAAAGTGAATGTCTAGTCATCTGGAAACAGAAATAGAAATAAATTCAGCATGAGTATCAAAAGCAAAAGTCAAGGGGCATAAAGACACTTAATTAGAAACACCTATATGCCCTCCTGTGTGTAAGCATACCCAGAGAGGTCCTGGGCTCTTTATCTGTCATTGGAGTATGGTGCTTTCCTGCCTGGGTGTGTGTTCGGCTGATGGCACCATACCATTTCAGCTTTCTCCCTGTCTGCTGCTATCATGGGTAGGATGTAAAGAACCAGGATTCATTACATTTGGACTATAAACTTTTGCATACAGTACTTCAATGCAAATGTCCTAACAGCCATATGAGATTCTCATTATTTCTTGTACACATTTCACTCAGGAGGCAATGTGATTTCAAGAACGTAATTGACTTGTGCTGGTTCACACAGCTAAGTGTTGAGCAGATTCAGTATATCCCCAAGCCCATGGTGAATGCGGTTTCTTGGTTAGGACCCAGGGACCAATTTTTTAATTTCAGCTGTACTACTAAATATTAGTGTGAGCTTGGGAAAATCTCTTTCCCTCCCAGAGTCTCAGTTTCTTCATTTGTAAAAAAGAAGATATTGGCTTCAATTTTGTCGGCAAACACTTTCTTCTAATACTCTGTGGTTTTATTATCCTACGTAGCAACTGCTGGCCTCATAAATAAGACACTATAAACAAACTCACATCACATGTATTATTCTGCAAATTATATACACATATTTTTCCTTAACAATATCTTCCTGAGTCATCCATGTTGTTGCCTATCGCTATTTTACCATTTTACATATTCCATAGGATCATACTAGATGATTATACTCGATGTCTTTATCCTCTCTACTATTTACTCCAGACACACATTCAAGTGATTTCTGGGTTTTCTGCTTTTTTGAACAATGCAGCTGTGAACATGTTAAACATGCTCCTGGTGCATACGTGTAGGAATTTTTCTGGGGTATGTATCTAAGGAGTGGAGATGCTGGGTTGTATTTATTAGGTAATGCCATTTATTTCCAAAGTGGTTACCCTCCACTGGGAGTAAAGGAGAGTTCATGATGTTCCACATTTCTCAATACTTAAAAATTTTGCCAATGTTAGGAGTTATAAATATTGTTTCATTTTGCATTTCCCTAATTATGAATAGGTTGGGTTTTTTTAATGTTTATGAGCTGTTTATATTTCTTTTTTGGTGAAATGTTCATGTCTTTGGAGTTTTTCTAAAGGGTTCTTTGCATTTTCTTACTGTTTGCAGTTCTCTATTCTCTAATCTTTGTCAGGTACTCAAGTTGCAAATATCTTGAACACATCATGGCTTACCTCACTCTTTTTGATATCTTGTAGTGAACAGAAGTTATTAACCGTAACAGTGAATTTATTGATCTTTTACAGGTAGTGTTTTTTGGGTCTCAGGAAGTCCTTCTTTAAGGAAATCTCCTTGAGAAGGTAAAGATATTATCCTATATTGTCTTCTAAGTTTTACAATATTGCTTTTCATGTTTAGATATTTGATTCATCTGGGGACTTTTGTGTATAATGTGAAGTAGGGACTCAATACCATTGCTTTTGATATGGATAATCAATTATTACAGCCTCATTTATTAAATGTATGCACACTTGCTCCCAAGCCATCTATTCTGCTCTATTAGTCAGTTTTTAAAACATTCCTGTGCCAATACTTCTACAGGTCTTGTAATAAATCTTGACATCTTATAGGAAAAATGCCCATATCTCATGTTCTTCTGACTTTTCTTTACTTGTAAAAATTTTAGTTTGTCAAGCTCCATAAAAAGTCTTACTGAAATTTTGATTAAAACTTTAGATAAATTTAAGAAATGATACTTTTATATCTTGTTAAATTACTAGGTTCTTGTTTACATTTTTATTAATGATTGCAATAGACATGCAATTTTTCTTTATTGCATTGACCCTACTGTGCTCTTGGTATTAATGTTGCAGTCACCTAAATAAAGAAATGAGTTTATTTGCTATTCTTTGGATGTTTGTGTAAGACTGGAATAATCAGTATCTTGAATGTTCAGTAGGAAAAGCTTATAAAACTGGATATGTTGTTTTCTTCAAGGGAAGATTTAAAAAAGTTGTTAATCCAACTTCTTTCCAGGGGATGACTGTTATTTCTATTTCTTCTTGGATCAGTTCTGTTTTTTCTAGGAATTTAGACATTTTATCAAAGTGTCCAAATTTATTGACAGTTTATAATATCCCCATTACCTGTTTACTCTCTGCAGCTTCTGTAATTTGCCATTCCTTATCTTTTATACCTTCTCTCTTATCTCCTGATTAAGGTTTCAAATAACCAACTGATATGGTTTGGCTGTGTCCCCACCCAAATCTCATCTTGAATTCTCACGTGTTGTGAGAGGGACCCTGAAGGGTGGTAATTGAATCATGGAGGCAGGTCTTTCCCATGCTGTTCTCGTGATAGTGAATAAGTCTCATGAGATCTGATGGTTTTATAAGGGGGAGTTTCCCTGCACAAGCTGTCTGCTGACATCCACGTAAGATGTGTCTTCCTCCTCCTTGCCTTCGGCCATGATTGTGAGGCCTCCCCAGCCATGTGGAACTTAAGTCCATTAAACCTCTTTTGTAAATTGCGCAGTCTCAAGTATGTCTTTATCAGCAGTGTGAAAAAGGACTAATACACCAACTTTGACTTTGTTGATCTGTTTTCTGTTTCATCAATTTCTGCTCATTATTCCCTTCAAATTGGGGTGGGGGAACTATTCTGTTACTTATATTCCTGATACAGATATTTATTGATTTTTGGCTTAATGAATGCATTTTAGACTAAAGTCCAAAAAAAAAGTATCTCTAGAACTGCTTTAGTCATATTCCACATGCAATTTGTAGCATATAATTGTTCTATTTTTTCTCAAATTTTCATCATAAATTATGAATTAATATTTAAAACTGTTTCATTTGTGATTTCCAACTAAAGGATTTTCAGTCCTTAAGGTTGTTTTTTTCCTCCCCAAGAATTGCCATTTGGCTCCAGGTATGATCAATTACTTCCTTTAACAAATATTGGGCACCCACATGTGCCAGGTACTGTTCTAGATGCTTAGGTTACAGGTGTAAACGAAATAGGCCAAAAAGTCATGCTTTCTTGGAGCTCATGTTCAAGTTTTTTTGGTTTTTTGGAGGCAGGGGTCTCACTTTGTCGCCCAGGCCAGAGTGCAGTGGTACAATCACAGCTCATTGCAGCCTCAACCTCCTGGGCTCAAGTGATCCTCTCACCTCAACTTCTCAAGTAGCTGGCAATACAGGCACATACCACTCTGGCTAATTTTTTTGTAGACACAGGGTTTTGCCATGTTGCCCAGATTGGTCTCAAACTCCTGGGCTCAAGAGATCTGCCTGCCTCTTCCTCCCAAAGTGCTAGGATTACAGGCATGAGCCACTGTGCCTGGCCAGGAGCTCATGTTCTACTGTCAATTCTTGGAAATGTCCCATATACCTGAATAGAATGTATACTCTTCACTTGTTGGGTGCAGTTCTACATATGACTGTTAAATCAAGTTGCTTTTATTACTCAAATCATGCATTTCCTTACTGATTTTTGCTTATTATCTCAATTTCTAAGGAGAGGTATATTAAAATTTCCTGCTGTGATTGTTTCTTTGTCTATTTCTCGTTTCTAATTACTATCCTAAAAGCCATATTCTTTTAAAAGAAACTGATGTTCAAGAAACATGCCCTATTTCACTAAGATTGTAAAGGATGGATTATGGATTCCAGCGTAGTTGGTCTCTATTATGACAATATTAATTGTGCAACTGTTGTCATCTGTTTTCCCTAATATCTACACCCAATAATAACACACCAGTACCTTCCCATCCTTTGGAAAATCCCTCTTCCCAGACTTTTAATCAAATTACCAGAGTTCCTTGCTCCCTGTTCAGCAGCAAATGTGTCTATGGCTGGTCACCACAGTATCCTGAGCCACACACTGAAATCAGGTCAATGAGTCCCGCCCCTGGACAGATGTATGTGTCTTTATCATATTGCCTTCCAATAAATTCATATGGTCACTAGCCATGTCTGAAAGTACCTACCAAGGATATGCTATGAGGTTAATTATTGTTTAGCTGTTTGACAAGGATATTTTCCCCTACGATATTTATCTCATCTGATGATGTTGTCCTGAATTTCCTTGTTATTTCTTCTCCATGGCTGGAGAACATAAACTGTCTTTTAGTCCTAAAAACTTTTATTGCCATCTGGAATTTACTGCATTGTTGAATAAAGTATGGTTTATTTCAAAAAATCATTAAGCAGTACTACTTTCCAGGAACTGTGCTAGAAGGCACTGTGGATTCAGAATGGAGTAAGACATGTTCTTTTTATGAAGAACACAATAGAGTGGGGGAAAAGTCATGTTGATAAATGTGTGCATGGGGGTTATAGGCACGTGGGCAGTGGGAGGCAATGCACTCAACCAAATGGCAGGCAGTCAGGAAAGGCCTTACAGAGGAGATGACATTTGAGTTGCATCTGAAATACATACTAAGAAAAGCATATTCCAGGAGGGGCAAAAAGCATCTGCAGAGAAGACACATTATTCCTCACACATTAAATTTTCAAAGTGATTTTTATTCTTTTTCTTTTTGCTGCTATATTCCCATTTCTTCTTCATATTCTAATCAGGGCTTACAAATACGTGGCACCTGCACTGCCACTCTCCCCCTTTGCCCTGCCATTGGCAGCATCCATAACTGAAGACAGAATTCTTTCCTAAAGAGTCTACTCAACACTAGGTGCCATGATTAGAAATAATGTAGAAATTAATAATCACGATTAATAAAGTGTACATGATAGACACTTGCTTACCATTCCTTCTTTGACTGGATGGAGACGTGGAAACCTTGTTATTCAGAGGTGAAGTAGGGAGGGCAAGTTCTAAAATTGTTAGCCCTAGGGCACTAGAATTACTGGGGATTAAAAAAAAATTCCAAATCTCAGGCCACACATCTCTAAGGGTGGGAAAAAGGCTTCAGGATTTTTTGAAGCTCCCCAAGTAATTCCAATGTGCAGAGAAGTTTGAGAATTACGGCCATAGAAGTCTTTGTTCAAAAAGGTCAAATTCGTTACCCATGTAAAGGGCTCGAGGGATTACCAAATTGTACTCTTCTGGGAAGAGAATTTTCCAGAGCAAGAGGGAGGCCTCTGAATCTGAAGTCTGGTCACTAAGCGGATACCAGAGTGAAGACCTGAGGAGCCTGGCAAAGACCAGGATATCAGCAGCAGGGGGCAGAGCCAGAGGTGGCCTGCAGGCATCTTTCTTTCCCAGTTTTCATGACATGATCCCAAATCTACTTAGCAGTGGCCATTTCTTATTTTCATATCTATTTTTTCAGAAATGTATAAGGACTAAGGGTGTCAGAGTAATCAGCATAACAACCAAACGAGCTGAAGTCTGCAAAATTCAACTCCCCCTGCCTAGATATTAAATTTGCCTACAGGAAAAAAGCCCACCAGGTACTTAAAAAAATTAATGAAATGATATTATGCTGCATTTAAAAGAACATGCCTATGAAGCAGAATACCATGTAGTGCTACCATTTATTTGAAAGTCATTTTGACAACACTGTGCATACTTAGAGTTTTGGGTTAAAGATAATTGTGTATAGAAAACTATAGAAAACATTGCTTTGAAAGTGAAGCCAGTATCAATGTTATCCTAATCTCTTTGCCAAAAAAAAAGAAAACTATCTCTTAATTACACTACAATCAAATCGAGTCTTCAACTCTTATATGCTCATTCAGAATTTTAAAATCTCTCTCACGGGAGGAAATGTAAAAGGAAAGTTTTCAAGACCTTTTTGTACCTTAATATCCTTTTCAACTTCTAATGTAAAACGTATTTGTCCTGATACAATGCTGTGAAATAAAGACCACATCAGGAATGTAATGAAGTTTAAAAGTAGCTCCTTTTTTGCACTGAGAACAATTTTATTGATTCAAATTAGAAACTTCTAACTGGGGGCAGGAGAAAAAGGAGGAAGAAGAGAGAAGCAAGCAATCTGTGACCTAGCGCTGATTATTGGCTGACCTCTAATAAAGGAAGAAGATTCGGATTTCTGGTGCCAAAACGAAAGTAATAAAGTGGAAAATGAATTTTTGCAATCCCCACACATCACTGAATTTATCTATTGTCTTCTAGGCAAAGTAATCCTACAAAAGGAAGTTCTATTTCAAGGATTTTCACTCCTTTTCCATCTCTGAACTGAAAAGAAACAAGGGGCAGTTTGCAGCTTCAAAATATTTAAATAACCTATAACTCATATCAGTGTTCCAATTAAAAATTACCTAATCTGTTCTTTGCTCCTTGCAAGTTTCATTGAAGCAGTGCCCTTAACAGGCAAAGAAGGTACGTGGTAAAATTCAGCTCCCGGTAGAGTGTCCATCAACCAGCTCTGGCGGGATGTGCTGTCAGGAATGGAGCGCCCCCTGGAGGCCAGTCATCCAGCCAGTCTGTTCCCATCGATTAGAGCAGAGGCTCTCAAGTATGGTCCCTGGACCAACAGCATCAACACCACCTGAGAACTGTTAAGAAATCCAAGTTCTGGGGCCCCACCATAGGCCAACTGAAACAGAAACCTCTGTGGTGGGGCCCAGCAAACTACAGGCCTTGCAGGTGATGCTGATGCCTGCTAATTTTGAGAACCACTGTATTAGAACACCTCACTCCCCAAAGATGTCAGAATCAAGGTGTCATTGTGTTAAGAAATTATACAGGAATGAACAGAGCTGAAATGTCTTTCCTACATAGAGAAAGAACCAAGAGTTGATGTTTGTATCAAGTAAACACATTGAGTTACAATTTAGAAAATGTTGATACCAATGTATGTTTTAAATACATTAAAACAGCTTTTAGCAACCCTTTAATTATTCCCAATATATAGTTTGAATGAATTACTGTGTCCCTTGATGAAAAGGATAAAAAAGGAATGTAAGTGACTCTACCACAAATACAGGAAAAGTTTGGATAACCTCAGTACCTACCACTACCAACAACAAGACCAAAGAGTCTACCCCCACTGTTTATGATCCCTCCCTCTCTTCTCAGGACTGCCATCTGACTCAAACCAGTTCATGGCTATCTGACTACAAAACGAGGCTGAACTTGATCACAATCAAGGTGAAAATGAAAATAACAATCAAGAAAAACACTTCCCTCATTACTCATGATTTTTTTTAATTTAACATATATAGTACATGTAAACAACTGGCATAAAATTCATAAAAATACAATACTCCTATGCAATATCACTTTATTCCTGATACATACTTTCATTTTCTCATTAATATCACTGGCCTATTTTAACACTATATTTTTTTTGCCAAGCATTTTTAGAGGCTTATCTTTTTAAAGAAATACAGCCCCAACTTTGTTTTCGAAAATGTTGTAGCAATAGCTATTTTGATCGCTTCTTTGCCCATCCTTACTTTCCTCATACTAAAGCAAAAATATTTGTAAATGCTAACAATATGCAAAACACTGAGCTTTAATACTGTTTTGTACGCCTATGGAACCTGCTACCAATCTGCATTGCCATCAAAGGTGTGGATGCTCCACAGTGCTTGGGCTGCGAGCTGTGGCCACGGCTGCATAGCAGGGACCTTCAGGCCTCTGCTCCAAACTGGCTCCCCTAATATATAGCCATATTTTGCTGGGGGTTACATTCATAAACACTGCTACAAAAGGATCCTTCTGGAAAAAGCTAATTTATATTACTTTTAATGGTTCCCAGCAAATGAAGCAGTTATAATAGTATTTTTAATGCTTTTTTCCTATACAGAATTTCTACTTATTACATGTGAACTTCTTTGGAAGGAAATTACTGGGGGTGAGAAAAATATAAAATAAATGTAAAAGTATAATTTTTAAAAATTGTAACTGCTGGATGTACACAATCAGCCACACTCAGGTGAGCAACAATCACAGATAAGCAGCGCGCACCTCCCTCTCCCTGCTCATGTCAACTCCCATCCTCAGCCTCAAGTGTCCACCGCCCATTTTCCTGGACTGTTGTGCATCATCGCTCAAATGTTGCTTTTAATCCACAAATCAAGGGCTGCTTCCCTATTTTCTAAAACTAGCAAAAGCCTAAGAAATAAAAACAGTCAACCAGCAAATGAGAAACAGTGGCCACAAATCTGAAGAACGCTGCCAGAGTCCCTCTCCTGGGCTGCCTCCAGGGAAGGAGCATCCCTGGGAGCTGCGGCTCTAGGCGCTGGCACAAGACTGGGGGGCGGTGCTTCTCTGAGGGCACACTCCTCAGCCTTTGCAGCTGACTTATGTCAGCAAGCTGCTGCTTCCCCGGGACCAGGCCTGCCCTTGGGCTCTGGTAAGAAGGTAGAAAGGGAACAGCGGCTTCCAGGAGTGGGCACCAGAAACCATGCCTGAGGACTAAGGTCTGAAGGACAATCCACAATGAGGTTAATCTGCCTGTGGTTAAGAAAGAGAAGCTGTATAATTAAATGTGTAGTCTGTCAGCCATAGTCACGCTTTGCTTAGAATTTAAAACCCTAAAACCTTTTCTCAGAGCTATGAGGTTTCATCGTTTTGAAGAATCTCATTTCACACAAATTAACTTCTAAGAAACAAAAATTCATACAAGGAATTCAAAGAAGGTGTAGAAATTTTTCAAAATAAAAATAAATAGGAAGAAAAAAACTAAAGAGGAGGACGAAATATACTTATTCCTTATACTGAAATGATGGTTTTTAGAACCAAAATTATAACATAAGGCTTAAGGCTTTGTCTTATTAAAGACAGGCAATCTTAAAAGTAAAATATAAAAACTCCATTTATCATTATTCTTTACATTTTTGACAGCAAAATTAGTCATGTTTTATTGTATCTTAATAGTAAAAGAAAAATTACCATGTACTACAGTCTACTGTTCCACTATAAATGATGTCTAATCAAATATACATTAGTTTCTAGATGCACTATATTTGGGGTTGTTCAAAATAGTTTTTCTTAAAACTATAATTAAACATGAAAAAACTTTAAAGTGGTTTAAAGGTATTAAAATATAAACATTTGAATAATGCTAAAAATGAGAAAAATACAGTTACCATTAATTTTTTTTAAAACCAAGAATAAGTACTTGATAAGCAACTAAATGAGTAAACAGTACTTATTTGACAGAAAATATGGGGAAGAGGAGAAGAGAGAGAGCAAGAGAGAGAGAGAAAGAGACACGATAATGCCATATGGCTGGAAGTTAAGGGAATTTCCTAACCACAAGGTCCAAGAGTTTGGATTAATAATGGGCAGGAAAAGCTTCATTAACAAGAGAACAGAGAACAAAAAGCGCACAAGGAAGTAAAACAAACAGATAGTTCTATATAGCAAACACTCCATGTCTGCCCCATCTACTGTAACTCAAGTTGATGACAGGGGCTGACATGACCGAAGAACTTACAATCACTGAAATGTCCAAAAGACAAGAGCAAGAGGCAGAAAAAAGAAGCAAGGGGCATTAATAGTTCTTACACTATAAAATCAGCCCCTACATTGTCAGAATTGTCCTGTATTTTCATGTCATCCTTGTCACAACCCACTGTGTTTTCTTTATACAGGTAGCTTTGCTCACTTTAGCACAAATATTAAAGTCAAGTACAAGCATATACTCATTTGCATAGCAAATTTTAAAGGGTGCATTGAAATAGTAACCAATTGATAAAGGTGTAAGTCATTTTTATAATTAGAATGACATTCAAATTGACCAAATAAAACGTTTTCTATTTGAAAACAGTTACCTATAAAAGTTTTTGGGATATGAACAACACATGACTTAGCAAAACATTAAAACCATTACAGATGTAGTTCTCCGTAGGCAGCAGGTCATGTAGCAGTCATTCTTTTACAACTTCTAGGACTTTGTAAACACTGTTCTGGAATACAGTGGTGAAGTGAGGTTTGGAATCCTTCACCAAGAGGTTACATAAGGGAGTTTTCCCAGCATTGGCAGGATCTTCTACATCCCAAATTTCAGGCATACTGCAACCAGGCCTAGAAAAATGAATGTACATGTTAAAAATCAATATGCATTATATAACTGCAGAGAAAGCAGAGCACTTCTTACATTCCTGACCTCAATTCCTTTTTTCCCCTTAAATTACTTTAGTTTTTAAACAATCCTGTTACATAGCTATTTATGTTTTTATAAGCTGCCATGACTCACCTTAGGACAAGGTCAATGCAGCAAAGGTGACTATAAGGAAAGAAACAGACCTGTAGATACATATATCCAGGTGTTGCGGAAAGAGACACCTCAGTTAAACTCTGCCTCAGCTACTTATCAAGAATGTGGTTCTGGGCAGGTAGCTTCCCTTGGTCTTAGTTTTCACATTTGTAAAATGGGGAAATAAACAACCATGACATAGGTTTGTTGTGAGGATTATGAGAGACCAGGTATCTAGCACCATTCACACAGAAAAACGTATGACATTGATTTAAAAAATTATAATGAACAAATATGCTTAGTTCACAGGGAAGCTGCATTAATTGTATAGATGCTCCTCAACTTACAATGGGGTATGTTCCAATAAACCCATCATAAGTTGAAAATGCATTTAATACACCTAATCTACCCAACATCACGGCTTAGCCTAGCCTACCTTAAACATGCTAGGAACACTTATATTAGCTTACAGTTGGACAAAATCATCAAATACAAATGCTATTTTACAACAAAACATTGAATATCTCATGTAATTTATTGAATGCTGTACTGACACTGAAAAACAGAATGGTTGTATGGGTATTTGAAATATGCTTTCTACTGAATGCATATGGCTTTAACACTGTCATAAAGTAAAAAAATCAGTAGGTCAAAACATCTTAAATTGGACAGTCGATATTCTAGAATGAATCAATTTAAAGAAATTCTGGTAGTGTTGAGCATACATCTTAAACACATAATTAAATCTCAAAAGCAACATATCTTTATAAATTGGCATATGACATTTGCCTAAATAAGTCCTTCAAAATAACAGTACCATTTATCTTAAATCAAGAACAGTTTTATGGATATAACTGTTGGATGCTGCTATCTACCTTTTGAGGAATTTTAAAAAACAGAAAAACATGGGAAAATTATAGAGAATTGACAACTGCTCATGTTTGTCATAATTGCATCCCTTTTTATTTTTAAATAAGAGAAAAAAATTCCCAAGTCCCTCTTATGTTTAGTAGCAGTCCCTCCCTCACTCTCCACCATGAGGCAAACACCGTAGCAGGTATGTACATCATTTTCCCTTTTTAAATAACACCTTTAATTTATAATAATCAGTCATTATAAAAGTATCAAAATATAGACCTACATACATTTTAAGAAATGAAAGTCACCATCATCTCCAATAGCATTTCTCAGAGGTGACTTCTATAAACAATCCAGCATATATCCTGCTGGACCTTTTTAAAAAAAAAAAAATTATTTCAATAGCTTTTGGGAAACAAGTGGTTTTTGGTTACACGGATAAGTTATTCAGTGGCAGTTACTGAGATTTTGGTGCACCCACCACCAGAGCAGTGTAAAGTGTACCCAATGTGTAGTCTTTTATCCCTCACCCCACTCCTCGCTTCCCGAGTCCACAGTCCGTACCATTATTATGCTTCGCATCCTGGTAGCTTAGTTCCCACTTATAAGTGAGAACATACAATATTTGCTATCTGCTGTATCTTTCTCCAATGTCAGACACACATACAGACACAGATATCATTATATACATAGATGCTGTGATGGTCAGTATTGAGTGTCAACTTGATTGGATTGAAGGATCAAAGTATTGTTTCTGGGTGTGTCTGTGAGGGTGTTGCCAAGGGAGATTAATGTTTGAGTCAGTGGACTGGGAGAGGTTGACCCACCCTCAATCTGTGTGGGTACCATCTAATCAGCTGCCAGCATGGCTAGAATAAAAGCAGGCAAAAGAATTGTGGAAGGACTAGACTGGCTGAGTCTTCTGGCCTCCATCTTTCTCCTGTGCTGGATGTTTCCTGCCCTTGAACATCAGACTCCAAGTTCTTCAGTTTTTGGACTCTTGGGTCTACACCAGTGGTTTGCCAGGGGACCTTGGGCCTTCAGCCACAGATTGAAGGCTGCACTGTCAGCTTCCCTACTTTTGAAGTTTTGGGACTCAGACTGGCTTCTTTGTTCCTCAGCTTGCAGATGGCCTATTGTGGGGCCTCACCTTGTGATCGTGTGAGTCAGTACTCCTTAATAAACTCCATTTCATATATACATCTATCCTTTTTTTATTTTTGAGATGGCGTTTCCCTCTGTCGCCCAGGCTGGAGTGCAGTGGTGTGATCTCGGCTCACTGCAAGCTCCACCTCCCAGGTTCACGTCATTCTCCTGCCTCTGCCTCCTGAGTAGCTGGGATTACAGGTGCCCACCACCACGCCCAGCTAAGTTTTTGTATTTTTAGTAGACATAAGGTTTCACCGTGTTAGCCAAGATGGTCTCGATCTCCTGACCTCATGATCTGCCCATCTCAGCCTCCCAAAGTGCTGGGATTACAGGCGTGACCCACCGCGCCCGGCCACATCTATCCTATTAGTTCTGTCCCTCTGGAAAACCCTGGCAGATGCTCTTGAGTTGTTTTTACAAAAATGGAATTATTCTGGGACTGTATACTGAACAATAAAACGTGGAACCATTTTTCCATCTCAGTGCATAAAGATCTATTCTACTGTTTTTAAAAGCTGCTAGTTCTCATATGTACTATTTAACCAATTCTTTACAGACAGATACTTTAATTGTTTCCCATTTTGCCATTATAAAGCAATGCAGCTACAAACAGTCTTGTGCAGAGCTCCCTTCTGCAAACTAAACCTCTAGAGCAGCGGTCCCCGGTCTTTTTGGCACCAGGGACTGGTTTCCTGCAAGACAATTTTTCCATGGGCTGGAGGGTGGGGGCGATGGTTTTGGGATGAAATTGTTTCACCTCAGATCATCAGGCATTAGATTCTCATAAGGAGCACGTACCCTAGATCCCCCGCATGTGCAGTTCACAATAGGGTTCATACTCCTATGAGAATCTAATGCTGCCACTCATCTGACAGGAGCCAGAGCTCAGGCTGTAATGCTTGTTCACCCTCCGCTCACCTCCTGCTGTGAGACTGGGTTCCTAACAGGCCACAGACCAGTACTGGTCCATGGCCGGGGGCTTGGAGACCCCTGCTCTAGAGGCAACATTATCACTCTGCCAAAGGACTGCACAATTTTTTTCTTACCTTCCCTTCATCAAACTATCCCCTAGAAATGTTTTGCCAGTGAGTGTTCCCATGAAGAGGGCTCAAGTGCACACTTTTTGCACACCTTTGCTGACACTGGTTTCTACTCACATGGAACACCTATGATCATATGGCTGGGCATGGGTTTTCTACCTTGTAATTTTCTCATACACGTCAAGGCTGAACTGTTACAACACTGAGGGCCCACGGTGGCAGAGAGTGAGACACACAGAAAGTAGAGAACGACCCACAGTTTTCCTGAGTTCAACAGCTTTTAGGAAAAAGAGAGGGCAAACAGCTGTCTTGGGGAGCTCTGTTTGCCTTGTGCAACACTATTTAGTCCTCATCTGAGTTTCCCAAGGTTTCCCCAGGCCAGCCATCTGCAAATAGCATTAGTGAAAATCTGAATAATTTCCTTCTAAATACATGTATTCTATGTCAACTCTATTATTGGAGTAAAAGAAAGCAGAGAACTGTAGTTAATTTAAAACTAATCTACAACTTGCATGCAAATATATTTGAGTGTTTATATTTAAACACAGTGTCAAATATTTAAGGAATAATCAAGCCATACAATTAAGCCACTTGTAAATGAGATCATTTAAACATAGTGCTCACCAATTGCCAGGCACAGATTAAGCACTAGATAAATATTGGTCCCTCTTCCCCTTCCTCTCCTAACTGAGTTCCCCATCTGCTTCCCCCATTCCAACATACTTTCACGTCCCAGCAATCTACAGGGGTTTCAGGCTGATCATAACTGAAATGGAGAGTGAAGGCCAAGGAAATAAGGAAGGTCCCAAACCAGGCAGAAAGCTTTGTCAAGAAACTTCCTACTCTAAATGTAAACACTAGATAAATATTAGTCATTCTTCACTTTCCTCTCCTATCTGAACTCCCCATTTGCTTCCCTGTCAGGACAGAAAGCACAGCTTTTGTTTTGTGTCAAGGTTGAAGCAGAGTGGACCTGTCCAAGGTTTCCTGACAGTGTGTCATCAGCCTGGCTTAGATCTTGTACTAGATGGAGAGTGTTGTTTTAATGAGTGGGGAAAACAGATGAGAGAGTCACTTTCGTAGCTTCCTCCCACTCAACTCCTGCTGTGACAGACACAATAAATGGCAAGTCAAGGTCCAGATGGGGAAATCCAGCACACCCTCTTCTGCACCCCAACTCTCAGTCTGATTGCTCGTAAGTGACTTGAAGTCAGTTCAATGTCTGCTGATTTTGTTTAGTGTGCAAAGTTTATTGCCATACATCCTGAATTTGCCTTCATATCCCTTCTTGTGTGGGTAAAACAGTGCTCTGCCTACCCAAACATGAGACTGTTAGAGCTATGCAAATCCAGGGAGCTCTCCCAACACTCTACAGCACAAAGCCTCTGCAACTTTCACATATTCAAACTCTATGCAGGGGTCTAGGCAGAATATGAACTCTCAAAGGCTCATTGTTAGCTTGGAGAAAAAAGGTTACGAAAATTATTTTTATGTTCCAGTAACTTACAGTTGTTTCAAGAGAGTGAAGCCCAAAGAAATAAAGAAGATCCCCATTCTGGTAGAAAGCTATGCTAAGAACTGAGTTCTTCCTATTGCAAATGTCAGCCTATCATTCATTTCATATAATTTCCTAAGATCGTCATGAGATGCTTAGAACTTTTCTGTCCTAAATTTATATAACAATGTTAAAGGTGAGTATGTGAATTTCATATACATATTCACAAACGCTTAAAACATTTTCTGAATTATTACAAAATAACATTTTCTATAAATCCTGACTGAATTCAAACCACGTAGCACACGTTCATAGGAGAATCATTCTATAATCAACAATTATTTTAGTTTCCTTGTGAGCAAAGCTGTAGATACTATGTCACAGAACTATTTTTCACTCACGACTCAGTATTTAACAATGTTGTCTTAATACCATATGTGTCATTGAAATATATGGTGGGAAAGTGTGATCAAGCCACAAATATAGCAATCTCTTGAACGCTTTTGTTTAGTTACAGAATAGTAAGAATTTAAAAAATATTATTATTCCATAAAATAGTGTTTATTTCTGATAAAATTGTTCCTGTACTGTGCTCTTCATGAAGTGAATGTTTTGGTACTTTAAAAGCAGGCTACTGTCACCTGGTGTCCAGTCACTTACGTGCCACATTTCTAGATAGCTTTAGATTCACATCTGCTTTGAAGATCTTACTGTCACTTGGAGCTATACTCAGCTTAGTAAACATCTCTGTGGAAATAGAAACTTAAAAACTATAAACCCAAGAGAAAGTGGGTCACAGTAGAGTCATTTTCCCATTCAAGTAAGATGTGAAACACCAGGAAAGAAAAATTTCATTCTGAGTTTTTGCTGACAGGGTATCCCATCCATCGACAGGACATGGTGTAGCACAGAGACCCAGTAAGGATAATGTGACCCCTGGTGCTCAGCTGCCTGACTTCACCAAAAGAGACTCCCCATTACTTGGTTTCAGACCCTGGAAGTCTTTTGAAAGAAAATACATCCAACTTTAAATAAAAGTTTCTTTTAAAACATCAAAGGCAAATATGAACAATTTGGGAGATTATCAACTAGTGCCAATAAAATCTCTTTAAGGTAGTATACACATACAAATCATTATTTAAAAAAAAAAGATATTTATAAAGACTATAAAAGAAAGTCTCCAAATCATTATCTAAAAAGTTTTTTCAGGCCAGGCGTGGTGACTCACGCCTGTACTCCCAGCACTTTGGGAGGCCAAGGCAGGAGTAGCACTTGAGGCCAGGAGTTTGAGACCAGCCTGGTCAACACAGCAAAACCCCATCTCCACTAAAAATACAAAAATTAAGTGGAGCTTGCAGTGAGCCCAGATCATGCCAGTGCACTCCAGCCTGGGCAACAGAGTGAGAGCCTGTTTAAAAAAAAAAGAAGAAGTTTTTCCATGTATACTTTATGTTATATACACACCCCCGCCACCAGCAAAGCATGTGCCATGTGCTTGAATTAACCTTCATGTCTTATGATTATAAAATGTTAACTGTGTTGATACTCACTTGGATCTTCTTACACACCATGACTCTTCTAGAATGTAATAGTTCACTTTTAACTTTATCAGTTCTCGCTTCACTTCTTCGGCTGCTTTCCGACTATACATTGAGTATACTATTTTTGTTCTGGCTCTTTAAAGAAAAATAATTGGGCATAAAATTTTCAAGACTAAAACGATACAATAACACATTTGGAAGAAAGCACTGAATTAGACTAGAAGACGATGAAGAAGAATCCAGTCAGGAGGAAATTCCCCATGGAAGTTCCCGCTAAGGGGCATCAGTGAGGTCAAAAGCAGAAGGCAGGAGGAGGACAAGTTGTGGAGAAGAGGGTGACCTTTAACACACCCCTACATTCCCAAACTTGGTCTCTTTGTGTTTGTTCACTTATTTATTTGTCTTAAATTCTTCACTTCGCTATCACATGTAAGAGTAAGGTACCCTGTGTGTGAACAGGGATGAACTACAACAAACACAACTATAGGACTACTGTGAAGCTGCAACAGTCCCAACTTAGACATCAACAATAATTCACATTAAATGGTTCTTCATTTTATTTCTAGATTTAAGAAAAACTAAACTTATTTAACAAAATTGGTCTGGAAATTAGCTTGATGAGATTGATTTTTTAATGAAAAAGCTTATTTGTGAATGTACATGCCATTGTTATGAAAAAGAAGATGCTAATAAGATTCACCTAATCACTTAGAAAATGAATAGCTTCACCTGCCTTAGAAACTGCAAGAAAAATTAAATTTTTAAAAAAAAATTTGGACAACACATCTCTAAATTATTTTTTAAAGTCTCAAAAAAATCTAAAAAAACATAAAACACCCAAGATCATTCTAACAGGCTATACTGGTGAAAACCAGAATAAACTCCTCTTTGAATGGGATTCTATTTCAAATGACTTCTCCAAACTCAAGAAAAATCACCTATGAGAAAACCTTAATAAACACTCTAAGCTAAACTCCCCAGGGAGTTACAGGATGAAAAGGACTTGGACATTTTAGAGCCCTGTTAACCTGTGGGAAAGTGCTATAGTATGACTTCGTTTATATGCCTGGTAGAGAAGAGAGCCCCCAAAGTTGTCACTTTCCTGCCCTGTGAAGCTTTAACGGATTTGTTTAGAGCTTAGCGGTCTTATTTCAGCTTTCTGCTCCCTGACTCGATAAGCCTCAGTTCATCATATCCTTTTGAAACATTCCTTATTACTTTGCTGGTGTCCTCCACTCACTGTCTGTTTGCATGGGAGGTTTGTTTTGATGATGCAAGACTGTGCACTGACCTCAAGCCTGCGTCTTCATAATGTGGATGATTCACAATGGGCCGAAGTGCAGAGAGCTTAACACTTGCCATCGTGGGCATGGCACCCGCAAACACTGCATCTGGAAGGCAAGAGGAATGTCTCAGGAAGACACTCAGTGAAGGCGAGAAGGTGTCTCCTTCAAGTGTAAATCAATTATTTCACAGGTAACAGAGCGGAAGCCCAGCAGGTTCATGACTTCAAGATTCAATGGCAGAACTAGCATGAAGTCAGATGGCTGATAAAGTAGCAGTTGGCAGCCAGGCCTGGGTAAACTATTTTCCTTGGAAAACAGAGCTTCATCATCTCATCATTAAAGATTTCTTTCTTTCTTTAAAGAAAAAATCTTAGAAATCTTTCCTGAATCTAAAAAAGAAGTATCAAATGGACTAGGAAAGCTTTACAGTAACAAGGAGTTCTGGAAGATGATTTAGTATTCAATCATTTGATACTCAGATGACAACAAAGTCTCCCTTTCCACACATGAATAAAATGTCACATTCCATGAGTTTATTTCAAGAAGGAATGTGAAGGACTAATATTAAAAATTCATTAAGAAAATAAGCACAGGAAAAATTATTTTAAATGTGGCATTTATGACTGTGAATAAATTTTGAAAAAATTAAAATCTATAAAAAATGGCAGAATAAATTACTAAGAACATATGTATAACATTTCCCCTGCAAACCATTTAAACAGGATTGATATCTCCTTTGTTTTAGATATTCTAAAAGCAACATTGCATAGAAAGAGTGAGATCAGTGGAAGTAACTAGGGTTTAAGAGTTTGCAGTGGTATATAAAATTGTGGGAAAAACAGCTAAATAATATGACTTTTTTTTTCTTTTTTTTTTTTTTACCTGGTTTAGTACTATATTTGATCCATTCTATAAGTTCTTCTTGGGGCAAATTGCTGAACTCCCCTACAATATTCCACTGGGTTTGCAGATTTGCTGAACCTTGTATTGACATTGCTGCTAATATAGCAAACACAATAGCACCAGGATGTACTTTGCAAAAGAGCCATCCAAATAGCTGAAACCAAATTAAGAATACATTGGTAATTGTTAGTATAAGTAGTATGCATCTGTTATGCAAAACTTCTTCCCAGAGAAGAATAAGGCCTCTGCTAGAGTCCCAAATAAAGGATTAATTATCCTAAAGAAAAAGCCCCAAAATAATAATCTTTGGGATCAAAAGGATTCTACCATCAGCCTCATATAAGTGGAACACAATGTAGGAAGCTCTTTTCTCAACCTGCTTTCACTACTCCCAGATTCAAGTAAAGCCACAACCAATTTACAAGGCCCAGTACAAAACAAAAATGTGGGGTCTCTTGTTAAAAAATTAAGACGTTCAAAACAGCAGCAGCAAACATTCAATCAAGTTCAGGGTCCTGAATGTGAGGTCCTGTGTGACCAGCAGGAACCCCACACTTGGAAAACCTGCCCTGGGTGACACTTTCTATTAGGTTGGTGCAAAAGTAATTGCGGGTTTTGCTATTTTTAACGACAAAATCCACAATTACTTTTGCACCAACCTATATCATCAGTCATGCTGTGGGATAAGACTCAAGATTAAAGGCTTCCAACCAGCCTCCTTTCCTGTGCCAGCCTGAAGGGGTCAGAAAGGTAGAAAGTAGTGCCTTTCTAACATAATACAACATACTGATTGGGAACCTCAAGGCTGGCTAATTTTTTCCACATCCAAATAGTCCACACTCCATAACAACACTTTGTTCTCTTGATCTTTCTCCACATGTCTACAGAGCTAGATTTCAAGTTTCTTGAGGGCTTATAAACACTGGCTTTTGACTTTTCTGTCTACTACTCTCTCCTCCATCCCTAGAGTGCGCAGTGTAGGTGCTTAGTGACTATCTGCTACGTCTAAGGGAGGTGCTGCTGTTGTACCTAGGCTGGTTGACTGATGGAAAGGTGACACTATGGAGAAGCATAAATCTGTGAATACAGAACAAGGAGGCAGCTATCCAGGAAAAATAAGCAGCAAACCACCAAGGAAGGCTTAAACTAAATTTTAAAAAGCACAAGTCAAGAATGTGCACACAAATTGCACCAACTGAAAAAAAAATAAGTTTGATACTAAAAAAAGAACATATAATTTTCAAGCACTTATAACCTGAAATTATTAGATTTCTTTGTGATATGAATGTCAAAACAAAAAAAGTTATTATTTGTACAATTAAGCTCTGCTTTCTATCAGCACCTGCAGTAATCACTCATGAACTCAGTCTGTACTAAATCGGTATTAGTTGTACACCAACAACTATTTTAAATCTTTAGAAAGATAGAAAATGATCAGCTTTGGCCCTTACCCTTTAAGAAAGATAAGTACAAAACCATGAAGAGCTTTAACTATAATCACTTAAAAGACTTTGTAATTCATTATTTTAGGGCCACTCAATAATAAAGGCTAAAATTATCATAGTAGCTATACTCCAACATAACATGTTACCTGTCTTGAGCAGATCAGTGATGCCATAACACACATGTGTGGTGTCAAGAAGAGTTTTAGTCTCATAATTAAAATACCAAGGGCTGTATATGCTAACAATTGCAATGCATGGTAAACCAGCTGAAAGAAAGAAGAAAATGTTTTTTACTCCTACTGTTTGTGAAGTTTAAGAATACTAAACTGGCAATATGCAGAAAGGGGTACGTTCTCCTTAGTAACAAAAAATACTACTAAGGTTTCTGAAACTTCGAAAACAATTCTTAAAATTCACTTTCAAACTGTTCCATTTTAGTGGAAGGCTAAAATTATAAAGTCATTAAGGCAAGTGTTTCTGTGATTCTCAGAGTCAAACCTGTGGTTAATAAAGCCCACATTTTTTAATCAACCTTGATGCTACCATCAGACCAAGAAAAGACAGTGGTAAAAGAAATGACTGCTGCCTCAAGATCTGAGGGCTCCACCTTGGAACTGCCCTCAAAACCAGACTGGACAACTAGGAGATGGGAGCAGTAACCAATCACATCTCTGAGGCCTCAAGCAAGGTGAGCAGAGAGGAAAGTGATTTCCAATCATGCAATAGACACCTCATACATATGTCTAAATGGGCTCCAGAAATCAACTGCCATTAGTGTAAAGATGATCAGAGCAGAACATATGAGTTTCCTAGTTAATTTTAACAAATGAATAGTCAGTGAATCTGCATATAGCATTCTCATAAAAACACATAACAGGCTATTTTCAAGATGATTGCTGACAATTGCCAACAAAGTTAGAAACTGGAACTAGAAAGGAAAGTCCAAATGCATGCAACTTTAAGATAAGTAAAATTATAGTCATATTAAGTCTTTACCTCTCCATGATCAAACTGGTGTTTTCTGGAACAGAAAAAAATATATTGCCATCAATTCATTATTGAAGCACTTACGTCATATATTTGCATTTTCATCTTGCAAACAGGAGTTTTACAACTTCTATAACATTCTCTCAGGACACACACAGGCAAATCAAAATAACTAAAAGTCACATGCCAAAACTGGTGCTATACTATTTTAAGAAAATTTATGAAGAATGACAATGTTGTATTATATCCTATTTGACTACATGGGTATTTATTAGGACAACAAAGGCACACGGTGGTGTCCCAGCTCCCTCACTGGTGATACCCCAGCAAAGCATGGAATGAAAAAAACCTTTGAGATTTTCACTAGGCAACCAAGTAGAGATAACAAATACGTGGTTATATGTGTAAATCTGAGTTCAAGGGAGAAGTCTGGGTCAGAGACAGAAATGTGTGAGTTGACAACACACACCTTCTCTTTCTTAAGCACTGATATGTTCCCAAGACCTAGAGTAATACCTGACACTTAGAGCTCAACATTTTTAATGAATGAACAAGTGTATCAATAAACTGTTAATCCAGGTAGCATATAATCTAATTTGAGAATCTAGCCTCAAAAAGACTGATATATTAGCAAACTCAGGACACATAAGGGGCTAGTGAAGGAGATGAAACAGTTCTTTATTCTTCTTTCACACCAAGTAAAAACTATCAGTTACCATTTGTTGAGTACTTACAATGTTAATATGCTTAGTACATTCCATTAACTCTAATCCTACAACCATTTATTACCCCAATTTACAGCCAAGGAAAGGAATCACAGAGCTAGTAAGTGGCAGCCAGGACTATATTCTGACTGACTTCAGAGCCAATATACTTTTTACTACATCATGCTGTCTCTATCCCACTTTACTTCCTGGGTCTTTGAGTAAAGAGAATATTGGCATTCATGTCTTTGATAGTTAAAATTTATGTCCTACTCTTCTCCTTTTTACACTGGCTTTGGTAGCTATGCAAAATAAAATGTCAACATGCCACTCCTCTTCCAAAAAAGAGCTCTGATCCTATTTGAACTGACAACTCCATGAAGCTCAATGGTTTCCTATAATTACTTCTATAGGTGAGTTATTACTCTTGAAGGGACAGCTTTGTTTCTGTGAGAAGTTCCACCTTCCTCTTCCAGAGTTGCATACTACAGCTGAAACTTTGTAGCTTCTTCCTGAGCTCTTCAAAAATAATTTCACCTCAAATGAAAAATTTCGGCATTGTAAACCAGAACGTTTTTCTTTCCCCCTTAGCCCTCAACTCAAATGTTACAGGTATAAACATATACCTGTATATGTTACAGTAAATTGTTTCTAAATGAGAACAAGGATTCTCTCAGGAGTATGTGCAATAATTTATCATTATGTTGGCAGAGACTTGGAGGTGAGGGAATAATACAAGGGTGTGTATATTCAAATTATAAAATAAAATATAGGGCCAGGCGCAGTGGCTCATGCCTATAATCCCAGCACTTTGGGAGGCTAAGGCAGGCAGATCACGAGTTCATGAGTTCAAGACCAGCCTGGCCAATATGGTGAAACCCCGTCTCTACTAAAAATACAAAAATTAGCTGGGCGTGGTGGTGGTCGCCTGTAGTCTTAGCTATTCAGGAGGCTGAGGCAGACGAATCGCCTGAACCCGGGAGGCGGAGGTTGCAGTGAGCCGAGATCGTGCCACTGCACTCCTCCAGCCTGGGTGACAGAGTGAGGCTCTGTCTCAAAAAAAAAAAAAAAAAAAGAAAAATTAAAAAAAAGAAAATATAGATACATACACATTCGACAATCCTTCTCCCCCCAAAATCCCACAAAAGAATAAAAGTAGAGTTAAAACTACCTTCACTCCATCCTCTAATCCCACTCTTAATAATTACAGGATTTATCTTTCCGGATCATTTCTATGCACAAACACATAAAAATCTCTAAATTTTAAAGAGAAGTATAATTATCCTATACACACACACACTGGCAATTTTAAAAATTCAATAATGTATACTGGACCTATTTCCAGAAAGATAGCCTAACATTCCACTCTATGTATCATAGTAGATATTTTGGATGTTTCCATTTCTCACATAACACACAATACTACAAAAGGCATCTCTCCCCATCATCTCTGTATTTCTGTGAGCATCTCTAGAGGGTACACTTGCACTGGTGGAACCTGCAGGGCTAAAGGACAGGCCCACTATATGTTTTACTGTGTATTGCCAAACTTCCCTCCCATCTACTACCTCCCACTCTTGCAAGCATTGGATATACTATTAATTTTTAGAAATATAAGAAGTGAAAAGGTCTTCACTTTAACCTGAATGGCTTTACCATAGGATCAAGACTACCTTTTCATGTTCATTAGTCATATGTAAATACTCATTCAACTACTATCCTTTACTATCTTGCAGGCACTGTATATAAACTGTTGAACAAAAATGATCGCTCCCTTCAGGAGATACGGGTCACACATCAACATTTAAGTACAAAGGGTGACAAATGGTAAGAGAGTAAGACAAAGGGTGTGATGGTGGAAAATACCAAGCATGCTATAGGCCTCTCTAACTCTCAGGTTATAAACAAACCCTCTTGGTTAATTTTGGGTTTTTTTTTTCCTATACATAATTCTCTGGTTCATCTGAAATTTATTTTCTGTAAAAAGTGAGGTATGAATCCAGTTTTATATTTCCCTGCTCATTTCCAAAAAGGCAGTCCACTGGTCCTAAAACCACTCACGTAATAATTTACTTTCCCTGCTGAAATGAAGTACAAAACTGTGTCCTTTGAGTGTAGATTATGTGCAGGGCTACTGTCAGACTGTACTGGATAACATCTGAAGGATGAATAAGTGATGTGCTGTGTTCTGCACAGATAGGAAATAAGAAGAAATGCCAGGAAGGGAAATGACCACAATAAAAACATCAATTATCAAATATTAGGTACACAACATGTAAGTATACAATTAATACACTGTAAATATCTATTTAATAAATGAACAGAGGAGGTAATAAAATTCTTAATAGCATATTTACCTTACATGTGTCTGTTGTTTAGCTAAGACACCCCACATATCACTAATAATCTGTAAATAGATTTTGAAACACTTTAGAAAAGCTGTGTTGGGAAAAATGATATTTTAAATAAAGTATCTTCTAAACTGTAAAATAACTTTTAATGAAAATATAAGTATAGAGATAACTCAGAAAATAATAATCACAACAACATAATCTTATATTTGTATAGTATCTGATCAAAGCTAATATTCAACAACCCTGTTGGGTAGATTATATCATCCTCGTTTTGTAAATGAGCAACAGGTTCATATGGATTAAATGATTGCCCTGTAGGTAGACAACTACTAAGAAGCACTGCAGTCTTGAAACCAGATCTTCTGGCTTCAAATTCACATTCAGCGCTGCTTCCACCATGCCAACGTTGTTGGCAACACCTCTTCTTAACAGTGCACTCAGAAAACTGGAGAGCTGGCTCAGAGGTTGATAATCACAGCTGGAAGCATTCAAAACACAGTCACTGTGCTTTCATATTCAGCAATAATGAGGAGGTCATCTAATCTAAAATCGTATCTCCAGTACAAATATTCTCTACAACACTGATGACAGGCTGTAATCCAGCCCTTAGAATCCACCAGCTGCTGCTTGAATCTATAACACTTTCCTTATCAGTCGAGATCAGTTCTGGTCAAAAGTCATACCTCCTGGAATTGGCCATGATTCTAAGGAGCCAGATTGTGTGTAACCTTATTTTCAAGGCACAGGCTTTTACCATATTTCAAAGTAATTATCCGCTTTCCATCTACATCTTTTCTTCTTTAAACGAAACAGCCTAGCTAATAGTTTTCATCATCTCTCACCACTCAGGTTGCTGTCTTTTGCATATGTTCTGGATGGCCAATGCTTAGTATTTTTTGAGTACCCACTAGGTGCAAACCCACATAAACTATACAAAAGTGCAAAGCACACACAAAGCCTAGCACACAGCAGGAACTGACTCTTAACTGATTAGAGATTAAAAGTGCTGTCGGAGTACACAGCTGAATACCAGACATAGCCCAACGATAGGGGAAGGTGCAGAGCCCGAGTCTCACTCTTCCCTTGCTTTTAAGTGGACATGATGCGAGGCTCCTAACAACATCTTTGATCTTTCAGTTCTGTATGTTAAAATGGAGATAACATTTGTCTACCCCATAGGGCTGTTGAATAACCAATTTAAATACTCATGTGAAAATGTTCTATACAAAGCAGAGTACAAATATATAATATGAACAATTGTTATAATACAGAATATTCTACAAATAAATGACATTGTGTTAACACAGAAATCACTGGCCACGTATCAGGAAACTTTTAAGGTCTGTCGTCTCTTTTTCCATCACAGATTAACTTCTGTTCATTCTCTTAAGACACATTTGGTTACAGAGTGCACAATTCTTAAAGAAAAAAAGAGAGGGAATATCACACTTGCTTTGATCTTATTTATATCTGGGCTTTGAATTTTATCGTCAAAGCCAACTTGGGGACCTAAACATTTTATCTAGTTCATCAACACATTGCAAATACTCTGTTTTTTCTTTCTGATTAATAATAAACACAATCCAGGAGTTATTGCACACTGCACAAATCACTTAGGTATATTTTAAATATTTTAGGGAAATATTACATTAAAGGTAAAAGCCAGTAATAATTTACACAGGCAAGTTGTATCTGGGTCAATATGGTCTCTGATCATGCCTTCCAAAATACATGACTATCGGAACTTGAGCCATCCTTTTCTGATGTCTGTTTTATGCTAGCAGATAGAATATTTTGAAGCTATATAAATGTCTATCAAAAGCTATCATTAAGAAAACATAGAATATGTTACAGTAAGCCCATACAAAACGTTGTATCAGATAAATGTGGCCAAGTATATGCGACTACTATGTAAAAACAAGAAAATATTCTATTATAAGAAAGAGCTCTTAAGTGATAGACATACCTTTCTAACAATAGCAACAAACACTACAAGAACAACTGGAAGCAATAATGTCTTTGTGTATCTCAGTGGAGTCTGAAATTCAAAGAGATGTTTTGTTAGAAGGAAACATTTTAACCAAACAAAATTTCATTTCAAATAATGAAATAGGTAAATTTCTGAAAGTAGAGAAATATGAACATTCACCAATCTACTCACTGACTGCCATCATAAAAAGGAAGGTGCATTTCCATAGAAATGAACTTCCCCAAAATGCTGAGTTGAAACACTAAAAATACAGTACCCAAACACCTGTAAGTGTGAAATGTCACTGAAGAGATTACTGCTCACTTTTTGCATGCTACTTATCTAACTAGAGAGACCAACTTAATATTCATCTAAGGTATGTAAAGCTCCTTAAATGGAATAAGCTTTTCCTGTATATTTTGTGGGGGATAAAAATATTATCCTTGAAACACACACACACACACTTTCTCACGCATAAACAAAATAATGATCTATGTTTGAGGGGAACAAAAGGCTTTTACATTTTCTTTAGTAGCAGAAAAAAAATAGAAATAAGTTTAATAACAAAGCCCTACACATTGTGAGCCTGTGCACCTCTCAATTATCTCTCCACCCAAAAAACCACTGTTAAAATTTTGCTTTTATACTTTTTTTACTTTTATGTGTGTTAATTATGGGTTAATAAGACTATATCATTTTGTTTACTCCCTTATATATCTTAAGCATCTTTCCATGTCAGTATGATATCATATTAGGAAATACCATGTTAAATTTTCCCCTCTTCTCCACTGTATAGGTGTACCATAATTGGAACATATGTTCCCTGAACTGACAGTACTCTGTCTCTACAGCACAGTCCCTATGAATTAAGATACTTACAGTGATGAGGAATGGTATGCTGGAAACAGTTTTGCTATTTTCTTCAAATTAGCTGAAGTCATGCTATGTCTCAATAAATTATTTCTTTCATCACATAGCTTATGTTTAATACTCTCAGACTGTAGCAGTATGTATGATGTTCTCAATAACATTAAACAACTTCACCACATCCTAATTCTCTAATATTTGAAGGAGTCTTGAACCCCTATGAACATGCATTTCAATGTCTTGCAAGATATGCTTCCTTTGTTTGTTTCAGCAGGTTTAACACTAAAACTCATATACCTTTGTCAGCCACTGTGTGTCAAAACCATTTGCCGGAACACAATAAATGAAGACTGACAGGCCACTGGAGTAAACAGTACCTCTGCAGAACACACTCAACTCCAAATGGCCGGTAGATAAAAGTTTCCTGTGTGGTGCCCTCTCATCCACTGGTCTGGAACTCTGGACACTGGGCTAACACAGTGGGATCATGAGGGAAACTAACATGTCAATAGAGTATTGTTGGCCAGTTTCATATACATACACATACCACTCTGAAGGAGTGACACAGATAATATAATTAATCAGTACCACATGGATGGTGTTAAAAATGCACATATATACATGCTTGTCGAACTAAACCAGCTCATAAAGTATTGCAAATTAATATTTTATTTATTTAAATATTTACTTATTTAAAATATCAAAGTACTTTCCTTTGTATTATCTCATTTTGTCTTCACAATATCTGTTTATGGCATGCTACTAGAAACTAGTAAACTATAACACGACGAATGAGAGTTGCTTGTTCAAGAACATCAAGCAAAATTACAGGCTTCTGTCTCACAATCCACTAAACTACTCTCTGCTTTCCTTCTAAATCTCTGAATACAGTTTTAGAAAGAAAAATGCTGTTGGAATGAAAAGCTTGGACTTGATGTTTCAAAGCAAATATCTATTTAAATAACCACAAAATGAGTGGAAATGTAAGAGTTTGAGAGCTTGACTAAATTAATGCTATCACTGAAAAATGGCAACTTGAAATGCCTCTGTGTTTACTCACCTAGAAAACCACTGCTAGTCTGAATGTGTATTTCTAAATTATCAAAATGAGTAAAGGCCATATATTTCAGGGAGCTGCACTAAAGTAAACAGAAAAATCTTCCTCTAAGCTGCCAGATTTTCCTTTTCCTTCAAACTGAGATAACAGCACATAAAGAGTCTGATATAAGAGGAGCACTCCTTATGAAAAATGTATGGGCCAAAACCTTAGGAAACAGAACTAGAAATCACATCTTACCTCTTTTTCCATAAAGTCAAACTCCGCTGCACAGGTATACAATAAAGTATCAAAATCCTTATAACTAAAGAATTTTGATGTTAGTAAGTTGCCAATATGAGCCTGGTAAGAAATAAAGTTACCATTATATTAAGCCATACACTGCAATAATATATTTTAATTTCAATAGTATCTGAAAATAGTTTTCATTACATTATAGAGCCCACTGTTCCCACACCAAGCCTGCTTTTGTTAAAGAAGGAAATGCTATATCCTCCACCTTCACAGTTCCCTTCTTTTGCTGAATAGTGATAGCTCCAATGACACCCTACCTTCCACACTCATCGACATCCCAAAGGCTTTTTCCCTTGGGTTTTCCCAGCTTACTGTGCTAAACCTGGTGAAACAGGCCGCACAGCATCTCCCTTGCTGGAGCCTACCAGCAGCTCTGGGCTTGGGAACACACACAGACTTCTTTTAATCATAAAAGCACAAAGGACTATGGGGTAAAGAAAAAGAAATACGAATTCTGAAAAGGAGATTGAAAAGAGTACTTGAGTGAAGTAGAAATGGGCAGGTACTGGAATAAAAGGTACTTCTTGACTGATAATCACCTCTCATATAATTATTCACATGTTATCAAGGATTCTCACTCACACTGCCACATTTACCTCCCACAAAAAGCCATGTGAGGAAGGTGGATTTTCACTTTATAAATAAGAAAACTAGGGCACAAAGACATAAAACATTTGCCAAATGTTCAAGTTCATTATAGTCTAAAAAAGCAACAACCAAAGAAAAGAGGAGAAATTATATCTAGGACAAACCATGACTAAAATTCTATATGATATCTACATGAAGCAGAAGGAACAGGGTAAGAGTAGGAACTAGATGGTGGCAGGTATGTGATGAAGCATTTCAAAATACTATGTCTTGTTGGGAGAAGAAATGTATGCTGATAAGCATAAGAAATCAATAGGAAGAATATACAGCACCTAAAATAGCATAAGAAAACAAATCCCAAACAAAATGAAAGAAATAAGTCCTAGTATTATGACAATTACCATATATGTAAAGAGCATAAATTCACTAATTAAGGGACAGATGCTTAAATTGGACTTAAGGGAAAAAATCTAATATTATATTGTCACCAAAAGAAATACTTAAAAGTATGCTGAAAGGTTGAAAACAGAAGAATGGAAGAAGATATACCAGGTAAGTTTAAAACAAAGAAATCTGTTAGCAATTATAATGTCTCACAAAACTGAATTTAAGCAAAAAATATATGAAAAGAGACAATAAATATTATATGCTAGTAAAATTAACAAAAAAGCAAGATTATACATATTGCCAACATATCTGCAGTTAAAAATATGGATTCAAAGTACACAGAATAAGAACTGACAAAAACTAAAGGAAGAAATAGAAAAGTTGACAGTGTTCATTGCAAATGTTAAACACTGCCTCCTTGAATAAAAAAGCTGACAAAAGTTAACATAAAAGGTGAATACAATCAATTAGCTCACAAACAGAAAATATAAACTTCACAAAGAGAATACACATTATCCTTGAACACAAGTGAAATATTTTTGAATATTCACATACCATGTAACAATAAATTCCAAAAATATGTATATATTTGATTATAAATGCAATACAACTAGAAAATACCTAGAAATTGCTTTAAAAATTCTTGATTAGAAGTTAAATATCATAAAACTTAACCTTTTAAAAAATCACAAATAGACAATCTATAAGATACATAAAAGAGTACTACATACTTACAAAGAAAATTTTAGCTTTAAAAGCATTGATCAGAAAATAAGAGAGGTAAAAACAACAGAGCTAAGTATTTCCCTTGGGCATCAGAAGACAGGAAACAAAAAGAAGTAAGAATAAGAATGAGGACAGGAATTGGTGACAAAGAGAAACACAATAAAACCAAAGAGGACTAAAAAAAGATATAACTTTAAAAATATTAAAACAATAGACCTCTAGAGCAAATCTAATGAAGGAAATAAATGATGCAAACAAAAAGCAAAATGAAAAAGGGAGAAATAACTATGGACTCAACATAGTAAGAAGAATAGGCTACACAATTTGCTAATAAATTGTAAAACCTAGGTAAAATGGATACATTTCTGGAAAATCATAAAACACCAACACTGGCACAAAAAGAAATAGAAAACTTGAATAGAACAAAAAGCATTCAAATATCTGAAATAGAAATCAAGTATTTTCCCTCCCAAAAAGCCCTAGACTGAGATGGTTAACATTGAATTACTAAACTTTCAAAAAAAAAAAAAAACTTTCCTAAGTTGCCAGAAAGTAGGAAAAATAAAAAAAAAGACCACAAAAAAAAAACCCACAACAGCTCTTAATAGAAGACCAATATTAATTCCAAATCCAAATAAGGAGAAGTCAACCAAAGAACAAAAAGATCACTTCCCAAATATGCATATACACAAAAATTCCAATAAGAATTTTAACTGACTAAATTTAAAAAGCATTATCCATTTGATGACATATATAAAATGGGAAAAATTCCTCTAAGAACATAAAACTACCAAAGTTCACTCCAGATGAACTGGAGAGCTTCCTAATGAAATTGAATTTGTAGTAAAAAACCTACCCATAAAGAAAGCTCCAGGCCATGAGGGCTTCACTGTTAAATTCTACCAAACATTTAAGGAAGAGATAATACCAATTCTACATAAAAATCTTTCTGAAAACAGGAGACAGGACACTTGCAAATAATTTTAGGAGATGACATTACCCTGAAACCAAAACCAGACAAAATCATTACAAGAAAACTACAACAAATATTCCTCATGAGTAATAGACGAAAAACACCTTAAAAATATTAGCCAACCAAATCCAACAATATAGAAAAGAAATACTACATTTGAGCAGGTGAGGTTTATCCCAGGATACAAACTAGATCAACACTCATATATCAAAAAAATGTGTCAACTTCCAAATACGGCAGAGTGAAGAAACTGGTAACTCCCATTCTCCAAAACCACTTTAAAATTGGACAAAATTATAAAAAAAACACTCATATCAGGTTCTAGAGATTAACCAAAAGGAAGCAACAATGTGGGAAGCATTCATTCATAAAAAACTGAGAAACTGTGGGTAAAAACAGTGGGAGTCTGTGGCATTTTTACCTAGGTTGCTCCCATCCACCTCAGCACCACCCCCATCTCCCCCATACTGTTAGTCCAACAGTTCTTTTGAAGGGGGCAGGACCGAGTGTGGCTACTCATAAAAAGAACCTGTACTACTGGAACAGGCTGACCTGATTTGGGGCGGACAGCTAAAAACCTACGCTCAGAGGCACTATCAGTAAAAGTAGAGAACTCAGTAGGAAATAAAAGGCTGGGTAGCCTTGCCACTATCTTCCTTTAACCAATGTCAAAATTAAGAATTTATGAGCCAATGCCCTTAATCAACGTTACGTATTTCTAAAAATACTAAAGTTACAACTAAGTTATTTCTAATTTGCAAATAACATAGTTTATAGCATCTTTTTTGGCCCTGCATAATTTTAGGCTATGACAGAAAATGACAATAATAGCTTTAACCTGAATTAATACCTTAACTGGTTCATGTTCCCCCAGTGAGTAAAACAGATTCTATAAACGCAGGACTAGGGTTATTTCACTTGTCTTCCTGATCACGCTCTGCATATTGGCTGACTTACCCACCTTTCAGCTCTCATCCTCAGAGCTGACTTCCAGGATCCTTCCCTGATGCTCCTCCTGTGTATTCCTGCAGCACTCTGTACGTCATTTTTTATCATAGCCTTTATTACACTGTATTGTAACTGCTAGGAATTGTTCCTATTTTCCGAATTTTCCGCTAGACCATACCTTACTCAGTTTGGTATCTCTAGCATACTTTCCACTGTCAGGCACACAGGAGGTACTGAATGAATGAATGAATGAATAAATACATTTTCAACTATAGTTTTATAGTTTTAAAAATCTTTCCACAGATTGTAGACCAACCATTTAATGGTCCATGTGTTTTCAATCTTTTAAGCAAAAATAACCCTTGTTCTTATGAAAACCTGTATGAAAGAGATTGAGGTTAAACTGCCCTGGGTAAAAGAGAGGCTAGGAGACAGGGGAGTAGACAGCCCTCAGGGAAGATTCCTGGGAAGTCCTAGGACTTCACATAACCCAGTTTCAAAACCATAGCATTAATCTAGTACAGAAAGAAGAAAATCACCAATAAAAATACACTATAGGAAAAAAATAGTTTATTTTTTCCATGTTGGTTCTTGTGCTGCTTTTTTAAATTAAATCTTTGATAGCCTCCTGACTTAGGATGTGCTGATTAAAACACCAAAATAAAATAGGCAAAGCAATTATGGACAGAGAGAATCTTTAAAATTATAAGACAGACTTCTCCATTTTATCTTCCCTTCTACCCTAATACCAAAAATAAACAAAAATCTTCTCTAAATAAGACTCACTTGGATTACATTATCTATAAAGGCTTATAAAAGCCTTTTACAAGTAATGACTTGAAAACTGGAGAGAAAAAAGAATGAGACTATAATACGATCTCCAATTAAGGCTCTAAAGATGGTGTCTTTACCAGTTACAAAGAAGCTAGAGAAAAATGACTGTATAGAGCTTAAAATTCGATCTTTAATCTATTATCTACAGTTTTCCTGCGTTAAAATTTTAGTGACATAGAAGGACCAATAAAAAAAGAGATTAAGAAACTAATTTTGGAGAACGAAAATCTATATACAATTACATTTACTTTCTATTATATTAAATAAAATAATAGGTGAACAGACTTCATCCTAGAATTTCATTTAATAGTGATACTTGAATAACTCAATTTATTCTTAGCCTATTCGATTCTTTTCAAGTCTTTCAAATTTAAGTAAAAAATGCACTTACGTCATCTGCAATACCAAAAATTTTAGATGTCAAGTATTTAAGTATGACAGTTCCAAATAACCAAAAACATCCTTGAATAACCTAAACAAAAGAAAACAAAAATAACTTTGATGCTTCATATTCCACAGACATAGGCTAGGAAGAAAAAAATAAATGCTTTAATCATACATGAAATACATATTACTATCTACAAGAGAAAATGCTAGAAAATGCATCTCAATTTAAAATCAAGCATGTTGCTCAAAATCAAGGGACAGTAACTAAAAATAAAAATATAATCATACAATCTTATCAAAATTAATATATTTTATAGAAGATTTACACAACCACTGCAGTTAAATTCCCTTTAACAGTTTCTTATACATGCACTGTTTCTCAGATGAAACATGAGTAATAAATAAAACTGGAATTTTTAAACTACATACCCAGGATTAACTTTAACTTGTTTCATAAAAAGGGCAATTTGGTACATTAAAACTGAGCCCTAAAATACTATAAAACTGTTGGATCCCCTGAGTTGCATAGATCATTTTCTTAAAAGTAAAACATAAAACCAATGATATATTTTAGAGAAGAAAAAACATAAGCATTAAAATAGATTGATTCTCACCCATAAACTAAGTTCAGATACATTTATTTTCAGGAAATGTGGTTTCATTGCCAGAATACCCTGAGTAGAGAAAAATAACATAGTATACACAGTTAATACTTATAGACATAAATTCAAGTACCAAAAAATTCTTCTAAATAATAAGATTCTCAAGTATCTAAAATTTAGCACATGGTTGACTTTCCACATACCATCCACATGCTCATTTCTAGAGTCAGTGACTTCAAGGTATAGCCCTATTATCCAAAGTCAATTAGGTGAATGCGTGACTTTTTAAAGTTGAAAAAGGAATCACCATATGTAAATGTCTATGACTGATTTGACATATCTGATTTATCTCTGAGCCATGAGGTATATAACATTTTCAGAATTTTGGACAGTAGTCATACAGGCATAAGATTTTCCTTTAGCTAAAAATTACTGACTCTTAGGGTAAACAGCAAATGAAATGTTAATGGATCAACTAAATACTTCTCTGAAGTATTTTCAGGTGGTAATGCTTCCAAACTGTATTACCCTTGGGGAGCTAAAACTACTTCAAACATGGCAAAAATATGATTAGAGATCAAAACATAAATACTTCAAACCAAATTAAATCTTTTTGGAAGTTTCTAAATACCTGAGAATACAAAATGTGATACAATTCAGGTTTCAAAGTGAAATTATAAATATATGCAAATGTGTGTTTATAGTTAAATATGCACAAACATGCTGTATTCCCTGTTATCATTTATTTTTATACACCAAAATATATGGAATATACATAAATATGCTTAATTCGTACCTAAGGCACACCTCAGTGTGAAGCATCTAGCAGCATACCTGACATATAGAACTGAAAAGAAATTTCCTACAAAATGTACTTAAATTAGATTTTATTTGTATGTAATATTCGATTCAATGGTTTCCCTGTCCATAGTACCAAGATTCATATACTTTATCCTGGGTGATAGCAGTACATGAGAAAATACATATGTAAAATATACAACTGAGTACTTTGTCACCTTTCCTAATAATAAACAGAGAACACAGAACTGAAGAACTATACTTATTAATCCCAAAGTTATGATTTTTCTTGTTGTTGTTGTTGAAAATATAGCATCATGCTAATTGCTAATTTCTGTAGCTAAGTATACTCAAGGCACAACCTGAAAAGGGTGGCGGCCCACACTGGGAAGAGGCATATTTTTGAGAAATGGGTATTTTTTTTTTTTTTTGAAATGGAGTCTCGCTCTGTTGCCCATGCTGGAGTGTAGTGGCGCGATCTCAGCTCACTGCAAGCTCCGCCTCCTGGGTTCATGCCATTCTGCCTCAGCCTCCTGAGTAGCTGGGACTACAGGCGCCCGCCACCATGCCCGGCTAATTTTTTGTATTTTCAGTAGAGATGGGATTTCACCTTGTTAGCCAGGATGGTCTCGATCTCCTGACCTCGTGATCCACCTGCCTCAGCCTCCCAAAGTGCTGGGATTAGAGGCGTGAGCCACTGCGCCTGGCCGAAAAATGGGTTTTTAAATAAATATCATTTGTAAAATAAATGAAAATGGAGGTTTCAAATGTAATGGGTTCTAGAAATTAAGAAACCCCAAATGATCTGAGTAACTTAATTACTCAAGAAGTCGAATATATTCCAATTACGACAGTGCAATACGCTTTTAAAGTCACAGGGAAACTAAAGCACATGTACTTTAAACATAAGGAATAACAAGTCTGCAAAACATTTTAATGGAAATCCACCAAAAATAAGGCAGTCTTAAAATTTCAGAAGACTTTTAGACTTACAAAGTCATCCTGCCAGCCGGGCATGGTGGCTCACGCCTGTAATCCCAGCACTTTGGGAGGCCGAGGTGGGCAGATCACCTGAGGTCAGGAGTTAGAGACCAGCCTGACCAACATGGAGAAACCCCGTCTCTACTAAAAATACAAAACTAGCCGGGCATGGTGGCACATGCCTGTAATCGCAGCTACTTGGAAGGCTGAGGCAGGAGAAACGCTTGAACCTGGGAGGCGGAGTGAGCCAAGATTGCGCCATTGCACTCCAGCGTAGGCAACAAGAGTGAAACTCCACCTTAAAAAAACAAAACAAAACAAACAAACAAAAAAACAAAGTCATCCTGCCATATGTAGCAGAAAGAATTAGATGACCTTCCATCAATTTGTTCTAATTCTGTAAAATAATCTCTCCATAATCTAAAGTTGTTCTTGGTAGTGATTTAGCAAAATAAAACTGAATCATCACCTTACTTAAACCATCTGAATAGTCCATACAAGTAGACAAGGGGCAAAAAACAAAACAAGAAAAACAAAACAAAACAAAAAACAGAAGAAAAAGTAACCAAGGCCTTGATCTTCTGAGCACAGTGGAATGAAGAGGGGTGGCTGTTACAAGATTGCAATGAGAGGAAAGGGGTTCAAAAAGTGGAGCAGGAGTAGGATTAAAAATGCAAAGGAGGAAGGGAGAAGAAAGCATAGAAACTTTTCTGAAATGATACTAATTTTTCCTTGTTTTTTTTTTCCCTGTTTTAGAATTGAGTACTTGAACACCATACATCTAGAATATTCAGTAAGACACTTAAGATGGTTCCTACAGAAAACCCTGATGAATCCTAAGCCAGTGAAGAAAAAATTGTTAAACCATTAGTTTCAAAAACAGCCATATAAGTGTTAAGGAATACTTACCCAAATAATTACCAAAGAAGAAGCATAATAAGAAGTTAATAACATTGAGTTCCCAAACATCAAAACAAAACAAAGTGCAAGAGAAATCTGGAAAAATCCAAGAAAAAAATATAAGTAATGCACATAAAACAAAAAACCTTTGTTTTTTATTGTGAAAACTGCACATGCCCATAATAAACAAAATTCAAACTGTTGAAAAGGGACTATAAAACAGCCCATTCTCCATCTCACACTTCAAACTCCCAGAGATAACCATCATCAACAGTTTCCTGTTTATCCTTCCAGACAACATGTATAAATTCTAGTTTATATATTTTGTAAAACCACAAATGGACACTTACCCCACAAGCTGTACTATTTCTTGCTTTTATTCGTAATATGTTTCAGAGAGCTTTCCATACACATGCAAGCCAATCTAATACATTCTGCTTAAGAACTGGTAAAAGTATTCTATTCTATAGATGTATCCTAATTTATTTAACTAGTCCTCCGAATACTGCGAAACACTTAAGTGCTTTCCACTTCTATTTTGTTTTGTTTGGATCTTCCCAATACAAACACTGCTATGATAGACATCCTTATGTGTATACCTTATGTGCATGTCAGTACATTTATGAATAAATTACTAGAAGTGAAATTGATGGATCAAGGATATACACATTTTTAAATTCAATACAAATATTGACAAATTGGCCTACAAAAAGATTGTGGCAATTCACTTTCCCACCAACTGGGCAGGAGAGTTCCTATGGATATATATTCTGGCAACACTGTATTATTCTTTTAAATATTTGCCAATCCAGTAGGGAAAAAATGTTACCTCATTGTTTCACTTTTCCATTCTTTTAATAGTAGATGAGACACAGCACCTTTTATTCTATTTGCTGGTTATGTTGTCTTGTGTGTATGTGTGAACTGCTTATTCCCACTGCCCATCTGTCTACTGGGATTTCATTATTTTCCTTAACAGCTCTCTTCATATATTACAGAACATAGCCCCAATATCCAGAATCTACAAAGAACTTAAACAAATTTACAAGAAAAAAAAAACCATCAAAAAGTGGGTGAAGGATATGAACAGACACTTCTCAAAAGAAGACATTTATGCAGCCAACAAACATATGAAAAAAAAGCTCATCATAATTGGTCATCAGAGAAATGCAAATCAAAACCACAATGAGATAACATCTCATGCCAGTTAGAATGGCGATCATTAAAAAGTCAGGAGACAAAGATGCTGTAGATGATGTGGAGAAATAGGAACGCTTTTACAGTGCTGGTGGGAGTATAAATTAGTTCAACTATTGTGGAAGATAGTGTGACAATTCCTCAAGGATCTAGAACTAGAAATACCATTTGACCCAGCAATCCCATTGCTGGGTACATACTCAAAGGATTATAAATCATTCTACTATAAAGACACATGCACACATATGTTTATTGCAGCACTGTTCACAATAGCAAAGACTTGGAACAAACCCAAATGCCTGTCAATGATAGTCTGGATAAAGAAAATGTGGCACATATACACCATGGAATACTATGCAGCTATAAAAAAGGATGAGTTCATGTCCTTTGCAGGGACATAGATGAAGCTGGAAGCCATAACTGTCAGCAAACTAACACAGGAACAGAAAACCAAACACTGCATGTCCTCACTCATAACTGTCAGTTGAACAATGAGAACACATGGACACAGGGAGGGGAACATCACACATCAGGGACTGTTGGGGGCTGGGGGGCTAGGGGAGGGATAGCATTAGGAGAAATACCTAATGTAGATGACGGGTTGATGGGTGCAGCAAACCACCATGACACGTGTATACCTATGTAACAAAACTCCACTTGCTGCACATATACTCCAGAACTTAAAGTATATATATATATTTTAATATATATGTTTATTTGTATATAAATATATATATATATATATATATATATTTATATATATATATATATATATAAAAGAACCTAGCCCCTTATCAAGTAAACATATTGTAAATATTTTTCTCAGTTCATTTTTGACCTCTGTAGTATTTTTTGTATTATGGTTATTTTCTAAATCTTTATGTTAGCAAATTTATCTTTCATTTCCTTTAGGTCTTTGGATTTATCTGTCATTTAAAAGGCACTAAAAATAAAATAATCCATATTCTAGAAGTTTTATTTTTGATCCATATATATCAATTTCCATGTGAATTTCAGAATCAACTTATTAAGCTTCAAAAACTAAAATTTTAATTAAAATTACTTTATTCAATAACGTGTTATTTATAGTTATATCTGTTCAACATCAAATCTTCAGATCCCAAAGCAATACATGTTCCTTCCATTTCTTTAAATCTTCTTTTACATGCATTAGCAAGTATAGTTTTCTTTGTATAGATTCCTGCATATTTTCTTGAGTTTATTCTAAAGCATATTATTTTTGCTGCTGTTTTATCAAGAATCTTCATATTTTGATTGTTTGTATACAGAAAAATTATATTAAATATGCATCAATGAATATGATTTCATTGTTTCCAGTAGTAGTTTATTTGGATTTCTCAAGTATTCAAAATGATATCAACTACAAACAATGATATTTTTACATTTTCCTTTGAATTATTTTTCAGTCAATTGTATTAGCTGACATTTCTGCAATAATGTTAAGTAATGAGAGAGGCAGTAGGCATATTTACCATGCTTCTGGCATTAATGGAAATAGGAAATTGTTCTATGGCTTCATCATTTTATGTGATACTAGTTTTTCTTTTGAGGTGTGGGTATCTTAAATTTCAATGAAATATCCGTCTATTTTTACTTGATTATGGTCTTAAACACCAAAAATAGATGTTGACTTTTATCATATACCTTTATAATATCAAAGGCAATTATTATGGATTTTTTAAACTTCCTAATGTGATAAATCATATTAATAGAATTTCTATTATCAACACATTCCTGCATTCCTGGAATGAGGCACTTAGATACAAATTTAACTACGTAAAAAACCTATCTGAGCAAAACTACAAAACTTCAATGAAACTAATCAAAGAACTTTATAAATACATGAAGTGTTATTCCATGTACAGGAAGATTCCATATTGAAGGGATGTCAGTTCTTCCCAACTTGATTCAGCACAATCCCAATAATGAGCCTAGCAAGTTACCAATAAAGTGATTCTGAAGTTTATATGGAGATATAAACAACCCAGTATAGAGCCAACTCAATACCAAAGAAGAGCAAAGTCAGAGGACTGACACTACCCCACTTCAAGACTTGCTATAAAGTTACTGTAATCAAGACAGTGTGATATTGGTGAAAGAAGACACAAACAGATCAAGGGAACAAAATACAGAGCCCAGAAATAGACTCACATATATAGTCAACTGATATTTGACCAAGGAGCAAAGGCAATACTGTGGAGCAAAAATAGTCCTTTCCACAAACGGTGCTGGAACAACTAGAGATCCACATACAAAAAAATAAATCTAGACATAAGACTTTACACCCTTCATGAAAACTAACTCAAAACAGACAACAGATCTAAATGCACACTGCAAAACTATAAAGCTCCTAGAAGATAACATTGGAGGAAACCTAGATGACCTTAGGTATGGTGATGACTTCTTAGATAAAAGAACAAAGGTACAATTTATGAAAGAAACAATTGATAAGCTGAACTTCATTAAAATTAAAAACTTCTGCTCTGTGAAAGACAGGACAATGATTGAGAGAAGATATCTGCAAAAGACACATCTGATAAGGGACTGTTATCAAAAATATACAAAGAATTCTTAAAACTCGACAATAAGGAAATGAACAACCCAAGGAAAAATAAGCAAAAGATCTTAATAGACACTTCACCAAAAAAGATACACAGATGGCAAAAAAAAGTATATTAAAAGATGTTCAACCAAATTAAAACAATGAGATACCATTACACATCTACTGGATGCCCAAAATCCACAGTGACACCACCAAATGCTGACAAGGATGTGGAGCAGCAGGAACTCTCATTTATTGCTGGTGGTAATGCAAAATGGTATGGCCACTTTGGAAGACAGTTTGGCAATTTCCTAAAAACTAAGCATACTCTCACCATACCATCCAAATATCACTTTCCTTGGTATTTACTCAAATGAACTGAAACATCCATGTAAAAACCTGCATACAGATGTTTACGGCAGCTTTATTCATAATTGCCCAAACTTGGAGTTAACCAACAAGTTATTCAATAGGCAAATAAATAAACAGTGGTACATCCATATAATGTTAATAAAATGTTAATAATAATCAAGATCTAAATGAGCTATCAAGCCATGAAAAGACTTGGAGGAAACTTATTTGCTTTTTACTAAGTGAAAGAAGCCAATACGAAAAGGCTACATACTGTATGGTTCCAAACACATGACACTATACAAAAGGCAAAACTATGGAAACAGTAAAAAGATCAGCGGCTGCCATGGGTTAGGGGGAAGGAGGGATGAATAGGTGGAGCACAGAAGAGCTTTATGGCTGTGAAACTGTTCTACAAGATACTACATGGTTGACACATGTCATTATACATTTGTCAAAATCCAGGCCGATTGTGGTGGCTCACATCTGCAATCCTAGCACTTTGGGAGGCCAAGGCAGAAGGATCCCTTGAGCCCAGGAGGTCAAGGCTGTGGTGAGCCATATTTGCACCACTGAACTCCAGCCTGGGCAACAGAGCAAGATCCTGTATCAAAAAAACAAAACAAAACACAACAACCACCCGTAGAAAAGTGAGGCCTAACGTAAACTACGGACTTTGGGTGATTCTGATGTGTGATGTAGGTTTATCAATTGTAACAAATGTACCACTCTGGTGCGGGATGTCAATAGAGGGGTAGGTTGTGCATGGTTGGGGGCAGGGGGTATATGGGAACTTTGTATTTTCTGCTTAATTTTGCTATAAACCTGGCTGGGTGCAGTGGCTCATGCCTGTAATCCCAGCACTTTGGGAGGCTGAGGTGGGCAGATCACATGAGATCAGGAGTTCAAGACCAGCCTGGCCAACATGGTGAACCCTCATCTCTATTAAAAATACAAAAATTAGCTGAGTGTGGTGGCACATGCCTCTAATCCCAGCTGCTCGGAAGGCTGAGGCAGGAGAATCGCTTGAACCCGGGAGGCGGAGGTTGCAGTGAGCCGAGATCGTGCCACTGCACTCCAGCCTGGGCGACAGAGCGAGATCTGTCTCAAAAAAAAAAAAAAAAAAAAAAAAATTTGCTATAAACCTAAAACTTCTCTGAAAAATAAAGATTTTTAATTAAGAAACAAAAACCACGGTGAGATATCACCTTATACCTATTAGGATGGCTACCATCCAAGAGCAGAAAATAAATGTTGGTGATTACATGGAGAAAATAGAACCTCGTGCACTGTTTACAGGAATGTAAAATGTACCGCTACTATGGAAAAGTTTGGCAGTTCCTTAAAAAATAGATTTACCATATGATCAATCCAGCAATTCCACTTCTGGGTACATACTGAAAACAACTGAAAACAAGATCTCAAAAAATATTTGTTTACCCATGTTCATAGCAGCATTATTTCCTATAGCTGAAACACAGAAGTAACCCAAGTATCCGTGAATGAACTGGATAAGCAAAATCGTGTGTGTGTGTGTGTGCGTGTGTGCACACGTGTGTACACACAATGGAATCCAAGTATCCATGGACAGATTGAATGGATAAGCAGAATCGTGTGTGTGTGTGCGTGTGTGTGTGTGTCTGTGTACACACCATGGACTATTATTTAGCTTTAAAAAGGAAGGAAATTCTGACATGCTTCAACATAGAAGTAACTTGGGACAGTAGGCTAATTGAAATAGGCCAGTCACAAAAAGACAAATACTGTATGATTTCACTTACATGACATATATAAAGTAGTCAAAATCACAAAGACAGAAAGTAGAATGGTGGTTTCCAGGGACTGGGAAGATGGAAGAATAAGGACTTTAATGGGTATAAAGTTTCAGTTTTGCAAGATGAAAAATGTTCTGGAAATAGGTGGTGGTGATGGTTGTAAAACAATGTGAATGTACTTAATATCACTGAACTGTATAATTAAAAATGCTTAAGGTGGTAAATTTTAAGTTACATGTATTTTACCACAATAAAAAATGGAAAAATAATTTTTTGGAAATAATTCTATATATTTTTTTCTTTTTATAACTATAAGAATTTAGGAATTTATAAAACGATAATGGAAGAAGATAGAAAACAGTAAGTCATATAATAAAGTATGTATCATTTACCCAAAGTAGGTTTTGCTGCAAACTACATTGTGTAATTTTATAATTTTATAACTATAACTTTGAGTCAAGGCCCTCAGCCATAGTTGCCTATGTGACCAGCCAACTCTGAAGGCTTAACATTTAATCTGATTTATACTACAAAATAAAAAACTATTTTAAATAGTTTGGGGAAAAAATAAGCCAAGTCTAAAAAATATATAATTACTGTCTAACTCATTCATGAACAAGGATGTAAAAATCCTATCAACATGACAGCAAAGTGAATCCAGCGACATGCAAAAATTGTGTTTAGCCCAGAAAAGCAAGTTTATTTAATGCTAGAAAGTTAATTAATGTTAATTCATTATAGTAACCGATTGAAGAGGGGGAAATACACCGATTCATCTAAACAGATGTAGTAAAGCATTTCATGAAACTTAACATTTATTAATTTCTTTTTAAAAGTGCTCAAAGCATGATGAGGACATGTTAAAAGGAAAGAGAAGTCAGCTTAAATAGTTGGACAAGTGTGGAACAATTGGAGCATCAACATAAATAACAAAAATAATGGATTACACTGCATTGACTAAAATAGATGTCATTTTCTTTTGGACACAAGACAAACTGGTAAAAGATCTGAATAGGAATTTACAACAATGGAAACATGAAGGGCATATAAACAAACCAAAAGATGCTCAGCTTCATTATGAATCAGAGAAAATGCAAATTAAGGTTACAAGATACCATTTTACACGAACCAGATTGATAAAATAAAAAAGGATGTAGAATAACATAAGCTGCTATATATTGCTGTTGGAAGTAGTCCAATCATTTTAGAAAAACAATTTAGTATTTATAAAGTTGAACATGTACATAATTTACCACCCAACAAGTTTACTACCAGGTAAATACCCTAGAGAAACTCTCAACATATGTGCCCTAGGAGATATGTGAAGAATGTACAGCATTATTTATAACTAAAATAAGAAGCTGGGGGGAGAGGAGAGAACCTAAATGTCCTTCAACAAGAAAATGAATAAATGAATTATGCTTTATTTATATGATGGAAAATATAAAGCAGTGAAAATATTTGAATTCTAGTTACATGTAAGTAGCAGAAATCTGAGTGAAAAAATGGTATTTATAAAATAATGCCATTTGCATAAACCTTACAAAGAATGTGAACATTTAATAATAAAAATATGTACTATTTAGTAATCCACATATTGTAAAGTTATAAAGAAAAGCAAATTGATTACAATTCAAAAAGTCAGAATAGTGGTTACCTCTAGGAACAGTGAGGGGATGAGCTCAGGGCATACAGGACTTAAAAGTAACAATAAAGTTCTATTATCCATTTGGAGAGTAGGCTCCTGGTTGTTTATTTTATGACCGTGTTTATAACTTCCTTACACATTATAAATGTTCTTTTATATGTATAAATTATTAAGAAAATGAAAATAATGGGATATTATGACAACTGTAAAATTAACAGGAAAAGAAAACATCAAAATTATAAAAACTAATGAGAGAAGACAATGTTTGTTTTTAAAGGATAACCATTCAAGAACATCAACCAACCAGCTTTAGGGTCTTTGTTCCAGCTGTTCCACCAACCTAGAGATCAGTTTCTTTGATATCTACTTGGCTAACTCCTTCTCCTTCTTCCAATCTTTGTTCTACTCCCCTTCTCAAGAAGACCTGCCCTGACCACCTCATTTGATTTTTCCATTCTCCTACCCCCTGATCTTGGTGCTCCTGATCTGCCTTACCCTTACCTTTTCTTTCTTCTAAAATCTTTTTTTGTATTTTTTTTTAATAGAGATGGGGTCTCACCCAGGCTGGTCTTAAACTCCTGGGCTCAAATGTCCTCTTGCCTCAGCCTCCCCAAGCCACCATACCTGGCCTCAAATCCTTATCACCTTCTAACATCCTACATAATTTACCCATTTACTATGTTTATTATTTATCTTCTGTCTTCCCTCTTTCCCCCACTCTGTTAGAATGTAGTAATATGAATGCTGGTGTATTCCACATGCCTTGACAGTTGACGCTCAGTTAATGAACTTTTTTTCTTTTTTGTAGAGACATGGTCTTGCTATGTTGCCCAGGCTGGAGTGCAGTGGTGTGATCTTAGCTCACTGCAGTCTCAACCTCCTGGGCTAATGTAATCCTCCCACATCAACTTCCTAAGTAGCTAGTACTACAGGCATGCATCACCATGCTAAAATTTTTTATTTTGTAGAGATGAGATCTGGCTCTGTTGCCCAGGCTGGTTTCAAACTCCTGGCGTCAAGTGAACCCCACCTTGGCCTCTCAAAAGTGTTGGGATTACAGGCATGAGCCACCATGTCGGGCCCTTCTACTTCATTTTAACAGACAGCTCCTGGATAATATATCAGCCCCATGTTTCCGTTTCATAAATTATTTCTTTTACTGATACTGCATAAGTTGGGCACAACTTCAATCAGATAATATGACCCAAATTAAATTTTTGTGAGTGGTCTATCAAAATGAGGTCTGTTGATTATATCACAATGTTTGAACAACATTTGTTTTAGTTATGAAATTGTTACAACTAGTTTCAACCATGAACAAATAAAATATTAATCAGGAGTTTTAAGGGCAAACTAAATGGAAAAGAACAATAAAAAATTATTACCATGTGTATATAAATGATCTTCCGTAATTTACATATATCAATGTACCCGACAACATATACTGCAAATAATGATGCAATCTGAAATTTAAAAAGAAATTAGAAGTAAAAAAGATAAAATGAATAGCTACAAGAATGAAGAATATATTTACTGTTGTTTCAACTGATTTATATCTACACACAGAGTGAGTTCTTCTGTTTTCCTTTTATCTGACAATTTATTATTAAATATAGTCAATATATTAGTATAGAAAATATTGGTTGATTTTTCTCTCTGACACACAGCTTTCTCAATCATGTGAATTGTCTACTTTGTCAACTGTCCAAAACAATACTCATTTTAACTTCAGGTCAACCCTACTGTCAACATGTACAATTAAAAAGTGCCTTGTCCAATCAAAAAAGATGAAAATGTAATTATAACATGACAACTAATACATAATTGGGGAAGGTACATTTAACTGAAAAATAATTATGCAATGCATGTGTGCATAAAAATACCTCAATTTCTGCTTGCTAGTCACTCTTTACAAGTATCTCCATTAATGTTCTTTCATTAATACAAATATTCAAGAGTTAGTTATAATCAAATTTATCAATTTCAAATTAAGAGTACTTTCGCTGCAAAGGTATTTTTAACTTTCTTTTCCATTTGGAAGAAAATTGTATGTTATATATCAATAATTCTAAGAGTACTGGAATTATTTAGATGAATTAATTGATTAAATGATGGTATAGTATCTATTACATAGAGGTAATATAGCAGACAATGCCTCTACACCCTTCCTCATAGAGAAAGCAATTCAAATTAAATTCTTCCCGTCCTACTACAAAAGCATAGCATAAACAGATTGCAAAATAGCTGAATACTTAAACATATAACTTAAGTTTCATTCATCAAGTTTTTAATCTCTAAATCAATCTACAACAAATTTTTCCATTAGTGAGAAAAACAACAAAGTTTCCCTTTATTCAGAGTTACCCATGGAGAACACTGCATTTCTTAGGGTGCCTGATATGACATAACAACTGTGGGGAAGTGTGTGTTATTATTCAACATAAGCCCCACAGGGAGGCAAAATACCTCCCCTGACCCTTACCTCCACAAAAAAGCAGGCAGTCTCCACTATCAGGAAGCAATGAGAATGCTCCCTTTTCACCCCAAGGGCTAAGCAACACACAGTACATTTACAGGGTAGAATTTTCAAGAGACAATCTCAGAGACAATTTTAAACCAGAAACTGATTGAAAATGTCATCGAACTAAGTTAGACAAAGGAGTCTACAAGACAAGATCAAAGTAAAAAGTAAGTACAAATAGAGCCTATTTTAAAAAATAATGATAAAACCAACTAACCTTACTGACACCTACTAAGTACCAGGTACTGTGTTAAGAATCATATACATTACTTCATCTGGTCCTATCCACAACCCAATAAAGTAGGTTCTTTTATTATCTCTATTTCAGAAATGAGAAAACCTAAACTAAGAAAAGTTAACTATTTTATCCAAGTTAAGAGGCTAGTGAATAGAATTAGGACTCAAATCCAAGTCTAACTTCATTTCCCAAGCAAGATGTTCTAAAAAATATTAAAAAGCAGCCAGGCGCAGTGGCTCACGCCTGTAATCGCAGCACTTTGGGAGGCCAAAGCGGGTGGATCACGAAGTCAGGAGATTGAGATCATCCTAGCTAACACGGTGAAACCCCGTCTCTACTAAAAATATAAATAATTAGCTGGGTGTGGTGGCACGTGCCTGTAGTTCCAGCTACTTGGGAGGCTGAGGCAGGAGAATCGCTTGAACCCAGGAGGTGGGGTTGCAGTGAGCCGAGATTGCGCCACTGCATTCTAGCCTGGGCGACAGAGAAAGACTCCATCGCAAAAAAAAAAAAAAAAAAAAAAAAAAAGCAACTCTTCAACTGCTTTATACAAATATATCAGTACAATAAAAAAAAATAGTACGCAGGGAGAAAAATGAATATGTAATTTACTCCCTCTCTCAACAAGCTACCTCCATTTATAGTGGGCAAGAGTACATGGAAAGACAATAGATAAATTTCCAGACTGGTAGAGAGAATTTTATAAGAGATGAACTGGTTAGCTATTTATCCTGTAATCCTATGTGTCTTTATTCTACATGCAAGAATGTACACAACTATTCATAAAAGAAACATTTTAGGTAACAGAAATACTATAGTTAACTTAAGAGAAATACTTGAAGTTATAGCACTAGTCCTCTTTTAAGCACTTAACGATACTGAATAACAAAGATAAGCATTCTTACAAATTTGAGTTCAATAAATGCATTATGTTAGGAAGTAAATAATTAACAATCATTAATAAATAATCCAACATATTTCTCTACCCTGAACTTTCTTTTGTTCAATATTTCTAAAAAATGTTTTAGAAAAACATTTTTCCTAGAAAATGTTTTAGTGTTTTAGGACTTAGAACCATAGAATATCTCAGTTGTAATTTTATGCAAATGAGCTCACATAGTCAAACATGCTAAGCTTAAAACAGCTTAAAATATAATCACCTCACCTGAGTAAGAAGTACAAACTGAGCAAACTGCCAAGGAAGCATGAAAAATACATTGGAAATGCAGAGTGCAATCAAGCTTCCTCTATAAAGTTTTGTAGCCCTTGAAAAGATAAAATAAGTGTTAGTAAGTTTAAACACGAAATAGTCTAGCATGGCTCCAAACTGCTGCAAATTAGAATCTCGAAATATATATGATCTGGTTATAACACAACCTAAACATAAAATGAACCAATGGGTTAGAAATTATACCTCCTGATACTCAATTACAACAATTTTCTTTGAAAGGTAAATACCCATTTGCTAACAATAACACAGAGAGAAGGAGGGTGGGTCAGTATATCCATGAACATTTTTTTCAAATTATATTTTGGTGAATCCATGACTGAATATTTAAAAATACTGATTCAACAGATTCATTAGGAAGGCAGAAGATGCCTACAAAAAGATGATAGCAGCATATTCTAAGTGCTAAGTATTAGGCAGACAACTACTGCAATAATGCAGAATAAGAGGTAAGCGGCTGAGAGAGATTTTGTAAGCATGTGAGATAAAAAGTTGGGTCTGGCACAGGTAGGAGAACACAGAAAAGTTAAGTGGAGGAAAAGATATGGGGTCCATTCTGAAGCAACCTTTAGAGATCTCATTTTGGTACTGACTTGTAATTTAGGAGATTTTTAGGAGGGTAAGATGATTTTATCCTCTAAACCTGTGAGCCAACGCAAAGCCCCCACACATGTCCATCTTCACAGAAGTGGAGTGTGCATGTTGATATACTGAGGTGATGAGGTGTATGCAGCTCAGATACAGTAAAGACATCCTGGCTAGATAAACCTACCTGGAGCATAGAGCACCATTATGACATGCCTTTCTTCACTTCCCCAAGTATCCCTTCTCCAAAGGACATCCCTCTCTGCTATTTTAATCCAACAAAAGTACTTTTAAACTCCAGATAACCTTTTAATGAGTTATGAAATCAACTTATGGAATAAAATTCAGCATTTAAAAATGCAGATCAGCAGAGTGAAACAGAATATATATGACTATATCCTACTTACGAGGGGTTCTATTCTGTGAAACTTTTGTTTCAGCTGTGTGCATACATGTATGTGTATACTAAGCCGCAGTGTAAAACTTATTTCTTGTTTCTCATAGATCATAGTCCAAAAGTTTGAAAGCCACTATCTAAAATAAAGCATTTCTCTACTGCTTTTGAATACTAAATATGATTTTCATTTTATGGGTAACAAGAGACATTAAGATTTCCAAGCAGAATTTAATACCAATCTGGCAGTTGGATAAAGAATGCGCTGTGGGGAGATAGGAGTGAACAGAAAACAAAGAAAATCCAATTGGTGATCAAAATAGCTCTGACCCAAGACAACAGAAATGGAAACATAAATATTGCCAAGAATGAAAAAAAAAAAAAAAGCTAAGAACAACCAAGAAAAAGCTAAGCTGTGCTACTATTAGGTGGGTATATAAACTGAATTTCTAAAAATGCTTAAAATTCAAAACTGGACAAAACCAATTTGTTAAAACATACCACTAACCTTATTTATAAATGATTCCTAGCATTAAGGAATAGTCTCTTTTCTGGTTTTGTAACAGTATCCTCAGCACTGCAGCCTGCATCAACACTGCTCAGCTTCTTCTTGCCTCCACCAAGCCATCGCCACCCACCACCTCCCTCTAATGTCACAATATGTCAACTATAGGTAGAAACCAAGACCTAAAGGAAATGGCTGCTCTTCCAAAGGAGACAATGTCAGTAATAAGGATGAAATATCAGAAGATGAAGATGGCCAATAGAGAGAAGGTTACTATCCTTCAGAAAAAAGACAAGATGTCTGCCAAAATTTCAAGAAAGGAGGTTTAGCAGGTTTTCCCTCCTAAAAAGACTGCAGTGTCCAAGAAAGCAAAATGAAAGCCCACACTTCCAAGCAACCAGTCATAGATAGCCACAGCAGGCAAGCAGGGAGCCATGACAACTAAGGGGCATAACCAGGAAAGCCATCGCAATCAGAAGTCATAAGCTGCCAATGAAGATGGCGAGGAAGATCAAGATGGGATGGATCTGAACCAGGAGTGGTGAAAGCAGCAGCTGATGCAGCTTCAGATGGCCTGGAATATGAGAACAGAAATGCCAACTGGAATATAAACAGAGACAATGAAGAAGGCTCTAAAGAAAGGAAAGTTCTCTAAAACTTCTCAGCAAAAAGTAAAGACAGGTATTAAGACGTGGGTAAGGCTGAAAAAGACAATGATAAGAGACTAAAGAAAACATAAAAAGCTTGTCACAGAAGCACCTGGAGCCAAAAACAGAGAAGAACCCAACAGAAGGCAGCTCTTGAAGGCAGGAAACAGCAACTGAAGAGGCCCCATCCTGGTAGGCAGAATAATGGCCTCCAAAGATACCTGTGTCCTAATCCCTGGAACCTGTGGACATGTCATGTTGCATGGCAAAGGGGAACTAGGGCTGCAGATGGAATGAAGATGACTAATCACCTGGCCTCACAGTAGGGAATGTATCCCGGATTATCCAGGTGGACCCAATGTAACCACAGGGTACTTAAAAGCAGAAGAGAGGCTGAAGAGAAGGTTGGAGTGAACTGACAAAGAAGGACTTAATCTACCATTGCTGGTTTTGAAGATGAAGGAGCCACAAGCCAAGAAATGCAGGCAGTCTCCCAAGAAAGGCAGGCAGCCTCCCAAGAAATGCAGACAGCCTCTAGAAGCTAGAAAAGCCAAGAAAATTGATTCTCTCCCCTCCCACTCTGTGCCTTCAGGAAGAGGGTTGCACCTCCAATACCCTGATTTTAAAACTTCAGAGCTAGAAAACTCCAAGATAGTAGATCCCAGTTTGTGGTGATGGGCTACACAGCAACAGGAAACTAACACTACCTTCTATGGTACAGATGGACTAAAGGAAGCAGCGCTCAGTCCCCGGAGCAGCATCCCCATGCCCACTTAGGGACAGATCGGATCAGTGAGTGAAAGAAGAATCAAAGGTTTGCCTTTGCTGGATTTAAGACAGGAGCAGAGGTAGAAAAGCAGGAAGGAACTAGAGACTGATGGGCAGTCTGCTGTCTGCACTATACTGGAGAAAAAAGCCACGGTCAAGAATGTGAATGTGGAAAAACAGCATCTGTAGTGGTGAATCAAAGACTCCTACAGCACAACACTTCTTACAGAGATGTTTGAGAAGGGACCATTGCTCAAGATGCCTCAGAACCAACAGGGCACAGTTAAAGGTTATGAATTCATAGAGGTTCACCTTATTTGAAGGTGCTAAAGAAGTTTTAAACCCTATAAAAGAGGAGTTTAGGGGACAGCAATAAAGCTGGAGCTACACAGACTTTAAAAAGCTAATGCAAAAACATTACCCATCCCATGTTCTATGAAGGGTCTGTCTAAAGACACTACTACATAGGAGACTAAAAGCCATGTGATGGTTCTATACTTGCTGTAACAATCAGAGGGAAATAGATTGCCCAAAGGGTTTGGCATAACAGCCTTCAACAAAGTTCTTCTGAATTCGGAGGATCACTGAAGGGAGTTATCAGTCTGAGTCATCTTCAGATTTTTATCATGCTTTGTTCCATTTTTCCATAGCCCCCATTTGGTTTCCTTTTTACCCTCTGGAGCAAGGCAGCTATATTCAATATTTGTCAGCAGAAAGGGAGAGAAGTGTGAATTCTGTGAATTATCCTTTGCCCCAAAGGATTGTATCTTACAGGATACACTATAGCATGACCAGCCTTTACCTTCTTTCTGCTCATTTTCAAGAGGTTACAGTGGTAACAGAAGAAGACTTGAGAAAGTGGAAATGACAGGAGAAGTGAAAGCAATTTGTTCCTTCTCAAGCAATCACTGTAGACTACCAAGAAAAAGGAGGAGGAACAGAAGGCTGATAGAAGAAATGTTTTTGATACTATTTTTAAGTTACACTCTTATAATATTTTTACTAATAACAGCATCATATTGGTTAATTATTTTATTATGTTCACTTTATTATGGAAGCTTAAGAAATTTTAGTTAAAATTATTTAATGCAAAAAGAAATAAGGTTAAGTCAAAGTTACCTGAGAATATGAGTCACTAGCAACATCTGAAGAACAAGAAATGGATATGAGAAGCTTTCACGGAGAGGTGGTGTCCACATTACACGGGTACACTGAAAAAAAAAATTTGTAGTATAGTATACTTGCTAAATTTACTAAGACATTCCAAGTAAAAATTGCTATTTATAAATAAAATTATTTTTAACAAATAATTTAAACGGTGTGTTGTAAAACAAACTACTGGACTTTATTCCATAAACAGCAAAACTAGCATGTGACAAATATTACTGACAGAGACACATGTGGCTTAAGATCATGTAAAGCATTAATATCATGAATTGTCAGGAAGAAAATACCAAAAAAGATGCAACTACATCTTAAAAGGAAAGGGAGGAAAGTACCAGCAAGAAAACGTTCTGCCAAATTTTAGAATATTTTGAGTTGATTATTTATCTATTGTTTGTCTTCTTTCCCATGAATTTCAGCAAAACTATCCATAACCAGTACTTGAGAACTCTTTCTAGTCATCAATTTTAGTATTTTCATTCACTGTGCTGCTACAAAGGAATATTCCATTTTTGGTTTTACTTCTTTGCCTAAGCTGCCCTGGGTTGCAAAATATTTAAAAGTAGGCAGTGTAATCAAATTAAGTAACAAAAGTCCTGAAATTGTTAAGTATAAACCTTTCTGAAAAGCTCACTTTGGACATAATTAAGCAATGTACTATCACAGTTGTAATAATGTCATTTTACTGTATATAGACTAAACATATTAGTAAGTTCATCCTTCCATCGACAGAAAACCGCATACAATTAAATGCAAGCAATCTGATATTATTAAGTCACACTAAAATAATGATGTCTTTCAATGCAAGCACGGGTACCTAAAAAGATTCCACAGAATGACAAAGACCATGTCAGAAATAAGTGTTTCCTATATTTTCGCTGTACCTCAGACTACTGAATATTTCTAGTGCTGCTATAGAAAGACTGAGCCAATTTACTGCTCTTTTCTAACAAGCTCACCATCCTTTATGAAACTGACATACATATCTATTTATGAATGAACTACTCACACAAGAGAATGCTGAAAAGATTGAAAAGGTCCCCTGATAATGTATACTGTTGTTACTAGAATGCAATTTTTAAAAGCTGTTAGTTTATTAGATTAACTGGAGAGTTCAGTATGATTGACAGTAAGATACATGGGCAAACTACATTTCATTGCCCTTTACCATGCTTCACAGATAACGTCTGTCACAAATTGAAGGTTTGTGGCAACCCTGCATCAAGCAAGTCTATCAGTGCCATTTTTCCAATAGCATGTGGTCACTTCATGTCTCTGTGTCATATTTTGGTAATTTTCATAATATTTCAACCTTTTTCATTATTACTATATCTGCTACGGTGATCTGTGATCAGTAATCTCTGATATTACTATTCTAATTGCCTTAGGTGCCTTGAACCATGCCCAATAAGATGGCAAACTTAATGGATAAATGTGTGTGTTCTAACTGCTCCACCAATCAGCCACTCTCCCATCTGTCTCCCTCCCATCGGGCCTCCAAATTCCCTGAGACACAATATTAAAATTAGGAAAATTAATAAGCCTAAAAGGGCCTCTAAGTGTTCAATTAATACAAAGAGTTGTTCATCTCTCACTTTAAGTCAAAGGCTAGAAATGATTAAACTTAGAGAAGAAGGCATGTCAAAAGCCGAGAGAGGCCAAAAGCTAGGCCTCTTATGCCTAACAGTCAGAAATGCAAAAGAAAAATTATTGAAGGAAATTAAAAGTGAAACAACCTTATTGCTGATACGCAGACAGTTTTAATGTTCTGGATGGAAGATCAAACCAGCCACATTTCCTTAAGTCAAAGCCTAATCCAGAACAAGATCCTAACTCTCTTCAATTCTATGAAGGCTGAGAGAGGTGAGGAAGCTGCAGAAGAAAAGTTTGAACTAGCAAAGGTTGGTTCATGAGGTTTAAGGAAAGAAGCCATCTCCGTAAGATAAAAGTACAAGGTACAACAGCAATGCTGATGTAGACGCTGCAAGTTATCCAGAAGATCTAGCTAACATAACTGAGGTAGGTTGCTGCACTAAACAACAGGGCAGATGAAAAAACCTTCTACTGGAAAAAGATGCCATCTAGGACTTTCCTAGTCAGAGAGAAGTCAGTGGCTGGCTTCAAAACATCAAAGGACAGGCTGACTCTCTTGTTAGACCTAATGCAACCAGTGACTATCTTGAAGCCAATATTCATTGACCATTCTAAAAATCCTAGGACCCTTAAGAATTACACTAAATATACTCTGCACGTGATCTACAAATGGAGCAACAAGCCTAGATGACTGCACATCTGTTTTAGCATGATTGACCAGATATTTTAAGCCCATTCTTGAGACCTACTGCTCAGAAAAAAAGATTCATTTCAAAATATTATTGCTCATTGACAGTGCACTTGGTTACACAAGTGCTCGGGTGGAGACGGATGAGGTGATTAATGTTGCCTTCATGCCTGCTAACAGAGCATCTATTCTGCAGCCCATGAAGCAAGGAGTCATTTCAACTTTCAGGTCTTATTATTTAAGAGATATGTTTCATAAGGCTCTAGCTGCTATAGTGATTCCTCTGATGAGTCTGGACAAATGAAATTTAAATCTTCTGGAGTGGATTAACTATTTCAGATACCATTAAAATCATTCTGATTCATGGAAGGAGGCCAAAATATCATCATTAATAGGACTTTGGAAGTTTATTTCAACCCTCATGGGAGACTTAGATGGGCTCAAGACTTCAGTGGAGGAAGTAACTGCAGATGTGATGGAAATGGCAAGATAACTAGAAATGGAGCCTGAAGATGTGACTGAACTGCTGTAATCTCATGATAAAATTTAAAGGATAAGGAGTTGCTTCTTAAATGAGCAAAAGGAGTGGTTTCTTGAAATGGGATCTACTACTGGTGAAGATACTGTAAACATTGTTGAAATGACAAAAAAGGATTTAGAACATGACATAAACTTAGTTGCTAAAGCAGTGGCAGGGTTTGGGAGGACTGACTCCTATTTTGAAAGTTCTAGTGTGGGTAAAACGCTATCAAACAGCATCACTTGCTACAGAGGAATCTTCTGTGAAAGAAAGAATCAATCAATACAGCAAATTTCATTGTTATCTTATTTTAAGAAATTGCCACAGCTATCCCAATCTTCAGCAACCCCTCTGTCAGAAGTTATCAACATCAAAGTAAGACCCTCCATCTGAACAACTTGCTGAAGGTTCAGGTGATCACTGGCAGTTTGTTTGTGCATTTTGAGATGGAGTTCATTCTGCCGCCCAGGCTGGAGTACAGCTGTGCAATTTCGGCTCACTGCAACATCCACCTCCTGGGTTCAAGCGATTCTCCTGCCTCAGCCTCCCGAGTAGCTGGGACTACAGGCACCCACTACCACACCCAGCTAATTTTTTTTTTGTATTTTTAATAGAGAAAGGGTTTCACCATGTTGACCAGGCTGGTCTTGAACTCCTGACCTCAGGTGATCCGCCTGCCTCAGCCTCCCAAAGTGCTGGGATTAGCCACTTATTTTTAAATTAAGGTATGTACATTGTTTTTTAGACATAATGCTATTTCACACTTAATAGACTATAGTACAGTGTAAACATAACTTTTATATGCACTGGAAAACCAAGAAATTTGTATGACTTGATTTATTACGATATTCATTTTACGGTATCTCTGAAGTATGCCTGTATGATCAAAATTTGTAAAGTCATCAGTCTCTGTACAAAAACAAGTATTCAAACAAGCAAGTATTCCAACCATGTAATGTACAATTTGAGAATTTTCTTCATGCAGACAGTTCCCCCACATTTGTTACCCACATTCAATGACATTATCATTTCTCCAAAATTCGTTGCTTTTAATAGCTATAGTCACTCAGTTCACCAAAACTGAATTATATCCTCTGAAAGCAGGGACAAGAAAACCCAATTACAGGACTGTAATGAAGGGCAAGGTCTTCTCCCTCCAAAATTCTGAGTACATGAATTCAAATGTCCATGAAAGTGCTTTCTATTGTTTCTCCAATAACACAACGTGTTTTACTAGGTCTGGTACAAACATAATTGCCATTCCAGATGATGCCATATAATTTGAAAATAGTGAAGAGATTTGGTTTAGTCATGCCTTACGTTTCAACAAAATAAATATTTTTTCTTTATCTCATTTTAAATGTAAAATAAAAAGTGTGACAGTTTAAAATGCCAATGCTTTTTAAAGGCATTATTTTGAAATTTGAGAATTAAAGGAAATATACATGTGAACTGCTTCAAAAAAGGGTTATACAAATGTATGTTGTTTCTAAGTATAAGAAATACATTTATTGTGAAAATAAATTCAATAAAAATCTTATGTTGCACAAACTTCTATCTAGTATATAATTTTTAGCACACATTTCATAACACTGATTATACTGCAACATAATACTGTGTAGATATTAATAGGCTTTTATTTTCTGCTTAATAATTTTTAATCATTCACTGAAGAATCAATAACTAAGGAATCTCAAAAGTAGCTTAATTTTCCAATCTCTATTTTCAAACTATTAACTTATAATATTGGGAATACAGTATGATCTAATTGATTTATCTTCATAACTTCAAAATAAATAGAAGAACAATTGACTAGTGAGTTATAAATTGTGGTTAGTATTAGTATCAAACAGATCATGTTTAAGATTTATTCCAAGAGTTTTTACTAGAGTTGCCATTTGCTGGATCAATCCTAACTTGTTACTATAATGTTTAGGTTTAAAACAAATTACCCACCTCTGCCTGCTGCTTTTCTATACTGATTATACTATTGCTTTATATTGCTTAATATTAACTATAATAATGCTTTAAACACTATATTTATGAGTGCTTCCTTAAAAGACTGCTGGCACCATGAAGGTTATGCTACCTCTCTTCAGAGAATGTTATAGGTGTTAAGAATCCTGCTGTCCACATAGTAACCATAAACATGCTAGGTTTAAGAGACATGGCTTGAGTATCTCTTGTTTGATGCTACTTAGGGCAGTTCCATTATTTAGGAAGACCCTTAGTTTGGAGTAAGCTTTGTGCATCTCAGGGCACTGTATCTTGATAATAAGTAAGCCTGGTTGCTTTCTTGGAGTTTTGGTCTATTTTTGTACCATACACAGGTTGAGTATTTCTCATCCAAAATCCTGGGACCAGAAGTGTTTTGGATTTCAGATTTTTTCAAATTTTGGAATATTTGCATTTTAATTACTGATTGAGCATCGCTAATCCAAAAAACCAAAATCTGAAATGCTCCAATGAGAATTTCCTTTGAGAGTCATGTTGGCACTCAAAAAGTTTTGGACTTTTTGAGTATTTCAGACTGCAGATTTTCATATTATGCACAGCCTGTACTGATAAGCTGCTCAATTAACCAGTTACATATTTCAATCTGAACTTATAATACAATTTTAGCTCACACAGGATTTAATGTGTCAGTGATATGTAAATGCTATTTTAAACTGTACTATCTTTATAAAGAATTTCAGCTGGTTGTATGACAGAAAACATTGATCTTTTTGTCTCTGAAAATCTAAGATATCAGTATATCCTATCCAAATTTACAAAAAACCTTTGTGAAACTTTGTTGAAAAAGCGGTGAGTACACCTCCATGTTTCCATCCATTGTTGCAATGACTCGAACTTGACCATTGCTTATTCATCTAAAATAGAAAATATATCTGGCAAGATGTTATCAGTATCAACTCTACCACCTTTATCATGTGGTTATAAACTACACTGCTCAAGGTTATCAACATAACCAAAATTCTGACTACAAAATGAAAGCATTAACCAAGATATATAGGCAATATAAATAGAAACAGAAACAAATGATTCAAATTGCACTGTCAAAATGATAATACAACATGGAGAAATAAAAACAATTCAGGTTGCTTCTAAATTATTTAACCTTTATATTCTGACTATACCTCCTTAGTAGAATATACTCTTAGGAGAAAAATAACTGGAGAAATACTGAACCATACTTGGTAGGATTGTTATTGGTAATGACATTAGTGTAGTAACTTTGAAACTATTTTGTGTGTATTACAGAATAATTTGTTTCTGGAACCTTTTTGAGTTTGAAAGGAAGTGTTCAGACACCAGTGAGATATATCAAAAGGGCAGAAAATAGTGCCAAAATCATAAAATATCTAGAGATTAATAAAATATGTGAAAAACATTAAACATTCCTGAGAGAAATTAAAGGAGACGAATATAAATCTGTTTATGGATTGGAAGATTTAGTATATTCAGGAATGTCCATTCTAAATTAATCTAGAGATCCAAAACACAACCAGCAAGTTGTGTATGTGTTGAAAGAGAGGGAAGTAGTGACAAACTGATTCTAAAATTTATATGGAAACACAAAGGACCTGGAATAGCTATGGCAATACTGACGAAGAACAAGGTTGGAGATCTTCACTATGAGATATTGAACTTATAAAGCTACAATATTTAAGGCAGTGTGATACTGGCTTGAAGATAAACAGACTAATAGAACATAATTGAGAATGTAAAAATAAATCCAAAACTATATAGTCACTTTATTTATGATACAAGGCCCACTACAATTCAGCGGGGAAAAATCTTCTTTTTAACAAGTGGTACTAGGTTAACTGGACATCCTATTTGGGGTGGGGTAGGGGAGGAAGGAATCTGGAACCTATTTCATACTGTATACAAGATTCTAGACAGATTACAAACCAAAATGTGAAAGCTACACCAAGGTTTTCCCTTATATTTTCTTCAAGCTTCTAAAAGAAAATATGAGAAAACCTTCATGACCTACAGTAGGCAAAGATTTTTTTAATCAGACACAAAAAGGACTCAACATAAGAGACTGATAAATGGAACTTCATGAAAATTAAGAACTTCATCAAAAAACCTCAAAAAGATCTGTGTACACAAAGATAAAAATCAAAAAACGAAAAAAGAGGAAAAGACAGGTCGTTAAGTGGTGAGAAGGTACTTGTAGAACATATATTCTATAAAGAACTCCACAGAATTGACAAAGAGTTCCCATATATGAATAAAATAACCCAAATATTTTTTAATGGGTAAAGACTTAGGTATTAAACAAAAGAGAGTATCTAAATCCGATAAGCCATATTAAAAGGTGCTCAATATCATTACTCATCAGGAAAATGCAAACTAAACCCATAATAAGGTACCATTTCACTCATCAGAATGACTATAATTAAGAGGACTGCCAAAGCCAAGCACTGACAAGGATGTATTGATAGAAGAAACTGGAATTATCGTACATTGCCAATGGGAGTGAAAACTGGTACAAGCACTTTGGAAAACAATGTGGATACATATCACAGACATATGTTGAGAGAAAGACTTCAGGCATAAGAAAGTATGATTCCACTCACATGAAGCCCCCAAATAGGCAAAACTAATCAATAGTGATAGAGATAGAAGAGTTTTGAAGGATGGGGAGGGATACAGATTGGACAGGAACAGAGGTGAGCCTGCCTGGGGGTTGGAAATAGTCTATGCATTGATCTAGTTCCTGGATACAAGATTGTATACATATGTAAAGATCCACTGAACAGTTAAAATATACAAATCTTAATGTGTGAAAAGTATATATCATTAAAATGTGGGGAGACTACTACCAGCCAAATCTGTGACAATGGGAGCATCAAAAAGAACTGCAATGGATTATAAAACATTGAATTAAAAAAACCCTATGCAAATATAATAAAATAAAATGGCAGGAGAAGGGATTTATCTTTATAGAACACCATTAAATGTAGATGAAATGGCAGAATTAGAAAATTACCATTTGCAATGGCTAATGTAATAACTAATTCAGGCAAGAATCATCAGTGGATGCATAATCAGTTGGTAAATGTTATGGGGGAAGAGGATATTCAAGTGTCTCAAAGTATCATCCCTCATTTCACCTATTAATTAAAAGAAAAAAGGGCATTTTTATAATAGAGACATGACAGACACCACCTTAACCATGTGATTTAACTTTGTAAATTCAATAACAGGACAAATTGGTTTTGCATGCCTCCAGAGGTAATGCAAAGCAAAGGACACAACATCATATGTGCCATATTCTTCATTAAAATGTCTAATCTGGCTGGGCGTGGTGGCTCATGCCTGTAATCCCAACACTTTGGGAGGCTGAGGCAGGCAGATCACGTGAGGCCAGGAGTTCAAGACCAGCCTGGCCAACATGGTGAAACCCTGTCTCTAATAAAAGTATAAAAATTAGCCAGGCGTGGTGGCACACACCTGTAATCCCAGCTACTTGGGAGGCTGAGGCATGAGAATCCTTGAACCCGGGAGGCAGAGGCTACAGTGAGCCAAAATTGTGCCACTGCACTCCAGCCTGGGCAGCAGAGTGAGACCCTGTCTCAAAATAAAATAAAATAAAATAAAATAGTCTTCTAATCTGAATCTATTAACGAGGAAACAATCAGACAAATCCAAATTGTGAGACGTCTACAAAATAATTAGACTCCTCAAAAATGTTAATGCCATGAAAAAACAAAGAGAAACTGTTTGAGATAAACTTTTCCAAATAAAATGACAACTAAATGCAATGTACGATCCTTAATCAGATTCTGGATCCAAAATAAAATCATCAAAGAATTTATGGGAATAAACTATGAAAATGAGAATATGGGCTGTATTAAGGTATTACTGTGTAATTATTAGTGTTAAATTTCTCAAGTATGATAACAGTATTGTGATTATGTAGAATGTCTTGCTTTTAGGCAATATATACTGAAGTATTTAGGGGTGAGACAGCATCATATCTGCAGCTCATTTTCAAACGGATTAGAAAAATGTCTGTGTCAGTGTTTGTATAAGAGAGACAGCAAATGTGTCAAAATATTAAAACTGGTAAATGAAACTGAATCTAGAGCATTTCTGTAAGTTTCAATTTGTTCAAAATAAAAAGCCGGAGAAAAAACAGTAAAGAAAAATGCACTTTTGTTGTACTGCCTTTTTAGTACAAGATTTACAGTGAAACTAGATATAGCCCAAGTGAAGATACAGAACAGCTGTTGGCTCTACCATCACACCTGGGAACAACTGCATAATTTAGGTAAGGATCTGCCATAGGCAGAGAGTCTTTGCTGGAACCAAACAACTTCTAACCATATAAATAAGAATCTGAAAAAGGTACAAACACAAAAATGAGTATTTGTTGTGACAGCCACCCCTCCCCCAACCTGGGACACACACAGACATACACACACATGAATCTGGCAGATAAAGAGGAGTGGGGGAGAGTCAGAACTCTGTGAGATCACAATCTCACACAGCATTTGGTTTCGGGGCCTTGGCACAGCTGAATCTGGAGATGGATTAAAATTAACTAAAAAGCTGAAAACTAACCCCTTCCCAGTTTAAAGAATGGTAAGATCAAAGGAATCATCCCCTGAGTTAAGCACCTGGAAAGTTGGAGACTGAGACAAAGAAAAAAGAAATCACTGTAATTCATTTGAAACTGGAAGTAAACTAAAACAAATTAAAACTATACTACTGCCCTGCTTGGCAGGGCTTCATGTGGGATCCAAATTCTCAGTCTCTCTTCCTAGGTGCTTGACATAAAAGATGTTCCCTTTTTAGGGAAATTGAAGCAAAAATGATTATCTAGTTCAACCTTCATCATTCTTTTACAGAAATTGTCTTCATAAAATAAAAAGCTATGAGACATGCAAAGTAGCAGGAAAATATGACCCATTATCAAGAGAAAAAAAACAGTCAATGGAGTTAAATTCCAAGATAATGTAGGTGTTGGCATTAGAAAACAGACTTTAAAATAACTACAATAATTAGATTTTAAAACGTATAGAAAAATATTAGTGAGATGAAGAGGCAGGAAATTTCAACAGAAAAATGGAGGCTCTATGGAATAAATGGAAATTCTAAGAAGGAACGAAGGAAGAAAGGGAAAGAGAGGAAGGGAGGGAAGGAGGGAAGAAAGGAAGGCAAGAAGGGAAGAAGAGAGGGAGGGAGGGAGGGATGGAAATTTACCAGATAGTGATAATAGCAGACTGCATGCATCAGAATAAAGCACCGCCAACTCCTATACATGGCAAGAGAAAATACCCAAAGGGAGGAATAGAGAGAAAAAAAAAAATGGGAGAAAAAGGAACAGTGTCAAAAATCTGTGAGATAGTATTTTTTAAAAGTTGAACATACATGTAATTAGAATCCCCAAAGAAGAAGAGAGGAAGAATGGGGAAAATAAAGTATTTAAAAAGAAGATCTTGGCTAGAAATTTTCCAAAACTGATTAAAAATAAAAACCAACCCAGAAAACAAAAGTGTTCAATGAACAAAGCACGTCTAGGTTTACCACCATCAAACCAATAAAAACCAAATATATAATGAAAATCTCTGAACAACAGAGAAAAGACACATTACATTCAGAGGAACAATAAGAATTATAGCTGACTTCTTATAAACCGGTGGAAGCCAGAAGATAATGGAATAGCATCTTTAAAGTGCTGAAAGGGAAAGCTATCAACCTATAATTCTTATTAAGCAAACATATACTTCAAAAAATGAAGGCAAGATAACATTTTTAGACAGACAAAAACTAAGGGACTTATTGGCAGATCTTTATCACAATGCTAAATAAAATTCTTAAAACTAAAGAGAAATTATGTCAGATGGAAATCCAGATCTGCAGGAAGAAATTAAGAACACCATTGAGATGCAAACTGAAATGCCCAGTTGTGAAGGATGACTAGGCGTTAATTAGGCACACGTCAAGATGAGGGGCGCAGAGGCATATACAAAGCATAGGAAACAGCATGTGCAAAGGCCCTGAGGAAGGAAAAGGAATAGTCCTTTCTGGAAACAGAAGAAAGAAGGGCCAATAGGGCTGAAGCAAAGCAATCAAAAATAGCCTGAAGAGTGACGTGAGACAAAATCAGAAATCCAGCTGGGCAAGGTCATAACAGATGTTGTAGGCTACTTTTCTATTGTAGATTGCTTTTCAAATTTACATCAGCAGATATGCTGCTAAGATTAACATGCTCTGTTTTTATTGAACTTTTGAAGTTACTGTAGGTTTAATAAGTTCACAAATCCATAGACACACCAGTGAATAGCCTTCATAAAATTATACATCTTGTACTTACACTGTTTCCCAAATTCATGTAAAACATAATTTAAATCATGTCACTCTACTAGTCATCATCCTCTAGTGGCATTCCATCCACTCCAAATAGACCCTATAATGACCTACAGAAATCTGCTCCCACTCTATCCTACCTCCAATTATTAACTGTCTGACCTTATCCGCTATCACTTTCTGCTCATCCTTGCTACTGCCCAGTATTCTCCTGCTTTAAGGTAGAAGATTATCCCACTTCATTCACATGATTGTTCACAAGGATAGGAGTCTTTGTTTTACTTGCACATCTCAAGCATCAAAAAGTACCTGGGAAGAAGGGACTTTCTTTCTTACCAACCTTACCAAAACCTTACCAACACTGGAAAGAAGGGAAGAAAGAATGAAAGAAAAACGAAGTAAGAGGTCCACAAATTGGCAAGAAAAGGTCTCTGCACCTTTCATTTGTAAAAGATAAATTATAGTGATGTCTTCTTTGAAATGCTACTCCCCTAAGAATTTCGTATTTGGAGAGACTAATGGGGAATCAGGAAACTTGTAATCCTCTCTCTGCAAAAAGATCCACAATATTGATCTGGGCAATGATTTCTTGGATAAGACTGCAAAAGCACAGACAAGGAAAGCAAAAATAGCCAAATAGGATTGCGTCAAACTAAAATGCTTCTGCACAACAAAGGAAATAATTAACAGAGTGTACAGTCAACCCGAGGATTGGGAGAAAATATCTGCAAACCACACCTCTGATAAGGGGCCAATATTCAAAATATATAAGGTACTCAAATAACTCAATAGCAACAAAACAACTCAATTTTTAAAATGGGCAAAGAATCTGAAGTCACTTCTCAAAAGGAAAGATACAAATGGCCAACAGATATATGAAAAAAAAAAATGCTCAGCTTCTCAAACCATAGGGGAAATTCAAATTAAAACCACAGTGAGAAACCTACACCTGTTAGAAAGGCTATTATCAAAAAAGACAAATGATAAGTGTTGGAGAGGATGTGGAGAAGAGGGAACTCTTGCACACTGTTGGTAGGAATGTAAATTTATACAGTCATTTTAGAAAACTATGTAAGTTTCCTCAAAAACACTAAAAATAGAATAGCAATCCCACTTCAGAGTATATATACAAAGGAACTGAAATCAGTACATCAGAGATATCTGCACTCCCATGTTCATTTCAGCATTATTCACAATAGCCAAGACACGGAAGCAACCCTAAGTGTCCATAAAGAGATTAATAAGGAAAATTTGCTATACATACACAACGGAATATGACACAGCCTTAAAAAAAGAAGGAAATTATGTCATTTGAGACACTATGAATGGAACTGACAGAGATACTATGCTAAGTGAAATAAACCAAGCACAGGAAGGCAAATACTGTATGATCTCAATTATATGTGGAATCTAAGAGTCAATCTCACAGAAACAGAGAACAGAAAGGTAGTTACCAGAGGCTCAGGGGAGAGATGGGTAATGTGCAGATGTTGATCCACAGATATAAAGTTTCAGTTGGGCAGGAGGAATAAGTTTTAATGATCTATTGTTCCACTTGGTGACTACAGTTAATGTATTGCATATTTCGAAATTGCTAAGAGATTTTTAGCATTCTCACCACAAAAAATGCTAAGTTGGTGAGGGAATAGATATGTTAACTTGCTTGATTGACTCTTTCTACAATGTATACATAAATCAAAACATCACACTGTACCCCACTAATATCTACAATTATTATTTGTAAGTTAAAACAAATAATTTTTTAAAAATACAAATAAATAAAATCATCTCCCTGCTGGGTAACCTTGAGCCAATCACTTAATGTTTAAGTGCTTCCATTTTTATGATATTGGAATGTTCACTACATACCTACCATATAAGAATAAGAATTAATGAGATTGTTTTCAAAGTGCTCTAAGAATTCTTTTCCAAATCTTATATAAATGGCATAACTATTTCAATAATTAGGAACATGTATGTTTATAGTTTAGTCTCAGTTCAGTGGAAAAATATTTAAGAAATATGGGTCAGAAATATGTTGTAGGTCATAAAAATGGTTTAATTAGATATGAACCTCAAGGCAATCCTTTCATTCACTTTAAATTACTTTTGGAGGCAATCCGTTAATTTACTTTGAAGTACTTTCGGGGGCAATCCTTTCATTTACTTTGAATTACTTTTTTAAAATGTATTTATTTTTAAAAAACACAAAGTAAGGAATTTCCTCTTCATATGTGTACATCTTTATATATGTGAACATCTTTTACATAAAACAGCATCAATCATGCTTCATAATAATTTTTTTAATCTTATCATGAAAAAGCTAAACAATCCTATTTCACAAAAAAAGAATTTCTAACAATCAAAAAATTGGAGAAAAATACAGTATTCAGGTTTTTCTTAATACACATTCATGTGCTTTTCTATCAGCATGCCAAAACCCTGCACCATCAACACATGTTGTGTGCATCTTGTAAAAGAAAACATTTTAAAGGCAAAACAAAATTGCTAGCTTTCATCTTTGCAAAAATTCTCAATTGTGACTGAATGAAATTTACTAAAGAAGCTTGATCAATGAAAACATCTGCATAGTTTTTATTATAGAATGTATAACCTCAACATTACTGATCATTATTATAAACCCTTTTACTGCATTTCACAAGTTTCGGATTTGAAGGTTTTAAATGTGTTTTAAATAATTTATTTAATAATCTATTAAGCTATTCATGCTACACATTTTATAAATAATTTGTTCAGGCAAAAATTTTCCCTTATAAAACCATATGAGGAAAAAGAAAATTTTAAAAAAGTAAACCTATGCTATCTTCACATGTAGTGCACAGCAAACTACATAATGGAAATAGAACTTAAATGCAAGTAACAATTGAGAACTATTCTTTGCAACATAAACCAATCACTCATGTGATCAAAGTAACTCTCCTAAGAAAGTAAGGTACCGGTTAGTAACCCAGTGGCATTTCCAGTGAGCAATGCTCTACAAAAGCTCACTAAATACATAAATAGGTACTACCAGAGTAAATATTTCTGTCCATAGAAAAAGTATATACTTAAAAATCAGAAAAAAATAGGGTCTGAAGATCTCATTACCTAAAACGAAAATATGTTGAGTTCTCACCAATATTTTACCCAAAACTGCAGTTTATGCTCTCAATTTTAATGCCATTACCTGTATTTTCACAAGTAATTTTACATGTAAGTAAAATTATCTACTTGACTATTTCAGTAAAACTGAAATTCTAATTCTAATGATATTCGGTTTACCTTTTCCTAAAAAAGTGATGTCTAAGCATGCTTTTCAGCTACACCAAGTAGCTGAAAAGTATCAAAAAGACAATTCATCAGCCTGAAAAGCCAGTTGAATAGTCTGAATTCCATTGTTAAAATTTAAGAAAACTTTGTAAGGAATGATGTTCATGCCACATGAGTATCAAAATTATAAGAAAACGTAAGACGAAGAATTAAAAACCATAGTATACACTGAGGGTAGCACGATAGACCTTTGCACTTTACAAACAGTGGTCTTCCTGGTGGTCTAGGTTCCAAAATTTTGAATAACCTCTTTCCTCTGACACCTTATTGTTAACACACAATGCTTCTTTCTTCCATTATTAAATGGTTATTTCCCTGTTTCTTAGGTCATTCCCTCAGAATCTGTGGCTCAAAGTGCTTCATGGTCCACACTATCACAATGTGCAGGATCCACAGTCAGGAAAAACCAAATCTTTTTTTTTTTTTTAAACACATACTATACCAATTAACTGATGTCATGTTGCAACCACTTGTCAATTACTCTAGCTTTACATTTCTGTGATTCTAAATACTAAGAACATATTAGCTAAGTATCCATTAGTAACTCGCTGACTAAAAAGAAGTCCAGCATTGACTCTGCATTATGTTTGGAGATGATTACTGTTATAGCACATGTTAAAACATGTGCATATTCAAATACAGCAGGCACTGAGTGTATAAAATGCATGGAAGGACAAAGTCACTTCACACAAAGCAAGCTGACCTTTATTCTTTTCTCCCTCATACAAAATTTATCATGAAAGAAATCTAGACAGATGTATTAGAAATTCATTTACAACTATGATTAATCTAGAAACGTTGACATTCTGAATTTATAGTAGAATTTAAACTAAGTTAATTAGTCAATAACAGTAATAACACAAGCTAACAATTACATAGCAGCTACCATGTGCCAAACACTGCTCTAGGCATTTACACATATGAATTCACTTAGTCTCTGCAATAATCCTATGAGGTGGGTAACATCATTATGCCCATTTACAAAGAGGAAACTAAGGCAAAGAGAGATTAAATGACTTGCTCAGGTCACAGAGCCACATAGCAGTCAGGATTTGAACCCAGGCAACCTGGATCCAGAGTCTATATTTTTTACAATACTGTTGTCTTTAGAAAGCCCTTGAACACTAAAATATTTTGCAAAAAGTACTTAAAAGAGTATCAAATGTTAATACATTAAAATAAGAATATGCTGTGTAGTTTCTGCAACAAAAAGTTATCCCTACAAAAGAAAGTTGTATCAATTACCACCTACTTCCATTATAACTAAATTGTTAGCTTTCACAGTTTTAAAATTATACAAACAATTGATACTTGAGGGCAGGCGTGGTGGCTTATACCTGTAATCCCAACACTTTGGGAGACCAAGGCAGGAGGATTGCTTGAGGCCAGGAATTCAAGACCAGCCTGGGCAACATAGAAAGATTCCATCTCTATAAAAAATTTAAAAAACTAGCTGAGTGTGGTGATAAGCGTCTGTAGTCCCAGCTACTCTGGAAGCTGATTCTGAGGCAGGAGGATCACCTGACCCCAAGAATTTGAGGCTGCAGTGAGCTATGATCTACCACTGCACTCCAGACTGGGCAACAAAAAAAGACACTGCCTCAAAAACAAAAACAACAACAACAACAAAAAAAAAAAACAGAATTGATACAGTTGATACAGACCCATTATTTCATCAAATTACTAAGCCTTATATCACATAAGAAGTACAATGGTCATGAAAAGTTAACTCAAATGAATGCTAGTGTTTAAATTTTGAATCAAAATAATAAGATCAAACATTTAAAGAATGCCATTATAGATTAAATTTAAAGAAGAAAACTGCATTTCCAGAAGTAATTCTGAGAATAGTTTTTGATTACCTACCTCTCCATGATTGAAAAAGAAGCACAACACTGTAACCAGGCCTCCTAATCGGCTGCCACTGGAAAAGAAGAAAACATAACTCAAATAACAAAAATTCAGGTCAATCCTAAGAAAAACCTTAAAACACATAATATCATAACCACTGGTATTATATAAGATTTTATAGTCATACTAGAACTCTCCTATGCTTATTTACAAAATAGTTTATTTCCTCCAAAAGATCATTAGTCAAAATAATCTTTTCTCATTTTTTAAAAATCATTTGCTACCTTCAAAATGTATAGACTCAGAAAAGCACGCAAACTGAAAGGGAATAGAAAATTCTTAGTAGTCATATTACTGTACATCACGCAACCTGATATTTCTTTTTATTTTCTTTAGTACCTCATATTTATTTATGTCCTTCAACATTTCTCAAACTGCTTTCCTTGGGACAGATGACATACATTAGGAAAAAGGGAGAGAAAGACGTGCAAGGAAAGGGATCCATGGTCATAAGGATGGAAAACCCCACACTGCCTACCTGCTCCTAGAAATTCACAAGGCACTTCCACACATTAAAGATTTAATTTTATATTTCCCAAATCCCATCCCCAAGCTACTTTTCTGCAGAATACACTTGAGGAATACCAATTTATAAAGTTTTATGTTTCATTTGATTTCAAAAACTGGAATAGAACACAAATATCAAAGTATGACAATCAGGCTTATAACTCTAGGTAAGAAATTACAATGGTATAATCTGGTAGTTCTAACAATTAACCTTCATTTGCTCAGATGAGAGTGAAATATGTTCCCTATTGTCCCCCAAGTCTGGGTAGGGGACATAAGGCTATCTTTAGGTTTATTTCATCATGTTCTGCATTTTTACTCTTGAGGTCTTCTCACTCATTTTAGCTCATGCTGCTTTCTCATTATTCTACCCAAATATCCTTCCTTCTTTTTCTCTATCTACCTTCCTTTTATTTCTCTATCTATAAGTATACCACAGAGAGGTCAGAGAGGAAACAAAGAACCAGATGGTATAGGCATCAAAGGCCTTGTATTTACTCTTGTGATGTATCAATGAGGAAAAGAGGAAGAGATGCAATGGCCAGCAGGGATAATCCATGTAGGGAGTATCCAGAAGGAGACAGGTAGGGCTGGGACCCCAGCACAGGTGGCCTGTTTGCCTTGGCAAAAGAGGAGGAAGACTGCATATTAGTGGTAAGTACTTTGTGGAGCTTCCATGTTCCCCACAGAGCAGAAGACACAGCCACTCGCTGCCAGAGTGAAACGATGGCAGCATTAAACGTTTGAGGAAAGACAGAAATGTCTGAAATACCACTCACATTTCAGGAGAGTGGTAACTGGGGAAAACACAGTGCTGCTGGGATATCTTAGGGGAACAACTGAGGCTGCAGAACACAAATCTACAGGGTCAGTAATCATAAGACTGTGTGATTTTTGCCTACCGATTATCAGCCTAGACAGCACAAATGAAATATAAAGGGGCAAAGAAACTGAAGCCAGAAAGTGTCTGAAGTGATGGATCACTGAAATGAGAGCATCAGACAGAGGAGCTTAGAAAGCAGTACAGGCCAGGAAGTGGACGCCAGGGTTCTCTCCTGAAAGGTGTACCACATCTTCTTCAGAAGAGAAGCACACAGGCTAGGCCCAGGCTTCATCACAAGTGATTAGACATTAGAAAGGTTAAGATAGAGTTAACGGTTTAAAAAACAAATAAATACATTTTAGTGTTTTGAACTTACTCTAACAAGACAAAAAATATAGAAGTTTATAGGGGAAAAAAAGTGATTTTCTCACTACCCTCTCCCAATCCTATTCACCTAAGAACATTTTAGTATGTGTCTGTTCTTCCAAATCTCTCTCTCTAACCACACAAACATATATTTTCTATGTGATCAATATAACATCTCTCTGAAATTTGTTCCTTTTCTAATTATTCTAGCATAAAGATTATTCCTAATCAATGTATGTAAACTTAAAGGGATTATTTTTATAGATGGCAAATACTGTATAGTACAAATATATTTATTTAGTCCATTCCATATTACCGGGCATATAAATATTTTTCAGTTTCTTGCTATAATAAAAAATGGTTAAACATCCTCGTACATGTAAATGCTGGCACGTTTGTTTCGGCAGGAGGGACCTAACTGTGAGACACGTGAGTCAAAGGATGTGAGCTGTGCCCGGAAGCACTGCAGCAGTCCACACTCTTGTCACAGAGTATGCAGGAGGTCGTTTCTCCACCCCTCGTGCAGACTCATGTGCTTTTCAAATTTTCTCCTTAGATAGGTGAAAACCCTTTTCTCACTGCCTACTTGTATGCAGTAGCATTTTAGTGTTTTGTTTTGACAACATGCATTTTCTCTTCCGTGAACTGCTTATTCATATTCTTGTCTATTTTTCTATTTGACTGTTCCCTACTTAAAAATTAAGGTTATCAAACCTCTGACTGTCAAATGTGAAAATAACATTTAAAAGCTGTCCAAAAAAACAACCCCTTTAAGCCTTGAGAGAGATGTGACTGTGATCTGAGTCACATATGGTTACAACTTCCGTTCTCAGATTATAGATTAACTTGCTTTCTTATTTTTCCTGTTCAGTACAATGACTAGAGAATTAAACAATGTCAGGCACAAAACCTTCCTGCCTTTTTTTTTTTTTTTTTTCCAGAGACTGGGTCTCACTCTGTCACCCAAGCTAGGGTAGAGTGGCACAATCATGGCTCACTGCAGCCTCGAACTCATGGGATCCAGCAATCCTCCTGCCTCAGCCTCCAGAGTAGCTGAAACTACAGGTGTGACCCTGCCTTCGTAGTTAATAACCCCTGTTAAAGATTAATTTTCCCTGTGTTGTTTTACTTTGCTTAGATCAGACTATAGAAAACCCATCATTATTATACTCTCTGTAAAAAAAAAAAATGTTTTTAACTGTACCCTTCCCCAAAAGAAATAACACCTATAACCAATCAAACTGCTGTGACTATGTGCCAACCTGTATGAATAATGTTGTATTCCTGCTAAAAATGTCTCTGCCTCTGCCTATATAAATGAAACCTAAACTTCCTTACTTCCAAAGTCTGACTTCATTCCTTTGGAGTTCGTGTTCCTGAGTGGTCTACCCTCACACTTTGTGCTTGAATAAACGCTATTTAGATTCTGATCCTTTTGATTATTTTAAGTTAACACATATGTGTGACAAAGTATTCTGATCTAATTTGCGGCGTATTCTATCAGAAAGAATTTTTAAACTTTTATGTATTTAAATATGTTGATATTTTCCTTTATTTCTTCTGCACTTCCTGTCTTGTCTCTGAAGGTCTTCCACACCTTAAAACTATAGTCTCCTAAAATTTCTTCTAATATTATAAATTGCATTTTCCACTTAGCTCTTTCTCCCTAATTTTGTTCTCTTTGAAATAGCCAATTATATTAAAATCATTTATCAAGTAAACATCCCTTTTACCAGCGAAATGAAATTCAGCCTTTATCTTAATTTCTTACAATGCTAGACTCTGTTCTATTTCATTCAACTGACTTAATTCTGTATTTTTTTTTTTGTTATCACACTATTTTTATTACTGTAGCATTATGGTAATTTTAACACATGATTTTAAAAAGCTACCCACCCCCAACTACTCTTATTTTTAAGATTTTTTAGGTAATTCTTACCAACTTATTCTTACATATAACATCTGAACCAGTCTCCCAACCCTGCCCCCCCACCCAAGAAAAAATTGTCAGACTTCTGATCAGAATGACATTAAATTTATATATAATTTGGGTTGGGAAGGGCTGTCATTTATATGATGGTCATTCAGTTGCACAGTATATCTCTTTCCATTTACTCAATTCTAACTGTATTCCTTTAAATAAAAATGTTTGGGGTCAGGCACAGTGGCTCATGCCTGTAATCTCAGCACTTTGGAAGGCCAAGGCAAGTGGATCACTTGAGGCCAGGAGTTCGACACCAGCCTGCCCAACATGATGAAACACTATCTCTACGAAAATACAAAAAAAAAAAAAATTAGCCGTGTGGTGGCGCACAACTGTAGTCCCAGCTACTCAGGAGGCTGAGAGTCAAGATTCGTTTGAACCGGGAAGGTGGAGGCTACAATAAGCTGAGATTGCGCCGTGGCACTCCAGCCTGGGTGACAGTGAAACTGTCTCAAAAAATAAAAATTTTTTTGGACAACCAATGTAAGAGTCAAGTACTAAAAGTTAAAACTTCTAGAAATACAAAGAGAACATGATAAAATCTGATCACAGTAGAAAATTTTAATTCTTTCATAATCTAACAGGTCAAGTAAGCTAAAGGAAACATATTAGGGATCTGAAGGAGATAATCAACAAGCTCAATGTCGTGACTATACAGAGATTACACATCATTTTCTTATGTCACTGGAACATCTAGTTGCAAAGGCACCTCATTCTCTGATTAGAATCTAAAACAACCTAAAACACGAAAGATGAGTTTTTAAAAAAAATGACACTTGGGGAATTTAATGTAAAATTTCCTTTTAAAAATTCCCTGAACAACGAGGAATCAAAATGGAAATTTAATAACTTTAATTTTCTAAATGGCAGAGTAAAGGTAGAGAAAGAACAAAAGACTCACAAATCCAATTCCCTGGCGGGGCGCGGTGGCTCATGCCTGTAATCCCAGCACTTTGGGAGGCTGAGGCGGGCGGATCACGAGGTCAGGAGATCGAGACCATCCTGGCTAACATGGTGAAAACCGTCTCTACTAAAAATACAAAAAATTAGCCGGGCGTGGTGGTGGGCACCTGTGGTCCCAGCTACTCGGAAGGCTGAGGCAGGAGAATGGCGTGAACCCAGGAGGTGGAGCTTGCAGTGAGCCAAGACTGTGCCACTGTACTCCAGCCTGTGCGACAGAGCAAGATTCCGTCTCAAAAAAAAAAAAAAATCCAATTCCCCGACCAAATCTCAGGATGAGGTTTGCCTAAGAAGTCGCATACCCTCACTCAGTTGCCATACAACCTGGGAGGCTCTGAGGTTGGACAATTTCCTGAGGGCAGAGCCACGGTGACAACATTCCTTTTTCACCAAATTACTAAAATACAGGTTATGGTCCAACATCTTCCATGAATATGGGCCCAGCTTTACTTAACTAACAAAAGAGGCCGATTTTTTTCTATACACTTTTGGGAACTGCAAAGCTAGAGGAGGAGAATAAAATTTATTTATCTCCAAGGAATGTTCTGAGTTAGAAACACTGTGAAATGATGTGACTTGAAACAAATCTAAAATGGTGTTCTCCATGTCCACCCTCTCGCCCCAATCCATAGAGGCTACTAAGTCCTTTTATTTTGCTAAACAGAAAAGATGCAGCAATCAGAATACCTAAAATTTTTAAATTTTTCTCCCCACTATAGTTGATCAGTTGATATTTTAGCATTCCCTAGTGGTTAAAAAAAAAAAGTCTCTTCTGCAATATGACTGTCAGAAAATATGAAACCTCCTACTGTGCAAATTTTAAAACATTCTAAGCTTGCTAAACATTTACCACATTTACTCATACATCTCATTCACCTAAACCTTGATTTTTCTTAGATATAAAATGAAGGGATAATAAAAAATAAAGTTAAAAAGGACCTCAAAATACTTTCCAGTTCTAAAATTTAAGAATTCTATAATTATCTTCTTTCCTACCTACTACAGTTGTATAGATTTAAATCAATTATCAAGTTTTGATAGGTTTCATTAATCATTGAGATTTTTATCTCTATTTACAAAAATGATGAACCATCCAAAGTTAAACTTTTGAAGAGAAAAAAGCCATCAGAGTTAATTCAAAACTATATTAAATAACTCTTACGATTTTCTTATTGTATAAATGCTTAAGAAAGAGAAAATGGAGAAAAATTTGGAAATAATCAAATTAAGATAATTTCCAATCTTAAATTGGAGACTGAAGGCTTGGGCACCTTCCTAGCCCAATGAAGAAATGCCAAGCAGGCCTGGTTCAGAGCTGAGAACCTTCCCCTATACTCATGGCGGCGGTGGGGGGGGCGGTGGGGGGGATTCACTGGTTACTAAGTAAAGAGATAGGAAAGAAAGATGAGGAATGAGGATAAGAATCGGGAAGGGTGAGAAAAGTTCTCAGCTTGGTCCTTTCCAGTCTGTTTCAAGCAAGTGATTAACGCCGTTAATTTAACTCTCTATCTGCCGATTCTAACTGAAGTTATTTACTTATTAGATTGTGAACTCCTCAATTCACCCATGGTGCCTAGCACCAAGTCTTGTCCATGAAAGAAAATGAAAGGGTATCTGAAAATAGAACTATTCAATCAAAAGACTGCTGGCATTCCTTTTTTGAAAGCTTGCAGCCAAACACACCACACCTCATGTCATTGTTGCTCTTGGTACTGGCCCAAAAACCAGGCAGGACCATGTGTTCAGGTGAGCCTCTGCTCTGACCCAAACACCACACTCCTCAACTCCTACGCAGACCTCTCCACTGTGTGCTCCAGGCCCTTCATTCCATGGTGAACAACTACCTATCCAACAACTGCAGCCTCTTCCCAGATGCTTCCTCCTTCTCCTGCCTAGAAATATCACTCTCCTCTGAACAAATGCTTCCCCTGGAGCCTCCCTCCTAGTATTCCAGAGTCTGTCCACTTCCCTCCATCCCACCACCATCATACCAGCTCAGGCTCCCATCGTCTTCCCCTGGGCTGCTACAGCCTCCGACACCCCCTACCCAAAGCCTGCTCCCTCTACACTGCAGAGTGTGTTGTCTTTAACAATGAATGGACCCAATCCCACTCCATGCACACAGCCCTTCAATGGCATCCCTGCCCACAAGGTCAAATCCAAACACCAAAACATATCCGAAATGCCTCGCAGGATCTGGCCCCTGCATACACCTCAACTCCTTTCACTATTCTTCCTCCTACCCACACTCTGCTCTCCAGCTGCACTGCCCTCATCACAGTTCCTCAAATGATAAGACCACACTGACAACAGTGTGCAGAGCAGCCTGGGAGCAAGACTGGTGGGGAGCAGAGCCACATGAGCTGATGCAGAGTCATCCCAGGAGGATGGGCTGGCAGAGAAGTGGAAGGACGCCAGAGATACTCTGAAGCAGGACAGTAATAATAGGATTTTGTGACTCCTTGGATTACAGAGGAAAGAGGAAAGTCATGGCTATCTCTTAGAGGTCAGGCTGGGCATTAGAGTAGACAGAAGTGTCATTTGCTGAGAGAGTGAAGACATAAAAAGGGGAAGGTTTTGGAGAAAAGATGCCAATATTGCCAACCAACAACTTTCATCAATTTATGCATACTAAATAAAAATACTTATCTTTTAAATATTCATACACAACTGCTAGACCAAATGGGTTTGATTAAAGATATGTTAGCAGGCCAAGTTAATATTAATTCAAAAAAAAAAAAAGGCCAGGCACAGTGGCTCACGCCTGTAATCCCAGCACTTTGGGAGGCCGAGGCGGGCGGATCACAACGTCAGGAGATCAAGATCATCCTGGCTAACATGGTGAAACCCCGTCTCTACTAAAAATACAAAAAAAAAAAAAAAAAAAAAAAATTAGCTGGGCGTGGTGCCAGGCGCCTGTAGTCCCAGCTACTCGGGAGGCTGAGGCAGGAGAATGGCGTGAACCCAGGAGGCGGAGCTTGCAGTGAGCTGAGATCGCGCCACTGCACTCCAGCCTGGGCAACTGAGCGAGACTCCGTCTCAAAAAAAAAAAAAAAAAAAAAAAAGTAGCTGGAAAACTTTGAGATGGTAGATTCACAGCCTATTTAAGATGTGTTTTTTGGCCAAAAATCCAGCCTGTATAAGCAGCAAATGCTTGATTTTTTTAAAATAAAGAATAAGAAAATATCATGCAAAATAATGGAAGCAAAACTGGCATAAAATTTAAGAAATTCAACTTTTCCTTAAAACAGGTAGAGGGCAGTGGAAGAGTGGAAAACTAATACAAAACACTATTCCATTCTGCTACAGAGCCTAAGAATACTTCATAGGCAACTTGGTTGGATCACGGGAAGAGAAGGTAGGAAGATTAACTGTGTTAATGATGACTATTCACTCCAGATGTAAAGGGGGACATCAAGCAAAATTAAAAAGGGCTTTGACATACAGACTAATCATCCAGGCCCTCAGGGCTTCTGGAACATATCTAGAAATAAAGCAGCTTAAAAAAATCTCTCAGATATCAGAGAAACCACTCTGAACCTCCAATGACCAAAGAAGATAACAGAGAACAGAAAATTGGAAGATGAAGGTATTGTCCTCTGACTAGCTGGTTCCTTATGTGGAAGAAAAGGCATTTTCTGCTGACTACTTATGTCTACAAAAGGACGTCCAGGCTCTTCTCACAAAAGCTCAGAAACAATGAAGAACTGGGTAGAGACAACGGTAAAAATTCAAAAGAGGGGGAGGAGATCAGGAACAGATCAGAGGGGCCACAGGAACTCTGGGCAGCCCCCATTAAATGTAGAGTTCGTGAAAAAGATCATTTAAGTTCTCTTCAAAAAGCGACCTCATCGCCAGAGAGGGGATGAAGTAAGGAAAAGGGAACACTGACCCTGCCTCAGAAAGTGTGTGCTCAGCCCTCATGCATAAGTGTCTGCATATGACCAGGGGTGAGGGGGAGGAGTAGTCAATGGCACTGGGTGTCACTTCTGCACTGACGTGAAGAATCAGATATGTCTCCCGGACTCTGGCCACAGGCAGAAGCAGCTGAGGCTGGTAAACGAAAAAGCAACAAGATGAAAGGAGCCTGGGTCTCCCCAAACAAAGCAGTTTACACCCTCATCATGCTGTAATAAAAGCCACTAGTCAGTTAAGACCCATCCACTTTGCAATCTTCCAACCAGCTCCTCATTCTTAGATACAAATGTCAAGCTAGGAATCAGCAGGCTGTGGGGATGGAAGCTTCCAATGTGAAAAATAGAAACTAATACAAATTGAAGGGGGACCTAGAGGTAACAAAGACAATGCAACAGGCAGAGAAATTTTCAAACTCAAGATTCTTTAAGTTGGAAATCTAACAGAAATGACAATAAAATGTAAAAATAAAATAAGGGAGAAAAACCCTGAGAAAATTCGACTTCAAGAAGTCCAATATCCAATCACTAACTTTCAAGAAAACAGGAAAAAAGAAATGGAGAAGAGAATGTCATTAGGGAAATAATACTAAAAAAAGTTTTCCTCCAAAGTGAAGAAAGTAAGTGCCCAGATAGAGCGCACAAAGTATGCGATGAGAAGGATGAAATAATATCTACCACATCATGACCTTTTACGGGACTAAAGAGAGAAAGATGAACCCAAAAGGTGCCAGAGGAAAACAACTAGCCACACACAAAAGGAACTAATGGTAGAATAGCACCAGACTTTTGAAAAGCTACACTCCATCTTAGAATACAGTCGAACAAAGCCTTTAAAAGTCTGAGGAAAAATAAAAATCAACAACCAGGCAAACCAGTAATTGAGTACAAAAATAAAAAAGGAAATGTTCAAACATGTCAGACAAATGTATTTTAAAATTATCTCTGTGACTCTCTTGGAAATTACCTGAGGATATGATCCTCAAAAGGATGAAACAGACCAGAAAGAGACCAACCTGGGGTCCAAAACACAATGAATCCAATGCAAGAGAGGAAAGGGGAATTCTCAGGATGGTGGTAAACAAAACTCCAAGGGAATCGCTAAACGGAAGCCCAGGGAAGGACGGGTCTAGGATGGAACCAGAGACAGAGGCTCCAGGAGGGAGGCCCCAGGGGATAGGAGTGGGAGAATTGAAATAATGGATTTTATACATTTGACAAAGTACAAAATAAGTGTTTACAGTTCAGCTGTAGATCTGGAGAGGAATTAATCAGCATACAGAACACCAAGGAAAACAAAATATTAGCAATAATTAACCACAGGAAAAATTTTAAGTTACCAAATAAACAATTATTTATACCACTTAATTCAGCAGTAAGCAATATTTTTACAGTCATAATAATGTAACTGCGGACTATGGTTTTACGTATCAGAATTGCTGAGTTTCCAAAGATCTGAAAGTGGCTTTCCCTAGACAAAGGGATACACAGGGTGGGGAAGACAGATGGGGCAAGGGACCACTGACGTACTTGATTATAAAAAGTTGAATAATGCCAAAAGATATGCATGTATATACAAAGCAGTGAAAATTCAGTTTAAAAACATACTAATAACTAACATACCCATTGTAGAGCACATTAATAGAAAGAAAGTTGTTCAATTAACTTACATGGAGACCTCTTGATCTTTGCCAAAAAATACTTCTAAGGAACAAATCATAAAAATGTTCCAGATAACATTAAAATAGCTGTTCGTATTCACCACCAAAAGAAATAATACAGTATATTTTAACCTTGGCTTGAAAACCATTAAAGAAAAACCTTCCAAAAAAAAGAAAAACTTTCCATACTGAAATTACCAACTACAAACTACCAGATCATGCGAAGGTATGGAGTTACAGTCATCTTACCTGGAGAATGAGGAGTCGGGGAAATGTGTAATCACAAAAGCAGACATTTAAGAATCCGCCCCCCAACATGCAGTATGTTACCTTTCCCTCCAATGTGTCGTTAGTTCAATAAATGAGTCTAAGTAAAATTAACTGAGGAAACTATTAGAATAATTATAAAATTACATGTATGACAGCTAAAAATGGAGCACAATAGGATCCTGAAAAATGGCAATATTAGAAAGAGTAAACTTCCACCTATCAAACCAAAACAATGCATACAGAAATATCAGCTGAAGAACAGCAAAATCCTGGGACCTCAGAATCCTTCGGAAATGAATTATTACAGAACAGTAATATTCTGGAACATCAGAACAGAAAAGAGAACGGAAAGTCTAGATCCTTCTTAGTGTCATGTATCTTTAAAACATTTTAAGTAAAACTTTTTATGAAATATAAATACCACTTACTTTGGCAATGAAATAAACACTTTTTTCTTCATTATGCAGGATCTTTAAACAAAAATTAACTAAAGCTGCAGACAATTTAATTGCTGTGGAAAGAACACTTAAAATGTATTCTCAGAGACAGTAGAGCACACGTTTTGGAGCCACTGTTGGTACTCAAATCCCTACTCTGCCAGTGACTAGCTCTGTGACCTCGGAAAAGTTATTTAATATCCTTGTGTCTCAGTTTCCTCATCTATAAAGCGGTTTACCTATCTCATGGGAAAACCATATGGATTAAATGAGTTTCTGATAGTAAAGAGTTTAGAGCCTCGCACATAAGCGTCATACATGAACTGAACTTCTGCAATCAAAAACAGTCTTCAGTGAAGATTGGAATCTGCAGAAGGAAAGCTTCAGAATGAGTCCATTGGAAAAATACTTCCTAAATTGGTAAACGCTAGTAAAGCTTATGTGATAGATAATATGTTTTTATTGTGCCTTTCATATATGGCAACCATAAGCTAAGTTTTTCTTTCAATATTTTATTATTAATTAATTTATTCAATCAAAAAATATTTTGGAAGGCAAGCATTCTTCTGGGTCACTTGCAAACACTACCTTATTCCATTCTCACATAGAAGACAGAGTCTCTTAAACTCATTTAGGTGTTCTTCCCTCTACTCAATCACTTCTTTAAAAATCATCTATAATCTTCCATTTCAGTTAACCTAATAAAACACTGCACCTCCCTTTTACAACCCTAAAAGACCTCTGTTACTTTATATTTTCTTTTACATTTAAAGGCAAACCAAAGAACTGGCAGTCACTCTAAGTTCTGCTCACATCATTTATTCAAACTATATAAAAACTCAACCTTAACAGATTCCACCCACAATTTAGAGCTTCTATACAGCTTTTTTTGGTCTTCTAGCCTTAATCATGACAGCCTAAGTTTGCCAGACATCTAAGGAAGGCACCTAACATGGAAGGTAGAGACCAAAGGATGTTTAAAAAAACAAGCTAGGCCGGGCACAGTGGCTCATACCTGTAATCCCAGCACTTTGGGAGGCTGAGGCGGGCGGATCACCAGGTCAAGAGATTGAGACAATCCTGGCCAACATGGTAAAAACCCCTCTCAACTAAAAAATACAAAAATTGGCTGGGTGTGGTGGTGCGTGCCTGTAGTCCCAGCTACTTGGAAAGCTGAAGCAAGAAAAAATTGCTTGAACCCAGGAGGCCAAGGTTGCAGTGAGTCAAGATCGTGCCATTGCACTCCAGCCTGGTAACAGAGCGAGACTCCAGCTCAAAAAAAAAAAAAAAAACAAAACAAAAAACAACAACAAAAAAAACCCACACACACAAGCTAGAAGATGCCAAGGTTATTCTGGGAGGGTAAAAACATCATTAATACCCTTAGAGAGAATATTTATTGAATCCAAGAAACAAAAATAAAATACTATTTTTTAAAAAGGAATGTTTATAGAACAAACAAAACTTCTTGGAAATTAAAAGCATGATAATGAAAAATAAAAACTCAGTAGAAGGTTGGAAAAAATAAGGCTGATAAAATGTTCTAGAATGTAGAACAAAGCCAAAGAGCTTAAAAATGGGGGGAAAAAAAAGAAAATTAGAGGACTGGAAACTACAAACATCCAAACAAAAGTTCTGAATCAGAAAACAAAGGGAATAAAATAAGTAAAGAAATAATTCAAGAAAATTCTCAGAAATCAAAGGCATGATTGAAACAACCCATCAAGTGTCCAAGAGAACACATGAAAGCAGATCTACACTGAGACATATTGCTCTGAAATTTCAGAACCATAGAGACAAAGAAGATATTCTACAATCTTCCAGAGAGAGGAAGGGGAAGCAAAGGTCACATACAAAGGTTTAGAAATTTGAATAACTTAGGAACATCTGAATAGCATCATCTGAAGCAACCAACAATGTTCTCTTTTCTTCTTTTGAGACGGAGTCTTGCTCTGTCGCCCAGGCTGGAGTGCAGTGGCACAATCTTGGCTCACTGCAAGCTCTGCCTCCTGGGTTCACGCCATTCTCCTGCCTCAGCTTACTGAGTAGCTGGGACTACAGGTGCCCGCCACCACGCTTGGCTAATTTTTTTGTATTTTTTAGTAGAGACGGGGTTTCACTGTGTTAGTCAAGATGGTCTCGATCTCCTGACCTTGTGATCCACCCACCTCGGCCTCCCAAAATGCTGGGATTACAGGCGTGAGCCACCGTGCCCGGCCAGCAACCAACAATGTTTTCAAGTCTAGAGTTCAACACTCGGCCAAACAGTGAACCAAATACGAAAGCAAATAAACACATTTTGCAAAGTTTCATAAAATGTTTACTTCCCAGCTATCTACTCTCAAGACCTACCTACTAGAAGATGAGGTCTACCAAAGAGGGAAAATAAACCAAGAAAGAGGAACAAACAGGATAAGGGCACAGGGGATCCAACAGGGGAGAGCAGTCAAGGAAATCCCAATGGGATGCCAAAAGGACAGATGTACACAAACCATGGAAGGTAGCCAGTCCAGAACCAAGTACTGACTCATGCCCAAAATCTCCACATTTTATTTGTGTGAGCCTGGATGAGCCTGGACCAGATTCTTGTCTGTATTTTATCTTGGCTCCACATACTTTACTGCTGGCATCAGTTAAAGACACTTATATCACTCACAGAAGTTGTTCTGCTTTGATATGCTCCAGAGAGCCAGGGTAAACAGTGGTGAATTTAGAAAGAGGGAACAGCTCTTCCCCTCATGATATTTCTGCTGGATATTCAGTACCTGGCCACTACATTTCTGCCAGATGTCCCTACCGACTGAGTCCTACATTTATCCCAGGCTCATGACGTTGCCTACTGATGTCCTGAGGAATCAGGCTCCTGGTTGAAAACCTATATGGGATTTCTCAGGCCTGGCCATATGCAAGGCTTTGCCTGACAGGCCTCACAGGGAAAAGAAGCCCTTCACACACCAGGCTTGGTGCAGAGCCAGTGTACTGTAGTCTCTCAGGGGAGTTGCAGTCAATGACTCAGCCACTTCTGGGTGATAAAGCTCTTCTTATATTTGCCTTCCTAGCCCAGGCACCTTTATTTCCTGGTCCTTTTCTCTGCTGTGGCCTGGCGGAGAGGGGCTCCTTGAACAGGCCGCTCCCCACTCTGACTCAGACTCTGCACTCTTTGGCTCCTAGCCCTTCTCCTTTGCCCCATCACTTCAAGAACCATAAACTACAGGAGCCTTTTGTTCCCTTTTGATGGGGGTGAGACATCCTGATCGTCACATCTCACGTATACCATTACAGTAAATGATTAAAGGCTTAACTCTCACTTTTGGCTTGTCGCTTTAACCAGCCACTCCAATACCTGGCAGCTCAGCTCCCTCCCCTAGCTCAGCTGCGCTCCTGACAGCCTCAGAAAGTTCCCTCAGGGAACCTAAAGACCATGACTCAGAAATTCTCTTCTTCTGGGAACTTTCATCTAACAAGGGCAATAGTGTCCTCCCCTTAAGCAGCTAGGTTTGTGCCTGATACTCAGTTTTTCAAAACTAAACACACCATATTTAAGGGTAAACACATGAGTGGCACAATCATAAAGAAAAACAAGGAAAACATTGGTCCAAAAGTTAGGATGTCATTTCTTCTGAGGGTTGAGGGAAGGAAAGAGAATGTATTAAGAAGGAATTTTAAGGGTATGAAAGCTCTGATAATTTATTTATTTTTCTAATCTGTGTCATGGGTACATAAGTATTCATTTTACTAATCTTTAAACATGTATATAAAGATTTTACACAATTCCATAGTCATAACATTTTACACATAAAAAAGTATTTTACTGGTTATTTATTTACTGGGTCATAGATAATACACTCATATGATAGCAATGCATAAAATAAAGTAAGAAATTTCACACAGCTGTTTCTTATAAGATCCTCAATATAAACTGAAGGGATAATTTAAAAGTAAAGTTCCAGTAAAAGTATTGCATGGGATACAATAAACAAAAGTCCAAGTAGGCAGCAGTGACTGGGCAGCTGTCAGTCAATAATGAGACACTCCGCAGGGGCATTGTTCTGTCTCCCCCAGGATGACTCATCAGCCACACTCACTGCCCACTGTTTTCTCCAGAAGACCTCCTCAGATGGCACTTGTTCTAGAATGGAATCAAAGGCTGAAGAGTCTAAAAATCTAATGGGTTATTTTGGGGGCAACCTCAGATAGGATACTGAATGGGAAAGAACTCAGAGTCTAACATAAGATCTAAAAATCAACTTAAGTACTTTTATAATTCTACCATATTTCTCTTATTTTAGGCAAAGGAATTTTTGTCTATTCTTCAGCTCCAGTTTTAAGGAGAGTAGTAGGAACTCTGAAGACAGAGGCAGCAGTAATCAGGGGAGAACGATACAAAGAAATGAAGCTCAAAAAGACAGCACCAGAGTCCTCTCTGGCCAGCCACAGGCCTGGTCTGTGAAAACCCTGAGTGGTTTCAGGCATCATTTCACCATCCTAAGATTCAAAACAAATCAAGCAATCAAAGGCAGGGCTGCTAAGTAAGCAGCTGCACAAGCAGAGCAGTGGGAGAGGTGAATGGGACCAGGGCCTCGCTGCTGGGGAGAGGAGGAAGGGGTGGGAGACTAGATGGGGGTAGCAAGGGGACCCAAGGGAAGTCCAATTAAAAAGTTTTATTGGCCAGGCACAGTGGCTCACACCTGTAATCCCAGCATTTTGGGAGGCCGGGGTGGGTGGATCACCTGAGGTCAGGAGTTTGAGACCAGCCTGACCAAAATGGTAAAACCCTGTCTCTACTAAAAAAAAAAAAAAAAAAAAAAAAAAATTAGCCAGGTGTGGTGGTGCGCGCCTGTAATCCCAGATACTCAGGAGGCTGAGACGAGAATTGCTTGAACCCGGGAGGTGGAAAATGCAGTGAGCTGAGATCGCACCATTGCACTCCAGCCTGGGCAACAGAGTGAGATTTCGTCTCAAAAAAAAAAAAAGTTTTGTCTTAATTTTGTCATGTGAGAGAGAAGGTAAGGGATGAACACATTCTGAGGCGGATGGGAAGGAACCAGGAAAGCAAGCCTGAAGGACAGCAACAGGCAAAGAACTGGCAGCCAGTAGGGATAAATCTAATACCTACAAAGGAATGAGCCTTAAACAAAGGCACTTTTTTCGATGATTCTCTGATTCCACCAGGCCTCTGTATCTCAGTATTGTACTCCCTCTTTTATTTCAGCTAGTCAGAGTATTTCTGGCACCCTTTTCAAAAGAGAAAGAAAAAATCTCCTGCTTATAAACCCTGTTATTGTTTGCACTCATCCTTACATAGCAGTAAAATTTATAATAAACTTTATAGACATATGTATTTTTCCAGAGAACTGTTAAACATATACATTATTTAACAGCTTAATACACTATCCAATCTATTCTTCCTCAACAATGCACCATAACCTAGCTAACCCCGAACTCCAAAATAATACTAAAATCACACTAAAGTGCAAAGAATAAAAGTTTTAGTATCACCTGCTTGATATCTGCCTTAGAGTCCAACACCAAAAGTTTTTTGTATTTATCAATAAGAGAAACTTAAGCATATATGAATTTCCTCCAGAAGAAACTAGGGGGAAAGTTCTAACTGTCCAACAACCAATGCTCCTTCTTACTTGCAGAACAGAGATTTCCACACACTGGGTCTTAAGAAACTGGCCTTCAGAAACTGTTAGTCTGTGGCTAAGAAATATCAGGGTATCTTATGAAATACATAACGTAAGTATAAATCAATACAGCTTCAAAAAATAATTAACAATGAGTATTTTAAAAAAAATACTAAAATACTGAGAATTCCAGAAAAAGAATTATACCATGAGTAGGCTGTGTTTGCAAAACAGATCTCACTTCATCTCCTCAAGTTAGAGCTTGGCAGCCTGGCTCCATTCACCATTTGCCTGTTTTCTATTTTCCCTTCTTCCATTTCTGGCGAAATGGACTGGCTTACCTGGCTTCTAAAAACTTATATGTATATTATTTCAAAACAAATATACTTCTGAATTTAAAATGTCACAGTCAATCTGCCTGCAAATTTCTAACCTGCTAGACAAATCTCAACTTTTATTTCTCAGTACATAATACAATTTATTTTTTTAATCCTAAAAACAACTTTAGATACCCTCCTCTTTATTTTTAACCCATATTTTAAGAAGTCTGCAGCTTTATCCCTTTCATAAAATTACAAGGGTGACTAACCATCAAGGAAGAAAATATTAAGAACTAACTAGTAATCTGAAACCTCTAAATGTACTTCAGGTCAAAAAACATACAAAAATGCAATGAAAAACACTGATAGAAAAGAAGTGATAAGAGACTCTATTCAAAATAATATACATCAGGATCAATTTTGGAAAGAACCTTCAGTTAACGATGCCTTTGAATAGAGCTAAAGAGATGGTTCCGGGTTAAGAAAAAGCCCACAAACACAAAAGGAAAGCTGGAAAAATGAAAACATGTGCTGCTAGTGCAGACCACCATGGGGTCCAAGAGTTGGGTAACACAGAAGGGGCCAGCTAAAGCACAAAGCAGTCAAATGGGCAGAGTGAAACAAGCTATAGCCACTGACATTGGAAGAACCAGAGACAGCCATCTGGAAAGACCCAAATGCTCTAAGGTAAAAGCTGCCCTCATGCCACCTTAAGCAGTAGTCTACAGACTTTTTTACACCAAAACTACAGTAAGAAGGCTTTACACAACTCAGCACACACACGTGTGGTGTGTGTGTGTGTGTGTGTGTATATATATATTTATAGCAAATAGAAGTTTCTCTAAATAGTATCTATCCTTATTAGTGTGGTATATGATATTATTTACTTTGCAGCATTTTTTTTTCTTCATCTAAAATGAAATGGGCTCAACCCACTGAATCAATTTTAAAACTCTCTAATAAGTGATGCCCTGCAATTTGACAAACACTGTGCTGAAGTAGTCACTGCTTGACTTTGGGGACTGGGGAAAGTCAAGTGTTCTATGAGATCATACTTCAGCTTGAATCCTGTTCTTATACTGGTCAATTTTTGTACTTATTTCACTTGCTTTGGAATAGGTTTCAACCCAGTCAGTTACCAAGGCCTTTCATCATCCAGCACAACCTCTGTTCCAATCTGAATCCTCCACAACACTCCCTGAAGAACATGCATCCCAGCAAAACTGATCTGCTTATTACCTGCTTTCCACATACTAGATTTTGGCCTTTGTCTCTCCCTGGTATGCTTTTATCTTCATGGTTTATTTCCACCTATTCAAATACCTCTGATTCTACAAGGTCACACTAAAGTAGCCCCTCCATGCAGAACAAATTTCTCCTGCCTCTGAAGTTCTAAGCACTTAATTTTTCCTTCCTGTCTATCTTCCATTCACACACACCCTGCTGCACTCCCATGCTCTCAGAGCCCAGAGTTTTAAGAAACTACTTGGTATGAATAGTGTGTGTTGACTGAACAACTGAATATGCATCTCCCATGTAGACAAAAAACTGTCTACCAGGCACCACAGGGTTAGGTCAGGTCAGGGCCAAAACCACCAAAAACCCCTCAACCAAAACCAGGAACTTTTATTCTCTTCAGTAGATGTTGTGCCTTCTGCCTTTGAAAAAACAGTTATAACAAGCATTACAAGAAAATGTGAATGCTTTAACGGATGTTTACAAATTCTTCTTTCAATTAAAAAAGTAGCCAGGCATGGTGGCACACACTTGTAGTTCCAGCTACTTGGGAGGCTGAGGCAGGAGGACTGCTTGAAGCCAGTGGTTTGAGGCTATAGTGCTCTGTGACCACATCTGTGAATAGTCACTAGACTCCAGCCTGGGTAACAATATAGCAAGACCCCATATTTTTTTAAAAAAAGGGTAGCATAAGTGCAGATTAGCAGCTTAGCAGTAATGCCATGTTTCATATTTTAACTTCTCTTATGTAAAATCTAATCTCCCAAATGTAATAAAGCTACCCATAGACAGATGGGCAGTACTCAGCAAAATGAATAGACACCACCAAGTTTCTCTCCCTCTGGCTCATTACGATGCAAGCACACAGGCCCACTTTCCCTCAAGTCAGCCTCCTTTTCTCATTACCATATTCTTTTGGTTTAACTTATTTCCCTGCATCTTGTTTCAAAAACAAAATCTTTCACAATCATCTTTTAATCATGCATTTTTATTTTAGTCTCCCCAATTAAACAAAAGAATTTTCTTAGACCTAAGTCAGAAATAGTAACATCAAAGTGTCTTAAATCTATATGCAAATATATTTTACATTGATCTTCTAACAGCTTCCTCTTTTGACAAATGCTTATCAAGTAACTGCTAGATACTCAAACGGTGGGCTAGAAACTCAACACATCTTTGAGGTACTAAACTGAAAATGCCACACTTCCAAAGGAAAGGAGATAATGCGATAATAGCAAATTCAAACTCATTATCCCAAATTGAAAATCATATACAATTCTCATAATTCTGTACTACAAAGAATCAATAAGCAGCAAGGAAGAAAATTCTAAAGATAATCTCAAGGTAAAATACTTCAAACATATATACAGAATAATAAATTGGCAAAAAAGAAGTAAACATAAAAAGCCTTAAAAAATTAGTCTTTTAGTTTTAGGAATGCTGCTCAACTGTAAAGTAAATCAGGTCAGATACTAAATATTGTACAGAAGACACTTCTAAATATTACATAGAAGATACTTCTACTTTAACATTAATAAAGAGCTATTAATATCATTTGATAATGAGTGGTCTTTTCCCTTATATTTTATGTAAACAATATATACTGGATGGAGCTGAAACCATCTACAGCCATTGACATTGGAAGAAGAACCACAGACAGCCATCTAGAAAGACCCAAATGCTCTAAGGTAAAAGCTGCTCCCTCATGTTACCTTAAGCAGTAGTCTACAGACTTTTTTTACACCAAAACTACAGTAAGAAGTAAGACTTCACACATCTCAGCACACACACGTATACACGTACATACAGCAAATGGAATATACTGTTCCATAACAATATATTAGATATTCCATAACAATATATGGAATATATATTGCTTATGTTCAAATGCCTATGAATATTCAAAATTTATGCCAGGCACTGTGGCTCATGCCTGTAATCCCAGCACTTTGGAAGCTGAGATGGGCAGATCACTCAAGCCCAGGAAGTTGAGACTAGTCTGGGCAACATAGCAAACCCTGTCTCTACAAAAAATACAAAAAAATTAGCTGAGTTTGGTGGCGTGCACCTATAGTCCCAGCTACTCAGGAGGCTGAAGTGGGAGGATCGCTTGAACCCAGGAGGCGGAGGTTGCAGTGAGCAGAGATCACACTACTGCACTCCAGCCTGGGTGACAGAGTGAGACCCTGTCTCAAAAAAAAAAGTAATTAAATTTATCAAGTATTCCCAATTCTATTTACATCTCTAAAACTATCTTAAGTGTGATGGGCCATGGCAGTGGTGAAATCATGCAAATAATGAATTTTATGATAATAAGATATTTTAGGATATTTTCATAAAACTGAACTATAAATTAATCAATGATTAACTATTAACTAATCAACTATTTTATTTTAGTATATCTTATAAACACATACTAAAATATTCTTACCTTAAATATGTGCCATATATGAAGAATAATGCCATCATTAGTCCATTTAAAATAAAAATTACAGCAACATAAAAGCAAGCAGGATCTCCCAATCCTTTAAAAATAAACAAAACATATGTTCTAATCACATTAACCCAAATTACCTTACGTGTCTAGCAATTTATATTAAATTGTGTTCATTTTGAAAATGGTTGCCAGATATATTAAATAGCTGCCTTGGTTCCCACATGAAAACACAACACTACTGCAGAACATAGATGAGACCAGGGTAATTAGCAATGATGGTTTTAAAACAGGGCTGCAAATTCACTGATACGCCTCCTCTGGAGGTATGGGGTCTATAGCCCCCATTTTTGAGTTTCATTGGGCTTGTGACTCTTTCAACAGAGTATGGCAGAAGCAACACTATGTGACTTCTGAGGCTAGGTCATAAGAGGTCATACAGTGTCCAGCTTGGAGCCTTCAGCTGCCATAGGAAAAGCCTTACTACTACTCTGAGGTACTTTGCTTTCAAAAAGCCCAAGTCACCCCGAAAGGCCACATGTAGGTGTCCCAGCTGAGAGTTCCAGCTGAGCTCAGCCTCACAGTCCTCCATGCCCAGGAGCCAAAATGTGAGCAATGTAGCCTCTCAGTTAATTCCAGCCTTCCCAGACATTTGAGTCTTAGTAGCAGAGGTCCCTGAAATCATGGACATAAACCAGCCCCGCTAAAGCCTGCCCAAATTCTGGACTTGCAGAATCTATATATGCATAATAAAATGGGTGTTGTTTATACCACTAAGTTTACAGTGTAAGTTTATTATGCTAGATAAGTTTATTATGTTACAACAGATAACTGGACAATATTACAGAAAGAAACTTACCTTCACAGCTTTCAATAGGACTGAGTCCTTCTCCTCTGGTAACCGTCCAACATATCTTGGTTTGAATACCAATCAAGTCCATTATTTTGGTATAAATCCGGTACCAACTGGCCAAAATTACCTATTTTAAAAAATACAGAGGCATCTTAAGAAAATATACTAAACAATTTTCATTACTAGAATACTTTTGAGATACTTTGACAATTACCATATTTTCCCTTTCCATACCATCCACTTGGCTCCCTTTAAATGTAGTAAAACAAGGCTCAGAATCTCCTAGGCAGATTCTTCACTGGTCAGTTTTCAATTGTTCATCCATGGGTAAGGACAAAATATGGGCCAAAAAAAAGTGCTAAATTTATGTTTTTCAAAAGCTCTACAACTCTACTAAGAGACACAAAAGAAGATTTGCACAAGTAAAAGATACTGGGTCTACTGGAATAGACCGAATTATTTAAGATATGAATTCTCCCTCAAATTAATTCATAAACATAAAATAATTCCAGTCAAAATTCCAAGTGTCTAAAATGTATCTAGAAAACTAACAAGAAAATTAAAGGGAATGTTTTAACAGATATTAAGTCTTACCACTTTTAATAATTAAAATAGTGTGATACTGGCACAAGAATGGCTAGACAGATCAATAACCATGGTACAAGCGGTGGCAAGCCACCCCAGATTCCCTCTTCCGGGCTGAGGCACTCATTCCTCCAGCTGGTTAGAAGACTGGTGCCTGAAAGCTTGAAGCTGTGTCCCTCCATGGGAACTGCCCATGGCTGAAGAAAGTAAATTCACTCAAGGTGACATCCCCTACCCACGGGCAATCTGCATCTGATGACCGACTAGTCAATAGGGAAAGACATCAAGGCCAGGGGCCCTTCTCACAAGGTAGGACAACTCTGCAAAGCCATCCCAGATCCAGAGCTGCCCAGGGACTGGATGAGGCCTTCACAGTGACTGTATCAAAGCTCTCCTCTTCCTCCTACCTCATTCTGCTTCATTCATCCCCCTTCAGGTGTTGGCCCTAAGGACACTCCCTCGACTACTTCCTGCATGCAAATCTCCATCTCAAAGTCCACTTTCCAGGACCTCAACCTAAGGCAATACTGAGCACAAAATCCAGAAACACGTGCAAGCATGTATGTATAATAATTTTGCATATAAAGAAAAAAGCTTACTTCAAATCAGTGGAGAGAGGATGGACACCTCATCAGTGTTAGGTTACACACAATACATTTTCAAAAAACAATTCAAGGTTAGATTCCTACCCCACACTATGCATCAAAACCAATTCCAGATAAATTAAAAATGTAAATTAAAAAAAATTATGATTATAAAAATGAAGTTTTTTACATGTATGTATAAAAGACAAAAAAGATTCAAAGATATATTTCTGTATAGAAAAAAATACATAGACATCATACACAAAGCTAAAGGGCAAACAACTGGGGAAAATGTTTCATTATATAGCATTATATTAATATCCAGTATATAATAAATGAACTTATAAAATTTTAACAGAAATATAGATGAAAGGCATGAATTGGCAATTATTTTTAAAAGTAAAAATGCATTATGTATATATGTATGTGTGTTATATATACATATATAGAGAACACTGATATATATATATAAAATCAATGAATGAAATACATCACGTGACCAATTTGTCTATCCAATTAACAAAGATGCAGGTAAATAAGTAGTTTCAAAAACACTGCTGGTGGATAGTTCAATATCTATCTGGAAAGCCTTCTGACAAAATCATTAAAATATATATTCTATTGAACTAGAGTTCCACATCAACAAATTTATAGTTTTGCAAGGAGGATAAAGGAGAGGCCAAATGTCATCTCCACTTGCTGGATTGGGCTCACCTTCCCTCCACTCCCACTCAAGAAAGTGCACTCAATTAAATGAGGAAAGGGAAGAAAACATTTAACAAATGACATGTAAAAGTAACAGCGCTCCCTTGGTATAATCCCTGTAAGCACACCAAATCTAGTTTTTATATTTTCTAAACAATGCAATCAAATCAACAGTTCCCCACAGAATTAAAGCCCTCTCCTCAAAATCAGTAATGATCTTTTTTACATATTCCTCCACAAGATACATATTTTCTTTTAAAAAATTAAATACAATTTAATATATTGAATTATATCTTAGATTTAGAATCAGCGTTTAATACAAAAAAGTTTTTACAAAAGTGAAAAATCACAATTGGAAAAAGTACCTTACCTCAGGGTAAAGATTGAATCTTTTTAATGTATTAATGACAAGGGGGTATTCAGTCAGTTTATCATTCATAATCATCCATACTCCATTCAAAAATGAGGGTGCTTCCACAATAGTCTTGAAATAGGAATAATATAGTCCCTGAAATAAAGATATGCTCAATTAAAATAACAAAAGGTACATAATTATGATGCCACTTCTAAGTAAATACACTGTTTTTGAAAAACAAAGCAATTAAGTAATAGCTATTAATACAATGAATTTCACAGGTTTCTGATCACTGATAAATCCTAAAGTTGTGAAAAAACTATGTATTTTCACATAAATGCATCTTAATTGAAATAACTGAATGCAAAATAGCTTCAAAAAGTTTCAGCATTTAAAAAATAATACGACTCAGCATACTTCAACTTAGAAAATCCTATTACTTATACTAATATCACTCTTAGAAAATGCTATCTTATGAATAGAGTGAGTGGTTTATTATGGAACTAAAATTTATCATGAACCAAGAAATCTCAAGCCAAAAATACTCCTCTAACTGCTTATTTTAATCCCCAAAATGACACTATCAGTCATTTTTCCTCCGGATTTACATGCAAAAATGCAAATGTGTTGAGAAGGCTACACACTGATGTATTATTACATATGAATTTCACTCGGGTGCCACCTAATTTTACAGATTATTTTCCCTCCTATCAAGTCAGCATAAGGTAAGAACCCTGTGCGACTGGGGATAAGGGTGGGGAGTGGTCCTCTTTTGAAGAAAAGAGACAGTTTTTAGCTTGGCACACTACTTTGGAAAGATAGCAAGGGTGAAATAATATGTGAGACAAAAAAAAAACAAGAAAATACTAGAAGCCTAACGGAGAGTCTAAGTGGCAGTATGAGGGAAGACAGAAACACAAGATAAATCTACGTCTTGTATTTGCATCTTCAGTTTTCCCTGGAGCTGCCCTGGTAGCCAGTACCAGTAGCTGCCAAAGTTTAAACTGGGTTTAAGACTCACAAATACAAAAGAGATATGCCTATCCAGAAACTTATTGAAAAAGAAAAAAATGGTCTTGATACTCTGATGTATCGACTCTGATACCACTATTTTTAAAATTATGTTTCCTTGTGTACTGATTTGGATAGTGTCCCCTAAAATTTCATGTCCACCAGACCCTGTGGAGTGATCTTATTTGGAAATGGGATTCTTGCAGACGTGATCAAGTTAAGATGAGGTCATATTGGATTAAGGTGGACTCTAAACCCAACACAACTGATGTACCTACATAAAGAGGAATATTTGGCCTCAAAGCTACAGGCACACAGGGGAAAAGGCCATGTGAAGAGGGGTCAGAGACTGGGGTGAGGCATCAGCATGCCAAGGAATTCCAAGGATGGCCAGCAACCACCAGAGGCTGAGAAGAGACAAGGAAGGACTCTCCCCTCCAGCCTTCAGAGACAAGATGCCCGTCAACACCTTAATGTCCCACTGCTAATCTCTGGAACTGTGAGAGAATATATTTCTGCTGTTTTAAGCCACCTAGCTTGTTGCACTTCTTTATGACAGCCCTAGGAAACTATACCTTCCTTCTTTTGTAGGTTTGATTTTGGAAACATATGTTTAATTATAAAACAAAAATTTAAAAATCCCTAAATATCAAAATAAAAATGAAAGAAAGGAATTAACTATTTATCAACTTGGAAGAAGATTTCAAGTAACATTAAGATACTGTAATTTTACTGTATATCCCTAGTGGACTATATCCTAAGGTTAAAATGGAGCCCAGGAACTTGGCAGGACTGGTTTCACAAGTTACAGGTCACAAAGACCCTGCTGATAACACAGGATGCGGTGAAGAAGCCAGCCAAAACCTGCCAAAACCAAGATGGCAACTAAAGTGATTTCTGGTCATCCTTAGTGCTCATTATAATACATTAGCATACTAAAGGAAACTCCCACCAGCAGCATGACAGTTTACATATGCCATAGCAACCTCTGGAAGTTACCCTGTATGGTCTGAAAGAGGGAGGAATCCTCAGTTCCAGGAATTCCCCTCCCTGTTCCCAAAATACTCATGAATAATCCACCTCTTGTTTATCATATGATGAAGAGATAACCTTAAAAACAATCAACCAGCAGCCCTCACAGCTGCTCTGCCTGTGGAGCAGCCACCCTTTCATCCCTTTACTTTCTTAAGGTAAACTTCTTTTCACTTTACTCTGTTGGAGCATTCTTGAATTCCTTCCTGCCCAAAGCCAAGAACCCACATGGCCTCCTGGGCTGAGCCCCAATTCTGGGGGTTGCCCTGTGAAGAAGCGAACTGCAAGAAAATCTTAAACTCTTTTCAGTAATCACATTTTTAATTATACCTTTGGTACTTTTATTCCTAACAAATCAATAATTTGAAACCAAGATTCTCAAACTAAAAGATTAATATCAAATAAGTAAAAAAAAATCTAATCTTGTTTCCATTTAAAAAATTAATATAAATTCATGATTTCTTTTCTCTTTAAAAAAATTTTTGTAGCCTAATTCTCTTCAGTAAAAAGGCCAAAATACAATGGCCAATCTAGTAGCAATGAGCATCTGCCACTGACAGAAATGGTGGCTCATGGGAAAACTGGCTGATGCCAGGTCTGAGAAGAAAATGTCTTGTAGTACCTGAAAGTAAGGAAGCCATGGATACTAGTGAGGTCACATCAAGGGCAAACAAGGAGAGCTGCAAGGGCTTTAATAGCTAAAGACAGGAAAGTTTACAAAATATGTTAAAATCCATCATATCATAATGATACTCCAAAAGAAGGTACTCCATTGATCACTACTAGAAGATGCTAGGGAAGCTACTCATTTTTCTGAATATTAGTAAATAAAAAGAAAGAATAAAGCATCTTTCTGACTTTCCTCTATGATATACCTCAGGGAGAAATCAAAAGGTATTGTGTGAAAGTTCTTAATAGAAGAATTATAGCTAATAAGTGCAAAGAAAAAAATGATAGATTAGGTACCACAGTTTGAGAAGGATAATGAAATAACTAACCTAGGCTGATGGCTAGGCTATAGGAGGAATCAGCATCACAATACCTAAAGCCAGTGATCACTCTTAACATCACAGAAAGTGAGACAACCAGATATGATGTGCCTCTTGGCCTGATACAATAGAAGTATACAGCACCACCTAGGAAGTATTCCTGCCAGAAAATAAGTCAAATCTTCTGATCCATAAATGTTCAGGAAACTTGGGATACAGGAACATAATTGAAGAATGAGGATTATTGTGGGTAATTCTATAGGACAAATCAGCTGGATTTCTCAACAAACAAATAGCAGGAAAACAAAACAAAAACAGGTAAAGAAATTCACATATTAAAAGACTTAAGATACACATCAACTAAATGCAATGTGTAGGCACTGTTTGGATCCTATTCAAACACATCAACTGTTTTTTTGTTTTTTTTTTTTTAAAGTGCCAAACAGGGCATTTAAATACTGATTTCTATTTGATTATATTAAGGATATTGTTAAATGTTTTCCAGTATGTCTTGTGCCATGGTTTTGTGCCATAGTTAAAACAAAGTCTTATCTTTAGAGACACTTATGAAAGTATGAAAGCATGAAATGATATAATGTCTGGGATTCCCTTTAAAAAGAGATAGTTGGCCGGGCACGGTGGCTCACGCCTGTAATCCCAGCACTTTGGGAGGCCGAGGCGGGTGGATCATGAGGTCAGGAGATCGAGACCATCCTGGCTAACAAGGTGAAACCCCGTCTCTACTAAAAAAATACAAAAAATTAGCCGGGCGCGGTGGCGGGCGCCTGTAGTCCCAGCTACTGGGGAGGCTGAGGCAGGAGAATGGCGTGAACCCGGGAAGCGGAGCTTGCAGTGAGCCGAGATTGTGCCACTGCAGTCCGCAGTCCGGCCTGGGCGACAGAGCGAGACTCCGTCTCAAAAAAAAAAAAAAAAAAAAATTAGCCGGGCATGGTGGCAGGCACCTGTAGTCCCAGCTACTCAGGAGGCTGAGGCAGGAGAATGGCGTGAACCTGGGAGGTGCAGCTTGCAGTGAGCCGAGATGGAGCCACTGCACTCCAGCCTGGGCGACAGAGCGAGACTCCGTCTCGAAAAAAAAATTAATAAATAAAAATAAAAAATAAAAAAGACATAGTGAGTGGGGGTGTAGATGAAGGAAAACTGGCTGTGGCTGTCAGCTGTAGAAGGTGGAGCATCTACTCTTTCTACTTTGGAACATCTTGAAATTTTCCATAATAAAAAATATTAAATGTTTTTAAATTCCTAAAGTACTATGATGAAATCCCAAATAAAAACTAACCATTTCAGTGCGAAAAGCCATCTCCCTTTCCAATGTTGAGAGGTGAGAAAAATGACGGTCATTTTCAAAGAGGTGTGTTATATGGCTCCTGGAAAAACAAAACAAAGCAATAGTGTTAAAACTTACACTCTAAGTATTATTTTTTAAAGTAAGCTAAAAGCAAAAATAAAAGTATCAGTTAACTTGCAGATAATTTTGTAATAACACTCAAATACAATAGTATCTATATTTTTTTCACTCAGTATGTATTGCATTTATACTAAAATTTCCCTCTCTAAAAAATCAAATTAGATTTTAAAATTAAAATGAACCAGAATATTTTAAGTGAAGTACAATAAAAGTATAGATTAAACTGTAAATGTCATTGGGTTACCATTTTAGAAACATCTAATGAAATTCATATTTCTATCTAGAAGATTAAATAAATTAATCTCTCTCTCACCATGAACATATTAATGTTGAGTGGAGTCTCAAATATAGCCTCTTTAATAATGAATCTCTTTTTTATTAAACAATTATATTATTCTGACCCTGATTTATCAATTAAACTAGTTTTTCAGACTATTGTGTTACATGTAATATATATTCATACTGATCATGCTGAAATTATTCCTTTAAATGTATGGGAAATAGCTTTAGCAAGTTATAAACGTCTGCATAAAATACCATAGGAGAAAAAAACAATCTTACCAGTGCAACACTGCTGCAAAAACAGCTGTAAGAAAAAAGAAATTTAAATTAGAATTTTAGCATAAACATGTTCATCTTACAGAAAAGCCATTTCAAAGATAAAGCATGTCAAATATTGAAATGTGTAAAAAAGAATACTGGGTCTTCAAAAAAGTCCCAGGGCTACGTTTAAAATTGTGATTGACTAGCTCATAAGGGAATTAAGCATACAGCCACCATTTTCACTCACTCACTCATTCAACAAAATATATGAAGGCCTAATATCCGCTAATAGACAGAAACCATTAGATGGAAACTATTGCTAATAGAACTGAGAGAGGAATGGAATCAACAGGTAAGGATAACTTAGAATAAAGAAATATGGTGGCTGAGGGGTACAGGATTGGGGGTGGAAGAAAAAAGGGAACTACCACTTCTGATATACTGCTGCAATGCCTGAAATTTTATGACAAATATTAACCCGTGTCTTTAAACAAATTTAAAATGAAATGAGTAAAGGAGAAGAAAAGGTAAGAGAGAGAAAACAAGCTAGTAATAAAATCAGTCTCATATGAAAATCAATACCTTGCTATCTGTCCAAGCAGAAAGAACATACTAAGATGAACCTGGAAGACACCATTCAATTTTCTTATCTCACAAGATACAGCTGATGGCAGGCTTCTGATTAAATAACTCTTAACTAAGGAATCAACCTATGAAAATACTCCTAGAAAGGAAACCCAGGCCAGATACAGTGGCACATGCCTGTAGTATCCATTACTGGGGAAGCAGAGGCAGCATCATCTCGAGCCCAGGAATTCAAGGCTGCAGCAGTGTGCTATGACTATGACTGTTAACAGCCACTGCTCTCTAGCCTGGGCAACATACTGAGACTCTGTTTCTCAAAAAAACAAAAGAAAGAGAAAAAGAAGAAGTAGGAGGAAGAAGAAGGAAAAAGAAAGAAGAAGAAGGAAGAAGAGAAGGAGAAGGAAGAAGAAAGAAGGAAGAAGAGGAGGAGAAGGAAGAGGAAAGAAGGAAGAAGAGAGGAGGAAGGAAGAATAAGGAGGAAGAGAAGGAAAGAAAAATGAAAACCAAATAGATCAGATCTTATTGTTTTATTCTTAAAGTCAGTTATATTTTTTCATTTAAAAATCCATTTTGCCTTGGAAATACGAATGGTTACTTCTAGATAATTGAAGTTACAAATATCTAACTTAGTTTGTCATTTGACTTTTTTTAATAAGATATATTGATCTTTTGAAATTTTAAATTTTTTTCTTATTAACAAATCTACCATTTGCTTCCTTTTAGTTTCTGTCTTTAAAAACTTTATCTGCCAGGCTCATGACTATAATCCCAGCTACTCGGCTGGAGGAAGTAGGGGGATCAGCTGAGGACAGGAGTTTAAATCTAGGCTGGGTAACACAGCAAGATCAGGTCTTTACAAAGCACGAGCCTATTGTCCCAGCTACTCAGGAAGGCTGAGCTGGGAGGATCGCTTGAGTCCAAGAGGTTGAGGTTGTAGTCAGCTATGATCACACCACTGTACTCTAGCCTGGATGACACAACAAGACCCTGTCTCTAAAGAAAAAAAATAATAATAATCCTAACATAATAAAATTTGGTCTTTATTTTCACAATGATTCAACTATCATTTTCTGAATAAATTATTTTTCTCCCATTGAATGTAAATGCAACTTTTATCATACTGAAGACTTGCCATGCTTCTACTTTGGTAATCACTCTGAGGTTATAATTGGATTTTCACTTATAAAATTAATTTGGGAAGAATTTACACGTTTACAATATAGAGCCTTCATATCCATAAATGTGGTGTGGGTATATACATATGTTGTATATATAGGTATGTGTATATATACATAACATATATCTTCAATTGTTCAAACTGTTTTTCGATAGTCCTTGAGAAAAATTCTACAGGTATTGTTAACATATGCATTTCTTATGAAGTTTCTCCTGGGAGTTAAACATTTTTTTCCTGCTAATATTCATAAAATGTTTTTTATTATACATTATTGGATATTGTTAAGGCATTTATTTTTGAAGAGTATTTATTTTGCAATGTATTTATTTTTGGTTCATTTACTAAACTGTTAATTCATATAGTTTTTTAAACTTATCTTCAGTTCTCCATTTTATTGCATTTTATTTTATTTTTGAGGAGTCTTGCTCTGTCACCCAGGCTGGAGTGCAGTGGCATGATCTTGGCTCACTGCAACCTCCGCCTCCTGGTTTCAAGCGATTCTCCTGTCTCAGCCTCCCGAGTAGCTGGGATTACAGGTAAATGCCACCATGCCTGGCTAATTTTTGTATTTTCAGGAGAGATAAGGTTTGGTCATGTTGGCCAGGCTTGTCTCAAACTTCTGACCTCAGGTGATCTGCCCGCCTCAGCCTCCCAAAGTGCTGGGATTACAGGCATGAGCCACCACACCCGGCCCTAATTCTTCATTTTAAACAGTATTATTTACATATAATAATTTTGTTCCTGTTTTATAATTTTACTATTAGTTTCTTATTCCTGACAAAAACAATAAACTTCTAGAATATTACTAAACAATTCTGGTAAATGGGGGCACTCTTGGCGTTGGTGGTATAGTGGTGAGCATAGCTGCCTTCCAAAGGGGGCATTCTTGATTTCTGCTGACTTTAACAGCAATGCATTTCCTATTATGCCATTAAGTTGGCCTTTGACCTTCACAATTCTGGAGTGCTAACTAGGATTTATCAAGGTCATCATCCCTCTATGTCCTTAAAATACCTTGCTTTCTCAGAATAAGGATGGGAGGTGCAAGAGGCCTCTGGTGCCTTTTAGACAATACACAAGGACAACACTTGGAGTTCCTGACACTCTTTCACAGTCTCCAGGGTCCATTCATCATCTGCCCAATGTTTTGAATTCCTTTTTTTCATTTCAACTCAGTAACAATGATGAGAGCAATGGAGCTAACACTTGAATGCTTATTACACACCCAACACTTTATAAGTACTTTACTTGTACTAGCCAGATAAATCCTCACAACTACCTTATGTCATATGTACAAATATTTCCACAGTATACAGACTAGAAGTTGAGGCACAGAGTAGTTGAGTAACTTGCATAAGAATGCACACCAAGTAAACCCAGTAAGGGAGGCTGGACTCAGGAATTCTGCCCTGCACTGCATGGCTGTTGTAGAAAGAGGATGGAACAGATGAAACAAAAGCCTAGGCCTACTTACCCTAAAGTATTCCTACTCTCCCCTCCTTCTTACTTTTTTAATCTTAAATATGAAAGAAAAAAATGCTGCAATTCATCTGTTGATATAGGAAGTATATTTTATAGAGGCTATTAATTTTATATAAAATTTGGAGATATATTTTACTTAAAAATTGAAATACATTACACATATGTATGTCACTTGAACATGAAAGTCCCAGTAAAGCAAATACTGAGTTGTGAGCATATAATTTAAGAATAAAAACGGAAAATGACAAAAACTTCTGAAGGCACCCCTAAAGAGCTTTTCTAGCCTTCTTGCCTACAAAAAAATAATATTTTAAATGATTTTCTCTAAGTTTATTCCAGTGTTTATCGACGTTTTTGAGAGTGTAACAAAATTGATAATCCATTTATTTCCACTTAAACACATATGCCATTTTTTTTACATTCTAAGGAACCAAGATAAATATGGCATTTTAAAAAATCAGAACATAAAATATATTTTTAAAAAATCCAAACCTATTCTATAAGAAAAAGGTGTTCAAGGAAAGGTTTGCTGTGTAACCTAATTCAAAAAATCACAATCCTTATGGCTAAGAATTTTGTAAGGTTCATAATTTTGCTGGAAGCACAGAAATTACCTACAACCTAAAGCTAAATTAGACTCTCTAGGATGCTGCATTAACTCTTTCTGATTAAAGAAAATTTTCACCAGACTATATGACACATTATATCAATTTTCAGTCTTACGGGATTTGAGAGGACTCTACTGAAAATAATTCATCTCCTGTTACTAGACTCTTGTTTAAACAAAACAGATTGTAACTCCCTGAGGGTAGAAACAACATTTACCAAACTTTACTACAGTACTTATTAGCACAAAGCTGAGCACGCTCAAGTGTTTGCTGAATTAATGCATAAAGCTTGATATAATTAAGGGGAGGAATGAAATAATCCAAAATCATGTCCTAATAACCTCAATTGAATATATTTTGATACACACACACGCACACACACACACATCATCCTTTTTCACCAATGGAGCCCCCATTTACTTTGTGCAGATTAGACACCTGGTCTACAGGCAGCCAGCTCCCTGCCCTCTCGCAGTGGGGCACGGGTCCCAGGTCCCGGTCCCGGACGCCTTGGTGCTGGCGGCTGGGCGGACACTCCCCTCGGAGAGATTTCCCTGTCCCCAGCCGGCCTGCTCCCTGTGGCCATTTCCTTCCTGCCCCAGCTCCCTGGAAGCCATCGTTCTTCCCAGCATATCTAGTGTCCTGGGCAAGTGGGGAGGGGAGTTCTCCCACCCCAGGCCCCCATGTCTGGCCGGTAGAGAGCAGGGCAGGTGGAAAGGACGAAGACACTGAACAAACCATCCTCCAAGTCCCCAAACCTCATTCCATCTCCCACCAGCACCCGGGCCCCCACCTGCTCTTACCCCTTCCCCTCCCAGTTACCCCAAGCCAGGGCCCTTCCTAGACGCCGTCCTGAGGGTCACTGGGAAGTACGAATGCTGGGATCTGTAATTTTAAGATTCCCCAGTTGAGTCTAAGGCAAGCTAAAGTTTGAGACTCACTGTCCTTTCTCTTTCTCCTCCCCAAGGTGCGAGGGCGCCATGAGGCCAGGGTGGGCTTCTCCATGTGCCTCTCTGTAACCTGCAGGCTGCTCTCCCACAACTGCAGCCACCAAGGTGTGTTTCTGACCACAAATCAACGTTCCCATCCAGAAGTTAAAAAAATTACTTTTTTTCCTCTTACACATGCACTTCATAAATAGTATTTGCCTTAAAATTCATAAAGCACCTTCACAAACTTGATTTTCACAATAATCTTGTGAGTATTTATCAGCATTTTACAAATGAAAGAATGGGCTTCTAAGAGGCTATTCCCTCCAAGGCACATAGCTGGTAAGTGGCTAGAGATGGTTGAACCCAGGTGTCCTAATTCCCAGCCTGAGCTCCTTCCACTGTGACAGAGCTGCCTCCTTCTCTATGCTGGGCATTTAATGACCTTGTCTTGTAACAATATTTATATGAAGAAATATATTCTTTTTCTTTTCTTTTCTTTTTTTTTTTTTTTTTTTTGAGACAGGGTCTTGCTCTGTCACCCAGGCTGGAGTACAGTGGCTTGATCTCGGCTCACTGCAAACTCCGCCTCCCGGGTTCATGCCATTCTCCTGCCTCAGCCTCCTGAGTAGCTGGGACTGCAGGCACCTGCCACCACACCCGGCTAATTTTTTGTATTTTTTAGTAGAGACGGGGTTTCACCGTGCTAACCAGGATGGTATCGATCTCCTGGCCTTGTGATCCCCCCGCCTCAGCCTCCCAAAGTGCCGGGATAACAGGCATGAGCCACCGCACCCGGCCGAAGAAATGTATTCTAAGTCCAAAATGATACACATTATCATGTTGAGTAAGTGAAAACTTAAAAATTCAACCTACTCCTAAATTGAGGTTCATCTGTACCTAAAGCACGCTAAAGACTTTTGGCATTACTAACCCTCAAGTGACAAAATGACATAAAAAGAAGTTAAGGACACTCCTTAAATCTATCTGGATAAAGTTTTCAAATCAAGCTTGACAAGTTCTATTTCCAATCCCTTCCTAACATTACTAGCCATTTCTCACTGTTACAAGGGTTCGTTTTGAGTTTTAAAGTTTCTTTCCGGAAGCTGAAGTCATCAGTATTGGTTTCCCTGCCCCACAAGTACAATCCATCCTAGGGGGTGAAGTCAATTTCGAAACATACACCTCTAAGCATCACATCCCCTTGCTTGAAAAGCCCCATGACTTCCCATTACACACAACATGTAGCCCACACTGGCCTATTTCCAGTCAATCCCACCACACACCCTTCATTCTAGATGCACTGGGCAACAATCCCCTAAAACCCCAAGTGCTTTAATGATTCTGTGCCTTTCTTCCTGCCTTAAAAATCTGTAATTTGTCCTTCAAAATCAAAAGACTTCAAATGTGGCATTTTGTATTGCTTATCCAGCTATCCTAGCTATAATACCACGATTACAGCACCTAAATAGCTAGTTACACACATACCAGTTTCCTCTGCTAGAATGCAATGGCCTCAAGGCTGAGTCTGTGTATAATTCATCTTTACACTACCTAGTATCATGCCTGGCACTTCGCTGAGTTAAACGGTTACATTACTATTAACTACAACCATATAAGATAAATTATAGAATGCACTCAATTAAACAAAAATCTTAACACATAAAGATACTTTCTCAACAATCCAAATTATTTGAAGCATTCCCATTACATGAAGGTAAATATCTATTTTTATATATACAATACAATTAAAGTACCTGGAATCAAAGCCCAGTTTCTGTATAGCGAACAAATGAAAAGACATTCTTTAGGATCCAGCTTGAGAAAGAGAAAGCAGTCACAGATCCCACAAGCTCAGCTTCTTCCTCCTCCTAGTGCCTAGATTTTTGTGTGGATTGCTTTGTGTAGCTTCAAAGCCAACAAGTATCTAAATGCCTATTAGATGCACAACACGTTTTCCTAGGAACCAAAAACATTAAAGAAACATAGCCAATATCTTTGCCCTTAAAGATAAAATCTTTGAGAGATAAGATTTAGGTACATAAAATAATAAGAGAACACATTAAGCACTCAAGCAGATGGCATAAAGTCTAAGAACTATAAGAAACCTGAGAAGGCAGATCAGTAATGACCTTAGGGCACGGTTTACTAAGATGGTTAAGAAGAGGTGGGTGGGGGAGGTGGTGGGAGTAGCAGCCTCAAGACATGGATATAACTTAGGTGTGGATTTATGGCAAACAGCCAGAAAAGACAAATACAATACAGCCAGATATTGGACTTGGATAAAAGAATTCCCACCACTTATACTGATGATATAGAATATGAATGATAATAATGTCTAATATTTACTGAAGGTCCACTCATTATATACACAGTACATCAGGCTTTCAGCACTCCAAGAACAGCAAGAGCCAGATTTTTCCAGCTAGTAGGCCTGGAAGTGCCAAGAATAAGAAAGCCAGAGTCCCTGGGGCCAGTAACCTCCTGGTTTTGAAGATACCATCTATTTACCCCACTGTGCCACACAAATATTACCATTTTCTTTGCATGCCATTATGTGGAAGGTTGAGAAGCACTGACATTGGTCAACAGAGAAACCAAGCAAGTTTCAAAGACAACATCATAATGCAGCAATAGAGAGCCACAGTGGTCCAAACTCTGGTATTGCATTAGAATCATCAGTGGCACTAAAGATAAGAGGTGTCTGAGTATAAATCCAGGGCCCCTAAATCTGAACTCCAGGATTTTTTTTTTATATATTCATAAGTGCTTCTGACATACAGTCAAGGTTGATTATCATTGGTACAGAGAATGACTGGGGCACAATCTAGGTAGTTCTTCACAAAATGTAATGTGAGAATCAGCTTCTTGCTACTCCCAGTGTCCTGGAAACCAGTAGTAATTGTATCACCTGGGAGTAGCTGGAAATGCAGAGTCTCAGGTCCCATTCCAGACCTCCTGATTCCCAATCCACATTTTAACAAGATGCCTGAGGTGATTCATAGACACTTTAAAGAGCAGTGTCTCAACACTGACAGCACACTGGAATCACCTGGGAGCTTTCCACATTACTATGTCTGGCATGGGGGTTGGTGATTGTGCAACCAAGGTAAAGAAAACCCACCTAGGAGGAGCTTGTTAAGCCTGCATTTCTGGGCCCCCACTCTCAGAGATCCTGATTCAATAGATCTCACTTGGGGCTTGGACATCTACATTTTTAACACATCCTTGGGTGACTTTATACAGTCCAAACTTTGAGAAGCAGTGTCATTATGTCAGAAGGTCCAATGAGAAGAATATAGTAACAATCCAGGAGTAAGATGACCTGGAGACTAGTGATGAAATGGGCTTTATAAGGAAAAGGGAAATATATTAGTAAATTCAAAAGATACACTGAGGGAGAGGTTGGCAAAACGTGATAGCTGAAAATAATGATTAAGAAAGGGAAAGAACTCAAATTCTTTTACTTCCCTCGTAAGAAAGTCATTCTTAAGAAGAACTATTCCTTAGGTTTTAGATGACTTTCAAGTTATTCAGCCTCTCAGAGTCTCATTTTCACCAAGTATAAAAGTGAGGGGTTGGCCAGGCATGGTGGCTCATGCCTGTAATCCCAGCACTTTGGGAGGCCGAGGCAGGTGGATACCTGAGGTCAGGAGTTCAAGACAGCCTGGCCAACATGATGAAACCCCATCTCTACTAAAAATACAAAAAATTTAGCTGGGTGTGGTGGCAAGCACCTGTAATCCGAGCTGCTCAATCCTCAGGAAGCTGAGGCAGAAGAAACGCTTGAATCCAGGAGGTGGAGGTTACAGTGAGCCGAGATTGCGCCATTGCACTCCAGCCTGGGCAACAAGAGCAAAACTCCGTCTCAAAGAAAAAAAAGAAAAAAAAAAGAGGGTTTTCTCTTTGGTTGTCTCCATCCCTAGCACTTAACGACCTTGAGTAGCTACCTACAGCTGTTATCACTAACACGCTGGGCTTTGTACTCTCCCAGGTGGACTGCACAGCTATTTTCTGAGAATTTTGTTTTCATTTTGATTTTCCTGCTCCCCGAACTACAAAGCCTTGGTAGGTTTGGCAGTTTTAATTTGTTTTCTATTTTGAATAGGGAAAGAAATCTATTTTGAATTGGAAAAGAAGGAATGTACTCTATTAATAGAGATATTGAGTTTCAAAGTGAGAAGCAAGATTGCTTTTAAAATTCAGTCATGAAGGCCGGGCTCCATGGCTCACGCCTGTAATCCCAGCACTTTGGGAGGCCGAGGCGGGTGGATCACCTGAGGTCAGGGGTTCGAAACCATCCCCGGCCAACATGGCAAAACCCCGTCTCTACTAAAAAAAAAAAAAAAAAAAATTAGTTGGGCATGGTGGCACATGTCTGTAATCCCAGACACTTGGGAGGCTGAGGCAGGAGAATCGCTTGAACTTGGGAGGCAGAGGTTGCAGTGAGCCAAAATTGCGCCATTGCACTCCAGCCTGGGCAACAAGAGCAAAACTCCGTCTCAAAAAATAAATAAATAAAAATAAAATTCAGTCATGATCTGAAGAAACTACTGCCCCTAGTAAGATCTAGAAATCAGTGGTCTACATGATGATGGTTTTAAGCACAACTTTAGTTAATCAGAATCTCCTCCATATATTTTGCATTAAGCAAAACTGTGCTTTCCAACAGTTAAGAAAAAATTAGAAAACTTAATTACAATGAAAATGTCTAACATCTGTTTGTCAGTTGCAGTTTAGAGAGCCCTTTCACATATTAAGCAAAAATGATCTAGGGGTGCCTTTGAGGCAGATATGGGTCTTATTTTCCCATGAGGCTCAGGGGCACATGACTGGGATACAGCAAGGCCTGGAGGAGAGCTGGGTTTCTCTGACTCCAAGCTCAGGCTCGAAGATGTTAAGCACATTCAACGAAGAGGATGCACTAGCACACAGGAGGAAATGCCTTAGAAATCACAAGAGCATCAAGGACAAAACGATTTATTTTAAAGTGAATACAGTATATGAAAACAGGAGAGCATGGAAAGTATATATCACCATCCCAAAGCGGAATATAATTAGGCTTCTAAACAGAGAAATACACTAAGTAAATGTTCACATATTTTAAATATGTATATATGTACAGATATTAAATTAGGCAATACTTAATACAACTACTCAACGTAAGTGTTTTGAAGACAATAAATTCTAATTTCCCTTAAAAGTCTTATCCTCACATAATATGAATACAAATGTTACCAGAAAACGGTCCTGATCCAGACTACAAGACAGAGTTCTTAGATCTTGCAAAAGAAAGAATTCCGGGCGAGTCCAAAGCAAGTTCATTCAGTAAAGGAATAAAGAATGGCTACTCCATAGGTAGAACAGTTTGGGCTGCTGGACTAAGGATACTTATAGTATTCTCATACTTATGGTTATTTTTTGATTATATGCTAAACAAGGGGTGGATTATTCATGAGTTTTCTGGAAAAGGGGGGGACAATTCCTGGAACTGAGGGTTCCTCCCCTTTTTAGACCATATAGCCTAACTTCCTGACATTGCCATGGCATTTGTAAACTGTCATGGCACTGGTGGATATGTCTTTTAGCATGCTAATGTATTACAGTTAGTGTATAATGAGCAGTGAGGATGACAGAGGTCACTTTCATCGCCATCTTGGTTTCAGTGGGTTTTGGCTGGCTTCTTTACCGCATGCTGTTTTATCAGCAGGGTCTTTGTGACCTGTACCTTTTGCTGACCTCCCATCTTATCCTGTGACTTAGGATGCCTAACCTTCTGGTAATGCAGCCTGGTAGGTCTCAGCCTTATTTTACTCAGCCTCCATTCGAAATGGATTTGCTCTGATTCGAATGACTTTGACGCAAACATTTCAAAATCAAACAGTAATCTACATTAGTAATTTTCATAAAGTAACTTTCTTCTTATTAAAAAAGTGCATTTTATTGTTTTAAGAACAAATGGCTAGATAAGATACACAACCAAGATAATATGATCTGCTTCTGAGCATGCATAGGGAAGCTGTAAAACTTTAGTAAACCTAATGGAAAAAGTGTAGAATCTGCATCTCTCCACTAGAGTAAAAAGAGAACCACACACACCTACAACACACGTCCAGGCCCCATCATATTCAGCAAGAGATTTAACAAGTTCATTAACTGATAACCCATTCCAATGGTAAGATATGCATTCCCCTCAAATTGCAAGCTTCCCCTGGGTATCACAAATCTTGCTTATCTTTTAAGTGACTAAGAAAACTGTGACAGTTTTTTACTATTTTACTGTGTTGTTATATCATTGCCAAGCCAACCAACACAAAAAAATTCAATTAAATAGTTTTCAAAAATAATCATATAAAAAAACCCCAGAGACTGACAGGTTGACCATAAAGATATAAAAGAGTGATTCCCCCAAATGACCAGAAGCCAGTAAAGCTCTTGTCAAAAGAGCTCTAGGGTCATGGGACACATGAGGTCAACTTCCCACTAATGTGCCTTTGACAGATGCCTTAGACTTTAGATCTGAAACCTACAATTTTACACGGATGTAATTAACAAAGACAAGAGAACTCAACTTCAATCCCAAACTTCACCTGCTGAACTCAATAATTACATTGGGCCATTCACCTGGCCCTATTTTAGTTTTCTCACCAAGAAAATTCTAAGAGGGTAACCTTTAAGTTCTACATTTTTATAACATTCCCATGGATATGAAAGATGAGAAAAGAGTGAGAAATAAGGTCTCATTTTCAAAAAACAACAACAACTTTTTAAACTTAGCGGAAAACAATTACATAAGAACTTTATGATTAATATGAAAACCCGCAGAAAAAGATTCTGCTGTTGACAACTCCAACACTGAAAAGCTATATTATAAAAAGTAGTAATTACTGTTAGGAAATAGGAAAAGTATTTGCCCAAAGGGCAGAGTAGTAGCACTTTGGACAAATTTTAGTATTAAAAATATTAATAAAGCCTCGCTCTTCTCAATTACAACAATCTCCCTAAACTAATAATTTGTCTAGGTAACAAGTTTTCAAAAGTAACTGGTCAAGTGACTTATAAACTGTGTTTACAATTAGTGCTACTGTAAACTAGTAGATAAAATCACACGTTTTCATGATCAGTACAATAAACCATACTAGAACTTCTGTAAGTGGTCTTGGTGACAGCTACGCTATTATGTTAACAATTGCTGCTTTAATAAAGTTAAAATTACAAAATGCCATCCAAACATTCTTTATGTGATAGTGATCGTGCTGAAAAACACACCTGACAATCAGCCACAAATATGGAGAAAGATGCCAGAAAAACACAAACAGCTATTAAGAGCTCTCAGGAAAAAAATAATAGTGAGAATGCTGAGAAAATAGAAAGCAGTATTAAAGCACAAAATCAAGCTACAATAGTTGTAGATTTATGTATTCTGAAAATAAATTATTCTGCTTTTTAAATGTATTTATATTCAGTGATTCTTGACTGAATTATGAAAGGTCCTCCATGGAGAACTGATCTTCCCTATGAAATGAAACTGCCCTTTATGAGATTAAACAACATCTAGACCCAGATATAGACGTAATTTTTACTAGCTTTGATGACTAGTAACCATTATAACTAAACAGTTCTAACAGTAACTAAATAAAACTAGCAGCCTCTTCCCCTGGAAGAGTAATGTCTCAATGGTTTGGCTGAAGTACAAGCTGATGGCAAAAGAACTAGCAAAACAGGAATTTAGGATTAAACATATGAATAATAAAGCCTAAAGCTACCCCATTTGGAACTATGTACACAGGTTTATGGTCTCTATGACAATGTAGATTTAGTCAGTCCTCCATATCTGTCAGTTCCACATCTGCAGATTCAACCAACCTCAGATTGAAAATAGTAGGCGGAAAAAAAATCCATCTGTACTGAACACATGCAGATATTATTCCCTAAACAATACAGTGTAACAAATATATAAGTAACATTTACATTCTATTAGGTATTCTAAGTAATCTAGGCATGATTTAAAGTATCCAGGAGTATGTGTGTATGTTATAGGCTAATACTATGCCATTTTATACTAGGGACTTGAGAATCTGCAGATTTTGATATCGGAGGGAGGTCCTTGAACCAATCCCTCGGGGTTACTAAGTAACAACTTGCCTCATTAGCATGAACTTTAAGAAACATTAATATACCTAACACACTCATTAAGAGAAATTAATACAGCCTAATAGGATAAGTATTTACAATGCATAACAGCCACGGTTCAAATATTAGCAACATCCAAATACCCATATGTACATAAATAAAACTGTATGTGCTTTCAGTATTGATGCCATATTATTGGCCAAAAATCAATCACAAATAGATAACATATGCTTATATTTACATAAACTAAACTTATCAAATTTGTTATTTGGATGCTAATGAGCATCACATATTCAGAAAACTTCTAACTGTATCTGTTAATAATAAAATATGTTTAGGTGATTATAAACATTCTTTAGAGTTAGCCAGAAGTCTATCTTAGAAAGAAAAAAAAATGGCTGTAAACATTAAAGAAATTCTTTAAAATCCCAAATTCCCATTGGCATAACCTCTATGAATTAACATAAACACACTCTCACAGCTGGTGCTCAGTTGGGTCTATGTGTCTGTTTGAAAGCAAGCACACCAAGATGGCCTGTGTCCCTGTGCCTCATGCTTCCTTAGCTTTTCTTGGCCCTTATGCCACCCCTAATATGCTCTTTCTACTTGTTGTTCCTGTATCTCTAAGTATGACCCTCTTTTCCTTCTTTTTCCTGGGGAAGGAAGAAACAAGAAAACTAACATTTATTGAGCACAAAATGTTAGGGTTTCTCAGAATTGGACTCTAGGGTTTCATTTCTTTTGCTGTACTGTCCCCTTAGAGGAGATGAAATATAGCATACTAGTTAAGAGCATGAACTTAGGAAACACATTGCCTGGGTCAAATCCTGGCCCTTCTACATTCTAGGGGTGACCTTGGACAAGTTACTTAATATCTTTGTGCCTCAGATTCCCCCCACGTGGTAAAACAAGCACAGTAATCATAGTGTCATGGTGAGGACTGAGTAAACAGTTAAATGAGTTCATCTAAAGCACTTCCAACAAAGCCTGGCAAAGAGTAAGCCCCCTATCAGTATAAGATGCTATTGTTCCCCTAAGTATGGAAATAGAAGTTCAATGGGAATACAAATTCAATTACCATTAATGTGAAAACCACCTATTTGCTGATGACTCCCTGTAGTACATCTCCACTCAGACCTTTTCTCTCATATCCCACCACTGATTGGCATTTCTACTTGGACATCTCACAAATGTCCCAAAAGTAACATGTCCAAGACGAAATTCTTGACCTTTTCCTTCAAACCCATTCCCTCATCCATACCCCTAGTCTTCACTATCTTGGTGAATGCCAGCATTATTTACCCAATTAGAGAAGCCAAAAATGTACAAAGTATTCATAACTCCTTCCTTTCCCTCAATCCAAGCCCAATTCATAAGTCCTATCATTTTCACCTCCAAAATACAACTCAAATTGACCAATTTCTCTCCATCTCCACAGCCACCGCCTTCATCTAGGCCAGCAACCCTCTTGCTAGGTCCGTGAACAGCCTCCTCATGGGTCTCTCCACTTTTGTCCTTGTAGTGCAACCACCCATTTTCCCAAGAGCAGATTTCTCAAAGTAAAAATTTAATCATGTCACTCTCCTCCTGTTGAGCATTCCTCAATGGCTTCCTGTTGCACTGAGAATAAAACCCAAGCTCCTTTTCAAGATCTGGCCCATGCCCATCTCACTTTGATGCACCTCCACCCTCTCTTCTTTCAACATGCTAAGCTCTGTCATACTCTTCTGTTCGGCTGACATCTTTTCTTTCTATCGGTCTCAGCTTCAAGGCTACCTCCCCAGAGACCTTTCCTGACCCTACTTAAAGAGGGTATTTCCTTTTTTTTCTATCTCAGCTTGTTTCTTTCCTGCAGTGCACTCATTCACAATGTGCAATTATTTTCATTTATTTACCATCCCCCCTTCCAGAATGTAAGTTCCATGAAGGTAGGGGTGACAGAGTCTCATTCTACATTTTACCCCACCAACTAGCATCTGGCTTAGTAGACGCTCAATGATATGGTATGACTGACTATGAATGAACTTACTGTGCTATTTTACATGTATTATCTCATTTATTTTTTACCATAATCAGACAAAGCATTTATTATTCCCATTTTAAGGGTGAGAAATATTAAAGGAGTGTAGAACAGCTCGAATGCAGAAACAGGATTCAAATGCAGGCCAGTGTTGATATGGCTATGCTGCTTCTACCACACCACATTGCTCCCCCCATCTAGTCCCCAACAGCTAGATTCAACTCTCTGCCTCCACCCAGTTTCTGACCACTTCTGCCTCTAAGAAGTCGCAAGTGTTTCCTACCATATGGGCTTCAAGGTTCTCGTAAGCTGTAGAGAATAAAAGCTGTGGTCCCAAATGACACAATTTTGCCTCCCAGGGTACAATGGCCAAAATCTGGAGACATTTTCGTTGTCACTACTGGGGAGATACCAGTGGCATCTAGTAGGTGGAGGCCAAGGATGCTGCTAAAATCCTGCAGTGCACAGGAAAGCCCCCTCAACAAAAAAATTATCCCACCCAAAATGCCACAATGCTGAGGTTGCAAAGCCTTGTCAATAAGGAACCAGGTTATAGCAGGTGTACCCTTGCCATTGACCACAGGAACCAGGTGGGCAATGGGAATGAGTCAAACAGGATTAATGCAAAGGGGGGAAAAGGTAGTTTTTATCATCCACTTTTCCCATACTCAGGTTCTTGTTTTATTGTTGTGTATATAGTATCTCATGTTAGTCTTTCACCACAGACATGCTTTGTTTGCATGTCTAATGGGTGTATCTTTTACTACCACAATTGTTTCCATGACGGAGCACTGGCATACATAAATAGACCAACAGACATATAGACTTATGCATATATGTACTGAGTTGCATTGTGGAAGTGTGAACAGGTTTAATATAAAATGTATTGTTACAATGTCAGCTGTGGTCAAAAAAGTTTGGGAAACATTGTCAAGGTTCTTACTATGTCACAGCCACCTCTGCATGAGGAAGCTATCAGGTTGAAACTTCTAAAAATAAACATGTCAAGAACCCCTCTTTACAAATATTAGCACTAAATAAGTAGCAAATAATGCCCCACAATAAGAAAAACATATATTTATGAAAAGAGACTTTTCAACAATGCTTAACCCTGCCCAACAGTGGAAAGACCATGTTGGAAGGCAGTGAGTTCCTCATCAGTGATTAGAACCTATGGAGGAAAGCCCCAGACAGTTTCTAACTCTTGAAAATGTGTGTTTCTATCACGGAGCTTTAAGTTACAAAATTACTTTCTAAATAGAAATGAATCCATTTCTGTCTAGCTTAATATTTAGTTGTTATAATTGTTCTTTTTTTGATCAGTTACAAATGAACTCTTGATGAACAAAAGAATATGCAATGCAATGTGGAAAACCAAACAGCTATTTTAAAGTCCCACATTGAAATACTGTATAATGTCAGCTCAACTCTCACTCATTCTGGGAGGGGGGAAGAAAACAGGAAATAAGGCAGCTTTCAAAAATGTCTAAACTCTGCTCCTCTCTGCAGGATCTGAGTGGTTTTTTGACGCTGTGGCAGGGCATAATCGTGGGGAAGAAATAGGTCTGACATCAGTTTATGACGGTACAGAGCCAGAGAAAGAAGCAACCCAGGTCCAATCATTCAGCAGAATCATCTCTCAAGGTGCCCTGGGGCCTCATGCAGAGGGTTAACAAGGACAGAAAGTCTCTAGACCTGGGTCTGTTCATCCAACTTCCATATATCTGATGGCCATGGTCCAGGGTACACCCAAAAATACAATCTACCACATTCACTGTACCTCCTTTCAATGCTCAAAGGGGCAAGTCAAGCAACGTGCTATACTGTTACATTAATACAAAACTGTATTTAGGTATGGGAATTACTAAATCCAAAGGTAAGTCATCCAAATATAAGTCATGCATCCATCCAAAGAAGATTCAAAGGAAACGCAATCAAAAAAGAAAATATGCAGAAAATAGCAATAAATATCATTATTCTAAGATTTGTTATTGTAACATCCCTGAAGAAGCAATGCCATTCTATATTTTACTACAAAGTGGTTAATGTTTAGTCATTCAATAAAAATGCAACTCCATTCTGTCATCAGATCTCAAATCAGCATCACACACTTTCTTTTATTACAACAACTACAATGTGTCAAGTGCTCTAAACACAAAGTATCTTCCCATGTATCACCCACACCTTTTAGTTATGATCCTTAACAGATCCTGTGGATCCCTGTGGAGTAAATTCGCCATGTGATAACCCCCCACTAGCAGAGAACGAAAGACTCACAAAGGAACCTGAAACTTAAACCAAACTGAACCGCTGTGTACTAGATCTGAAGGCTCTGCCTCATCCACTGTATCGTGCTGCCTCCCCAAGGTGAGCTTTTCTAACCTGCATACTAGCCAGCTTTTCAAGCTTGCTACTGAGATAAAAAAAAAGGGGGCGGGGGGAAATGTGCTGGAAACAGACAAACAAACAAACAAAGAAAAACAAACTTGGTTTTTCTAGGCTTGAATCGGCAATGGGGGGAAAAAAAGTACCCTAGGAACAACCTTCTTGAGCCCATTAAAACATACAGAGATGACTGGCTTTTTATGACTGAGTGGCTTTTATTTGTGGCTGTGATCTCAGGGGAAGCCAATTTGCTGTGTCCTATTCCTTGACTTATACTGGACCCCAACTCCTGGCTAAGGGAACTTTGAGTCACCAAGGGAATCTGAAAATATACTAAGGGATAAATCAACAGTAATTAAATAGTTCAGTAGCGAAAAGCCCACTGAGGCATATAGAAAAAAGCAATGTAACAGCATTTCACTAGTTGACTTAGAAAAATTAGGCCTGTTATCCAAACTGCTACAACTTGCCTTATCAAAATTCAACCAGGAAACAGAGGAAACCTGAAGTCAGTCCGAAACATACGAATGCGTCAACTTTGTTTTTTTTTTTCAGCACATCATTACACATCATCCATTTGGTAAATGGCAGAGGGAGGGGAGGAGAGCCCTCCTCACCAAAGGTTCCAAGGGCAGCAGGGAGGATTAAGGCTCGGGCGCCCCAAACACAACACAACCTAGAAAGTGACGTGTCGAGGGGAATCACAAATAAAGTGCCACCAGCGGCGTTTGCGGCCAGGAAGAAAAAAGTACGCTAAAATTTAATTATAAGTTTAAGCAACTCTCTACGACATGGAACGTGCGTTTGCTTTGAGCTCCACGGAATCGTTTCCAAGCCAAAGCAAACCATCCTGGCGGTCAGAGGCCGAGATAACGGGAAGGCGGCCAGTCGTACCAATCAGCAGCGCTCAAGTCTCGTTAGCGCAGACCTGCTGCCCGCGGCCAGGCCGGGCAGCTGTTGATCCCCGGGCCATTCTTTTAAAGCCCAGGCAGAGCGCGGGTGGGAAGCGTGCGAGGAGAGCTGAGCCAGGGAGTTGCGGGGAGGAGAAGGTAAGAATGTCCCAGAGAAAAAGTCGGAGAGGGCTGCAAACTGGCTGGTCCGGCTGGCGGGGCTCGGCGCGGCGGAAGCGGGAGGAGAGGGGAAGGAAGGGGAGGGGAGGGGAGGGGAGGGGGCCAGCGCCTCAAAGTTCCGCGTCCCGGCGGCGCCGGCGCTAGGGCTGCTCACCTAACAGGAGCGTGGTCCAGGTCCGGCCGCGCCCCGCGCGCCGCAGGCCCAGCGCCCAGCGCAGCCGGGCGGCCAGGCGCCCCCCAAGGCCGCCCCCGGCGGGCGGCGCGCCGGGCTCGGCGCGGGGCCCCTTCCTGCCCGCGGCGCCCTTGCGCCCCGGGGACAGGGGCGCGCGCTCGGGCCCCGGCTCCCCGGCGCCGACGTCCGACGCCCCCCTCAGCGGCGACTGTGAGGCGCGGGGTGGCTGGGGCGGCTTGGGAGCCGCCTCCCGGTGCTTGTTCCGCGCCTGCAGGACCATCTTGGCATAGTCGCGCCCGCTCGCTGCGCGCGCCCGGACGGCGGCCAGAGAACGGCGGGCTGGCTGGGCGGCTGGGCGCAGCTCACTCTCCAGCGGGCGGGCGGGCGGAGGGTGGAGGGCGGGCTCGTCCCTCCCCGCGGGCCGGGAGGCGGGGAGATCGTGGAGGCCGGGCGGCTGCTGCCTGGCTGGCAGTACCGCCGGGAGGCGGCGCCGGACTTGCTAGCCCGCCGCCGTTGCCGCCGCTCCGGTTGTCACGGCGACCGCGGAACGCCGGGGGGCGGGGGCGGGGACACCCTGCGAGCGGCCGCGGCCCCGCCCCCGCCGCCCCTCTGCGCCGGACGCGCGCTCCAGGCCGGCCAGCGCGCACGCGCGGACTTCCGGCGCAGGCGGGGCCCGACCCCTCTGGCGCCCGGCTACCCACACCTCTTCGGCGCCCGCGCGGGGCTCGGCCGGTGCGAGGACGCGGGGGCGGACGGCCTTCCGGAGGCGGCCGCCCTTCCATTGTGGGAGTGATGGGGCCGAAGGAAGAGCCCTCTCGGGATCGGGGCGCTGATTCAAGTTTCGGAGCCTGTTAAGGCTGCGCTTGGAGCCCGCGCAGGCGAGACGCGGCGGGGCAGGGAGAAGGCGCCCGGAGCGGCCACTTAGGGGCGCTGTGCGTGCGCCCTGGGCGCCTGGTCGGCCCCACCGATGTGAAGCGCGCGGGTGGCAATCAAGTCACCGTCTCCGTTTACTCCCCGCAGTGTGGTCGCGCAACTTGGAGCGCAGCCCCTCACTCACCGACAAGAAGAACGGGTGCGACCCGATTTAAGATAGTAACAGAGTATTAAAATAGCAGCCTGGAATCTCATGGGGAGCTGATAAGGGACGAGGCACAAGTGTAAACTGAAGACCAGGGTAGGAGCCAGGCTGAAGGTGATAGGATGGATTGGCTGGAGCAGGAAAGATCATCAATAAGTACATTCAGTTTGTTACACTTGCTGTAACCTTGTTGCTTAATAGGAAGCAGGAAAACTTGGCGTTGATAAGATAGGAGATTTTAGTCGAAAATATGTTTTCTTTTACATAGCAGAATGCACGAGTAAATTAAACCCGGGAAAATTTAGAAACCCAGGTAGATCCCAATTCTCCCTCCACCCCTGCATTCTTTGCACACAGTCTTACAACAGCATGGATTACAACTGGGAGGTTCCTTTCCTGGCCGTGCCCAGTGGCTTGTTCCAAAAAGTTGTCTTTAAGTCCCAATGTTGTAAATCAAGGCCCATCGTTCTGCTTATCTCTATTGTAATTCCAGGGACTTCACGTGGCTTTCTCGCTCTTTGTTTCTTTGCCCAGTGATTTCTTTACTAATACCAGCATTCGTTCATTGTTAGCCTTTTTAAGAGACAGTGGATTATTTTGTAAAGGGAGGGTGTTTGCCATGCTAATTAATACTCCCTCATACCCTGTCTAGTTTATGAATTTGGATTTTCCAATGTCTTTATTGGAGCAAAGAACAACTATTTTTATACACTGGTTTAAAAAATAATGGTTGAAAGTAGGATGCAGAAGGCTTGGATTCTGAAACATTGTGTCAGCTGAACTCAATGCTACCTCTGGGATTAATGTTGAATGTATTCAGTTAAAAGAAAGCTAATTCAATGCCTATTAAAGATAATACGAATAACTGGCCGGGCACCGTGGCTCACGCCTGTAATCCCAACACTCTGGGAGGCCGAGGCGGGCAGATCACGAGGCCAAGAGTTCAAGACCAGCCTGGCCAAGATGGTGAACCTCTGTTTCTAATAAAAATACAAAAATTAGCCAGGCGTGGTAGCAGGCGCCTGTAGTCCCAGCTACTTGGGAGGCTGAGGCAGAAGAATCGCCTGAACCCGGGAGGCGGAGGTTGCAGTGAGCTGAGATACGCCACTGCACTCCAGCCTGGGCGACAGAGCGAGACTCCATCTCAAAAAAATAAATAAATAAAAATAATACAAATGATGGATTTTTTTTAATGATTAGAAAGACGCATGGAAAAAGAGGTTCAACATTTGAATTATTAGATTGCTGTGTGTCTACTTTATGTGATAGGCCCTGAATTCAGGAACTGCCTCCCTTAAGCTGGTACCGTTTGTACCAGGAAAACACTTGTTGAATGAGTGAGTGAATGAATGCAGTTCCACAAGTGCTTGTCAGTTCCCCTTCTCGGCTTGGCAACCATGCGGAGAGGGGCAGTGTGAGGTATTAGTTTTTTGGTTTTTTTGTTTTGTTTGTTTTTTTCTTAAACACGGTCAATTTAGATCCAGTTTGCAGCCACTACATTGACCCATACCAGCCTTGACCAAGGTATTATACCTCTTTGAGTCTGGATTTCTTCATTCTTAAAATGGAGGCAACAAAAACATCTAGTTCACAGGTTTGTAAAAAATAAGACAATGTGTGTAAAGCATCTAACAATTACATATATCCAAGTAGTTGCTCAGTGAATGTTCAAATTGTCTGGATGTTGGTAGTTGCTCAATAAGTGTTCAAAGTAGTGGATGACGTTTAAGGAGAGTGGCAAACTTCTGTCCTCCCAGAACCTGAAGTTGACATTCCAAGTTGGGGTATAGCAAGGGGAGAATGCCACTCTGAGCGGGAGAGCAAGAACAGCCACGTGATCTTTAAGCCAGGCCTGCTGGGCTTCAAGCTTCTCAGCTCTCTGGGCAGTTGATGTGCCTGAATGGTTTCCTGCTTTCCACAGATGCTTTACAAATGTTGCCCATCTCATGGGTCCTTAGGCCTGGATAAAATAGTAGGCAACTCCTCGTGCCCCCTCCCAAAAGGGAGGCATTTCACACAGGAAGGGTGGAGGAATGGAAACCAGAACAGTCATGGAAGATTATGTGCCAGATTTCATTTTATCCTTAGTACAACGAGATCCACAAGAGCAGAGAATGGGAATGCAGTTAATTTCTATATGTATCTGTAGACCAGTGCCTGCCACACATAGCGGTGGATGCTAAAAAACAAAAAATCTCTGGCAAACTGAAAGCTGCATATTAAAAAAACATTTTGTACATGGATGATCTATGAACGGATCTAAGATTATAATGAAATTAAGCATTAAAATTACCAGCTTTAATGTGCTTTTTTTCTGGGAGTTCCAGATGCACCAGAAAGGTACTTCCTGCATGATGCTATAGAAATACTGGGTCAGGGCAGACAGATTTTTAAGGACAGGAACCTGAAAGGGCAACCACTTATAAAGAATTGCTGCTGCCCTGGCCCCTGGGGTGCAAGCCGAGTCTTTTTCTCACTACAAGTTACACTTTGGGCATTGAAATAAAAATGTTTAATTAAAAAGACATATCTTTTAAACTTTGGGGATGGAGACAGAGGAGATTATAAGGAGGAAATGAGCATAAAATAAAAAGCAAGAACATAAAATCATAGAAGAAAACAAGATGTGGAGAAATAAAGCTTAGTGATAATAAGGTATAGGAATCAGGGAAACATTGTCAGATGGGCAATGAAAAAAGTAAATTTGGTCAAGGGAAGACTATGTTGGGAACCAGTTTTCTTATGTCTCCACATTGGCATTTTAAAGGCCCCATTTAGAACTTCTAAATATTCCCCTTTTCCTCCTACTTGCTCTCCTACCCATAGAGTGACAGCTGAATGAGAAATCCATGACATTTATTTGTCATTTCCTTGAACTAGGTCACTTGATCACTGTATTGGAAAAGTGTCCTAGGGTCAAGTTCTAGAATCTGACATTTGTCTTGCTAAGCAGTTGCTCATTCCAAGAGAGGAACCTGCATAATTCCAGCACACTTCTTGGAAACCTAAAATGGGTGCAACAAAATATGTCTGTAACATTCTACTTTCCAAAGCTCCAGCATTAACTTGACACTATATTATAATATATTCTTTTAGTCTGATGAGAACAAATGTAAATTGCTACTCTATTGCTCTTCACATTTTATCTTCTGTCTTTCCTGGAGCTGACCTTGTAATTTAAACTGTTCATGCTCCAATGAGTGTTCCTGAGGAACTCAGAGTTCATTATTAGGTCTAGTTATAGTGCATCATCAAGAACCACTCTGTTGCAGAGAGGCATGTCTCTTTAGAATGTAATTCCTGTTGTTGAGGGCTTACTGTGTCTTTAGTAGATATTAGAGACACTTAAAATTCATATACTAAATCCCCATCCCCAAGGGCTTACAGTTTCATTGGACAGGCAGGGTAAGCTAGAAAAACATATATAGCAAAATATGTGATTCAGAGAATAAGTACTAAAAGATTTCCAAAGGGAAGAGATGATGGCCAACGTGATTTAGTTTTCAGGGAATAGGTGAAATTTGGTCTAGGCCATGCTGGAAGGCTAGATTTTGTTTTAATAGAAGGGAACATGGCAAAGGAAGTGTAATCAGGGAGCTATATATTTCTAAAAACCCTTGCTCAGTGCCTGGCACACAGTCGGTGCTAATATGAACACTTTAAGCCTCTTCAGATGAGGAAGGAAGGGAAGAAACAACTAATGTACGTTTTAGGAATAAGTGAATGGATTAAAGAGTGAATGAATGAGGTAACTAATGAGTGGAACAAGAAATGCCTAGACTACCCCATCTGAAGCCTGGCTTTCAGAGTTCCCCAAATCTAATTGGGCCAGAGCAGGCTTCTCCCCCAAGGGTACTTAGTTCCCCCTACTATGAAGGTGGCTTTAGGAATACTGGGAGGCAAAAATTCTACCTCTGGCCTCCTCTTTGGGCCAGAACTTGCTTTCCTCCAGCTTGCTTCTGTTGACTCCTTTTCAGAGGCCTGAACCTTCCTCTCACCTGCCCCCAGACACAGGAAGATTTGGGACCAATTCAGTTGGACACCGTTTGGTCAATCTCCTACCTCCATTATCTAGGGTGGGAACCTGGATGTATCACACAATGTATCCTCTGACTCCTAAGCTGTTCCCTCTACTCAACCTTGCCTTATGCTTCCTGGGGTCAGCGATCTGTTCCTGATACACTCAGCTCTTCTCTGTAGCTTCCACCCCTTCCCAGAAGACCCTTCTCCTATGACAGGTTCATTCTCCCACAGCTCCACTCCCTCCCTCCCCAAGCCCTCTTTCTCCCTCCTGGAAAACTCCTCTGAACTCCTTTTTATCTCTGCTCTTTGTCACTAGTGTCTTGTGCAGACTGCCCATTAGCTCCCCCTTGACCTCACCAGCATTGGCCCCAGTCCTTCCAGCTCCTACCAGTGCTAGGAATGACTTCAACACTGAGCCTCTCAGCCCCTTGACATCCTCATCTCCAGGGACCTGCACTCCCACTTCATGTCATTGACCAATACTTACGGTCTCACCTTGCACCATATCATCACCCCAGTCTGGCTTTGCCTCTGCATTTTAAAATTCAAACATCCAATCCTCTACTGTCTCCAAGTCTGTTTGGTATTCTGTCTTCATCCCAGGGCCTGTCACTGCAACTCCCTCTGCCGGGATCTTTCCTTGCTTGGTCCGTCTGTCTCATCCACGTGGCAGAATGTTACTATCCAACTTTGGATCCGTACCCATGCTATTTACTGGAGTGCTGGAGAAATCCCACAACATAGAAGGCAGGAACCCTATGGATTCATAGTTTCCATTAGCAACTGGATCCCACATACTGCCTTCTACATTCTCCTAGTTCCATTCTCCCAAGAAGATACAGCAAATGTCCACTAGTCTCTTAAACCTGCTACCATGTTACCCACTCCCACTCCCCTAAACATGGCCTTGCCTCCTACTCAATGGAGAAACTGGGCACCATCAGAAGGAGCTGCCACATACCCTCAGACTCACCAAACAGTCTGCTTCTTACCCCAGTGTAAGCACTGAACAGGCAGGTGGGTGTATGGGTCTGAGACTGAGGAGAGCTGGCCTGTAGACACAGGTTTGGAAATCTTCAACAAAAAGACAATAATGAGATCACCCAGGGGATGTGTGTGAGGTAAAAAGAGCCTAGTTTTTGAACTCTAGAGGACATCGATGTTTGTGAACAAGAGATATCTGTAAGGGAGACTGGAAAAGAGCAGCCAGAGAGATCACAAAACCCAGGAGCATGTGGGTCAGAGAAATCAATGGAAGGAAGTGGTCAGCTGACATGATAATGACTGGCGTGTCCTGTGAACCAGAAACATGGAGGTCTTTAACCATCTTTGTTAGAGCAGTTCTGTGCAGTATTAGATGAAGATGCCAGACTTCTGTTAACTTGAGTGTGACTGGAAAATCATTCTGTGGAAAGCACAAGGACTCCTAGAAGCCTCTGAGGAAGCAGAGATAGCAAGTATAAGGTACTCTGCCAAGGATGTCTATGCATGAAGGAAGGAGAGAGATCTAGTGGTTGCCTTGGGGAGATGCTGGTTTAGTGGAGAGTTCTAATGAAGATAACAGCCATGTCATTTGGGCATGCTTAAGACTGTAGAAAGGCAGCCAGAAGAGTGGAGAGATGACCAAGCAGCTAGTTAGTAGAGGGAGCACCATCCCCTGGAAGAGAGGTTGGCTGTGTCCAGAAGAGGGGCTCCTCCTTGTGATGGGGTGTCTTTTAGTCACCTGAAACCCCAAAGCCCAAGCCTGCTTTTCCTCCAGTCTCCTTACTCCAGCAAGTGGCATTACCATTCCCCCTATTCCTTTATCCAGGCAGTCATCCTGCTGATTCTGTCTCATTAATGGTCCTCAAATCAATTCATTGCTTTCCACCCTCAATGCCATGATCCACAGTCATTTTTCCCATGGTCTTCAGCAGCAGCTCTAACTGACCTCTTCGCATCTTCTCTTGTTGCCCATCAATCTTCCAGAGAGCTGTTTCCAATATACAAATCGAATCCTGTCACTCCTTGTTTTGAAAACCATTCACCACTTCCAAATCTGTTGACATGGCTAACTAGGCCTTCAGGATCTATGACACACACCCTCTTCCTGCCCCTTCTTCTCCAGCCTTGCCTCTCACCATTCCCCAGTGCCTCTCACCATTTCCCAGTGCCTCTCACCATTTCCCAGTGCCCCTCACCATTCCCCAGTGCCCCTCACCATTTCCCAGTGCCCCTCACCATTCCCCAGTGCCTCTCACCATTTCCCAGTGCCTCTCACCATTCCCCAGTGCCTCTCACCATTTCCCAGTGCCTCTCACCATTTCCCAGTGCCTCTCACCATTTCCCAGTGCCCCTCACCATTCCCCAGTGCCCCTCACCATTTCCCAGTGCCCCTCACCATTCCCCAGTGCCCCTCACCATTTCCCAGTGCCCCTCACCATTTCCCAGTGCTTCTCACCATTTCCCAGTGCCCCTCACCATTTCCCAGTGCCTCTCACCATTTCCCAGTGCCCCTCACCATTTCCCAGTGCTTCTCACCATTCCCCAGTGCCCCTCACCATTCCCCAGTGCCCCTCACCATTTCCCAGTGCCCCTCACCATTCCCCAGTGCCCCTCACCATTCCCCAGTGCCCCTCACCATTCCCCAGTGCCCCTCACCATTCCCCAGTGCTTCTCACCATTCCCCAGTGCCCCTCACCATTTCCCAGTGCCCCTCACCATTCCCCAGTGCCCCTCACCATTCCCCAGTGCTTCTCACCATTCCCCAGTGCTTCTCACCATTTCCCAGTGCTTCTCACCATTTCCCAGTGCCTCTCACCATTTCCCAGTGCCCCTCACCATTTCCCAGTGCTTCTCACCATTCCCCAGTGCCCCTCACCATTTCCCAGTGCCTCTCACCATTTCCCAGTGCCCCTCACCATTCCCCAGTGCCTCTCACCATTTCCCAGTGCCCCTCACCATTCCCCAGTGCCTCTCACCATTCCCCAGTGCCCCTCACCATTCCCCAGTGCCCCTCACCATTCCCCAGTGCTTCTCACCATTCCCCAGTGCCCCTCACCATTCCCCAGTGCTTCTCACCATTTCCCAGTGCCCCTCACCATTCCCCAGTGCTTCTCACCATTTCCCAGTGCTTCTCACCATTTCCCAGTGCCTCTCACCATTCCCCAGTGCCCCTCACCATTCCCCAGTGCCCCTCACCATTCCCCAGTGCCCCTCACCATTCCCCAGTGCCCCTCACCATTCCCCAGTGCCCCTCACCATTCCCCAGTGCCCCTCACCATTCCCCAGTGCCCCTCACCATTCCCCAGTGCCCCTCACCATTCCCCAGTGCCCCTCACCATTCCCCAGTGCCCCTCACCATTCCCCAGTGCCCCTCACCATTCCCCAGTGCCCCTCACCATTCCCCAGTGCCCCTCACCATTTCCCAGTGCCTCTCACCATTTCCCAGTGCCTCTCACCATTTCCCAGTGCCCCTCACCATTCCCCAGTGCCCCTCACCATTCCCCAGTGCCCCTCACCATTTCCCAGTGCCCCTCACCATTTCCCAGTGCCTCTCACCATTCCCCAGTGCCTCTCACCATTTCCCAGTGCCCCTCACCATTCCCCAGTGCCCCTCACCATTTCCCAGTGCCCTTCACCATTTCCCAGTGCCCCTCACCATTTCCCAGTGCCCCTCACCATTCCCCAGTGCTTCTCACCATTTCCCAGTGCCTCTCACCATTTCCCAGTGCCCCTCACCATTTCCCAGTGCCTCTCACCATTCCCCAGTGCTTCTCACCATTTCCCAGTGCCTCTCACCATTTCCCAGTGCCCCTCACCATTTCCCAGTGCCTCTCACCATTCCCCAGTGCTTCTCACCATTCCCCAGTGCTTCTCACCATTTCCCAGTGCCTCTCACCATTTCCCAGTGCCCCTCACCATTTCCCAGTGCCCCTCACCATTTCCCAGTGCTTCTCACCATTCCCCAGTGCCCCTCACCATTCCCCAGTGCCCCTCACCATTCCCTAGTGCCCTTCACAATTTCCCAGTGCCTCTCACCATTCCTCAGTGCCCAATGCCCTCTCTTCCCTGGACATGCACATATATTGTTATCTTGGATGGCCACCCTTTTGTCCTGCCCAGGCCCTGCCAGTTCTCCTGGATGACTCTGGCTCAGTCTTCACATCTCACTTAGAACTCAGATCCTGCAGGAACTCTTCTCTTCCTGTAACCTAGACCTTCCCCTGTCATATCTCCTACCACACTGTTTTTGTTTTGTTTTGTTTTGAGACGAAGTCTCGCTCTTGTCCCCCAGGTTGGAGTGTGATGGTGCAATCTTGGCTCACTGCAACCTCTGTCTCCCGGGTTCAAGTGGTTCTCTTGCCTCAGCCTCCCGAGTAGCTGCGATTACAGGCGCGCACCACCACACCCAGCTAATTTTTGTATTTTTAGTAGAGACAGGGTTTCACCATGTTGGTCAGGCTGGTCTCAAACTCCTGACCTCAGGTGATCCACCCACCTCGACCTCCCAAAGTGCTGGGATTACAGGCATGAGCCTTACTTACCACACTGTTTTATTTGTCTACTTATTTGTCTGATTTCTTGTTAGACTGTAAGCTTCTTGAGACTGTTATGGGGTGAGGAAAGTGGAATTGGGCTGAGAGAAGTTGAACTTCAGTCCAATCCAATAGGGAACTCTGGAGCTAGGATGCCCCTTCAAACTCATTGCAAGTTGCAGTAAAGATCCCAAACCTTTGACATTCACATCAACCTATTATCAGTGCTGACTGCTTCCAGTGAGCGGGAGTAACCGCGGGAAGGCAGCTCCCTTCAGCCAAGAGCAATTGCCAAAGAGGGACTGAGTTGGAAGCCCTCAGCCACCAACACCCCTGTCATGCTGAGGGGAGGAGGGCTTCAGACCTGAAGGAGGAATCTGGGTGGCCACCACAGCATCTGCTACCAATACCTTTGGTGGCTCAGGGCCACCACATATACCATAGGTGCCTATTAAATCTTTGTTGGTTAATGATTGATTATGTGATTAAATGAATTAATTAAATCACAGAAAACAAGTTTAATTACGTTAAATGACTCGAGATTTAGGGCCTTAAAGAAGGGTAAATGTTTTATTTAGAAATAAAAAACTAGTGAAGGTTCTTGAGCAAAACACTAATGGATTTTAAACAGGATTTGAGGAACATTGTGCAAGTAGATATGTTATGAGGGAGTAAATTTGTGACGTGGGTGGTGTGGATGGCTGAGATGACAGCAAGAATGTGGACGGGAAGAAATCCTAGGGGCTGGGAGGCTGCTGATTTAACAGGAAGGATGAGGTATGGCACACCTGTAATACAATGTTTAGAGCATGACAGGACAAATATGAGACCAGCTGAAAGGTTAACTCTGGAAAATATGTATAATTGTACTTGACCTCATTACTATTAATAGGTTCAAGCAAAGATTCTCCCATTTTGAATATATTAAGTAATAGATTAGATGTAAATTCCTTGAAGGCAATACTGCATCCCCAGTGCCTAGGGCAGTAGCTGCACACACTACATGCATAGTACATTTGTTGAATAAATAAGTGAATCAAATCTTGACTGACAGAACTCTAATACAGATTCCTAATGATTAGGAAACAGATTGGTGTAAGTCTAGACCTTCAAAGTATTCACTGTACATTTCTAAACTATAGTTACTTTAGAGTAATCTTGCAGATATATTTTAAAACTAAGAGATTTAGTTGTTTTACTTACCAATCAGGCATTAATTCAATTCACCCGCCCGTCCACCCATTGCCATGAATCATGGTTTGTTCTTAGGAAATGAACCTTAAGGAAATAGCTGGAAACATTTCATTGCCATGGCAAGATGACCTGAAGCACACTCTGCTCAGCAATGCTGGAGTGGGTGAACTCCCTACTTTTACTTTTGCCAGCCAAGAACTCCCTGTTACTACAGTATCCAGTTTGTAGCAGGCAACAGATTAGGGAGGAGTTGCTGATAAGGAGTCTTTTGCTTTTAAAAGAAAACTAACTGACATGAATTCCAGCACCTGATTTTTGCACCTGAACTATGAACATTGTGTCTGGAGGAGTCAAGGCTGCTCTGACAAGAGCTGAAGTATAAAGTGCAGTGAAATTGCGCTCTAGCATTGGCATCTTGCTTGCAGAGCAGTGTACACCATGCTAGATTTCTAGCAGCTTTGGGAGGAATATGCCATGTGTGTTCTGTGCAGTCTCAGGAGGAATCAAAACAAGTGATTCCCAGTTGCCATTGGCCCTGAGTTAATGAGAGAATTGGAGGATAGAAGATAGAAAAAAAAAAAAGAGCTTATTCCCATCCTTTCTGGCCTACCCAAAATGGCTTCTTTTATGGATGCAATGGACAAAAGAGGAAGTGGCATCAGCTAAGCACACAGAGGAAGAAGTGGCATCAGCTAAGCACACAGCCCAAAATTCCATGGTTGGTCCATGGACTTCCACCCATGTTTTGAGGGTTTCCACCTCTGGTTGGGGGTGACTGGGGTTGCGGGGCTGGGTAACGATATTAATGATATTTTAGGGCCAGTGTGCTTTTCCTCATCCTGAGCCTCTCTCAATACTCAGTTGTTCAATGTGTGGAAGTAAGAGAGGGTTAAGTTGGGCCTCTGGATTCCCCCAAAGAGATGCCACAATAATACCCCCCAGTGATTGTTTCAAATGATGTGTCTTGCTTTGTGCGATCAGCATTTAGTCACACTTGGATCTTAAACAGCCTTGAGAGCTAGTTGGAACTGCCCAATCTATGCTTATCATAGCACTGCAATTCACACGCAGACTTGGTGTTTGTTCTCCTTTCCTCATCTCTCATGAAAAAAAAAAAGCACAACTAGGACTGTAAGAACTGACACACAATTCCTTCAATGTCAGCTTCAAAGTTCTAATCTGCAATATTATTTTCTTCATGAGAATTAGACTTGCATGGAGAATCTGATGTTAGTTACTTTACATAATGCAGACAACCATGTAATACAAGATTCAGCCCTCCATAGCAATCCTGAACAGCCAGAGAATGCTTGGCTATCTTTGAAGCCCACTCCAGCCAAAGTGGGTAAACAATGAAATGATGGGATGCTAAACTTCCACTGTTCAGTGTGTTAAATGCAAACGTTCAAAAAAATTAATTTGTCTCACTCCAACCTTATGTATTCTGAGTTTCTTTTCTGCTGTGACTATTTTGGACAAATGCATGCAATCCAGAAACCATGGAGCAAATAAGACGATTAAAGGAGAAAGAGTATAGCGAGACCAGGGGACCAAGGACCTTAACAAAGGCAGCCCAGGGAATGAAGACATGATGGAGGGAGAGGAGGAAAGCTAAGGGATGGGCAGCTCATTGGAAGCTGGAGGCAGAGGTGACACTGATGTTTGGAGTCCCTCGTGTGGCTGGGTATGATGCCTCAGGGAAACTTCTCTGGAGCCCCAGAACAGGCCACTGCTGAACCCCAAGCCTGCATCATCCCTTCACCTAGTTTATTCACTGGGATTCCAGGCATAATTTTATTTTAAAGAGGGCAATGCTGCTATAAAAAATAAAGGCAAGCAAAATATCTAGGAAGCTTGCTTAAGATGCGCTTCATCAGCTCCTGTCCCTAGAGAATGAGTTTCAGGTGAGGTCTTTGTCTGCATTTCTAGCCAGAGGACTGTGATGCACACGGATCTTGACCACACCTTGCAAAATGCTGGCCTGAAAGGTGGTTTAAGGGTCATTACTCCAAAGGAATCAGTTCTGAGTGTTTGGAGGTCACACTTCTCACTAACTTAAGGGGTTTTTTTTGTTTTGTATGTGTGTTTTTATAGATATGGAGTCTCACTATGTTGCCCAGGCTGGCCTCAAAATCCTCGGCTCAAGAAATCCTCCTGCCTCAGCCTCCCAGAGTACTGAGATTATAGGCATGAGCCACTGCACTTGGCAAAGGTTTTTCAATTTTTTTTAACTTTTTGATCCTGTATTCCATTTTTTGAGGACAAATATTTTCTCATATTCCTCTATTAGGAATATTTAATAATCTATACACTTGTGAAGGACACATTCAGAAAAAGTAAACAAAATTTTAAGAAATCGTGGGAAAAAAAAGAGTCGTATTTCCACAGTTTATCCTTCATCCTTTTTTTTTTGCTTTTTTTTTTTTTTTTTTTTTTTTGAGACAGAGTCTCACTCTGTTGCCCTGGCTGGAGTGCAGTGGCGCGATCTCGGCTCACTGCAACCTCTGCCTCCCAGGTTCAAGCGATTCTCCTGCCTCAGCCTCCTGAGTAGCTGGGATTACAGGCGCCCAGCACCATGCCTGTTTTTTGTATTTTTAGTAGAAACGGGGTTTCACTATCTTGGCCAGGCTGGTCTTGAACTCCTGACCCCATGATCTGCCCAATTCGGCCTCCCAAAGTGCTGGGATTACAGGCGTGAGCCACTGTGCCCAGCACCCCCCCCCTTTTTTTAGAGTCATATTTTGGAGGAATAGCTATTGAATGTCCATCATAATTCTGTTTTAGTAGTTTAAGATGAATCTTGGAAACAAGTCTTAAAATTTTTGCCAAGAGAATGAGGTAGGTAACAATAGAACATGTACTATTTATAAAACTTTATTAAGAGGTTACACAGATATATTATTTTGGGATCTGTGGAGTTACACTATTTCAGAGCTGGTGTCATCTAACCCTTTTTTTGGAACCTGAAAGTGGGGGACAAAAGGAGTAATGACACGCTCAGTGGATACCCATAGGCCGCTGCCTCTCATCCCTGCAGCTCTGGCAACATTACAATTACCTAGGAGGCTCTGAGAAATGCTGGTGCCCAGATGTCACTCCAGGCGAATGCAATCAGAAAAGGATGGCATCTGTACCTTTTAGAAGTTTCTCAGGTGATTCTGCCAAGTGGGGAGCCTGAGATCCACAGCTTTAGGGAAAAGAGAAATGACCTCTTTGCTCATTCCTTATGATATGATAGATTTTTAACATATCTATCTAAAAGTAAATTTATCTTTACCCAAGGTCTGTACAGTAAAAGGAAAAGTTAATGAGGTAACAAATAATGCAGAATGTCTCTCTGATCACAAGTCAAAATGTGGAAGTGGGTTTCACACATCAAAGGTGGGACTTCGTTCCTGGCACTGATCTCTATTTGAGCTCCTCTTTTGTAGCCTCTACAACAATTAGGTTAGCTCATGAATGCTAATGTATCCCACAGGGCACAGTAGATATACAGTATTGGCTAGAAAATGATTTGAAACTTTAACCTGGGATGCCAGAGGTTTGCCTCCCAGACCCCCGCTTGTCTCCTCTGCTCGGCCCCAGCTTGGCTGCAGCGCAGGCAACCTGAGCAGGACTCACCCTATCTCCCCTCTCCCTGGAAGAGAAACAGAAAGAGCGTGAAGATGATGGATGGAGGAAGGGAGAAGTGAATCAAGGTGCAAGAGTGAGAGCTGGTGAAGAGTCATGAAATATCTTGGAGAAAATTTTCTCAAATACCCTTTTTTCCTGGAGTTACTCAAACACAAGATGCATTTCTGGAGCCAGCCAAGAAACAGGCCCATGGAATTTTAAAAGTCAAGAAAACAAAAGAAATCCAGGCTTAGCCAGCCCATAGATTTGTGTATGGGCATGATACAAAGCATTAATGATACATTTGTTCTTTATGCCCCAAAATAAGAAGACTGATACACCATCAAGGAAAACCCCCAGAAAAGGGAAAAGCCTTACAATAGCAAATAAAAACAGCCCTACAAAACTAGCCTTTACCAAGTTCTAGGGACTGTCTCAGGATATCACATATACTACCTTGTTTAATTCTCACAGGAGCCTACAAGATGCATCCTTTCATTATCCTCAATTTGTAGGAGAAAGAACTCAGAGAGGCTGAGGAAACTTGCTCAAGGTTATATCACTAGTTAGGGGTGGAGCTGGGGTATGAACTCAGGCCACTGTTCCTAACCCTTGACACTACACTGTCTTGTGAGATGGACAATTCATAAAAGATAACAACATGAGTTTTTTTCCCTGAAAAGCTAAAAATTGCTTCCTTGAAAATAAAGATGCTAAGAGCCCATGCTAAGAATCACAGCCCATCCTAAGAAAGTATGTTCGGTGCAATTGAGTGTGGCAAATTATGGGGATTAACTTGAATTCTCTTTATATATCACAAAGGAAGTCATTAGCAGACTTTGGAACTCTGTTGTTAGTAACAAATGGCTTACACCCCAGCTCACTGCAACACCCCAGTGTGCTGTGATACCACCATGGCTGGGAACCATTGGCCTGGAAAACAGACCTAGGCAGAAAGATATTTATGTAACTGAGTTGAAGAAGGTAGCTGGAAGGTGCATCAAGCTAGACATTGGCAGTGTGTGTCAGGTGCTCCAGCTTAGGGCCTTCCTGGAAAATGGGCAGGAAAAATAGATGGTGACAAAGCAAACACATCAGTGTTGTGGGTGAGCCTGTAGAGATACGTTCTGGGGCATTCTGCTGCCTCCCAAGACTACATAAGTCCCAGGAGCCACAGCATTTGTTGCATAAGATTAAATCACTCCAAGCTGAGAATTTCCCCCTTTAAAGGAATAAATGGCAAGCCATGGGGGAAAGAATGAGCCAACTCTTCTAGGACATGTGTGCCTCCACTTAGGCATTTTGGTCCCTTGACCCTCCAAGACATTGATGTGACTTTGGCCAAGTCACTGGTTGTTACCAGGAGGGGATGAAATACATGTTTCCCTAAATCCCTTCCAACTCAAAAAATATGGGATACTTTGAATAAAACGAGATTGGTACAAAATTCTGATTACCTTTGAGAATGTCTAGCTCTGATTGCTAGATTTTCACTGCATATTTTCCTCTGGCCTTCAATTATCTCCCAATAATTTACCCCCAAATCTTTATTACTTCAAATGAATGGACTTTTCGTAGAGCCCTACTGCATCTCTAGTCCGCAGACACTAAGACATACATTAGCATTATTAAATTGTAAGCCAAAGACATATCTATATATCTAAATACTGTGTTTGCATACTTTCCCTGATCATTATGTACTTTTCCCCCATTCCATTACCACTTAAAATGCATTTTGTGATATTTCATTAAAGAGGCATAATTACATTAGAGAAGTTTGTTTTCAGACATCAACATGTGCCTTTGGGTTACATTTCAAATTATGAAGATGGACTTAAAAGAGATAACACCATTTAGTGTGCTAATTACCACAAGATTCTCAAAGTGCGCCAGAGCTCTAGGTGCTTTTGCTGTTTAAGAAATGTGACTGTAAGAACTTCCACTTATAAAGCTTAGCATGCATTGACTACCTACTATGGATTGGGCTTGATATTGAGGATAGAGAAGAACAAAACAAGTCTAGCAGAGCAGGAAAGTGTGTGTGTAAATACGTTGTAGCTGCCACCCTCTGGAGTGGCTCTCCGTTTCACCAAGAATCCCTTAGGCCCTCCCCAGCAGCACTCTTTCCCCTTCTATGCCCAGGAGCCTGCAGCACAATTGTGTTATGTGACATAGCCCTGAATGGATACTGGCCCCTGCACAACCAGGCAACATTGTTTCTCCCAAGAATTTGAACCTTTAGCTAAGAGTTTTAATTTAGCCTGGGCAAGCCTGGTGAATGACAGACTCAAAACTGAAGATTATGGAGCAGCCACTTCTGCTTGTCATGTTGGCTGAGAAGTAGAAATATAGAAATAATCAGTGTGCAGAGTAGAGTGCAGCAGACAGTGAGAAACAAGGATGGGGGAGGAAGAGAGAATGAATCATTAGATGACTGAATGAATCCTGGAGAGCCTTGCTTCCCGTCAGCTGTTGGTTCCAGACCCTCCAGCCGCATTCCAACACCCCAGTGCTTGAGGCCCCCCTACATTTCCTTTTTTGTGGTTTTAGCCTTGATTTTTTTTTCTTTGCAACCAAGAGTTCCAACTAATAAATGAGTGTAATAACTTGTCATTGGCATTGTAATGGAAGTGGGTACAGAACAAATTTTAACCTATCTTACTTATACAAATAGAGTACAGATGTCAATTGTACTTAATGATAAATAGGCCAATGACAACTCATTTTCGTTCTTAAATCCTTTCCACTATAAACATTTATACACAGCAACATTTGCAAGACATTGAGCCTTGGCAGTGAGTGTAACAAGACGCATAGCAATGGTGGGCAACCTTATTTTGATCAAGAGAAAATTAGGAAAAAGCAAAAATTACTTACAGGCTATATTTCTCTCTCATTCAAAATGGCTTTATTGTTGATCTTATGGGGAAAATTGTATTTTTGCAACTCAGGTGATTTATTTATTGAAGAGAAGAATGCCAACAAGAAAACTTTTTCGGCCTCTGAAAGATTATAACATGTTCCGGTTTAAGAATTTGAAACTTCAGACAGCTCTAATTGTCCATCTCTTATGTTTGGACTGCACCTTAATTTTCACCACACGAGTTCATCTGCATTAGCCCCAAGTATCATTCCATCCCCCCCACCAAAAAAAACTGGCCCATGAGGTATTATTATCCTCATTTAGAGGATATGGAGAAATTAAGTCTCTGTTTCAAAGCAAGTCTGTAAATTCTTTAACATTCTTCCCATCAAGAAGAGAGACCTATCTCCTGCCCTGGAACATGGGTAGCACTTTTGACTGTCGGCATGCATATAATATGGTGGAAGTGACACTGCTTGACTTGTGAAGCTGGATCACAATGGGTTATTGACTTCCACCAGCCTGTCTCCGGGGACAGGTGACTTCATGTAAGAAGTCCAGCTACCCTGACAGAGAGTCCACATGGAGGGAGCACACTGTAATAGACAGAGGTGCCTGAGGAGCCCCGGCTGTTCCAGCCGCCAGCTATTTAGGTCTTCCCAAGTCAGGCACCAGAGAGTATGAATGGACAGGCCTTCAAGAGAACTCTAGCCCCAGCCATTGTCTGATTGTCACTGCATGAGGACCAAAAACTGCCTAGCTGAGCCCCATCAACCCCTAAAGAAGTGAAAGATAGTAATGACAAATGCTTGCTGTTGTTTTATAGCACTAAGTTCTGAGTGGTTTGTTGTGCTGCAGGCTCCAAGAGAAGTAACTTTCTGAGATCACTCAGGAATTTCTTAGTGGAACTGGGGCTAGAATCAATTCGCTGCATTTAATGCAGTATTAACCAGACAACTGTGTTGGGCCCTGGGGACCAGAGAAGAATTAAGACACAGCCCAAGCCTTCCCCTGGTCTGAGCTTCCTCTTCCTGCCTTCATAGTCATGGCAGCTCCTTCTTGCTGGGAGTGGGATAGAGGAGCCCTAGGGCTGCTGGCTTCTGGAAGGAACTGGCTCCAGGGCACCCTGGCTATTCCGCTGCTCCATGCTGTGTGCAGGTGGCTCTGGCACCAAGAGGTGGCACCAAACCTGCTGCCAGCCTTGGCTTTCTCACCAGTCCTGCTCTGATGAATTGACAGGCTGTGTTTGGAATTGAGCATGGCGGTATTACAAAGGCAAGTGGGTACCACATAACCTGCCTGCAGTGTTGCTTTGTTCTGATGAATTACACCGAGTGCCTGGATTCACATTTGGCTGGATTGTCAGGAAAAATATGTGTTCTGGGTGCCAGCTGATCTTTTCATCTAGCTTCTGTCCTCAGGTAAACATTCCCTGTTAAAATTCTAAATTTCCATCTGCTTCCTCTAAAGAGATTGGTAAAAAGGCAAAAAACACCTAAGAATCAGTGTTACTTGTAATGAGCCCAGGGCTGCTGCAGGGGGCACCATATACATAGAATAGCAGGTGAGCGGGGTCCCCAGGGCTGAAGTATTATGCTCTAGGCCAGAAAAAGGATATTTTTTTTTTTTATTCCTGGGATACAGATAATGTATTTTCACATAACATCCACATGTTTCATGAATTAAGCCAACAAATATTTACCAAGCATCCTTTAAATCCTTTAGTATTTAAAGTATCATTTTTTGCAAAAAAATATATATATATATATGAGGCCCAACTTATTTTTGCCTGTCATGAAATCAAAGGCCAATTAAATAATCACTGCCAAATTTATATTCCTTTTTTATAGGTTTTGTTTATTCAAGGCATTCTTGTACAGTAAAGGGCAGGAAAAGGAGAGGGAGAGGGAAAGGGAGAAGAGGAAGAAGGAGGAAGGTGTGTGTGTTGGGAGTAGGGAGAAGCTTTGCAAATGGTAAACCTGGGTTATTATTTGACTTTTGGTTAAAAAAAAAAGTTGCATCAAATTAAGCAGTAAGCAATCATGAAGCAGGCAGTGACATGCATAGAGCAGATTTTCCTAAATCATCTTCCCCAGAACGCCAATTCGCTAAGATGTTAATAAGCATTTTCCAAATAAAGATTTTCATTTTTCAGATAAATTCAGGATCGGCTGCATCTCCACTCCTGGTGAGTGACAAATTCGTTTTAGCATGTTAAAGGCTCTGGAAAATGCTAGGGTAAAAGCAAAATGAAACACAAAACAAGAAGCTTGATTGACTTCCTTTAGCCTGGCACCCCCCAGATGCTAAACCTCTGTTATTGAAGTCGCTGAGGAACAGAGCCCATGGCACATGTGGAAAATCCTCTGCTGGATGAGGTGACTGTGCGATGGTCTCTGCTAGCTCCCTGCTAGGTCAGAGTGGAGCACTGGAGAAACACCAAACTCTTACCCAGGAGGGAAAAGGTCTGTTTCTCTGGCATCCTGCCTTTTGGTGGGGAGAAAAACTTCCAGTTTGAGTCTGAGGTGAAAATCGCTTTCCCGTTGCATCAAAGTCATGGAAACCCTGATGTGCCGTTATACCATTCAACATTCCCATCCCTGCAGTGCCTCAGGCTTTTGCAGTTTGCCCTCCTCATGCCCTTTACTGGATCATGACCTTCTTCCAGCTGCCATTCCATTTTCACAGTCATTTCCATGCCCCATTTGGCTAACTCACCACTCCCTCAAAATGAGATGCCCAGGTCAAAAAGCAGAGCTTTGCCCCATGTCCTTCCTGGAGCCTGGAGACTCCTGCCGAGTCCAGAGGGAGCAGCGAGCATGCCAGAGAAGGGCCCCTGCTAGGGACTGCTTCTGCTGTGAACATTTGGGTCCTGTTCCTGTGCTTTCCCACACCTCTCCCAGATGCTGCCGCAACCTTTACATGAATGCTCAGCCTGTTTCCTCCTGTCTCAAATGTCCTTATTTCAGGGTTGGGATAAAGAGTAAAAAAATACGTTTAGAGTATTAAGCCTAGTGCCTGCCTGCAATAGGTGCTCAACAAATAGATGCTATTACTGATCATCACTATTCTTGCCTTATCTTCCCAAAGCGTCTTCATACTGAGAATACAAATGAGGTCAGGTTAACAGGACCAATTTAAATCTCACTGACTGCTTGGCCTCATTTGCATCTGCAGACCTTCACACCTCCTCCACCTGTAAGCTCCAGGCCAGTATTTCTGGGACTCTCCGGAGGGTGTCTCATGGGTATGTAAGAACAAGCCCACTCTCTGTGCCACGCAAGCCTGCTCATGGCTCACTTGTCACCAGAATGCCCGCCACCAGCTGTCACAGCTGCATGGGGTGCAGGAGTGAGGCCCTGGCTCCACCTGGCACAGCAACTCCATGTTGGTGGTTATGGCCTGTGTGCCACCCATCTGCTCTTCTGTCCTAAGAACAGACTGTGCTGTGGTCTCTGAGCAGCCAGCTTTTTGTGTTACTGGCTGTTGGACGGGGGCCGAGTAGGGCTCCTTGAGACCTCCCATGTTAGAATTTACTGACAGAGTTTTTCTTTTTGGAATTCTCACCTTTTTCCTCCTTAGGAAAGGAGCTGGCCTAGGGACGGGATGAGTCACTTCCTTCACAGGGAGCTTGGAGTCTCTGCTGTCTTCACCACTGAAAGCTTTGTTGTCAGGTCCAGCGTCTTGCTCTGGCACCACCTCATGTGGGAGGTGTTCTCCCCTGGTGCTCTATTCCGTTCCTTACAAGAAGTCAGCCCCCATAGTGGGCCCAGACTGAGTCCTCTTCCAGGAGGCTCTTCTGCCTGTGCAAAGGGGCCACCGCCAGCCCAGCCCTTAGTGCGCTGGTCTCAGTCTCAGTGGCCCCACCATGGTGCTGCCCTATGGGAGCAAACTCTCCCTCATCTCCATCCTCCTCACAGCACTAGCCACTGTGGTGACCATGGGTCCTACCCGATCCTGCTGGTGACTCCCTGCCACCATTGCCAGGACACAGCTCTTTCTGGCCCAGAGTGACAATTCTGGCAAATTTAACTTGATATTGGCTATCCAAGGACAAGTATATGGTGAGCACTAAGCACCAGGCATTGTGTGTAGCTTCTGGCTCTCATAGATTTGTTAGGATTCCCCTGTAATGGCGGTGGTGGTGACAGGAGCTTACTCTACCCTGGGCAGGAACCAGGCTGCAAACCCAAGTCTGGCTAAATCAAAGTCCAGGCTTCCTAGAGACTCACTGTCTCTTTGTTCCTTACTGGAATCTTTGCTCTTATCCTCACACCTGTGCCACGCAAAGCCCCTCAGGAGCTAGGCTGATCATGACTGGACCCCGCACAGTCACCCAGCATGCTCCTCCCCATTGCCTCTAAGCTGGCCAGGACCCTGGGGGACTTTCCCCATGCACTACCCTGACACCTTTCTGGGGCACTGTAGTAACTATCCACAGCCCCTCCTGGAGTGTGTCTCTTCATCCTGAGGTCTAAAATCCTGATAATCTCCCCCAGTGAACCTGCAGTTTCTCCGAGGGGCCAGGTCCTCTGAGGACATGGGTCCCCTGGTGACTGCCTTGCCATTACTGGACCTTCTCAGATGAGGGTGCAGACCACATCCCATGATCCCCAAGGAGCATTAGCCCAGAGGAAACACCTGATCAATCCCTGCCAATTTACGCTAAAAGCCACCATTTAAAAACAAAAACAAAAACAAAACCCTCATCAGGATGACCTCCTATACCACAAAACCTTGCCCTCAGCAGAACTCTCTATAGGTCTCAAAGGTGACAGTACGAAGCACTGCTGGAAATTCCCACTCTCCTAGCATCCTATTTATTGATCACATAGCTGCCTCCCGGGGGTAGAACCACTGGGAAATGTGTATGAACAGCACTCATCAACCATCACGTTTTTATTTGGCATTAGCTCCATGCCCAGTGAAGTGCCAGTTACAGACTGAGATTCATTTAAAAAATAGAAAGCATGGTCCTGTAAATAATTTGCAATTAACCAGGGAGATACACTTATACTGGAGAATTGAAGAACAGCTACAAGTACGCACCGTAAGTAGGAAAGTCCTACAGCTTCCCTGGCTTCCTCCCACTCTCAGCCCTGCAAGCTCACCCAAGCCGAGCAGCCCACTGGCTGTACCTCAAACGTGCCAAGCGACTCCTGCCTCAGGGGCTTCTCCTGGTTATTCCTGTGCCCTGGAAAAACCTTCCGCCAGACCTTCCCAATACTCCCTGCCTCACTTCCATCCATTCTCTGCTTCAATTCCCCTTCGCAGAGAGGCCTCCCTGGTCACTGTCTCTAAAACAGTTCCTCCTCTTACTCACTCTTCTTACTTTGCTTTAGTGTAGCACTTGTCACTACCAGATCTCCCACTTGTTATTTACTTGTTTTTTTGTGTGTATTAACTACATATGTATTTCAGTTGAAAGGTCTGTTCAAAACTTTGATCCTTTTTGAAATTTCCTTGGTTTTTATTGTTGCATTTTAGAGTTTTTGAGTTTATTCTGTTTTGTTTACTGTTGTATCTCCAGAGTCTTGAATAGCACCTGCCACAAAGGAAGCTATTTCCTGAGGAAATGAGGGAATAAATGAAGGGATGGATAAATGAATGAATGAATGAGACAGACTATGCCTCGTGGTAGGATTTATATAAAATAAGAATAATATAAAAATAATGCAATTTTATATTTGCATATCACTCATTCCATATATGTGATTGTGAGATGTATCCCATCTGTGTGGTGTGTGTCTGTGGGTATGTATGTGTGAGTGGTGAGTTTGTGCATGCTGTTTATGTGGATCTAGCCAATTGACCACTGTGCAGGAGGAAGAACTCAGACCTTGGAGTCAGAGGAATCTGGCTTCACATCCCTGCTTGCTCACTTGTTAACTATATGACAGTAAGTATGTTTCTCGACTTTTCCAAACCTGGGTTTATTCACGTTAACATGGGGATAAAAGTACCTCTTTCATAGATTTGTTATGGGGGTGAAATGAGACAACATACAACATACTTAAGACACTCTACAAATGAGAAATGCTTAGAAAAAACTTTTTTATATGTATGCTTTTCTTTTGATTTCCTAATTTTTAATTTACATAAGGTAATATTCACTGATTTTAGTGTATAGTTGTATGATTTTGGATCCCAATCAAGTTTTGTTTTTTTTTTTTTGGAGATGGAGTCTCGCTCTGTCGCCGAGGCTGGAGTGCAGTGGCACAATCTCGGCTCACTGCAGGCTCCGCCTCCCGGGTTCATGCCATTCTCCTGCCTCAGCCTCCCAAGTAGCTGGGACTACAGGTGCCTGCCACCATGCCTGGCTAATTTTTTTGTATTTTTAGTAGAGACGGGGTTTCACTGTGTTAGCCAGGATGGTCTTGATCTCCTGACCTCGTGATCTGCCTGCCTCAGCCTCCCACAGTGCTGGGATTACAGGTGTGAGCCACCACGCCTGGGCCCCAATCAAGTTTTATGACCCCAAAGTGTTCCTTCTAACTGTCCCCCATTTGGGGCAACTTCTCTCACTCCAAACTCTTGGCAACCACTGATTTGTTCTTCTTTCCTGTAGTTTTGCCTTTTCCAGGGTAGCGTGTAAATGGATTACCATATGTAGCTTTTTGAGCCTAGCTTCTTAAATTTAGCATAATGAATTTGAGAATCTTCCATGTTGCATGTATCAATAGTTTGTTCCTTTTTATGGTTGAATTTGCTTATTCATTGTGTATCCATTCACTAAAGGACATTTAAGTTGTTTCCAGCTTTGGGTGATTATGGATAAAGCTGCTATATTACATTTGCATAATGGTTTTATATGAACATAAGTTTTCATTTTTTTGGATAAGTACCTTAAAATGAGATTGCTGGATCAGATCGTAAGTGTGTATTTAAGTTTCTTATAAGAAACTACCAAACTGTTGTTCAAATGTTCCAGTGGCCTGAATCCTCACTAATACATTGTACTGTCATATTGTGTTTAAACTTTAGCCTCCTAATTGGCAGGTAGTGGTTTCAGTTTGTATTTCCCTGATGACTATTGATGTTGACTGTCTTTCCATGCGCTTACTTGCCATACATATGTATTTTAGTTGAAGTGTCTGTTCAAAATGTTGATTCTTTAAAAAATTTCCTTGTGTTTTTATTGTTGCATTTTAGAGTTCTTTTTATATTCTGGATACAAGTCTTTTGTCATATATGTAATTCACAGATGGTTTTTTCCTGGTCTGTGGCTTTTCTTTGCATTATTTTGACAATGTCATTTGCAAAGCAAATTCTTAATTTTTAATGAATTCTAATTTACCAATTTTTTTCCTTGAAAGTATTGTTTTGGTGTTATTAATATAAGAATTTTTGCCTAATTTAGGGATGTAATAATTTTCTCCTATATTTTCCTTTAAAAGTTTATAGTTTTACATTTTATACTTAGCTCTATGATTCATTTTGCATTAATTTTGTTAAAAAGACTATCCTTTCTCCACTGAATTACCTTTGTATGTTTTTAGAAATTCAGTTGACCATATTTATATAGGTCTATTTCTGGACTTTATTTTATTTGATTGACTTAGGTGTTTATCCTTTTGCCAATATCACGCTTGATTACACTAACTTGAAATAAAGTGGTATGAGTTTTCCAACTTTGCTCTTTTTCAAATTTGTTTTGCTATTCTCATTCTTTTGCTTTACCCTATATACTTTAGAATCAGCTTGCCAATATATATAAATAATTTTGTGGAGATTTTGATTATGATTGCATTGAACCTATAGATAAATTTGGGGAGAATTGACATCTTATGAATATCCCATAAACACAGTATATCTTCCCATTTATTTGGCCTTTCTTTGGGATTTTTTTTTTTAAATCAGGGTTTATAACATATAGATCCTGCGGATATTGCATTTACTCTCAATATTTTATTTTATGGCACTATTATAAATGGCATAATGTAAAAGTTCAATAAAATTATTTATTGGTAGTATATAGAAATACATTTGTTTTTTTTTTGTTTTTTTTTGTTTTTTTTGTTTTTTTTTGAGATGGAGTCTTGCTCTGTTGCCTAGCCTGGAGTGCAGTGGCATGATCTTGGCTCACTGCAACCTCTGCCTCCTGGGTTCAAGTGATTATCGTGCCTCAGCCTCCCGAGTATCTGGGATTACAGGTGTGTGCCAGCACGCCTGGCTAAGTTTTTCTATTTTTAGTAGAGATGGGGTTTCACAATGTTAGCCTGGCTGGTCTCGAACTCCTGACCTCAAGTGATCTGCCTGCCTCAGCCTCCCAAAGTGATGGGATTATAGGTGTGAGCCACCATGCCTGGCCAAAATTAATTTTTATATATTGATCTTTTTAGTCAATTTGATTATGAGCTCTAGAGCTTTCTTAGAGATTCCTTGGAATTTTCTACATAATGCCTTTTATTTCTTTTTCTGGCCTTATTGCACTGGCTAGGCCTTCCAGAACAATGTTGTAAAAAAGTGGTAAGAGCAAAAGTCTTTCTCTTGTTTCCTATTTTAGGGGAATGCAGTCTTTTTCCATTAAGTGTGAAATCAACTATACAGTTTTTTCTACATGCCCTTTATCAGTTTAAAAAAAATTTCCTTCCATTATTAGTTTGCTGAGAATTTGTATCATGAATAGATATTGAAAATTTCAAATGTGTTTTCTGTATCTACTGAAGCAATCGTGGTTTTCCTTCTTAACCTGTTAATATAGTTAATTATATTGATTGACTTTCAAATGTTGAACCAGCCTTACATTCCCAAGATAAATCCTGCTTAGTCATGGTACATTATCCTTTGTTAATATTGCTGGAATAGATTCACTAAAATTTTGTTCAGAATTACTTCACCTATGTTCATAAGGGATATTGGTCTGGTTTTAATGCTGGTCTAATTCTAGCCTAATAAAATGGGTTGTGAAGTATTTCCTTCTTTTTCTATTTTTGAGAAAAGATTATATAGATTTGTTACTTCTTCCTTAAATGTTTGGGAGAATTACTCAGTAAAACCATCTGGACGTCGAGTTTTCTTTTTTGAAGTATTTTAACTACAAATTCAATTTCTCTAATAGATATGAGACAAATCAAGTTATCTAATTTCTTCACCAAGCTTTGGTAGTTTGTATGTTTCAAGGAATTAGTCCATTTAATTCCTGATTTAACCCTGATTTAAACACAAATTTGTGGTAATACAGTCATTTGTTTTTCTGTAGTGATATCCACTCTTCCATTCCTGATATTGATAGCTTTTGTCTTCTCTCTCTCTCTCCTTCTTGCTTAGTATAACTAGAGATTTATGCATTTTATTGATATTTTCATTGGCTTTGTCTATTGTTTTTCTGCTTTCATTTTCACTGACTTTTGTTTTTATTTTTGTTAATTCATTTTCTCTGCTTGCTTTGGGTTTAGTTTGTTCTTTTTTCTTTTTTTTGTTGTTTGTTTGTTTTATGGAGTTTCATTCTTAGCATCTAGGCTGGAGTGCAATAGCACAATCTTGGCTCAACTGCAATCTCCGCCTCCCAGGTTCAATAGATTCTTCTGCCTCAGCCTCCCCAGTAGCTGGGATTACAGGCGCCTGCCATCACACCCAGCTAATTTTTTGTATTTTTAGTAGAGAAGGTGTTTCACCATGTTGGCCTGGCTGGTCTCAAACTCCTGACTTCAGGTGATCCACCCGCCTCGGCCTCCCAAAGTTCTGGGATTACAGGGGTGAACCACCGTGCTCAGCTGTTTGTTCTTTTTTTCTAATGTCTCACTGTGGAAGCTTAAGTTATTGATTTGAGACTTCCTTTTCTAATATGAGCATTTAGTGCTATAATTTTCTTCTCTCTAAGCACTTCCACAATTTTTTATAAATTGTATTTTTATTATTAATTATTTTAAAATATTTTATTATTTCCCTTGAAACTTACTTGACCAATGCGTTATTTAGAACTTTGTTGTTTAAATTCCAAATGTTTAGGTATTTTCTAGATATCCTTGATTTTTTATTTTTTTCTTTAACCATTTATGGTCATACATATTATTGTCAACATATTTGGTATGATTTCAATTATTTTAAAATTGTTAAGGTTTATTTAATGGTTCAGAATGTGTCCTCTATAGGTACTTGAAAAGAATGTGTTTTGCTGTTTTGGAGTGGGTTGGCACCTGTTAGTGGTTTTTCCCTTGACTACTGGTCACATTTTCCTGGTTCTTTGTATGTTAAGTAGTTTCGGATTGTATTTTAGACAATCTGATATTATGTTGTGAGACTCTGAGTCCTGTTAAAATCCTCTAGAGAATATTGATTCTCCATAATGACCACCCTGTTATGCAGTTCCACACAACTGGAGAGACAAAGAGAACAAAAACAAAAATTTTCCCCCATCCACTTGGGATGTTAGGGAACTCTTTTGAAGATCCTCTGACAAGAGAGACAGTGGTTTGTTTGTTTGCTTTCTCAGTGTTTCAGGTGTTCATGCCACAACTGCTGCAGAGAAGCTCTAGACTGTGGCCACTCCTCGCTTAGAGATAGGAGGAAAAAAGAGGGGAAAAACAGAAAGAAAAAAAGCCTTGGAATATATTCTACACTTTTCAGCTTACAGAGGTCTCTGTATCTGTTTGGTTCAACAAAGGAGATTTCTCTGAGTTTTGATGTCTGCTCCTACTGCTCAGTTCCATAATTAGGGCCATTTTCATTTCAAAGCAGTGAGATACAAAAGCAAAAATAACTCAGGATTCTCATCCTAATACTGGTTTTTCTTCAAATTTTGACTTTCAAACTATCTTCTGGTGTTTACTTTTCAGAGTCCTTAAATAGTTTCTTTCTGTATTCATTTTTAGCTGTAATCTGTGAGAGAGACAGGCTATAGAGGGCTGACTTTATCTTGGCCGGCAATGGCGGTCTCAGTAATATTTAACATCTAATAATTATTGAATTCCATGTACAACTCGCATCTCCTATCCTACCCTCTTTAGGAGGGCTTTTAAGAATGCTGGATAGTGGGAATTTTAGAGACATTGTGGGATGACTTCTGTTTTCACTGGGAGAGGTGGAAACAGCTTTGTTAGGTAAGCGTTTTCTGGCATCTACTTGGGACTCATTTGCATATTGGTAGCTTCAACCTCACACAAATCATGTTGATCCGGTATCCCATTTTTATGTTCACACTCTGGAAACATGTACTACTACTGCCACCTATATCTACAATACTTAGTGTAATTGCTGGTTTATATGTCTGTCTCCTCCTTGAGGTTCCTTAAGGACAGAGAATGTTCTCTGCCTTCTGAGCTCCTAGCACAAATTCTGGCACATAGAAGGAACATAATAATTTTTTTAAAATTTGTGACCTTGCTTTAAAATTGAATTTCATACTCTTGGAATGAGGGATAACATTTTTCTTGTCTTAAACAAGTATGATAAAAATACCCAACACATCTCTGAGAACCATCTTGTAATTGCAGCCATCTCATGCCTGAGAAAGGTAAACACTACACACAGGAGTATCATGGAGTGGCCACACTGTGTCTTCTCTGCTTCAGAGATAGGTAAATCAAGGCATGGGAAAGTCAGGTGTCTTTGTATTCAAACTCAGATTATTAAGCACCTCAAAGAAACTGAAATGGAGAATCTGTGTCAACTCTTTCTTAGAATGGCAGTTCTGATCTCAATTTCCTTCAACTGCGTAATAGAATACACAACTCAGTATCTATTTACACATCACTGCTTTTTCTTTTTGCATTAAGACATCATTTTAGAATAGGTTTTCTGACTTTCTCTGTGTCTCTGACTGCATTAACTACCAAAAGCGTGGCTGAGCCACACTTCACTGACATCATCGTGCTCCCAGCTCAAATCATTTTCATCCTATTGTGAAGCAAAAGCCTTAAAAATGCTCTTTAGTTTTTTTATTTTTTTTATTTTTAAAGGGCATTTACATCCAGCCATTTTATGAGTGCAGTCAAGGCAATTTCATGTTATCTTCCAAGACTTTTACACACTTGGAGAGCCTGGCAAAATGCATTCGAGATGTTTGAGCAAGAGGTCCCATCAGTCATTCACCTGCATGTTTTAAATTGAGTGCCTGCCCTGTCCGGCTGAACGCTCCATTCATCGAATTGCCTGGAACAGCTCCATGGCCCTCAGGAGCCTCATGCACATCTCACACTGTTGCAAAATTGCCTTCAGACAGGATTCTGATTTCCGTCAGAGAATTTTAAATTCCAGCTAATGGAATGCTTTGAAGGCATGTGCCACAGACTTCTGCCCAGTGCAAGTCCTGTGTGTGAGCAAATCTAGCAGGGACTCCAGAGCCTGGACAGCAGAAAGCTGCACTTCCTCAAGAGGATGCAGGATCCTCTCACTTTCCCAGTTATCCTACAGCTGACTAGTCAGCTGAGGGATTCACCTGGCGTCTGTATCTCCCCACTAGCTTCTTACTGTGGGAAGAGAAAGAATAGGATCCTGCTGGGAGCCAGGAGTCCCTGGGTTTAATTAATGGCCTTTTGGCTTTCTTCCCTTCCCCTCTCCACTGTGTGCACTGGTGGACACTGGTCCCCATCCCTGAGGTTCAGTCCTGCCCTGGATTCCAGGTCTACACCAAGCCCGAGAAGGTTCTGGATGAGAAGAGCTGAGTAATTTGCTTGGTCAACAATTTTTGAAACAATGCTTGAGATAACCTTTGGAATCTGGGTTCTTCAACTACACGGTTTCTGTCTTACTTTTCTCTTGCAGGAGGGTCAGTGCTTTCATTCCCAGCCAGCTATTCCTTGTTCTTCATGTCCTCTACCACCTAGTCCCAAATATACAATGAGAACTCCTGGATCTCTTAGTTTCTAGGTGTCTAGTTCTACTTCCCTTTAAATTAATGACTTCCATCCAGGACACAGTGGTTTTGTTTGATTGTATTAATGGATTAGACAGGCCCAAATCTAATGGCAAGCTTTGCCCCTGTCTAGTTGGAGGGCCTTAAGAAAGGCACTTGACATCTCTGAGACCCAATTTTCTCATCTGCAAAACAGTTTTACTAAGATGTCCTGAAGATTAAATTATATAATATATAAAGAGTCTAGGAAAGAGTAAGCCTGTAAATGATGGCTATTATTATTATTTTTACTAGTGTTTGACTATCCATTTCCTCCATGACTGTTGCCTGGGTTTCCAGTGCTCTTCAGACTTATTTTTCTTTGATCACACATCAGTGAGTCCATGGCTAAATGAGTCTATCTTTGGCTCAACTCTCACATTCAGATATATTCTATGCTTTCACCTGAACTTGGGGATCCTCCATGGATTACTGGTCCTACCTCAATTATTTTTCCTGCTTGTTCTCTGCCTTATTTGTCCTTCTACTTCCTGAGCCCCTAATTTATTCATGTGAAAAAGCAAAATTGCACAATGTAAATTCTATGAGAACAGCTTCACTCTAAGGTAAATTATAATGTCTTGTCTTATTCAGGAAATGACTGGATGTTGATGTTCATGTATATCATCTACTAAAATGATAGAATGAATGCTTTAGACACTCTAGAAATAGTTTGTTCTATTTTTCTCTACTTGACTGATGATCTCTTGGGATCAGAACAGATATTCACAATATTAAAACTATAGTAAATGGTTTTGTGGTTGTAACCAATGACAAATAATTTTTTCTTTTTGAATCTGACATCCTCCACATCTACTCTCTGGGATGGAAATGTCTTTAGTGATACTGCCAAAAGAAGCATCAGAGAGAGATTAGATAGAGATGACCTTTCCATGAATTTTAAGAGGAAGACTCTGATATGGTTTGACTTTGTGTCCCCACTGAAATCTCATCTTGAATTGTAATCCTCAGGTGCCAAGGGAAGAACCTGGTGGGAGGTGATTGGATCTTGGGGGTGGTTTCCCCCATCCTATTCTCATGATAGTTGTCACAAGAGCTGATGGTTTTAAAGTGTGGTACTTCCTGACGCTTGCTCTCGCTCACTCGCTTTCTGTCTCTCTCTCTCTCTTGCAGTCTCTCTCTCTCTCTCTGTTGCCTGCCGCAGGTAAGATGTGCCTTGCTTCCCCTTCACCTTCTACCATGATTGTAAGTTTCCTGAGGCCTCCCCAGCCATGCAGAACTATGAGTCAATTAAACCTCCTTTCTTTATAAATACTCAGTCTCTGGTGGTATTCTTCATAGCAGTGTGAAAACGGACTAAAACAGAGAATTGGTACCAAGGTAGTGTGGTACTGCTATAAAGATAACTTGAGAACGTGGAAGCAACTTTGGAACTGGATAACAGGCAGAAGTTGGAACAGTTTGGAAGGCTCAGATGAAGACAAGAGGATGAATGAAAGTTTGGAACTTCCTACAGACTTGTTGAATTGTTTTGACCAAAATGCTAATAGTGATATATGATATAGACAATGAAGTCCGGGCTGAGATGGTCTCAGATGGAAATGAGGAACCTATTGGGAGCTGGAGTAAAGGTCACTCTTACTATGCTTTAGCAAAGAGCCTGGCAGCATTTTGCACCTGCTCCGGAGATCTATGGAACTTTGAACTTAAGAGAGATGATTTAGGGTGTCTGGCAGAAGAAATTTCTAAGCAGCAAAGCATTCAAGAGGTAATCTGGTTGATTCTGAAAGCGTTCAGTTACATGCGCTCACAAAGAGATGGTTTGAAATTGGAACTTACATTTAAAAGGGAAGCAGAGCATAAAGATTTGGAAAATGTACAGCCTGACTATGTGGTAGAAATTTTTCTGGGAAGAAATTCAAGCCAGCTGCAGAAATTTGCATAAGTAACAAGGAGCCAAATGTTAATCACCAAGACAATGGGATAAATGTCTCCAGGGCATTTCAGAGATCTTCAAAGTAGCCCATCCCATCACAGGCCCAAAAGCCTAAGAGGGAAAATGTCCTCAGGGCCCTGGGCCCTGCTGCTCTGTGCAGCCTTGGGACATGGCGTCCTGCATCCCAGCCACTCCAGCTCCAGCTGTGGCTAAGAGGGGCCAAGGTACAGCTCAGGGCATTGCTTCAGAGAATGCAAGCCCCAAAACCTTGGCAGCTTCCACATGATGTTGGGCCTGTGAGTATTCAGAAGACAAGAGTTGAGCTTTCAGAACCTCCATCTGGATTTCAGAGGATGTGTGGAAAAGCAGGCAGAAGTCTGCTAGAGGGGTGGAGCCCTTATAGAGAACCTCTGTTAGGCAGTGCAGAAGGGAAATGTGGGGTTGGAGCGCCCATACAGAGTCTCCACTGAGGTACTGCCTTGTGGAGCTGTGAGAAAAGGGCTACTATCCTCCAGACCCCAGAAAGGTAGATCCACCAACAGCTTGCACCTTGCACCTGAAAAAGCCACAGGCATTCAATGCCATCCCATGAAAGCAGCTGGAGGGGCTGTACCCTGCTAAGCCACAGGGGTGGAGCTGCCCAAGGCCATGGGAACCCACCCCTTGCATTAGCGTGCCCTGGGTGAGACATGGAGTCAAAGGAGATCATTTTGGAGCTTTAAGATTTAATGACTGCCCGGCTGGGTTTTAGATTTTCATGTGGCCTGTGGGCCCTTTATTTTGGCCAATTTCTCCCATTTGGATGGGAATACTTACCCAATGGCTGTACCGCTACTGTATCTTTTTTTTTCTTTTTGAGATGGAGTCTCCCTCTGTCACCCAGGCTGGAGTGCACTGGTGTGATCTCGGTTCACTGCAACCTCTAACTCCCACATTCAAGCAGTTCTCCTGCCTCAGCCTCCTAAGTAGCTGGGACTATAAGCGCCGGCCACCACACCCAGCTAATTTTTGTATCTTTAGTAGAGATGGGGTTTCACCATGTTGGGTAGGCTGGTCTTGAACTCCTGACCTCAGGTGATCCACCTGCCTCGGCCTCCCAAAGTGCTGGGATCACAGGTGTGAGCCACTGCACCTGGCCCCCTATTGTATCTTGGAAGTAACTAACTTGCTTTTGATTTTACAGACTCATAGGTAGAAGGAACTTGCCTTGTCTTAGATGAGACTCTGGACTTGGACTTTCAGGTTAATACTGGAATGAGTTAAGACTTTAAGACTCTTGGGAGGGAATGGTTGGTTTTGAAACTTGAAAGGGACATGAAATTTTGGAGGGGCCAGGGGTGAAATAATATGGTTTGTCTCTGTGTCCCCACCAAAATCTCATTTCAAATTGTAATCCTCAGATGTCAAGGGAGGAACCTGGTGGGAAGTGATTGGATCATGGAGGTGGTTTCCCCCATGCTGTTCTCATGATAGTGAGTGAGTTCTCATGAGAGCTGATGGTTTTAAAGTGTGGCACTTCCTGGTTCGTTCTCTCTCTCTCTCTCTCTCTCTCTCTCTGTCTCACCTGCTGCTGTGTAAGATGTGCCTTGTCTTCCACCATGATTGTGAATTTCCTGAGGGCCCCCCAGCCATGCAGAACTGTGAGTCAATTAAACCTCCTTTCTTTATAAATTACCCAGTCTCTGTTGGCATTCTTTATATCAGTGTGAAAGCAGACTAATACAGACTCCTTCCCTGGACACTAGAACCATGATGGCATTAGGGATGGAGTTATTAATGCATAATAGCAGAAAGCTCTTTACCTCAACATTATAAAGATAATAAAGGTATAGTTAACAATGATTGTACACACATTGTAGATTCCATTACAGTATTAAATTGAGCAATAGTGTTTGCAGCAAACTATGGGCATTATTCTTTAATTTCCCCTCCCATTAAATTATTCTTTAATTTCCCCTCCCATTAAAGGAGAGGGTGGTCTCTTTTCAGGTAAGGATTGCTCATCTTTTTCTTCTGCATGCCTCATGCCATGCATGCCCCATGCAGGTGTAAGCTAGATGGCATTCTGTATGTCAGGACCATTTTTCATTACTGCAAAATACTCAAACTAAGTTTTAAAGAAAAGAATTTCTATCCTATGCATTGCTATAAGGCTTTTTATTCCAACATATGGTATTAAATACGAGTTATGTGCTCAACTGTGAATTTATATGAAAAGGAGATTAGGACACAACAGGCATAGAGGAAAGATCATGTGAAGACACAGGGAGAAAACACTTATCTGCAAATCAAGAGGAAAGATCCCAGAAGATACTAACCCTCCTGATAGATACCTTGATCTCCGACACCTGTCTGTGGTACTTGATGATGGCACCCTAGCAAACTAACATAATTGTGATGAAACACAGAGGCCCAAGAGTGGCCTTTGTGTTTCATTTCAGTGCTCTATGTTCTGGCCAATTGTCTGTCATCTTCCTTTGTGCGTGAATGAGTCCCCTGTGGGCAAAAGCAGAGGCCACCCGTGGAGACATACCTAGATGGGTGGCAGGCAGACAACCACTATCTGTCATCTACCCAACCACCACTTATGTCCTTTTCCCTCCACATCCCTCTTCTTTCAAAATCCCTCCCCTCCTACTCACCTTCTTCAGGTAGCAGGAGTGGGAGGTAGGAAAAAGCAATAGACTTATTAATGTTAAAGATCCAAGCTGCAAACCTTTGCTTCTGATTAGCTTTTTGGTTTCAGACTCTTTCTCTAGGCAAAATTTTCTCAAAATTATCTGCTACAGGAATTCAGAGAAACATTTAAAACTCTAAAAGTAGACCGATACCACCACCTTCCCCATCCTCCACCCAGCCAGCCTGTGACAGTAGGTAAAATCTGTATACCCAACACCAATTCCCTTGATGGTATTTGGATCCATTTCCAATTGAGAAGCAGTCATCTATCCTTTTTCATTAGCTTCGCCTTCACTGGTGAGAAGTTAGTGGGAAGTAAAGACTCTGGAGGCCTGGAGTTGTTGGGTTTTAAAATTTTATGCCTGGAGGGTAAGTCCACTCTAGTAAATGTGAAGTTATTTTTAAACTTAAAGCCATGGAATACCACTACATTATAGTAACCAGCTATTTTGCAGTATAACCTACATTCATTCATGTATTGTTTGTATGAATGTTCTGTTTCCAGCATAATGGCTTTTAAAAATTAAAGATATAAATTAGCTATTATTAGAGAAACAGCACAATAGTAAAACTCCCATAAATTGGCATAAGAAAATATTAATAATAGACTCTAGAGGGGACAGTCTCTAAAGAATAAACAAACCATTGAGTAGAGAACAGAAATCCCACCCAACCAGTAAGTGCTCTATGCTGATCTTCAAACAATGGGTTCCTGGGTCTTAGCAATAACAACAAAAACAACTCACCACTAACCCAGTGCTTACTGAATCTCATATGCTTTACATGTATTACTTTATTTTTTTTTCCAAATGTCACTTTTGAAGAAGATACCTTTAATATTTCCACTTTACAGATGATGAAATTTTAAAGTGTTATATAAATTGCCCAGCTAGTAAATGGTAGAGCAGGGATTCAAACCCAGCCTTAATATATATACTATTATTTTGATCCCCAGAGCACTCAATATAGTGTTGGGTACTTTTAAAAGAACTAAGAAAATGTTGAGCCATATGGGGGATGATTCAGCCATATTGTAGGGACAGAAAACAGTAAAAGTGACCCAAATACCCTATCTTTAAAATTTTTCTATGTTTTAACCATTTATTTTCCACATTATTCTTTTGTGCAATGTTTGCTGAGCATCTGCTATGTTCCAGGTACGGTGTCGGGTGGAAAACAGGAATAAATAATATACAAACCCTTTTATTAAGTAATTCAGAGTTCAATGAAAGACTTCAAAGGAAAACAGATCATTTTTAAATGATCGAACTATGTGACAGGTGGAGTGGCATTAGCAGAGCACAGAGGGGATGGTCAGGACTGGCTGCTGGCAGGAGGGGACATCTGAGCAGGTGAGAGGCAGGGGTGTGGGAGGAAGACATGTAAGACCTTAACAGGCAAGGGTACAGTGTGAGCACTGGCAGGAAAAAGAGTTGCTGGAAATTTCCAGCAATTCATTGTTGCTGAAGCAGAACGTGTGATGCCGGGCGGGTCCCTGATCGTGGAGTGGAGGAGGGATGCAAAGCATGGAGACCCTTTTAAGGCACCAGAGGAGGGAGAGAGATTGAACAAATAGGAGAGGTGGGTGGGTGAGGGAGAGAAGAGCCACTGAGATCATCACAACTCAAACAAAACTAAAATGTAGTGCATGTCCTTGAGTTCTCTTGCTTTCTCCCATTTTCCATGAAAACGTGCAAACTAGCACCTTAACACTTTTTGTAATTTCATGACAAATGCTATCATATTTCATAGCCAGCAGATGGCACTAAGTATACATAAAATGAACATTTTGCACACTCACTTTTTTTTTTTCTCTTGAGACAGTCTCACTCTGTTGCCCACGCTGCAGTGCAGTGGCGCAATCGTGTTTCTCTGCATCCTGGGCTCCAGCGATCCTCCTGCCTCAGCTTCCCGAGTAGCTGGGACCACAAGCGCCTACCTCCTACTTATTTTAAAAGAGTTCAATCCAGGCTCTACTGTTCCCAAGGGACTTTTCTCCATACTAGGAACTCTAAAATCTGACAATGGTTTGGATCTGTGAGATAGAAAAGGCATCTTATAGGTACAGGGTCCTGTCTTCTGCCAGGGTCTACTGTGCTGCAGTCTCAGAGGGATATCATCAGGGGATCCCAGTAAGGTTGTAAAATGAATAATGATCTTGGTGGCACCACACCATCTCTGTGTAGTGAGGAAAACTTATGTAAAACTGGAACGGGTGAAGGGGTGAAACTAGGAAGGTGTCATAGCTGTTAGAGGATGGGGAGCAGGACTGGGTGGGTAAAGCCTTCAGCTGTGAGGCCCGTTGACATCTATGAAAGAGGAAGAAAGCGGGAGAGCCTCCAGCTGCAAAGGACGGCTGACCAGGGCTTGGCTTGCTCAGTGAGCAGCTTCAGAGCAAAGATTGCCTGATGAAGCAGTTCAGCATTGGGCTGAAACAGCCAGGCCCTACAGTACCCTTCTCATCTGGTTTGGCTCTGTCCCCACCCAAAATCTCATCTTGAATTGTAATCCCCATAATACCCACATGTCAAGGGAGAGGCCAGGTGGATGTAATTGAATCATGGGGGTGTTTTCTCCCATGCTGTTCTCGTGGTAGTGAGTTCTCACGAGAGCTGATGATTTTGTAAGTGTTTGGTAGTTTCTCCTGCGCTCATTTCTCCCTCCTGCCACCTTGTGAAGAAGGTGGCTTGCTTCCCCTTCACCTTCTGCCATGATTGTAAGTTTCCTCAGGCCTCCCCAGCCATGCTGAACTGTGAGTCAATTAAACCTCTTACCTTTATAAATTACCCAGTTTTGGGTATTTCCTTATAGCAATGTGAGAACAGACTAGTATATCTTCCTTGCTCAGTCATTGGCTGGGGGTTACCCAGGAAGAATGTGACCCAGAGTGAATGCCATGCACATGCTGATGGCGCTACAGTTGAAGGCTGTCAGTTACCTCTGCTCCCTGCAGCTGGACAGCAGGTTCTCAGAGGAGTACCCTAAAGGTGGTGTACTTTTGTGGCTGCCACACCATCCTTGTTAAAGAAATAACTCTCATGTATGATCTCCATTGTATTTCTTAGGTCTGTATGAAGCTGTGTAAACAGTCTTGCTCTTTTCAATAGCTGAGGTGCTTTTTAAATAAAATTCATAGGTTCTTGGATATGATTCAATCCAGTATAGTCTGTGAACTGGCTTTGCAGCTTCATCTGAATAATCTCAATATTTACATATGAGTTATATGTATCTCTTGGAAGAAAATTTTAAAAGTAAAAGCCATTATCTATATGGGCTCAAAGGATATGAAAGAATTTTAATCTCAGAAAAGCACAATAAGGAAGTCAATATCTATTTTAATCTCAGGCAAGCATACTAAAGAAGTCAGTAGCTGCAAAAGCTCCTCAAAAAATTATTCTAAGTCAAATATAAATAATCTTATTTGCTCTTTTGGATTATGAATACATCATAGCTTTTTTATTAACATCCAATTCAAAGTTGGCCTATTGTCTGGTGGTATTAAAGTGGATCACATGTGTAGCCCTTAATAATGCACATTGACATGGAACACTTGGCTTGATCCTCGTAATTCTATGAGGTAGGTATTATCACCTATGTACAGATGAAGAAACACATCCTGAGAGATGTGAATTTTAATGCAATTTCTATGAATGACATCTTTTTTTCAAAATCCTATGAAACACAATCTGGTAATTTTTAAGACACCGTACCACTCTTTCCTTACACCATATACAAAAATCAACTCAAGATGGATGAAAGATTTGAATGTAAAACTTAAAACTATCAAAACCCTAGAAGAAAACAAGAAAGGCCATGGACATATGCCTTGGCAAAGACTTCATGATGAAGATGCCAAGAGCAATTGCGGCAAAAACGAAAATTGACAAATGGGATCTAATAAAACTAAAGAGCTTCTGCACAGTAAAAGAAACTATCAACAGAGTAAACATACAACCTACAGAATGGAGGAAAACACCTGCAAGCTATGCATCTGACAAAGGTCTAATATCCAGCACCTATAAGGAACTTAAATCAACAAGCAAAAACAAACAACCTCATTAAAAATGGGCAAAAAGTGTGAACAGACACTTCTCAAAAGAAGACGTGCATGTAGGCAACAAGCATATGAAAAAATGTTCACCATCACTAATCATTAGAGAAATGCAAATCAAGACCACAGTAAGATACCATCTCACACCAGTCAGAATAGCTATGATGAAAAAGTAAAAAAAAAAAAAAAAAAAAAAAAAGATGCTGGTGAAGTTGTGGAGAAGAGAACACTTATACACTGCTGGTGGAAATGTAAACCAGTTTGGCCACTGTGGAAAGCAGTTTGGAGATTTTTCAAAGAATTCAAAATAGAGCTATCATTCAACCCAGCAATCCCATTACTGGATATATACCCAAAGGAATATAAATTGTTCTACCATAAAAACACATATACATGTATGTTCATTGCAGCATTATTCACAATAGCAAAGACATGGAATCAACCTAAATGCTCATCAATGGCAGAATGGATAAAGAAAATGTGGTACATATATACCATGGAATACTGTACAGCCATATAAAAAAATGAGATCACATCCTCTGCAGCAACATGGATGGAGCTGGAGGCCAGTATCCTAAGTGAACTAACACAGAACAGAAAACCAAATACTGTATGTGCTCCCTATAAGTAGGAGCTAAACACTGAGCCCACATGGACAAAAAGAAGGGAATAATAGGCACCAGGGCCTACTTGAGGGTGGAGGGTTGGAGGAGAGCGAGGACTGAGAAAATACCTATCAGGTACGATGCTTATTACCTGGGTGACAAAATAATCTGTACACCAAACCCCATGACATGCAATTTACCTATATAACAAACCTGCAAATGTACTCCTGCACCTAAAATAGAAGTTGGAAGGAAAAAAATACATTGCACAAATGGAAACAATAAAATCTACAATTTGAACATTTATTTGAATAGCTGGACGTGTCATCAGAACAACTCTTGATGCTTATTTAGGCTCCCAGAGTTACCTAAAGAGAACATGAGGTTTAAGAACCACTGATGAGGAATCAAAGCCCTACTTTGAAGAGTATAAATATATATTAAGCATTATATACATATATACACACACATTTTAAAGAATTATAAAATGAACACTTGTATACTTAACACCAAGGAATTGAATATTAACATTGAAGCACCCAGGGCTTCTCCTGTATTGCATTCTTTCCTAGAAGTGATCACCAGCCTATGTTTTGAATTAATTATGCCTATGCTTTCGCTGTTTTGCCACACTATATCTTCTATAATATTGTCTTGTTTGCTTTTAGGCCCTATGTAAATGGCATATATATTGACATGCACACACATCCCCTTTGATGACTTAGTTTTTTAACAGTCTATTTGACATTGGTTCCCACTGATGCTTGTCACTGTAGATCACATTCATTCCTTTACAATATTACGTTGTATGGAAATATCCATTTTATCCATTCTGTTGGTGGGCCTTTGAGTTGTTTTCAGCTTTTTTTCCTCAGGTACAAATAATGCTTCCATGAAGATTCTTGTAATTGGTTTCCTTGGTATATTTGTAACAACATTTCTTTAGGGTGACACTATAAATTGCAGAGACTACATACTTTAAAACTTATTAGGAATTAACAACTTATTTTCTAAGGTGGCTGTACCAATTTACACTCCTACTATAATTTCATGAGAGTTCTTGTGGCACCCTGTCCTCACCAATTCTTATCTGAATGTAAATATTACCATGTGGTTTTAATCTGTATTTCCCTATTTTCTTCTAAGACTTTAAACATTTTACTTTCATTTAAGTCCTTGACCCATTTAAATTTGACTTTTGTGCATGAAGTTATATATATATACCTGTCCTTTTGAAAATGTCCTTATATTTCTCTTATTAAGAATTTTCAAAGATTTTTCTTTCCCCTTATCTCAATCCCCATCCTTTATGAACAGACTCGATGAATTAAAGAATATGAACCCATACAGAGCTTCAGAGACATACACTTTCTAAAGAATATGGTGAGTTTTTCTGGACATAGAACAAATACAAATGAGAATAATAACAAATACTATTTTGGGCCTCACAAATTAGCAAAATATATTCTTAATAAGGCTAATTAATCCCAGTGAGAGTGTTGTAAAATGAGCATTGTTATACACACTAACTTTTGGTGGTGCATACAATCCAAAAGGTGCACACATACCTTTGCAAAGGTAATTTGAGGCTAACTGCATTGAAGGCTTTAAGGGTGTCCACAGTTTTTTTAAGGAAATTTAACTTTATGAAATCTTTCCTATGGAAATAACTTTAAAATCATAAAGTATGCACTAAGATGTTCATTGCAGTGTCTGTATGTATATCTTAACCACTTTTGAGCTATTGCCATTTTTGCTGCTATGTGTATGTATATATATAATTGTCCCCTTCTTTAAAATGTCCTGTTTTTTTCAAAACTAATTTTTCTGTGAGTTTGTCCTTCGTGTATAATAGGAACATGTAATGTATAAAAATATAAACATAATTTTATTATTAAAGTACTCAGATTTTTGGTGTCTATCAGCAGCAAAGTGGTAGAACACAGATACTGTTGAAGCTGTGCATTTGCTTCTGACAACCGGATGAAGCAGATGAAGGAATTGTTGCAGCTTGTGTGCACCTCACTTCTAGCCATAGTTGCAGATTAGTGTGCAAACATAGGATCCTAGAAACTATGGAAAAAGCTTCATTGAATTAAGTGAAAATCTCCTCATGTTTCAAAAGAATAAAAAATAAAATTTATACAGGCAAGAATTCAGTAGAACAATTTGTATAAGAACAAGCTGCAGCCCAGTACTCCTATTTGTTGACATCAAATAAAGGGGAGACTATTTGGAATTCTGAAATGAGCTAACCTCACTCTGCAACTTGATATTACTGAAATGGTTATTAGTGAGTTGTAGTGGGTAGTGCAGAAGAAACTAATGTTTGTTGAGTGCCTTTATGTGCCAGGTACTTCAAAACTTTGTTTCACTAATCCTCATAATGACTCCGCCAAGTAGGTATTGTGAGTTCTGCTTTACAGGTGAAGAAAGCTCATGGAGTTAAGTAACATGACCAACCATAGCATGGTGCCTGACATACAGTAAGTGTTTAATGAATATCTTTTGAATACATGGTAGGTACCTAACTAATGGAAGCAGTATTCAAACTTCGATACATCTCATTGCACAGCTCACACTATTTCCATCATAGTATATTGCCTTCTGTGTAAGACTATACAGAATCATTTTTAAATGGCTAAGAAAGAGCACTGCCAGTGTAAACATGGCTAGTAAGCCCAGCAACCTATTTCTCCCTTTATATGAGAACAATTTCAATTTCAAAATGTATGCATTGTGAAGGATGAGAAAAGACAGAAAACAGGATCTTCAAGGGCTTTACAGTTACTTAACACAGCTAGTACATGAAAATAACATAAATATATATGAAAACATCGTATGTGTATGGAACATTTTATTAGTACAGCTCATCCATTTTTTGTTGAGTTCTACTGACTTTTTAAAATTTATTTTACTTTAAGTTCTGGGATACATGTGCAAAACATGCAGGTTTGTTACATAGGTATACATGTGCCATGGTGGTTTGCTGCACCTATCGACCCGTCATTTAGGGTTTAAGTCCTGCATGCATTAGGTATTTGTCCTAATGCTCTCCCTCCCCTTGCCCCCCACCAACAGGCCCTTGTGTGATGTTCCCCTCTCTGTGTCCATGTGTTCTCATTGTTCAACTCCCACTTATGAGTGAGAACATATGGTGTTTGGTTTTCTGATCTTGTGTTAGTTTGCTGAGAACGATGGCTTCCAGCTTCATCCACGTCCCTGCAAAGGACATGAACTCATCCTTTTTTATGGCTGCATAGTATTCCATGGTGTGTATGTGACACATTTTCTTTATCCAGTCTATCATTGATGGGTATTTGGGTTAGTTACAAGTCTTTGCTACTGTAACATCATCTGAAATGTGTTACTTTAATTTTATGTTAGGTGTTACGTCTCTTTTCCTTTTTTGTCCCACACATCACTGAAACAGATTATTTGAAAATGCTAAAATAAGTAAAATGTGCGGCATGCTTTCTTAGATGCTTTGTCTCCTGTACCAAAATAATTTACAAATACAAAAGTTGGAAATAATTTTATTAGTTTTTTAATGCATAAATCCAAACATATATATGTACTGAATATTTTATTAGCTAATACAGTACCATTTTAAAAATTCTACCAACTTAAACTATTTCCTGTAAAAACATCATCCAAAATATACTTTGTTAATTTTTATGAATGTTATTTTTTTAAGTCTCTTTTCTTTGACGCTCTCCTTTTTTATCCTGTGCTTACACCAAAAACAAATTATTTGAAAATGCTAAAATAAAATGTGGCATGTTTTCTTAGCTGTTATGTATTCTGTTATAACATTTTACAACTATTAAAGTTGAAAAATAACTTTATTGGTTTTGCTGCATATAGCTGCCTGTCTGCTATAAGAGAACTAATCTATAAAATTAAGGCATTTTGTTATTTCAAGTGTAGAGGGGCAAGAATGTAAGGGAATTATAAAAACCCCAAGATGACTCATTTAAAGTAGATGCACATTAAAATACTATAGATCTGGCATATTTCATATTTATAAAGCAGACAAAAAGAATGTTTATCTTTGCATTTGGCAAGAGTATCTATCTTCAAGATAACTACCACTTTTCAAAGCACTATTGTTGGGTAGGTTTTATTAGGGGAGAGGACTTAGAAAACATGACTTTCCTCATCCAAAACCAAAAATAAATGAGGGCTTAAAAATATATTATTTAAGAAGATGATAGTGGCCAGAAATAAAGACCATGACCAACAAGCTTTGGGGCCATCAAGATGAAAAGCCGTTTGCTTTATTCAAGATCTAGGATCTGAAAATCTCACTTCATAAATTTAACTGGATTTTCTTTTCTGATTATGTTTAACCCCAAAATTTGGTTGTATACCATAGCAGTTTCTATTTTACCTGGATGTTAAAAGAAAAACCATTGGAATCTAAAGAGAGATGAATAACCTCTTGAGCTTAGATGGAGAACTAACCAGTGGCAAATATGTATCTAGTGGGGTAAATACATCTCAAGAGATTCAAAACGTTACAAAACAAGGTGTTTTTAAAAACACTTCAACTTGAAATTATAAAAAAAAAGTATTAAAAGGTATTAGAGATCTTTCTTAAGGGCTGGTGAAATAAAAACACCTTAAAAGACACACTGTTACAATTTGCTCACAGAGGTAAAGAGGTTGTGATCAGTATCAGCATTTTAAGGATGTCATTTCAGAGCTTGCGTTCTTCTCCCTTAAGTGGTTCAAAGAGTTTGAGCAGGTACACTCTGGTACTAGGGAAAATCTGAAGCAATTCACCTAGTTGGATGAAAAAGGACTTACGTACCCTTGATTTATTAAAATTCATTGTTCTTTTATATACATTTTTCTTTAAAATTCTGAAATGAACATTTGTTTATGCAGTATGACATGAATGATTTAATAACTTATATGACAAGCTTAATAAGGCTGACATTCAATGAACAGAAAAGTAATTTACCTTTTAGTAATCAGAGAAACTTTCAATCCATTTTTATCTTATTTTTAAGTGTCTGTTATTAAAGCTTGTGATTTTTATTAATGTAAATAAGCCAAAGGGTGATTGTTTTTGACACACCACATTGTGCCATAGTGTAATGGGTAGTTTCCTTCTCAGTTAACCCTCAATACTCTGTACACACTATTCTGAAATACTGTGGTGAAGTAAGGCCTGGCATCTTTGAGCAGGACGCTACATAAGGGAGGGTTAGCTGCATTGGAAGGGTCTTCCACATCACAGATTTCAAGCATACTGCAACCAGGCCTGAAAAAAGACAGACATATATATCCATATTAGAAATGTATTCCTGTCTAGAGAAAATAGATACATAACACAACATCTAGATTTTCAGAGACAAATTTATTTCATAAGTTAAATATTTTAAAGCGTCATTTCAAAAAACAATTTCAATGTTTAGAAATTTAAAAAATAGAATGAAATTAAGCATGTTGCATTTTCACATCTCATTTAACCAAATGAAAGACATATCCTAATAATAAAGCTTCAATATACATTCATAAATATATATGTAAAAGCACACTTTCAAGATGAAACAAACATAAATATAATTTCCAAGTGCCATCACCATCTAAACATAAGGCCCATTTGTAGTAAAATAGACAAATTAAAACCTAATCGAATTCCTGATAAATTTAACATTTTTTAGCATAAACTGCCTTGGATTAGCATGAAATGATCCAAGGCAGGGACAGGAGACTCTTATGGCAATTTGTTTTCTTCAATGCTTTCCCATTTTGGGTGGCTCTATGACTGGGCTAAATGAGACACTTTCCTCCCTAGAGAGTAATCCTGGATGGCAGTCATTAAAGGGAAGGAGTCAGACAAAATTGATTTCTAATTTTTTAACATCTATATTGAAGTATAAGTTATACACAATAAAACTTCACCTATTTTATGTGTAAAGTTTGCCAGGTATGGGCAAATGTGTATAGATGTGTAAGCACTACCACAATCGTAATACAGAAAATTTCCATCACTCCCACAAGTTCCCTGTGCCCTTTTGCAATCTACCATCTTCCCCAAACATGGCCTCAGGCAACTACTGTACTTTCTGCGCTATAGTTTTCTTTTTCTAGAATTTCATATAAATATATTATGTAGTCTTTTCATTTTTGGCTTCTTTACCATAGCATGTTTTTGATACTCATATCTGAGCTGTAGTTCCTACAACTTCTGTTGTGGTTCAGTAGTTCCTTCCTTTTTGTTGCTAAATAATATTTCATTGTATATAGAGAACACAATTTGTTTATCCATTTGCAAGTTAATGAACATTTGAGATGTTTTGAGTTTTTGGTGACCATGAACAATGCCACTATAAACATTCATGGACAAGGCTTTTTGTGGACATATGTTATCATTTCTCTTAGGGAAACACCTAGGAGTGGAATTGCTGGGTTGCATGGTTATGTATGATTAAGTGTGGATTTATCTTTATAAGCAAGTTCAAAACTGTTTTCCAGAGTAGATGCACCATTTTCCATTTCCACCAACAATGCATGAGAGTTTAAGTTGTATCAGTTTTTGTAATTTTAATCATTATAGTATGGTTATGGATGATTCAAAATATCTTCTTTGGTGAAATTTCTATTCAAATATTTTGCCAAATTTTGTGTTGATTCTTATTGAGGTGTGAGAGTTCTTTGTATATTCTGGGTAAAAGTCTGCCAGATTTTTTTTAGCAGATGTATTAAGGCGTAATTGCTCAATAATTACTCAATAAGCTGCACATATTTAGTATCCACTTGGATACATATTAACATAGGTATATACTTGTAAAACAGCAGCCACAATAAAAATCATGAACATATCCATCTCTCCCAAAAGTTTACTTCTGCCCTTTTGTAATTCTAATTATTGTGTGCTTTCTTTTTTGTCTGGCTTCTTGTCCTCAGTAGAATTATTTTGAGATCCATCCATATTGCTGTAACAATAGTCCGTTCATTTTTATTAGTAATATTTACATTGTTTGGATATTCTAATAGTGTGTTTATACATTCATCTGCTGATAAATAAGCGGATTGTTTCCAGTTTGGGGCTAATACAGAAAATAAAGTGCTATGAACATTTGTGTACAATTACTGGGATGGATATATGCTTTCTTTTATTTTAATAAATACAGTAGTTGTATGTTTAACTTTTTCTAAAATTGCTAAACTGTCTTGCAGAGTGGTTGTACCATATTACTTTTGCACCACTGGTGTATGAGAGTTCTAAGTCCTCCATAGTGTCAGCAACACTTGGCAGTTTTTTTTTCAATTATAGCTATTTTATTAAGTGTTTAGTTACATCTCACTGTAATTTTCATTTGCATTTCACAAATCACTAGTAACATCAAGCATCTTTTTGTGTGATTATTTGCCATCTGTCTTTTTGTCCTTTTTTTTTTTTTTTTTTCCTGAGACAAGGTCTTGCTCTGTCGCCGAGTGGAGTGCAACGGCACAATCTCGGCTCACTGCAACCTCCGTCTCCTGGGTTCAAGTAATTATCCTGCTTCAGCCTCCCGAGTAGCTGGGATTATATGCCCCCACCATCACGCCTGGCTAACTAACTTTTTGTATTTTTAGTAGAGATGGGGTTTAGCCATGTTGGCCAGGCTGATCTCGAACTCCTGACCTCAGGTGATCCACCCGCCTCAGCCTCCCAAAATCCTGGGATTACAGGTGTGAGCCAACTACTGCACCCGGCCTGTTTTGTCCATTTTTAATTGGGTTGTTTTCTTATTATTGGGTTTTGAGAGTTTTTAATACATCTAGAGAAAGTCCTTTATCAGACATAGGCTTTGAAAATATTTTCTCCCAGACTGTGGTTTATCTTTTAATTCTTCCTAACACTGTTTATAAAAAAGCAGAGGTTTACAGTTTTAATGAAGTCCTATTTATCAATGTGTTCTCTTGTGGATCATGATTATGTTACTGTATCTGAGAAATCTTAGCCTAATCCAAGGTTACAATAATTTTCTTCCATATTTTCTCCTAGAAATTTTATATTCTTAGATTCTTAGTAGCAAGTTACCTTCTACTCCTAGTTTGCTGAGGGTTTTTAATCAGTTATGGATACTGAATTGTGTCAAATACTTTTTCCTGAATGTACTGAGAGGATGATGCGTGATGATGCGGTCTTTCTTTTTCAGTTTGTTACTATGGTGAATTCACCTGATTGGTTTTCAAATAGTGAGACAACTTTGCATTCCTGGGATAAACTCCACTTGCACATTATATATTGTCTTTCTTTAATATATTGCTGGATTCATTTGTTGCAATTTTACTTAAAAATTTCACATATGTGTTCATGATAAATTTTGATTGGTTGTTTCCTTTTATTGTAATGTTTCTCTCATGTTGGTATCAGGATAATGCTGACCTCACAGAACCAGTTGGGAAGTAATCCCTCCTTTTGAATTTTCTGGAATAGTTTGTAGAATTGGAATTATTTCCAGTGAAGATATCTGTCTTAAAGTTTTCTTTGTGACAATTCTTTTTACTACAAATATAATTTTATTAATAGATACAAGGTCATTCATAATAAGGTAATAGATATAAGATTTTCTATTTCTTAAGTGAGCTTTGATTTTGCACCTTTCAAGGAACTTGTCCATTTTATCTATTTTGTCCTACTTAGTGGAATAAAGTTGTTCCTAAAATTCCCTCATTATCCTTTTCATTTCTTCAGATTCCTGTAGTGATAAAATCTTTCTTATTCCTGATACTAGTAATTTCTGTCTTCAATCTTTTAGTTTGGGTAGGAATTTATCAATTTTATTAATCTTCTCAAGAATCAGTGTTTGGTTTTACTGACTTTTCCCTGTTTTGGGAGGAAATACACACTGATTTTGATTCTGATCTTTATGCTTTCTTTTCTTCTCCTTACTTTGGAGTTTAGTTATTCTTTTTTTTCTAGTTCCTTAAGGCGAAGCTGAGTGACCGATATGAGGCCTTTCTTCTTTTTCTATTATGGGCATTCAACATAAAAACAAATCTCTTACTGCTGTATCTGCATCCCACAAATAGCGGGATGGTGTTCTCATTTTCCCTTAGGTCAACATACGTTGAAACTAACCCTCCTTTTGTTTCTTCTTGACCATGTATTATCTGAGTGTATTACTTAGTTTCTAAACATTTGAGGGAATTTCCATATAGAATTCTGTTACTGATTTCTAATTTAATTTCATTGTAGTCAGAGATTGTACTTTACATGATCTAAAGTATTTTAAATGTGTCAATACTTGCTTTGTGGCCTAGAAAATGGTCTTTTTTGATAAATAGTCTGCGTGTGCTTGAATGTCTATTTTGCTGTTCTAGGGTGGTGTGTACTATAAATGTCAATTAGGTCATATTGGTTGATGGCGTCATTCAAGTCTTCCACATTCTTGCCAAATTTCTTTTTATTTGTTCTACAAATTATTTAGACATGGCTATTAAAATTTCTAACTATACTGTAGATTTGTCTATTTTTTCCTAAAGTTCTATCAGTTGTGTTTCATATTTTTGAAGCTCTCTTATCTAAGTGCATAAATGTTCAGAGTTGCTACATCCTCTTGAAATATAGATCCCTTCTTCATTTAAAATTCCTTGTTTAACCTTGATAATATTCTTAGCATTCAAATGTACTTTGATGTTATTACAGCCACCCCAGCTTTCACTGACTAGTAGTAGCATCACATGTCCTTTTCCTATCTGTTAACTTTTAACCTCTTCGTTTCTTTATATTTAAGTAAATTTCTTGAAAGTAGCCTATAGTAGGGTCTTGCTTTGCTATGCAATCTGACAATTCTTGGTTTTCATTTGTGGTGTTTAGAGCTATATTCGTTTCCTATTGCTGCTATAACAAATTACCACAAACAGTTGCTTAAAGCAACATATATTTATTCTCTTTCAAATTCTGGAGCTCATAAGTCTAAAATCACGGTATTGGCAGGGCTCCAATCCTTCAGGAGGCTCTAGAAGAAAATCCACTTCCTTGCCTTTTCCAGCCCTAGAAGCTGGCCTCCTTCCTTGGCTTGTGGCCTTATATCACTCCAACTTCTGCTTCTACCATCACATCGCCTTTTTGATCTCTTACTCTTTTGCCTCCTCCTTATAAAGACTTTGTGATTACATTTGTCCTACCTGGATAATAAGGATAATATCCACATCTCATGAGCATTAATTTAATCACATTTGTAAATTTCCTTTTTCCATGTGAGTAACGTAATTCACAATTTCTGGGAATTAGGACATGGCCATCATGGGGGGCTCATTATTCAGCCTACCTACCACAAGTCCATTTACACTTAATGTCATAATTAATATGGTTAGATTTAAGTCTGTCTTCTCGGTGTTTTCTCTTTGTTCCATCTGATCTTCATCTCCCTTTTCCACTTCTTCTGCCTTATTTTGGATTGAGTGATTTTTATAATTCCATTTTAATCTTGTTTGTTGCCTTTTGCATTCTGTCAATTTTTGCTTCATATATTTTGAAGTTCTCTTTTAAGTTCATATGCACTCAAATTATTGTATCTTTCTGCTGTACTGAACTATTTTGCATTATAAAACATAGTCATTTCTAGTAATATTCTTTGTCTTAACATCTATCTTCTCTGATATTTATACATTTTTCACTTCAGCTTTTCTAATGTTTACTCACATGATATCTTTTCCATTCTTTTTCCTTCAGCCAATATACATATCTATCTGTATTTAAAATGCACCTCTTGCAGGCAGTCCATAGATAGGTTTTGCTCTTGTATTCAGTTTGCCAATCTCCACCTTTTGTTTGGAAGAATTTAGTCCTCTTTCACTTTGAAATTACTGATATGGTTTGATATAGGCTTGCTATTGTGCTCTTTTGTTTTTTTAAAAAAACTTTTTATTTCAAGACATTTGGAGATCCACATTAAGTGAGAGATAATACAAGTAGCTCTTGTACAGTCTTTAGACAGTGTCCTCCGCCATGGTAACATCTTCAACATTTGTATAATATCACAGCCAGATAATTCACATTGATAGAATGGTGATAGAGAGCATTTCCATCACCACAGAGATCCCTTGTATAGCCACACATACTATACTCCCCCCATATTCCTACCCCACCCTAACCCCTCGCAACCACAAATCATCCATATCTATAATTTTGTCATTTGAAGACAGTTATACAAATGGAATCATACAGTATGTAACCTTTGGGGATTGTCTTTTCTTCATTCAAACAATTCTCTGGAGATTCATCCAGGATCTTGAGTGTATCAATAGTTTGATCCTATTGCTGAGCAGTATTCCATGGTATGAATAGATCACTATTATTTAATCATTCACCTTGCGAAAAACATCTGGGTTGTTTCAGGTTTAGGCTATTACAAATAAAGCTGCTATAGACATTTTTCTACAGAATTTTGTGTGAATATAACTTTCCACCTTTCTGGGAAAAAATGCCCAATACAACTGCTGGGTCTTAAGTTAGTTATATGTTTAGGTTTTTTCCCCTTTTAGTTTTAGTTGACAAGTAATACTTGTACATATTTATGGAGTATAGAGTGATATTTCAATGCATAATTACAATGTGTAATGATCAAATAAGGGTAATTAGGATATCCATCACCACAAATGTTTACCATCTGTTTGTGCTAGGAACATTCAAAATCCTCTGTTCTGGCTTTCTTGACATATAAAGATAAATTACTGTTAACTAATATTCACTCTACAGTGCCAGAGAGCACTATAACTTATTCCTTCTATTTATCTGTAGTTTTGTATCTCTTAACCAACCTCTCCGTATCTTCTTCTCCTCCCTACCCTTCCCACTCAGCCTTTAATTACCACAATTCTACTCTACTTCTATGAGCTACTTCTTTGAGCTTCCACATGAGTGACAACATGCACTATTCATCTTTCTGTGGCTGACTTATTTCACTTAATGTATCCAGGCTCATCCATGTCTAGGCTTGCCATTATGCTCTTTTTTTCCCCACTGTTTTATTTATTTTTTGAGTGGTTTTGATAGGGATGACAACAAGCATCTTTAACATATCATGATTTACTTACCATTTAAATTGGGTTATTTCTAGTAAATCGTACATTTCCACAGTTTACTCAATTTTTGTGCTATTGTCATGTATATTTAATTTCTGTCATAAACTAAAAAATATAATGGTATCACCTTTGCCTTAAATAATGTCTTTTAAAGATTTTCAGAGAAGAAAAACGTATAGTGATTAATATCCACATATTTACCATTTCCAGCGCATCACAGTATTTCTTGTATACCTGAGTTACCATCTGGCATCATTTCTCATCAGCTGATAGAACTTCTTGTCCATCTTGAAGTATAAATCTGTTACCAACAAATTATCTTAGATTTTGTTGATCTGAAAAATATTTTTGGCCTCCATTTTAAAAAGATACTTTCATTAAATATAGAATTGTTGATTTTTCTTCTTCAGCACTTTGAATTATCATTCCAGTGTCTGATAATTTCCACTATTTATGTTGGGAAGTCAGATGTTTATATAGCATATAATTTTTTTCTCTTATTTTCAAGATTTTCTCTTAATCTTTGATTTTACCGTTTTGACTATAATGTTCCTTGCTTTGGTTTTCTTTGGGCTTCACCCAGTTGGATTTGTTGAGCTTAGCAGATCTCTCAGTTAGTAGCTTTTATCAAATGAGAAATTTTTGGCCAACATTTCTTCAATATTTTTTCTGTCATGTTCTTTTTTTCATTACATCTAATACTAAAATTATGCATGTGTTGAACTACTTAATGTTACATAGGTCTGTGACTTTGGTTATTTTTCAATCTTTTTGGCTCCTGTTCTTTTGATTAACTATTCTCTCTTGATCTATCTTCAAATTCACTGCATTTTCTGTTCAAATGTTCTGTTTTCATCTCAGAATTGTTGAGTACATTTAAATGATTTTCATTTCATTTATTATACTTTTCAGCTCTAGAATTTCCGTGGGGGCTGGAGTGTTTCTATTTCTCTGCTGAGATTCCATAGCTCTTCACTAATGGATACCATGTTTTCTTTTAATTCATTGAATACATTTTTCTTAAGCCTTTGAATGTATTTGTAATAGTGGCTTTGCAGTCTTTGGCTGCTAAATCCAACATCTGGACCTACTTGAATCGGTTTCTATTAACTTATTTTTTTCAGAGTATTGTTCATACTTTCTCATTTCAGTTTGCATCTCTGAAACCTTTTGCACATTGTAAATGATATACTGAAGTGACTGTAGAACCTGTTTTGTTCTTCTGATTGCCAATGTGTCGTTCTAGGAGACAATTAATGTGCCTGAATTTCCTGTCATGTGCAGCAGCTAATATCTGTGCTTAGGAGTCTAAACAAAGTCCTCATAAGATCAATTACACATCTTAGAATTTTATGATTTTTAGAGATTCAAAATTCAGAAATTAAAAAATTTTAATTAGGAATGTTTTCCTTATGTCATTTTGGGTTTTGTCACTTTTCTTTTAAGTCTTATAAATCCAATATAATTCAGCTATAATACAGAATGCCAATATCTCACTTTGCTGTAAATTCAAATCCATATTTCAGATATCTAATAAAAATTTTCATAAATATTTCAAAAATTATGAAAAAAGCTAAGTGGAAGATGTTAAATTGAAAAATCAGGATATTAAATATACTATAATGTTTGGAATTAAATTCTACTTCATTGATAGTATAGTTTTACGTCCCTAGATGAAATAACTTAAACTAAGGTACCAGGATATTATTTTAATAAATTTAAAATAAAAATTCTTAAAGAATCAGGACTACTGTAATAAAGTGAAACATTTGTTGCTCAAAAATGTACCATATCAGATAGCATAGGGTTAATACTCACTTAGTTCTCACAACACACCATGCCTCTTCTAAAACATAATAATTCACATGTAACTCCAACAATTTCTCTCCTACTTCTTTGGCAGATTTTCGACTATATGTAGAATAAACTATTTTTGTCCGAGCCCTTTAAATTTAAACAATAGTTTAAAAGATTTTAAAATAAATGATAATAGAATAGACTAAAAAAATCTTACTAGCAAATTGAAATCTCAATACTCACTGGATGGAACACTGATATACATGACTCAAAACAGCATCAACTATTTTGGGGATGGCAGTTTCCACATTCCTACTTATATTTTGAATGTAATAAAACTTACAGCAATTTAATTTTGCATATACTGCTCATTACTGTATAAGATAGTCTAAAGTTGTACTGGGTAGCAGAGAGCAGCTTAGGATATACAGTTTTCTTCTCATAATTCACACAGTTTTCAGAGAATATATTCTGACAGAGACTGAATGTAGTGAAAACACATCTTTCAATGCTTAATTTCATCTAAAGAAGCTCTGACAAATAAATGAATTGAAATTTAGTGTATCAAGTAGAACACTTAGACAATGGACATCCACGGTATCAGAAGAGGTAGGAAAAGCACCTTCACAGAATCTTGAGAAATGGGGATGGTCACCAAAATATGGTACAATAGGTGATTTGACCGTAGTGGGAATTCTTACAAAATCCTGACAAACTATCACTTATGCATTGGATGTTGCTTAGAATTTCAAGCATATGGGATGCTCAGTCACCACAGTGGTTTCCATGCCAGTTCACCACAGTAGAACAGAGAGAGCATCAGGTACACTTCTAAGGTGTCTGACTCCAAGCCCTGGCTCCTAGACAGAAGACCTAAAACTTTTAAATAATTTAAACATTTGCCTCTAACAATAGGCCAAAAATCCACTTTTAAAAATGATTACCCTGACAACTACTAGAATAACCAAAATAATTTTTTAAACCAGCCATTTAAGGAAAGCAAAACTTTTAGACATCAATGGAAACTAGAGTTCTCATAATCGACTAGCAAAAATACTCTAAATTTTCATGAAAGCACGTACTATATAATAGCAACTTTCATGTACTTTTTCTACCTGTCACAAAAAGCTAGTCATTGGCCACCAGTAAGATCTAGAAATCATTTCTTAAATCAGAGTGGGGCTTGTGGTGTAGAGCAGGGGTTGGCAAACCATGGCTGTGAGTAAAATCCATCCTACCTACTCTTCCAACTACCTAGTAGTTTTACTGGAATACACGCACACATCATAAATATGTGACACATTTGTCACTTTGGAAAAAACTGGCTTTTGCATTTTTCAGTTTTCAGAGGTCTGCTTGCTCCAGAGGCAACAGGTACATATTGTCATTTCTGGATGGTTATTGTCATTTTTTTTTAACTTCCAGTACGAAAATGAGGATGAGTTTGTGTGTGTGTGTGTGTGTCTGTGTGTGTGTAAAAATTTTCCCAATTCCTAAGAATTGGGAGTCGCCAAGTGAGTCTTGAAGAAATACTCATCAGCTGCCAACCTCAAGTCTGCATCTTCGTAAAGTGGATGATTCACAATGGGATGAAGTGTAGACAGCTTGACGCTTGCCATTGTAGGCATGGCACCTGCGAAGACAGCATCTGAAAAAAAAGGATATATTCTTCAATTAAATGTATTAAAGAAACTCAGAAGTTAAACTTACCTCTAATATGTGAACCCAAATTAAGAAGGATGATGCCTATTTACATGACCATGGACCTCATTCTTTTTATTAACTCAATAGTTATTCATTATCTACTACAATAATAGCTGACTTTTGTTAAATGCTATCTTGGTGATAGAAATTGTGCTCCATATTTTAACAAGAAATAACTTAATTTTCACAATTCTAAGGGGTAGGTCCTCTGTTCTTACTTTGTAGAATCTACAAACTGAGCATGTGAGGGGTCTGGGTTGTGCACTCATTAGAATCTAATGCCTGATGGTCTGAGGTGGAACAATTTCATCCAGAAACCACCCCCTACCCCCCAGTTCTGTGGAAAAAAATGGTCTTCCATGAAACTAGTCCCTGGTGCCAAAAAGGTTGCAGACTGCTGTTGTAGATGATGAAGAGACACAGCCAAGTTAAGTGACTTGCCCAAGACTGCACAGCTAGGAAGTTCCAGAGCCTGCCCTCTTAGCTGTTTCACTAAAGCTTCCTGCTATGCTAGAGCACCATGCTAACAGCAGGACTACAGACACACATGAAACAAAAAGAATGTAAAATGTCACATCTGTTCCAAGAATGTGAAATGCCAGGAGCTGAGAGACTGCCATGAAGGGCAAGTCTCATGGGACATTTTTTCCAATGACTTTTGTGGCTGGTGAACTGTAGTCCTGTGGATGTGCCATAAAAAAAGGAAAACATTGTTTTCTTCCCTCAGATCATCTTTAATTAAGTTCTCAGAGTTACCATTTGACTTGACACCATTTATACATGTCATGAAATCATTTCACTACTTGCTAGTAGTACTTTTTGGAGTAATAACATGTATAAATTTGGTCATAACTAGACATACATCAAAATCTATCTGGCTTCCATTTCATCTCTTGAAATATCAGAAGACCAAATGCTTACTTCCTGGTACTTTTGTATAAAAAACAATTATAGTGGGAGTAGCCAAGATGGCCGAATAGGAACAGCTCTGGTCTACAGCTCCCAGCGTGAGCGACGCAGAAGACGGGTGATTTCTGCATTTCCATCTGAGGTACCGGGTTCATCTCACTAGGGAGTGCCAGACAGTGGGCGCAGCTCAGTGGGTGCATGCAACGTGCGCGAGCTGAAGCACGGCAAGGCATTGCCTCACTTGGGAAGCGCAAGGGGTCAGGGAGTTCCCTTTCCCAGTCAAAGACAGGGGTGATGGACTCACCTGGAAAATCGGGTCACTCCCACCCGAATATTGCGCTTTTCGGACCGGCTTAAAAAACGGTGCACCACGAGATTATATCCCGCACCTGGCTCGGAGGGTCCTACGCCCACAGAGTCTCGCTCATTGCTAGCACAGCAGTCTGAGATCACACTGCAAGGCGGCAGCGAGGCTGGGGGAGGGGCGCCCGCCATTGCCCAGGCTTGCTTAGGTAAACAAAGCAGCCTGGAAGCTCGAACTGGGTGGAGCCCACCACAGCTCAAGGAGGCCTGCCTGCCTCTGTAGGCTCCACCTCTGGGGGCAGGGCACAGACAAACAAAAAGACAGCAGTAACCTCTGCAGACTTAAATGTCCCTGTCTGACAGCTTGGAAGAGAGCAGTGGTTCTCCCAGTACGCAGCTGGAGATCTGAGAACGGGCCAACTGCCTCCTCAAGTGGGTCCCTGACCCCTGACCCCCGAGCAGCCTAACTGGGAGGCACCCCGCAGCAGGGGCACACTGACACGTCACACGGCAGGGTATTCCAACAGACCTGCAGCTGAGGGTCCTGTCTGTTAGAAGGAAAACTAACAAACAGAAAGGACATCCACACCAAAAACCCATCTGTACATCACCATCATCAAAGACCAAAAGTAGATAAAACCACAAAGATGGGGAAAAAACAGAACAGAAAAACTGGAAACCCTAAAATGCAGAGTGCCTCTCCTCCTCCAAAGGAACGCAGTTCCTCACCAGCAACTGAACAAAGCTGGATGGAGAATGACTTTGACGAGCTGAGAGAAGAAGGCTTCAGACGATCAGATTACTCTGAGCTACGGGAGGACATTCAAACCAAAGGGAAAGAAGTTGAAAACTTTGAAAAAAATTTAGAAGAATGTATAACTAGAATAACCAATACAGAGAAGTGCTTAAAGGAGCTGATGGAGCTGAAAACCAAGGCTCGAGAACTACGTGAAGAATGCAGAAGCCTCAGGAGCCGATGTGATCAACTGGAAGAAAGGGTATCAGCAATGGAAGATGAAATGAATGAAACAAGTGAGAAGGGAAGTTTAGAGAAAAAAGAATAAAAAGAAATGAGCAAAGCCTCCAAGAAATATGGGACTATGTGAAAAGACCAAATCTACGTCTGATTGGTGTACCTGAAACTGACGGGGAGAATGGAACCAAGTTGGAAAACACTCTGCAGGATATTATCCAGGAGAACTTGCCCAATCTAGCAAGGCAGGCCAACATTCAGATTCAGGAAATACAGAGAACGCCACAAAGATACTCCTCGAGAAGAGCAACTCCAAGACACATAATTGTCAGATTCACCAAAGTTGAAATGAAGGAAAAAATGTTAAGGGCAGCCAGAGAGAAAGGTCGGGTTACCCTCAAAGGGAAGCCCATCAGACTAACAGCGGATCTCTCGGCAGAAACCCTACAAGCCAGAAGAGAGTGGGGGCCAATATTCAACATTCTTAAAGGAAAGAATTTTCAACCCAGAATTTCATATCCAGCCAAACTAAGCTTCATAAGTGAAGGAGAAATAAAATCCTTTAGAGACAAGCAAATGCTGAGAGATTTTGTCACCACTAGGCCTGCCCTAAAAGAGCTCCTGAAGGAAGCGCTAAACATGGAAAGGAACAACCAGTACCAGCCGCTGCAAAATCAAGCCAAAATGTAAAGACCATCGAGACTAGGAAGAAACTGCATTAACTAATGAGCAAAATCACCAGCTAACATCATAATGACAGGATCAAATTCACACATAACACTATTAACTTTAAATGTAAATGGACTAAATGCTCCAATTAAAAGACACAGACTGGCAAATTGGATAAAGAGTCAAGACCCATCAGTGTGCTGTATTCAGGAAACCCATCTCACGTGCAGAGACACACATAGGCTCAAAATAAAAGGATGGAGGAAGATCTACCAAGCCAATGGAAAACAAAAAAAGGCAGGGGTTGCAATCCTAGTCTCTGATAAAACAGACTTTAAACCAACAAAGATCAAAAGAGACAAAGAAGGCCAGTACATAATGGTAAAGGGATCAATTCAACAAGAAGAGCTAACTATCCTAAATATATATGCACCCAATACAGGAGCACCCAGATTCATAAAGCAACTCCTGAGTGACCTACAAAGAGACGTAGACTCCCACACAATAATGGGAGACTTTAACACCCCACTGTCAACATTAGACAGATCAACGAGACAGAAAGTCAACAAGGATACCCAGGAATTGAACTCAGCTCTGCACCAAGCGGACCTAATAGACATCTACAGAACTCTCCACCCCAAATCAACAGAATATACATTTTTTTCAGCACCACACCACACCTATTCCAAAATTGACCACATACTTGGAAGTAAAGCTCTCCTCAGCAAATGTAAAAGGACAGAGATTATAACAAACTATCTCTCAGACCACAGTGCAGTCAAACTAGAATTCAGGATTAAGAATCTCACTCAAAACCGCTCAACTACATGGAAACTGAACAACCTGCTCCTGAATGACTACTGGATACATAACGAAATGCAGGCAGAAATAAAGATGTTCTTTGAAACCAACCAGAACAAAGACACAACATACCAGAATCTCTGGGACGCATTCAAAGCAGTGTGTAGAGGGAAATTTATAGCACTAAATGCCCACAAAAGAAAGCAGGAAAGATCCAAAATTGACACCCTAACATCACAATTAAAACAACTAGAAAAGCAAGAGCAAACACATTCAAAAGCTAGCAGAAGGCAAGAAATAACCAAAATCAGAGCAGAACTGAAGGAAATAGAGACACAAAAAACCCTTCAAAAAATTAATGAATCCAGGAGCTGGTTTTTTGAAAGGATCAACAAAATTGATAGACCGCTAGCAAGACTAATAAAGAAAAAAAGAGAGAAGAATCAAATAGACACAATAAAAAATGATAAAGGGGATATCACCACCGATCCCACAGAAATACAAACTACCATCAGAGAATACTACAAACACCTCTACGCAAATAAACTAGAAAATCCAGAAGAAATGGATAAATTCCTTGAGACATACACTCTCCCAAGACTAAACCAGGAAGAAGTTGAATCTCTGAATTGACCAATAACAGGATCTGAAGTTGTGGCAATAATCAATAGCTTACCAACCAAAAACAGTCCAGGACCAGATGGATTCACAGCCGAATTCTACCAGAGGTACAAGGAGGAACTGGTACTATTCCTTCTGAAACTATTCCAATCAACAGAAAAAGAGGGAATCCTCCCTAATTCATTTTATGAGGCCAGCATCATTCTGATACCAAAGCCGGGCAGAGACACAACCAAAAAAGAGAATTTTAGACCAATATCCTTGACGAACATTGATGCAAAAATCCTCAATAAAATACTGGCAAAACGAATCCAGCAGCACATCAAAAAGCTTATCCACCATGATCAAGTGGGCTTCATCCCTGGGATGCAAGGCTGGTTCAATATACGCAAATCAATAAATGTAATCCAGCATATAAACAGAGACAAAGACAAAAACCACATGATTATCTCAATAGATGCAGAAAAGGCCTTTGACAAAATTCAACAACCCTTCATGCTAAAAACACTCAATAAATTAGGTATTGATGGGACATATTTCAAAATAATAAGAGCTATCTATGACAAACCCACAGCCAATATCATACTGAATGGGCAAAAACTGGAAGCATTCCCTTTGAAAACTGGCACAAGACAGGGATGCCCTCTCTCACCACTTCTATTCAACATAGTGTTGGAAGTTCTGGCCAGGGCAATAAGGGAGGAGAAGGAAATACAGGGTATTCAATTAGGAAAAGAGGAAGTCAAATTGTCCCTGTTTGCAGATGACATGATTGTATATCTAGAAAACCCCACTGTCTCAGCCCAAAATCTCCTTAAGCTGATAAGCAACTTCAGCAAAGTCTCAGGATACAAAATCAATGTGCAAAAATCACAAGCATTCTTATACACCAACAACAGACAAACAGAGAGCCAAATCATGAGTGAACTCCCATTCACAATTGCTTCAAAGAGAATAAAATACCTAGGAATCCAACTTACAAGGGACGTGAAGGACCTCTTCAAGGAGAACTACAAACCACTGCTCAAGGAAATAAAAGAGGATACAAATGGAAGAACATTCCATGCTCATGGGTAGGAAGAGTCAATATCGTGAAAATGGCCATACTGCCCAAGGTAATTTACAGATTCAATGCCATCCCCATCAAGCTACCAATGCCTTTCTTCACAGAATTGGAAAAAACTACTTTAAAGTTCATATGGAACCAAAAAAGGGCCCGCATTGCCAAGTCAATCCTAAGCCCAAAGAACAAAGCTGGAGGCATCTTGCTACCTGACTTCAAACTATACTACAAGGCTACAGTAAACAAAACAGCATGGTACTGGTACCAAAACAGAGATATAGATCAATGGAACAGAACAGAGCCCTCAGAAATAACGCTGCATATCTACAACTATCTGATCTTTGACAAACCTGAGAAAAACAAGCAATGGGGAAAGGATTCCCTATTTAATAAATGGTGCTGGGAAAACTGGCTAGCCATATGTAGAAAGCTGAAACTGGATCCCTTCCTTACCTTATACAAAAATCAATTCAAGATGGATTAAAGACTTAAACGTTAGACCTAAAACCATAAAAACCCTAGAAGAAAACCTAGGCATTACCATTCAGGACATAGGCATGGGCAAGGACTTCATGTCTAAAACACCAAAAGCAATGGCAACAAAAGCCAAAATTGACAAATAGGATCTAATTAAACTAAAGAGCTTCTGCACAGCAAAAGAAACTACCATCAGAGTGAACAGGCAACCTACAAAATGGGAGAAAATTTTCGCAACCTACTCATCTGACAAAGGGCTAATATCCAGAATCTACAATGAACTCAAACAAATTTACAAGAAAAAAACAAACAACCCCATCAAAAAGTGGGCAAAGGATATGAACAGACACTTCTCAAAAGAAGACATTTATGCAGCCAAAAAACACATGAAAGAATGCTCATCATCACTGGCCATCAGAGAAATGCAAATCAAAACCACAATGAGATACCATCTCACACCAGTTAGAATGGCAATCATTAAAAAGTCAGCAAACAACAGGTGCTGGAGAGGATGTGGAGAAATAGGAACACTTTTACACTGTTTGTGGGATTGTAAACTATTTCAACCCTTGTGGAAGTCAGTGTGGCGATTCCTCAGGGATCTAGAACTAGAAATACCATTTGACCCAGCCATCCCATTACTGGGTATATACCCAAAGGACTATAAATCATGCTGCTATAAAGACACATGCACACGTATGTTTATTGTGGCATTATTCACAATAGCAAAGACTTGGAACCAACCCAAATGTCCAACAATGATAGACTGGATTAAGAAAATGTGGCACATATACACCATGGAATACTATGCAGCCATAAAAAATGATGAGTTCATGTCCTTTGTAGGGACATGGATGAAATTGGAAATATCATTCTCAGTAAACTATTGCAAGAACAAAAAACCAAACACCGCATATTCTCACTCATAGGTGGGAATTGAACAATGAGATCACATGGACACAGGAAGGGGAACATCACACTCTGGGGACTGTTGTGGGGTGGGGGAGGGGGGAGGGATAGCATTGGGAGATATACCTAATGCTACATGATGAGTTAGTGGATGCAGCGCACCAGCATGGCCCATGTATACGTATGTAACTAACCTGCGCAATGTGCACATGTACCCTAAAACTTAAAGTATAATAAAAAAAAAAGTAAAAAAAAAAAAAATCTTACATTCCTTCTCATGTTAATAGTTATTATTTTTTAAATATGATGCTATTAGCAAATTTTAGATTGGCATCCTTAATACATTAGTTAGATGTTAGTAATTCCACTTTTCCCTATAACTGTATTTTTCTTTTTAATCAGAAATCAATCTTGAGTTTTGTTCAATAATTTTATGATATTTATTCTGATTTTTATATTACTTTCTATTAATATATTGGTAAGTTTTTCTAAGATTTTCCATATGTTTATCTGAAAGAAGTTCTGTAATTTTCTTCACTGTTGCCATTATCAGATTATATATCAGATTTACAAAAGTTTTGTTAAAAATTTCGTTCCCCCCCATTTTTCTATGTCATTGAACATTTTGTTGATATTTCACATTTCTTGATTATTGAAGGAAATCTATAAGTCCATTGCTTGTAAATGTTTTTTTGGAGGGAAGTTACTCTTTTTTAGTAGATACTACATTGTTATTGCTATATTCACCTATTAAAGTTAAATTATCTACTTTATTAAGACTTAAATATCTATTTTAAAAAAACCTTAAATCTAAGACCTCAAACTCTGAAATTACTACAAGAAAACTTTGGGGAAACTCTCCAGGACTTTGGTTTGGACAAGGAGTTCTTGAGTAAATACCTGGGAAGCACAGGCAACCAAAGCAAAAATGAACAAATGGGATCACATCAAGTGTAAAAGCTTCTGCACAGCAAAGGAAACAATCAGCAAAGTGAAGAGACAACCCAAAGTATGGGTGAAAATATTTGCAAACTACCAATCTGACAAGGAATTAATAACCAGAATATATAAGGAGCTCAAACAACTCTGTAGGAAAAGAAAATCTAAAAATCCACTTTAAAAATGGGGAAAGGATCTGAATAGACATTTCTCGAAAGAAAACATACAAGTGGCAAACAGGTACATGAAAAGGTGCTCAACATCACTGATCATCAGAGAAATGCAAATCAATACTACAGTGAAATAGCATCTCACTCCAGTTAAAATGGCTATTACTCAAAAGACAGGCAATAACAAATGGCTGTTATCCAAAAGACAGGAAAAGATGTGGAGAAAAGGGAACTCTCATACACTTTTGGTGAAAATGTAAATTAGTACAACCACTATGTAGAAGAGTTTGGAGGTTCCTCAAAAAACTAAAAATAGACTTACCAAATGATCCAGCAATCCTACTCTTAGATATATACCCCAAAGAAAGGAAATAAATATTTAGAAGAGGTATCTGCACTCCCATGTTTATTGCAGCACTTCTCACAATAGCCTAGATTTGGAAGCAACCTAAGTGTCCATCAACAGGTTAATGGATAAAGAAAATGTGGTACATAGAAACAACGCAGTGCTATTCAGACATAAAAACGAGTGAGATCCTGTCATAAAAAAAAGAATGAGATCCTATCCATTAACATGAATGGAACTGGAGGTCATTACATTAATTGAAATAAGCCAGGTACAGAAAGACAAACTTTGCAGGTTCTTACTTATTTGTGGGAGCTAAAAATTAAAAGAGTTGAACTCATGGAGATCAAGAATAGAATGATGGTTACCAGAGGCTGGGAAGGATAGTGAGGGGGTGGAGGGGAAGTGAGGATGGTTAATGTGCACCAACAAAATAGAATGGATAAGATGTAGTGTTTGGTAACACAGAAGGGTGACTGTAGTCAACAAAATTTTACTGTACATTTAAAAATAACTGAGAGAGTATAACTGGATTGTTTGTAACACAAAGGATCAATGCTTCAGGTGATGGATACTCCATTTACCCTGATGTGATTATTACACATTGTATGCCTGTATCAATGTATCAAAATATCCCATCTACCCCATAAATATATACACCTGCTCTGTACCCACATAAATTAAAAACTTTGAGAACCCTGAGAGTTTACTTTCCAGTATAACTAAGCATTCTAAATGCAACTTTGAATGAAAATTTCTTTATATGCCTCAAATTTGAAAATATGTAAGCTAGTCAAAGAATGTGTATTTATTATTGGAGACTCAATAATTAATGATGACAAGCTGTTAAGCTAGAGAAGTGGTTCTCAGGCAGGCATGATTTTGCTCCCTAGGGAGCACTATCAACTTCTGGAGACATTTTTCGATGTCATGCTATGGGGAGGAGGGAGGAGATGCTGTTGGCATCTTGTAGATAGAGGCCAAGGATTTCTTGTAATACATAGGACAGCCTCAATGTCAACTGTGCTAAGGTTGGGAAATGCTGAGTAAGAAGAATTGAAAGCCCAGGGCCAGGGTCTTCCAAAAAAAACTAGGCACACCTGTCCAGCAAGAGCTGGACCCAGTGAGTTGTCACCTATGGCAGACAGAGAGGAAGAAATACCCTCCCACTCCACTTTCTATCTTTTTGGCTGTGAAGTAAATGAGCATAACAAGGAAAAATCAGATATTTTCCTATCACTGTATGGAAGTCTCCATTTAGCCTACTACACAGATTAGAAAAAGGTATTCCCCTGACTTGACAGAGCCCCATTATACCTGGCTTGATGAGTGGACCACAAGCTGGATTTAAGCTTTCACTTATCCTCTCAATTGGTCACCTTTGTGCAGTGCACAAACTATACAACCGTATATGGCAGACCTCAATATAAGCACTAGTTCCACTAATACTACAAAACTTCCTACAGCTTTTAATATGTGGTAACCATGAGATAACTCACAATAAGAGTAATTAAAAGGAGAATAAGACAGATTGAAAAGAAGATCAAAGACGAGGCATCTAAAAGTGAGACAGGGGTTTGTGGCAGTTATCTTAGAAGGATAAGTTGCCAAATGTAGGCTCTCTGTCAGGAACCCAATACAAACACCGGAACAAAGAAAGACACAAGAAAAGATTAAAAGGGCAGCTATTTTTAAAAGCTTGGGAAAAATAGCTATAACTGGGGAGGGGCAGGCAAGGGAGAGTAAAGAAAGGGAGTGATTACCTTGAGCTCCTATGTGGAAAAAGTCAGCTGGGGATTACTTTTAAAATTCTAATTAAACTGGCTTGGCAGTTTAATGAGGCACTGTCACCTACACCCTTTGAAAGCTATAGACCAAATATCTTACTTAAAGCTTATAAAGATTTACCTTAATGAAGGTTAATTAGCAAAAAAGTGGCTATCAAATAAGAAATAAAAGGAAACAAGCTCAGGAGTCATAAGAAAATTTAAATAAATCATAGTGAAGAACTTGTGCCAGAGTAAGTTTCTAAATATCAAAAATAATCTTTGATTTACAAATTTAGTTACAGAAAATGTTATAGACTTATTCTCTGGAAAGGTATTTAAAAATATCTATCTGCTTGAGGTAGTTCTGAATAAAGACAGGAAGAAAAGAAGGTAAGCTAAAAAGAAAATTTTGGAGTATTTAAAAGTAGGATGTATAGTATCTCTGTGAGATGATTTAGTGAAGAAAATAGAATATCCAAGATTTTAACTCTTCTGCCAATGACCTGTTTTACAGAATTAGAGGAGACAGCACTGATGGGAGTGACAGAAGCGGTGCCGGTTAACTCCCCACCATCAAAAGTATCTTCTGCTGTAGTCTGGCACAAGGTGTGAAATTTCATTTTTAAAGATTTACTTCTTTGATTTGTCATTGTTATGGTTAAAATGCTATAATGCTGTCTGAGAGTTAAAGGACATAACTTGTGAAAAATCATTAATTTCCTGGTGCTGATTTAAATTCTTTGATAATTATCTGGGAGGGGCTTAAAGGGGGTGCAAAATTGCCTTTTGGAAGGGTTTAATTGATTGACATTGCAATAGTCTGCTCAAAGTCTGTGAGAGTATGAATGCCTATCTGTAAATCTGTCATACATACATATATCAGAAATGACAATAATTATATATAGTATACACAAATGTGTCTGTATGTTTGTATAAAACTAGCATATAACCAAATACCTACACACCTGATGTGGTATTGTATTTGATCCACTGTAAAAGTTCTTCCTGAGGCAAATTATTAAATTCTCCTATTATGCTCCATTGATTACGGAGGTTTGCATAACCTTGTATTGACATCACTGTTAGAATGCCAAAGATAACATTATCAAAACGAACTCTGCGAAAAAGCCAGCCAAAGAGCTGAAACGAAAGAAACCATTTATTTCTAGTTCTTATATGAAGAGTACTATAGGGTCAACAATAAATTCTCACCTTGTTACTCAAACCAACGTGAATTACCCTTTGATATCAGCACACATGTATACAGAATTATCATCTCCGATTGTTTCTAAAGCAACGGATATATTGGCATTACAGGGCCCAGGTGAAAATGGGACTTTCTCTCCCCTGGGAAGAATTAAGGAAGATATACCTGATCCTTCTAGTACTAATTTACTACTAAGGATTAAAATAAACAAATCACAACTGTGAAACATCTTAGAACTAAATCCTTTCATCCTTGGCTGCCTTTTGTGGACATGGTTAGTAGACAGGGAAGCCCTATTAGCATGATATATATAGATTCTTCTCAGGAAAACAGGCATTATGATATTTTAAGGCTATACACTCATAATAAAAACTAAGTGAGGTGTTTGTAGAAGTACCTTAGGCCCAATATTCTAGCAATTTATCTAGTTCTTTTGTATGTTAGATAACACTGATAGAACCCCAGAATTTCTTATAGATTCTTCAAGCCAAACAGGACCATATTAGGGCAATTACTCTGCATCTACTCTGGTATTGGATGAGTATTTCAGGGTACTTTTGGTGAACCAGGAAACTCTTTTTTTTTGAGACAGAGTCTCACTCTGTCTCCCAGGCTGTAATGCAGTGGTGCAACCTCACCTCACTTCGACCTCCACTTCCCGGATTCAAGCAATATTCCTGCCTCAGCCTCCTGAGTAGCTGGGATTACAGGCACACACCACCATGCCTGGCTAATTTTTGTATTTTAATAGAGACAGGGTTTCACCATGTTGGCCAGGCTGGTCTTGAACTCCTGACCTCAAATGATCGCCCACCTAGGCCTTCCAAAGTGCTGGGATTTCAGGTGTGAGCCACTGTGCCTGGCCACCAGGAAACTCTTTTTTTTTCTTTTTCTTTTTTTGAGACAGAGTCTCACTCTGTCACCCAGGTTAGAGTGCTGTGGTGCGATCTTGGCTGACTGCAGCCTCTGCCTCCCAGGTTCAAGCGATTCTCCTGCCTCAGCCTCCCAAGTAGCTGGAATTACAGGTACTCGCCACCACACGGCTAATTTTTGTATTTTTAGTAGAGATGGAGTTTCACCATGTTGGCCGGGCTGGTCTCAAACTCCTGGCCTCAAGTGATCTGCCCATCTCGGCCTCCCAAAGTGCTGGGATTGCAGGTGTGAGCCACTGTGCCAGGCACTCTTACACAAACCTGAACTCTAAAAGGTTGTGTTCATGGACAGGATATTAACAGAGGGGAAATGTTTGCCTAATCACTTGTTATAGAAATATCAATTAAAATCCAGAAATACTTTTCAAAGCCACTTGAAATTGCTTTTCTTGCTTATAGTGAATCATGAAGTAATATTTTAAATCATTTAACTTAGTTAAGTTAAAAACACTTAGTGTGTTTATATTTTGAATTAGTCAGCAAAGCCACGGTAACTACTAAGTATAGCTGCTATAGTTTTTATAGTATTGTTATACAAGAATGAATCCCTTACCTGTCGAGAGCATATCAAGGAAGCCATAACACACATGTGCAGCGTCAAAAACATCTTTAGCCTCATAATTAAAATGGCAAGGGCAGTAAACGCTAACAACTGCAATGTGTGAAAAGCCAGCTATAAAAACACAAATAAGACAAAATCACATTGTTACTTTTCATATTTTTAAATTAATGAAGTATATTAAAACTATATTATTCATTAAGACAAGGATCTTCTAAGTAATAAGCCTATCAGTATTCATTCAACAATAATTTATTGAATGTCTACTATGTTCCAGGTACTCTTCTGGGTGCTTCGGATACAGCAGTGAGCAATTTCTGTCCTTGTATTACATTTAACTACATTTAGTAATGAAAGACAATACATAGAAATAACAAATAAATAAATCCATTACATAGTCTACTGTAAGGCAATAAGTGCAGTTGGCAAGAAAATGGAGCAGGCAGAGGAGCTAGGGAGAGCAGGAGGTGGTGTGAGGAGGTGGAGGACCAACACAGTGGGCCTCACTGTAAAGTGACAAAGTTACTAATGCATCCCTGATCCAAAAATCTGAAATCTACAATGCTCCAAAATCTGAAACTTTTGAGTACCAATATGATGTTCAAAGGTTATGCTAAAACAAATGCTCATTGAAGCATTTTGGATTTTGGATTTTCAGGTTAGGGATGCTCAACTAGTAACTACATTGTAAATATTCCAAAATTCAATAAAATCTGAAATCTGAAACGCCTCTAGTCCTAAGCATTTTGGATAAGGGATACTCAACATGTGTCATAAACTATCTCTATTAAGTTCAAATTCAGTTACCCACTCCTGTAAATTTGACCTTTACCTCAAGACCCACTTAAAGTTCTATCAAATAGGAAATATTTCCAGCCCACACTGATCTTTTCCTTTGTATGCCACAAAATAATTTTACACCATATAAAATGTTGTCTTATTTGTCTCCTTTGTAAAATTACACATACTGAAGGGCAGGAACATGACTTTAGTATCTTTTGTATCCTTCAACACTTCTGAGCTTGTCACTTACTGACCAGCAAATCTACATGGTGGCAGATGGCCACCAGTCACAGGGCGAAGGGTGCCTGCCCTAATGGACTGTAGCTGATTAGCTCAGCAGGCTAGAAACCAAATGCTTGTTATTGTTAAATGAATGCAATTTAATTTAATTCTGTACTATAGTCATAAATCAGCCTTCTAGCTTTTAAATCCTTATTACTATTCAAAAGTAACAGCAGATGAAAGAGTGAGAAGGATCGGCAGAAATTTATCACAAATGCTGAACAACTCACTACTGATGGTGCATCAGCAGCAAGGTTATACCTTTGTCAATTACCCTCAAACTAGAATTTAATACACAAGTCTACCAGAGATTAAAATGAAAGCTTTACCTCACTGTGTTCAAGGAGCTGTTTTCTAGAATAAAACAAAAATATTATCTATTTACTGAAGGTCTTTTATACTATGAATACATAAAAATAAGCTTCATTTGTTTGATCTTAGATTTTTAAAATGTGACTATCTCTAAACTACTTAGGAACATACATAAAAATAAAAATATCAGATAATAGTACAAAAATTATAACAATTTAAAAGTTATAGTCATAATTTATAGTCATAATTTATAGTCATAATTTATAGTCATCCTATTCAAGATATGTCAAAAATTTGTTCTTTGGTTAAGACAAAATAGATTTTACAGATCCCTGGAGATTGTACCTCTCATTAATAAATGAATAGGATGACCTTCTATTCGACCTATATATACAGTGTATACAGTACTTTAGATGACCACTGTTAAACTTTTGAGTTATTTTCATTTTTCACAATTACAAATAACACGGACACTCATGCATAAAACTTTGTAAGCATCTCTGAATATTTCCGTAGCATAAATTTCCAGAAGAAAAATTATTGGGTAAAACATAAATATTTTCAGTTTCAGCAAAGTTGTCCCTTTACAAAATATTTATAGTACACCTACTGTATTCTAGGCACTGTGCAATGAAATGAATACCACAGTCCCTGCTTATCCTCTGATCCTCACTTTCCACAGTTTCAGTTACCTGTGGTCAACTGCAGTCCAAAAATATTAAATGAAAAAAGTTCCAGGAAATAAACAATTCCTAAGTTTTAAATTGTGCACCACACTGAATAGTGAAATCTCAAGTCACCCTGCTTCATCCTACCTGGGACATGACTCACCCTTTTGTCCAGCATATCCATGCTGTATACGTCACCAGCCTGTTAGTCATGTAGTTACCATCTTAGTTATCAGATGGACTCTGGTGGTATCTCAGTGCTTGTTTTCAAGTAACCCTTTTCTGACTTAATAATGGCCCCAAAGTTCAAGAGCAGTGATGATGGCAGTTGAGATATGTCAAAGAGAAGCTGTAAAGTGCTTTCTTTAAGGGAAAAGGTGAAAGTTCTCAAAAGAAAAAACATCATATGCTGAGGTTGCTAAGATCTACGGTAAGAACAAATCTACCCATGAAATTGTGAAGAAGAAGGAAAAATTAATGTTAGTTTTGCTGTTGCATCTAAAACTGCAAAAGTTATGGCCACAGTCCATGATGAGTGCTTAGTTAAGACGGAAAAGGCATTAAATCTGTGGGTGGAAGACGTGCACAGAAATGTGTTCCGATGGTGGCAATCACGTGTGTTACTCTCTGCAGTTTCAAGCATCCACTGGGGGTCTTGGGATGCGTCGCCCTGCAGATAAGGGCAACTGCTGTGCAGCATGAACAGTATGGAGACAATACTTATCTTCATGGAGTTTATATTAGAGTAAGACAAGAGGTAGGAGACTGCCTATTTTATTGTTCTCTTGAAAAGACTGGGTATTTTACTTTTATGAAAGGCTTTATAGCCTGCAGGGGCATTCTAATATGGATTTTGGGGGTGAAGAGAGAAATAGGTGTAGAAAGTAAGTTCAGGGGTGCAGAGACCCATAGGTTTTTTAAAAGAGAAGTCAGGGGAAGGTCTCTTAAGGTAGTAGTGGAGTCCAAATTATTCTATGTCCCTTGTAGCTCCTACCCTTTGTATGCAGTAATTTTTTTTTAAATCGAAGACAGGGGAAGGTCTCTTAAGGTAATAGTAGAGACCAAATTATTCTATCTCCCTCGTAGCTCCTTCCCTGTGTATGCAGTTAACGGAGTGTGGTTTCCCCACTTGTCCCGAAATCTTCTAGGCACAACAGATTCCTGTAGTGAGCTGCATGCAAGGAAGAAGCCTGGTAGGTGAGTAATTATTATAATCACCAAGAACCCTGAAAGTAACTACTGATACTTTATTTAAATCAAGTAGCTAATTAAAAATGTGAATATACAACCAAATCCCAAGACACGAATATCATGAAAAGGAAACATCAAAATAAATAAGCAAAAAACTTGACCTTTCATGAAACAGCTAATGCAAATGAAAACTCCAATTATTGTTTTCACAGAAGTTTAAGAGGATAATGCATCCATATAATTAAAATAAGCTCCAGTGAAAAGGAGTTTTCAGAAATTCTAAGAAAAATATATTTGCCTAATTTAAAGCCTCAAAAGAAAGTTGAAGAGCAAAATGCACACAGCTGAAGCTGACAGTATTAAAGACTCAGTGATGATATTCTCTGAGAACACAGAAAGAAAAGAAATAGATAATATGATAAAAGCAATAACAGAAATTCAAAAAAGAGAGGCTAAAGTGAAAGAATAAGAGAACAACAACAACACACACATCACCCCTCCAAACCTTATGAATTTCCAGAGAGAAAAACTATATAGGAATTTTCATCTGTAATGCTCAATGCTAGAACACAAAGAAGCAATGTCAACAAAATGTTGAATGAAACTCACAAATATCTATTAACCAATCTATCAATCAAATATGAGGGCAAAATAAAGCCATTTTTCAGGTAAGAAAGCACCCAGAAAGCATGCCAATTCTACATGTCAAGGAAAAATAAATCAGTAAAATTTGAAGTCAAGTCCAAAGATTGCTGGTGTCTTTAATGTAAATGTTTAGAGACTTCTTAAAACATAACAGATAAGACAACAATCTAGAAAGTAAATTTCAGCATAACCTGGAAGGAGAGGGTGTCTAGGCAGGGACAAGTAGAAATATTCCAACAGCTCAGTGCTGAAGCAAGCAGGTCTCTAGGTACAGAGCCTGAGTATGAATTCTGCCTCCACTACTCACTGGCTGTGTGCCTTTCAGAAAATTACTTACCTTCTTACTGGTTTCCTCATCTGTAAATAATGGGAATAACTGACTCCCTTCTCACAAGGTGACTGTGAAGATTTATTGAGTTAATACTGGTAAGAAGCTTAAAATACTGTCAGACACACAGGAAATAATAACTGTTAGCTACTATCGTTGGTGGTAACAGGTTTTAGATGCTGATGAATTCTTAATATCAAGATGAATATATTTGCTAATAATTTAAGAGAAACCACCAGGAAATATAGAAATGGGATATAGCTAACAATTCAGCAAGTATCAAGAAAATAATTTTTGAAAAGCATGATGAATAGAAAACATAAAATCAGATGGCAGGGAGAAGTACAAACACAGCAGTTATCACCGTTAATATGAAAATGGGTTAAATTCACCAATTAGAAAACGAGTATTAGAGGAATTTGAATAGAAAAAATCTAACAATGAGAAATATACCTAAACCAAAATGTCACAAAAATGTTAAAAAAAAAAGCATAAATACAGGTAAACCAGGAAAATCTATAAAAAAGAAAGCAGAGGTGGCAATATTAATTTTACACAAAGAAAAATTTACAGCAAAAAACCACTAAGTAAAGCAAAGAATATCCTTTATAATAAAAGTACAATCCTATAATAATCATGCAATGAACAACAGCACTATCTATATAAAGCAAACACTATTAAAATTATGAGACAATTTTGAAAAATTCATTTTTAATGTTGCATGTGAAGATAGCATTCTAAGAAAACAGAAAAAGTAGAAAAATAAGAGACCATTTAGAATAGCACTATTAATAACATGATATAACATGTAACTTTGAACTTCCCCTAAATAAGAAATGAACATTTAAAAAATCCTCACAGAGCATTTACTAAAACTGAACATCCATCTCAATAAATAGCAAGTTAATTTTAAAGGCAAAATATACAACAGAAGAAACTAGTTAGACATTTTTAAAAATTATCATTATCATTATTATTATTATTGAGACGGAGCCTCGCACTGTTGCCAGGCTGGAGTGTGGTGGCAATCTTGGCTCACTGCAACCTCCGACTCCTGGGTTCCAGCAATTCTCCTGCCTCAGCCTCCCGAGTAGCTGGGATTACAGGTGCGTGCCACCACGCCCAGCTAATTTGTGTATTTTTAGTGGAGACGGGGTTTCACCATGTTGGCCAGGATGGTCTCGATCTCTTGACCTCGTGATCCGCCCGCCTTGGCCTCCCAAAGTGCTGGGATTATAGGCATGAGCCACCGCACCTGGCCTAAAACTAGTTAGACATTTTAAGACATTCTTCTAAGTGATTTTGGATTAAATGATCAAAACTCAAATCACAGACTACACAGAAATCAACATTAATGGTAATGCTACACACATCATGGGATACAGTGTGCATTTTCTTCAGAGAAAAAGTTATAACTTTAAATGTATTTACTAGGACACAATAATGATTGATAATAAATGATGTGAACTTTAGACACAGAAAAACAACAAAAGTGCACCAAAAGAAAAACTAAGGACATAAACATGTAAGCAGAGATTAATAAAATGGAGAACAACTTTCATAAATATAAGGAATAAAACCAAAAGCTGATTTTATGAAAAATCCAAAAAAGAATGGACTCGTTATGGACTAATGCAGCTGGTGACTTTCGGTTGAAGCCAATGTTCATTTACCACTTTGAAATTCCTGAGGCCTTTTTTCAGAATTATGCTACATCTACTCTGCCTCTACTCTACAAATGGAACAACAAAGCCTGGATGACAGCACATCTGTCACAGCATGATTTACTGAATATTTAAAACCCACTCTTGAGACCTACTTCCCAGAAAAAAAGATTCCTTTCAAAATATTATTGCTCATTGACAATGCGGCTGGTCACCCAAGAGCTCTGATAGAGATTGACAAGGAGATTAAGGTTGCAGGAAAGCAGGCTGGATCAAGGAGTCATTTCAACTTTCAAGTCTTGTTATTTAAGAAATATATGTCATAAGGCTATAGCTGTCATAGATAGTGATTCCTGTGATGGATTTGGGTAAATTGAAAATCTTCTGGAAATGATTCACCATTCTAGATGCCATTAAGGATATTTGTGATTCATGGATGGAGGTCAAAATACTGACATCAATAAGAGATGGGAAGCAGTTGATTCCAACTTATTTTCTACTTTATCTGTCATTTTCTTAGAATGTTTTCTTCTCATATAATATTAAAAATGATTCCAACCCTCATGGGTGACTCTGAGGGGTCCAAGACTTCAGCAGAGGAAGTCACTGCAGATGTGGTGGAAACAGCAAGAGAACTTGAATTAGAAGTAGAGCCTGAAGACGTGACTGAATTGCTGCAATCTCATGATAAAACTTTAATGGATGAGGAGTTGCTTCTTATGGATAAGCAAAGACAGTGGTTTCTTGAGATAGAATCTACTCCTGGTGAACATGCTGTGAACACTGTTGAAATGAAAACAAAGGATTCAGAAGATGACATAGATTTGGTTGATAAAGCATGGCAGGGTTTGAGAGGACTGACTCCAATTTTGAAAGTAGTTCTACTGTTGGTAAAATGCTATCAAACAGCATTGTATGCTACAGAGCAATTTTTCACGAAAGGAAGGGTCAATCAATGTGGCAAACTTCATTGTCTTATTTTAAGAAATTGCTACGGCCACCTGATCAGTCAGAAGCTATCACCATTGAAGCAAGACCTTCTACCAGCAGAAAGATTACAACTCTAATGTACATGTCAGGATAGACATTATCCAAAAAAAAAAAGGTAGTAAGTGTTGGCAAGAATGTAGAGAAATTGAAATCCCTGCACAGGTGGAATTTCAAATGGTGCACCTGCTATGGAATATAGGATGGAGGTTCACCAAAAAAATCTTTAAAAAATTAAAAGTAGAACTACCATAAAATCCAGTAATCCCACTTCTAGGTATTTATCCAAAACAGTTGAAATCAAAATCTCAACAAGATACTAGCACTCTCATGTTCACTGCAGTGCTATTCATAGTAGTCAAGATGTGGAAACTGACTAAATGTCCATCAACAGATGAATAATGAAAATGTGGCATACATAAACAATGGAATATTGTTCAGCCTAAAAAAAAAGTAGGAAATTCTTCAATGTGAGACAGCATAGATGAACCTGAAGGGCATTATGCTAACCAAAATAAGCCAACCCCACAAGGTATATAATGCAAAATTCCATTTACATGAGGTATCTAAAATAGTCAAAGTCATTTTGACTATAAAAGTCAAATGACTATAAAAGAGTGAAAGAGTGGAATGGTGTCACCAGGGGATGAGACGAGGGGAAATGGAGAGTTACTAGTCAACAGGCTTAAAGTTTCAGTTAAGCCAGATGAATAAGTTCGAGAGATAGACTATAGAATGTTATACATATAGTCCACAATACTGTATTATACAATTAAAAAATCATTAAGAGGGTAGATCACATGTTAAGCATTCTTACCAAATTTTAAAAACAAGTGTAGTTATTAATAAGGAGAAAAAATATAAAATAATCCCCAAAATATTTTTAAAGCCATTTTTTAAAAATTTAACATTCATTTTTTACTGCTTTATTGAGTTACAATTCACACATTATACACTTTCAACATCTATCTTTAATTTAATTTTTAAAATTATCCTGGTTTATATAAACCAAAAGGAAACTTTCTTTTTTTTTTTTTTTGAGACAGAGTCTCACTCTGTCACCCAGGCTGGAGTGCAGTGGCGTGATCTCAGCTCACTGAAACCTCCGCCTCCTGGGTTCACGCCATTCTCCTGCCTCAGCCTACCGAGTAGCTGGGACTACAGGTGCCCACCACGACACCCAGCTAATTTTTTGTATTTTTAGTAGAGACGGGGTTTCACCATGTTAGCCAGGATGGCCTCAATCTCCTGACCTCGTGATCCGCCCACCTTGGCCTCCCAAAATGCTGGTATTACAGGTGTGAGCCACCACGCCTGGCCAAGGAAACTTTCTTAATGAAATAAAGGCTATCTATTATATAATAACAGCAAATGAAACAGTGAGACACTAAAGGCATTCTTCACTTTAGAGTCAGAAACAAAATAAGGGCAAGCCCATCATCACTGCAATTCAAAGTTGTTCTGGAAGTTCTAGCTAATACACAAGACAAGAAAGTAAAGAAGTATAAATATTAGAAAGTTATTACTATTTGTAGATTATATGATAACCTGCCTAGAAAATCCAGAGCATCAATGGAAAAACTATTAGAACCAGAAAGAAAGTTTGGTAACGTGGCTAGATAAAAACGTGTTGCAAAAAAAAAAAAAAAAAAAAAAAAAAAGTAAAGCAGCTTTCCTATAAACTAAAAGATCAATATAAGAGACAATCTAAAACAGACTCAAGTACAATGAGAACTGGTAAGTGATAAAAGCTGACTTTTGGAAAAAAGATTTATGCAATACTGTGATGGGACAATACCTCATTAGAGGGGGAAAGGTAGACTCCTCTATGTCACTATACCACAAAATTAATGCAAGAGTAATAAATAACCTATATGTGAATAGAAACTTATGAAAGAAAATATGAAAAAAATATTTTCATGTTTTTGGTTTAGGGAAGTGTTTCTAAGCAACATATCAACCCAGAAAAAATATATAACTGTGATTGTACAGAAATTTTGAAGTTCTACAAAGCAGAGACCATAAATGAACTATAAGTTGACATCTTGGAAGAAACTATGTAATACACATAAGAGACAAAATGTTACGTCTATGGAAAAAGCAAAAACATAACACATGGCTGGGCACAGTGGCTCATGCCTGCAATCCCAGCACTTTGGGAGGCCCAGGTGGCTGGATCACTTGAGGTCAGGAGTTCGAGACCAGCCTGGCCAACATGGCAAAACCCTGTCTCTACTAAAAATACAAAAATTAGCTGAGTGTGATGACGGGTGCCTGTTATCCCAGCTACTCCAGAGGCTGGAGCAGGAGAATTGCTTGAACCCCAGAGGCAGAGGTTGCAGTGAGCAGAGATTGTGCCACTGCATACACAGCAGCGAGACAAAAAAACAAAACAAAACAAAACAACAACAACAAAAAAAAAACCCACAAAACAACTTTTAAAGGTCAAAAAGAAACATAGTAAACAAACACATGAAAAGCTGCAAAACTCCACTGACAAAGAATTTACACAATAAAATGAATTGTTTTTACCTATCAGAAAAAATTAAAAGCTTGATAACGATGTTGGTGGAGTTGCAGAGAAATGGACACTCTCATCATTATAATTTCTCAGTTTTAACAAATTCTAAAATATGCAGGCCTCATAATCAGCAGTCCAAATTCAAATATTTTATACTATAGAAATACTTAGAATAAGTGTACCAAGATACACGAACCAGGATGTTCAATCCTCAAAACATTGGTTTTTTTTATGACAAAAGTTATATATAATCTAAACTTTCATTGATATGGGAAAGGCAGTCACGCATGATGGTCAACAATAAAATCCTAAGACCATTATAAAATATAATGAAGATCAAGGAAGAGGCCCAAGACACACTATTAAATACAAGTAACAAGTTGCAGAATAAGAAGAATACAATTCTATTTTTTAAAAATATTGTGTTTCTATATGTGTTTTCTAAAATAAAACATACAAAGCTACTTACAATCAGCACCCAGGGGAGCAGATCTAAGAGAGGGGAGTATTCCCTCTCTTTCTGATACACTGGTTTTTCAGAATGTATTACTACTAGCCCCTGCTATTATTATTTTTGAGATTTAACCTGGAACCCTCTGCCCCTACACAACAGGCCTGTCACTTTCAAATATGTAATCAATACATAGACTTCCATATTCTGAGTAATTATCTTCCATCCACTGACCCCTCCGAGTCTGTCGCTTCCACATTACACCCTCTGCAATATATGAAGACAGTTGCCACATACCCTTCAATCTTCTATTATCCAATTAAATATCCCAAGTCCCTTCATGCACTCCTTATGGGAACAGTGTCCAGGGTTCCCCATTCATTCTTTTTTAGAATGCCAAGACACATTTCCCTGGGCTCCATCTGTCCTGAACAATATAGAATGGGTCTATTATCCCTTTTATTTTGGAAACAATTTCAACAGATGCACCTAAGAGCTTAATTAGCTCTTCTGACAACCATACACAGCTGTTTATTAAAAATACAAGCATGGAGTATGGAGTTCATAGAAATTCTTTCTACTGTCTTCACAATTTTTCTATAAATCTAAAACTATTCTATAAAGTAGAAGTCACAAAATAAAATCAAATATTCTATTTACAAATATAAAATGTAACTTGAAAATTACTATTAGGTACTATGCTCACTACCTGGGTACAATATACACATGTAACAAGCCTGTACATGTGCCCCCTGCATCTAAAATAAAAGTTGAACACTAAAAAACATGTCATTTGAGATCATATTTCCCTCAGAAGGAAATTTTCTTCACAATTTACTTCTTGAGTCTTGTAGCAATTTACTTATGTGTGACTGATATGATACATTTTGCTGGCATCTGCTTATGCTAGTGACATTACTAAAAGCATCCAAAAATGTTATACAATAAATAGTTTTAACAATAAGTTTAGAAGAAAATTCATAAATATTCAGGAACACAAATAATTATACCCCCTCTGAAAGTTAAAAAAGAAGGAAAAAGAAAAGCCTGACCAACATGGTGAAACCCCCTCTCTACAAAAAAATACAAAAATTAGCTGGGCATGGTGATGCACACCTGTAGTCCCAGCTGCTTGGCAGAGCTGAGATGAGATGATTGCATGAGCCCAGGATGTCCAGGCTGCAGTGAGCAGAGATCATGCCACTGCACTCCAGCCTGGGTGACAGAGCAAGACTCTGTGAAAAAAGAGAAGAGAAGAGAAGAGAAGAGAAAAGAAAAAAAAAGAGAAGAGGAAAGACAAGACAAGACAAGACAGAGAGAGAGAGAAGGAAGGAAGGCAGGAAGGAAGGAAGGGAGGAAGGGAGGGAGGGAGGAATTCCAAAAATTGCCAAGGTAATTTATAGATTCAATGCCATCCCCATCAAGCTACCAATGAGTTTCTCCACAGAACTGGAAAAAACTACTTTAAAGTTCATATGGAACCAAAAAAGAGCCTGCATCGCCAAGTCAATCCTAAGCCAAAAGAACAAAGCTGGAGGCATCACACTACCTGACTTCAAACTATACTACAAGGCTACAGTAACCAAAACAGCATGGTACTGTTACCAAAACAGAGATATAGATCAATGGAACAGAACAGAGCCCTCAGAAATAACGCTGCATATCTACAACTATCTGATCTTTGACAAACCTGAGAAAAACAAGCAATGGGGAAAGGATTCCCTATTTAATAAATGGTGCTGGGAAAACTGGCTAGCCATATGTAGAAAGCTGAAACTGGATCCCTTCCTTACACCTTATACAAAAATCAATTCAAGATGGATTAAAGACTTAAACGTTAGACCTAAAACCATAAAAACCCTAGAAGAAAACCTAGGCATTACCATTCAGGACATAGGCATGGGCAAGGACTTCATGTCTAAAACACCAAAAGCAATGGCAACAAAAGCCAAAATTGACAAATGGGATCTAATTAAACTAAAGAGCTTCTGCACAGCAAAAGAAACTACCATCAGAGTGAACAGGCAACCTACAAAATGGGAGAAAATTTTCGCAACCTACTCATCTGACAAAGGGCTAATATCCAGAATCTACAATGAACTCAAACAAATTTACAAGAAAAAAACAAACAACCCCATCAAAAAGTGGGTGAAGGACATGAACAGACACTTCTCAAAAGAAGACATTTATGCAGCCAAAAAACACATGAAAAAATGCTCACCATCACTGGCCATCAGAGAACTGCAAATCAAAACCACAATGAGATACCATCTCACACCAGTTAGAATGGCAATCATTAAAGTCAGGAAACAACAGGTGCTGGAGAGGATGTGGAGAAAGAGGAACACTTTTACACTGTTGGTGGGACTGTAAACTAGTTCAACCCTTGTGGAAGTCAGTGTGGTGATTCCTCAAGGATCTAGAACTAGAAATACCATTTGACCCAGCCATCCCATTACTGGGTATATACTCAAAGGACTATAAAGCATGCTGCTATAAAGACACATGCACACGTATGTTTATTGTGGCACTATTCACAATAGCAAAGACTTGGAACCAACCCAAATGTCCAACAATGATAGACTGGATTAAGAAAATGTGGCACATATACACCATAGAATACTATGCAGCCATAAAAAAGGATGAGTTCATGTCCTTTGTAGGGACATGGATGAAATTGGAAATCATCATTCTCAGTAAACTATTGCAAGAACAAAAAACCAAACACCGCATATTCTCACTCATAGGTGGGAATTGAACAATGAGAACACATGGACACAGGAAGGGGAACATCACACTCTGGGGACTGTTGTGGGGCAGGGGGACGGGGGAGGGATAGCTTTAGGAGATATACCTAATGCTAAATGACAAATTAATGGGTGCAGCACACCAGCATGGCACATGTATACATATGTAACCAACCTGCACATTGTGCACATGTACCCTAAAACTTAAAGTATAATAATAATGAAAAAATAAATAAATAAATCTTTAGCTTACTGACTTTAAATTCTAATATATATTATAATTTATCAATTTAAACTTTGAGTTAGTTCACAAATATAAATATCTCCAAAACAAGTCCAAATACATATAAGAAATCTGTAAGAATAATATTTTTAAGGAAACATTTAAGTTTGGTTCATATCTCCTTTCTTAATCATAATGCTAAAGTTTAATGCATATTCATTTGAAAAATTAATGTTATAGTATGTTATTTAATAATGGAATACTGTATGTTTTAAAAAGAATGATGATATAATTACCTTAGATAAATGTTTGTAGCTAAAACACACGAAATATCACGAACAGTCTGTGAATAGAATCAAATCAATGAAACTTTTGTAAGGAATACTGCAATATTTAAAATGCTCTGATTCATTTATATAAACACTCCGCCAAAGAAAGAAGTATTTTTTAATGTTTAAGGGAGTCCTCAGGAACAGGACAGTCATACTATAAGATGCCTTCCTTTTCTCCTTCCGAGAAGTGACTTCACATCATTGAAAACTAAATGACCATCAGAAGTATCCTTGGGGTGAAAAATAAGCCGCAATAGGACAAATAAAGACTGGGGGGTTTATAAGAAAGCAGAAAGGAAGGAGTGAAACTTGGCTGGCTTGCAGGGATGAGAGAGAGAGAGAAAGAGTGTGTGTGTGTGTGTGTGTGTGTGTGTGTGTGTGTGTGTGTATGAAACTTGGCCGGCTACAGGGATTTGTGTGTGTGTGTCTGTATGTGTGTATGCATGTATGAAACTTGGCTAGCTGTAGGGATGTTTGTATGTGTGTGTGTGCGTGCGTGTGTGTGTGTATGAAACTTGACTGGCTGCAGGGACGTGTGTGTGGGTGTATGTGTGTGTGTGTGTGTGTGTGTGTATGCACATGCCCCTGCTAGTGCACATGCATAATTCAGGTTGTGGTGTGTCTGGAAACTAGGAATGTATTTATAAGTCTTGGATCTTAATTTTTTAAAATATAGGAGTTGCGGATCTAGCTATCAGTTTCTCTCACATTGCTGACTCTCCACTGAATAGTTAATTCATGCATTGGTCCCTCTAAGTGGAGCCTTAGAAGAATAACTCGACATTTTGCCTTGATGGAAAAGAAACAGGCCAGTAGAGAAAATCTTCATTCTAAGCCAGCATGGGCCAAAATGATGCAGGGCGGTAAACCTGCTCACATTTTACTCATTCCTCCTTGTTTCCTTTATCCTGACTCTTTCCACGTGGTCCGCAGGGAACTGGATCAAGGGTGAAACCACAGAGGTGTCGAGGGAGATGCCTTTCTCACTCCTAAATTATTCACATCTCTGTGTAAACAAAGGAGTGAGAAGTGTGGCAACTAAAACTACATAGAGAAGATATGCAATTTGACTGTAAATACAGAAAACTTTCAACAAGAACACAACTGGTATGGTGGTAGGGAAATTGCGTTATTGTTATCTGCTTAAAAGTATACAATAAATACATACTGGCTTAAGACTTGATAGCTTGTAAGTAACATAAATAAAGATGGCTCAAGACTGTTTAAAAAAATACCCACTGTCTTTAACCATGCTTTTAGCTAAAACTCCACCCAGACCAAGAAAACCTACCAGTGGTATTTTAAAGATTATTTTTTTCATTGAGATGTTCTTTTCTTCTGTCATGAAAACAGTGAACATGTAGAAAAGTATTTTTTAATTAGCTATACAAATTTCTTCTACGCAGGCCCACTCAAAACAGATCAAGACTTCACCGTGCTTTATATTTGAAAGATATTAACATTGTTGTCCCTGGACTTTTCTATCATAGCACCTATAAAAATTTTAATTCTTTAGACATTTGTGTGATTATTTGCTTCATGTTTGCACCCCCACCCCCAATAATCCAGGATTGTAAGTTCCAAGACAGGAGCGGCCACGTTTTATTTGTCCGGGTGTACCTACAATGTTAATGTAGTCCTTGATACACAGTTGGTGACTGGTATATATCTTTTGAGAGAAAAAATAAGAATACCTTTTATCATGGCTTTTTATAAAAAGATCGATGATGAAAGATCTAAACAAAAAGCAAACTTTTAGAGACAGAAAGAGTTCATCCTAAAAATAACATGGAATTCTGAGCAATTTGCATTATTATAGTCCTTATATTGATGCCAAAAACAAATAATAATTTGTTTAAAAATACCTTTTTAAAGATAAAACATGTAATCACCATAACAACTGGAAGCAATAATGTCTTTGTGTATCTCAGTGGAGTCTGAAATATACCAAATTATTCAAAATAGTTACTTACAATTTTTACATTAAATTAGTAAACATCTATGTCAAACTAAGTGCCATGATAACATTCCTTAAAAGTAAAAGGTTAAATTTCTTTGTCATCAGCAGAATATATATTTATTATCTTCCATGCCTTAATAAAATAATTAAAATTATAAAAATAGTTATAAAAAGTATTCCAAAAATTTAATGAAAAATTTATTATTTTAATAAAACTAGAATTGCTATATCTATTTTTTCTTTTCTTTTTTTATTTACATAATACTAAGTTTTAAAATGTGTGTTTACCGATCCCTGGGTCCTACATTGTAACTTTCTGTACTACACAGCTCCATTATTTTCATTAGTGAAACTAGAGCTAACAAGAAAGAAAGCTAATCAAAGTTAATGACTAAAACTATGAATAAGTACAGAAATAACATTGGCTAACTAATTCTGATGACCTGTTATTGTGATGATAAGGAGTAATTTACCAGGTAACTAAATTATACATTTCTTAAAAGCAAGAAACCAGTTCATTTTCCTCTTTGTCGTGCTATAGCAAACTGCCTCATGGATAACTAGTGGTCAATAATAGTTTTTGAATGAATGGGATGACTGGTTGGATGGATAAGAGAAGGATGTAAAATTTTATTATTTACCACTAATTCAGAATTCATAATGATTACACAAGGAATAATCAATCCAGTAGCAACTTTGTTATGTTCTATGAAGAAAATTAAGCTACAAATAGAGGAAACAGCCCTGGATTGAGAGTTCTAGAATCCATTAGAATCCATGTCCTGATCTTGGCTTGTGTGTGCCTTAGGCAAATCTTTTAAGCTTTTCTTTATCTGCAAATGAAAGAACTATATGGCATGGTCTCTAAGAGCCCTTCCTGATCTTGTGTTCCATGATTCTACAAAGAGGCCAATTTTTTTTTCTTTTTTCTTTTTTCTTTTTTTTTTGATACAGAGTCTCACTCTGTCACCCAGGCTGGAGTGCACTGGTGCAATCTCAGCTCACTGCAATCTCCGCCTCCAGGGTTCAAGCAATTCTCCTGTCTCAGCCTCCTACTCAGGCTGGGACTACAGGCATGCACCAACATGCCTGGTTAATTTTTGTATTTTTAGTAGAGATGGAGTTACCACCATGTTGGTCAGGCTGGTCTCAAACTCCTGACCTCAAGTGATCTACCCGCCTCAGCATCACTAAGTGCTGGGATTACAGGGATGAACCACCACGCCCAGCCTATATTTTAAAGCTTTATAACATTAACTTTTTAAAAAGAATAATACCTTGCATTTGTATAATTTAAAATGAATTTTTATATGTTCATTAAAACTCATCAGTAGCATACCTTTCTTGATAACATCTTGTTAAAAATGTTATAATATTTGGGGTGTTAACTGTAATAAAACTGAATTTCTTAAAAACAGAAACAAGAATTTAGACTTTTTCCTGAATGGTCCCATATTTCCAAGTGGCCTAGATTATTAAAAGTAATTGATTTGTAATAATAGTAATTATTATGGGTCATATAGTATGTTAAACACTCTTCTCCGATTATCTCATTTAACCATCATCAATAACTCTATAAGATAGAGGCTATTTTTTTTTTTAACAGACAAAAAAACAAGTGAGGAAGGTAGATTAGCAAAAGTTACAGTAAAAAAAATAAAATAAGTTGACTGTTTCTGTGCAAAAATTTTGAGTTTCAGATTTTAAAAAAACCTAGAGCAAAAACTCATATTAGTAAAGAAGGAAAAAGGAAACATTCATACCGCTTTTTCCATGAAGTCAAATTCGGGAGCACAGGTGTATATTAAAGTATCAAAATCTGTATACCTTAAGATTCTGGCTGCTATAAGATCACTCAGGCGAATCTGGGAGAAAATAAAGTAAAATGAATTAAAATTACACAAATGATTATAGCCTACAGCCAGTAATACTTTATTGATGTAAGAATAACAAAGTTTATAGAGCAGATAAATCCAATGTATTTAGACATCCCTCTAAGAAAAAAACTACAGTGAACCAAATATACCATGTGCTGACTTCTCAAGATAACTGAAAATAAAGAGAAATATCATGAAAAATGAAAAGTAGAAAGAAGTCAGAAAAAATAAAGAGAAGATGATAAAGAGTGAGCTAAAATCAATATCTGCTGAGAAGAAACCACCATGTAGTTAATTACATTTTATAATAAGACAATTTATCATGAAAAACTATTTTACTTAATCTCTTTCAACATACATTGTAGGTCATAAGCTTTCTGTGCACTGTCATTTTCACAAAGCCTCGCAGACTGATTACAATATTTGGTACTTCTTGATGTTTTACAGACATATATTCAAACCATTGAATATGAGACCTGATCCTCATAAGAATTACAACAATTATACATACCACTTTTATCTTTGACTTAGCTATTTGATCTCCAAGGCTAAAAGTAGATACTAACAACCAAACCCAATGCAGAACTTCTATTTTTCTACTGATTATTTACAACCTGCTCTTGGTGAGACAATTATTTTTCCACAGCATCCTCAGAAGGCCAGAAAAAGGAAAATATTTGGCAAGTAAACTCTTAATTCAAATTATTTTATAGTGACAGAAATTATTTTATAACAAATTTGATGATTATGAGTGGTTTTCATTCAATTATTTTTCCTAATCTACCACTACTCAAGGATAATTTAGAGTTGCACTTTATTTTTCTAATTTAGAATAGGCCTGGTGACTAACAGTAATTTAACCAAACCACTATAATTTCAGGTATTCCTCCTAACTGTCACATAAAGGAAGTCACTCAGGACTACCAAGGAAGTGTGTTTGCATTTTTTTTTTTTTTAATTTGTAGGGCAGGCATGGTGGTTCACACCTGTAATCACCAGCACTTTGGGAGGCCAAGGCAGGCGGATCACTTGAGGTCAGGAGTTTGAGACCAGGCTGGCCAACATGCTGGAACCCCATCTCTACTAATAATACAAAAATTAGCCGGGTGTGGTAGCACGTGCCTATAATTCCAGCTACTCAGGAAGCTGAGGCACGAGAATCGCTTGAACCCAGGAAGTGCAGGTTGCAGTGACCCGAGATTGGCCACTGCACTCCAGCCTGGGTGGCAGCGTGAGACTGTGTTTCAAAAAAAAAAAAAAAAAAAAAAGATTTAGATTTGTAAAGAGCTGGGGGTCAATGTGAAGTAAGGCAAGAAACATAATCATGAACAAACTTAACAGACAAATAAATAACTTAGAAGGTCTAAATAAAGTTTATCATAAGACATATATAATAAAGTTAAAAACAATAAAAAGGAAAGGAGAATGGGGAAATGTGTCAGACATGCCAGAGAACAGCAGCAACAAATAAACTAATAAACCACCATGCAAAACTAGCAATAAATGGCAAATGTTTACATTTAGAAATTTTATTTAATATAAACATGTTGCATGTTATATTGCATAGAGACAGCATTTGACCTTTTAGAGAAGTAATACTATAATCCCTTGCCAAAGTACATAATTTCAGCATCAAATAGGGCCCTAATTGGATAGCATTAAATGAGGTAAATTTCAAAATTGATTATTGTATGATATACTCATGTATGCTTATTTCTAAACAGAAAGTGCTAGAAATAAAAAGTAGATTCATGCATTGTTTTCTATTCCCTAAACCAGTTAGTTAAGCAGGGACTTAGGCCTTGAAAAGGGCTACTCTTTAAAACATTAACAAACAGAAATACTACATGAGAGATAAATGCTCTGCATTTATTTCCTAGAAAATGAAAAGATCAAAATTTTTTAACATTCTCTTTTTATATAACAAGAAAGGCCTTAAAACATCAAATCATACATTGATTTTAGTCCATAGTTATAAATAAATAAAACAATACTGAGATTTTAAGAGTTCTATATTTTCAAAGCTGGGGACAGCCTCCCATATGTTAACATCTGCAATAAATGGATAACTTATGATGTAAACAACTAATTATTTGTATTTTAACTGAAATATAAACAAATAACTACTTAACAAACTATTAGTATTTTTTTTACTAAAAGGGCAAGTCAGCATTCATGAATATTTTTTCTTTTTAGTGGGTTGCAAAGATCACTGAACTGCAAGACTTTATTGTTGACTCTGCCAATAACTCGTCTAGAGACCTTAAAGAAGGCACTTAACCTCTGTAAAATGAAGAGATAGGAATAGATGGTTTCAAAGTTTTCATTCAGCTACATATTTATAAGAACTTTTATGTTTTACCTAAAAAGTACTTACGTGGTCTGAAACGCCTAAGATTTTAGATGTCAGAAATTTCAAAATGATTGTTCCACACCACCAGGCACTACCTTGAATTAGCTAGAAAATAAAATAGAAGTCCAGTATTTAAACCTACAAATCACCCAGCTAAAGTATTCAATTATATCTATAAATGACATAGAAAAAATTTAATTATGTGAGGTATAAATGGTGAAGTTTTTTTAAAAAAGTTCCTTTAGAAAATCTTGTTTAAAAGCAAAGAATTAAAACTGATGACACTGGTATAAAATATATAGCAACACTAGAATTCTATATATCCTAAATCTTTTTTTTTTTTTTTTTTGTCTTAAGGAGTGAAAGGTTAATAGCCAAGAAAGAAAGAAGGAAGAAGAAAACAGCTCCCCGTACAGAGACAGAGGAAGGGGGGATTTGAACAAAGAAAAAACCCCGTGTGCGTCGGAAAAGTGGCTGCTTATACGTATCCCAAATCTAAAGGAAGTTTTTTTTTTTTTTGAGACGGAGTCTCGCTCTGTCCCCCAGGCCGGAGTGCAGTGGCGCAATCTCTGCTCACTGCAAGCTCCGCCTTCCGGGTTCACGGCATTCTCCTGCCTCAGCCTCCCGAATAGCTGGGACCACAGGCACCCGCCACCACGCCCGGCTAATTTTTTGTATTTTTAGTAAAGACGGGGTTTCACCGTGTTAGCCAGGATGGTCTTGATCTCCTGACCTCGTGATCCACCCACCTCGGCCTCCCAAAGTGCTGGGATTACAGGCGTAAGCCACTGCACCCAGCCAATCTAAAGGAAGTTTTAAAAGGTTACTTCCTTTTGATTTCTGTTAAGAAAAGGGAGTGTTTATGTGTTTGTTTCCAAATATTATTTCTCAGCTGAAAATCCATTTTTTAAAACACTACCTTAAAAGTTCTTCTACCACTCCTGTGGAAATATATGAGCCCATCTTCAAGAAATAACAGTTTGAAATGTGAAAACTTAAGCTTTCCTTTAAGAAAGAGGAATATGAACTAGAACGGCAATGAGGCTTCTGTGTTGTTGTTGTTTATTTTTTGACTAGCCTTGATTAAAAAGGGAACAATTGTGTACTTCTGGTTAGCCTGGGGAAAGTTACAGCAGCCTAAATTCAAATCTCTGCATATATCAACCAACAAGTAGAGCAATACAACCACATACATGGCAAAAAAACTTCAAATTACCTATGAATCGAAAAGGAGGCAACGAATCTATAGAGTTATACCTCAAGTCCCTGACCTAAGCCTTTGCAGAGAATGAGGGGAGACCCATAGAAGGATAAAGAAGAAAAGGAAAGACAGGGGTCAAAATTGGAAATAAAATAACCCAAGAAAGAGAAAAGTCCATCCTATGTGTAAAAAGAGCTCTGGGAGATTGGTAAATGGGAGTACAGAGCAGGGCCTAAGAGTGAGTAGGGACAAAAACACTGATGTTAGAAAGGCATCATTTCTGGAAAGAAAGGAGGATAAAAAGGGGAGTGCAAGAAGGAAAAAGTATCCAGCAGGAAAAATGAGAACCCAAACCAAAAGACTATCCATCACTACTGCCATCATGCACAAAAAAAGAAAAAAGTTATTCATTGAAAAAAATCACACTATGCTACATTTTCAGAAGAGGTTTGCACTTGGACTAGAAAACACAAAATAATTAATAGATGAAAAAATGCCTATATAAATATCCAAAGCTTCTTTAAAAAGATAACAAACATGAAAGTCAAATATTTCAGCTAATGAAATCCACACCACTGAACGATAAAATCTCACAAAACAGAAGAAAATTATGCAGAATTAAAAGTTGAACTAAATATCCTCAAACGAGCATTCAGAAATATTAAAAAAGCAATTTAAACAAGAAATTCAAAAACCAAGAACAGAAATGGGGAAAAAAGCAGAAAGAAAGAAATAGTTTATTAGACATAGAAAGGGAATGGAAGAAAAGGAGAATACTATCAAAAAAAAAAAATAAAAACTGAATCACAAGATGATAAAAAGAAAAATTCAAATAATGAAGGAATTGAAGTAAAGGCACTAAAACAATGATGAAGAATGAAAATGATACCAGAGAAAGAAGTGAGAAGTACCAGAGAAAGAAGTGAGAAGTATCAGAGAAAGTGGTAGAAATAGAAGAAAGGCACATAATTATAACTGGAGTGCCTGAAAAAGAAAACCACAGCAATGAATCAAAACTAGTGTTTAAATTATAATCCAAGAAAACTTTCCAGAAATAAAAGAAGACCTGAATCGGCATTTGGAAAGGATCCAGGGGGTACTGGAAAAAATTAATCTGGTATGGTAAACTAACTCAAGACATCTTTCAGTAGAACTATGAAAAATGAAGAAAAATTCCTCAGAACCTCCAGGCACAAAAGTCACATAATTTATAAGGGACAGAAGAATTTGGCTAGCATCAGACTTGTTAAAAGAAACATACAAACCAAAGCAGTGGTGTAGATGCATTTTTAAGAAACTTTAAAAATTGAGAACCAAGGATTTTATATCTGGCCAATCTGTCATTCAAGTACAGACGTTATTTTAAAAAGTTTCAAATATGCAACAATTGAGGAAATAACAGTAACTTTCCTAAATTCAAAAAGTTTAAAATAAAGGAGAATCATATACAGAAACAAAGCAAATATAGTCAAATACACATAAAACTTACAACAAAGGTTTTCACATTATCTCACAAAGCAAAGACAGACTCCATTTATGCTACACAGGGAAGACAAACAAAAACAGATTCAGAAAGGTGAAAAATAGAATGATGGCAGCAGCATGGCAGGCAAATGCCATTTCCATATGGAAACTAAGGAAGACATTTAAAGCAAGGATAAGAAGCAAATTCATGGCCTCAAAAGCTTTAGCAATAAAAATGAAAGAGTGAAAATAAATGAATTAAATCCTTGACTTAAAAATCTAAATAAAGAATAACAAAATAAAGCAAAAAAAGTACATGAAAGGAAATACTCATGAGAAGAATAGTCTATTATATCTACCCCTCTGTGTATCTATTTTGCTGTTTTATATTTCTTCCCTACATTCTAGGATTCCTTCTTGCATCTCCTTTTTGTTTCCAGAACTTTTTAAATTTTAAGTTCTGGGTACATGTGCAGGATATGCATGTTTGTTACATAGGTAAACGTGTGCCATGGTGGTTTGCTGCACCTATCAACCCATTACTTAGGTATTAAGCCCAGCATTCATTAGCTATTTTTCCTGATGCTCTCCCTTCCCCTACCCTCCCCTGACAAGCCCCAGTATGTGTTGTTCCCCTCCCTGTGTCCATGTGTTCTCACTGTTCAGCTCCCACTTATAAGTGAGAACATGCAGTGTTTGGTTTTCTGTTCCTACATTAGTTTGCTGAGAATAATGGCTTCCAGCTCCATCCATGTACCTGCCAAGGTACATGATCTCATTTCTTTTTATGACTGCATAATATTCCATGGTATATATGTATCACATTTTCTTTATCCAGTCTATCATTCATGGACATTTGGGTTGATTCCATGCTATCAAAAAAGAGTTTATACAGCCAAGACAATCCTAAGCAAAAAGAACAAAGCTGGAGGCCTCAGGATACCTCACTTCAAACTATATTACAAGGCTACAATAACCAAAACAGCATGGTACTGGTACAAAAACAGGCACATAGACCAATGGAAGAGAATAGAAAACTCAGAAATAAAACCACGTATCTACAACCATCTGGTCTTCCACAAACCTTACAAAAGAACTTCAGTTAACCATTCTTTAAGGTTCTCTGCTAGCCACAAATTATCTTAATTTTCATTGATTAGAGAATGTCTATTTCCCCTTCATTCCTAAAGGAAACATCCACTGGATATGTAATTCATCTTGACAAATGTTCTGCCCCAACCTTCTGGCTTCCTTACTTTCACCTGAGAAGTCTGCTACAATTCAACTCAATTTTGCCCTGTAGGTGATGTGTCATTTCTCCATACCTGCTTTCAAGATTTTTTTCTTTTCATTTTAAAAGTTAACTTATAATGTATCTTGGCATGGATTTCTCTGGGTTTGTCTTACTTGGGAATCGCTCAGTATCTTCACTCTGCAGGTGTGTCTTTCACCACATTTGGGGAGTTTTAGCAATTATTTCTTAAAATGCTATTCAGCCCCACTCTCTTTTTCCATTCCTTCTGAAATTTTGATGATACAAATATTAGATCTTTTGTTACTACACCATAGGTCCCAGAGGCTCTGTCCTTTTTCCTGTGATTTTCTCTCAATTTAGATTGGGAGATTTCTATTGTTCTGTCTTCAAGAGCACTGATTGCTTCCTCTGTAATATTCACTCTGCTACCAAGTCCATTTATTAAATTTTAATTTCAGTTATTGTATTTTTCAGTTCTATAATCACCAAGTTGTTCTTTAAAAAAAAAATTCTGTGGTGAGATTTTATAGCCTTTTCATTTGCTTCCAGAGTATTTAAAACTGCTCCTTGAAGTGTTTTTATGATGACTGCTTTAAAACCCTTGTCACATAATCCCCACATCCTATTCATCTCAGTGTTGACATCTGTTGACTGTCTTTTCTCATTCAAGTTGTTATTTTCTCCATTCTTGCTATGATGAGTGGTTTTTCTACTGTGTCCAGTACATTTTTTATGTTAGAGACTGTGGATCCTATTTTAAATTTCTATTTCAGCAGACAGTCACTTTGTTTTTAGGTTTATCATGCAAGTCCTGGCCTACTTCTGTTTGCTATAGTTACAATGACAGTTTAGTTTTCAGAGCCTTTGCAGTACCAGTGCTATTCTGGTCAGCTTGATTCATCTGGTGCCCTGGTGCTCCGTCTCAGCCTCAAATCATGCTACCAATGTAGGAAGAATGTACTTCCCATGTCCTGTTGCCATGAGGTGGAGGTTGAGAGACACCAGGATTGTGGGCTAGGAGGTCGGTAAAGAGCAGAGGGCTCTTTCCTGGGCTGCCTAGTCCTAGCAGGGCATCTGTTAGATCCCTGCTGCTGCTACCTGCATGGGCAGCCTTCTTGGAGGGAATAGTAGATACCAGACCCACAGCATGGAGAGCATTTCCCTGGACCCTCTTTCTGAGTGTCTTCTGCCACTGGATGGAGTTTCAGGAGATGGCAGCCTGTAGTGTTTTTCTGTGAGTTCTGAGGTACCTAACTAGTCTGCCTTTCTATAGCATTAGGCTGGGATTGGAGCTATAATTATGAAATAATTATTTCATACACACACACACGTGTGCACATACGTGCAGTGAAAGGGCCTAGAAACAAGGACACACTGGTAGTAATGAGTGCACATACCACTCAGGTCTTGGTTTCCAAATACCATTCTCCTCTAAAAGGAACCAGGGCTCCTTGGAAAAATGGCTGATTCCAAGGCTAGCACGAGGAAAATCAAGAAAAGCCTGGAGCATTATAAATTTATAAAGACATGTCAAAAAGACATCCAGCTTAGGAACATTCAAAATGGCTAGGCCTGGAACTGATATTTGTGTATAACATCTGGTTTTTTTCATATAGATAGACTATTCCAGCATCATTTAGTGAAAAGTGACCTGCAAGACAATCTTGCTGAAATTGCTTTGAATCTGAACATCAACTGGGGAGAACTGAATTACATGAACCTTCATACATATAAATGTGTTTTATTTTTCTATTTATATCTTAGAAATTTTAAAATAAATTTCCCCATACAAATACTGTATGTATTTTGTTAGATTCATTCAGATCCTATGCATTTTTCTTCCTAATACATAAGGCATATTTTAAAAAAATATGTTTTCTGTGTGTTGCCAAAGAATAGAAATGCAATTGATTTTTTAATATTAAACTTATATCTAGCCATGGTATTGAATTCTTCTAATTTCTAATAATTTGTCAATTATTTTATTCTTTCTAGGTAAATATAATACTATAATAAATTTTGCTTCTTTCTGTTTCTTTCCTTTTCCTGTTATTTACTTTTCTTGCATTACTAGGCTAGTTTGGACCTTTAATAAAATGTGAAAAAGCACATTTATCTTTATATTGATTTTAAACAGAACACTCTAAATACCTTATTATCGGTAAGACTAATGACTGCTGAAGAATTTTACTGGGTTGAGAAAACTGTTATTTCTATCGTGTTACATGTTTTCATTATAAATGGGTGTTCAATTTTATCAATTTTATTTTCTGCATCTAATGGGATGATCATAAGATTTTTTCTCTTTTAATCTGTTAGTGTGATAACTTACATTTTTGGATTTTCCAGAAACGTCTTTGGATTCCTAGAATAAGCCAGATTTATCACAAGTGGATTATCTTTATCACATATATGGCTGTTCTTGAGTTACTAATCTTTTACACTTTTGTGTGTAAGGAATGTTTTTAATCTAGGTGAAATTTTGAATCTATGCTCACAAGTAAGAATATCCTTTCTCATACTATCCTTATCTGGCCTTAGTACTGAGCTTCAGATTATCTTGGAGGTTCCATTTCCCTTCTTGTAATGATTCTCATGCCTCATGATGCACACAAAGTTCCCCTTTGTAAATTTTGTAAATTTCAGCATGAGCTCAATTCAATAATTACTTTGTTACCAAAAACTGGAGTCTCCCATTAAATAGTGAATTTGCTTCTATTGACGTTAAACTCTAAAATGAATCACTTAGATCTAAAAATACCTTGTTCAGGTTGTGTGTAATAAATACTTATTTTTGCCAAAGATATACAGAGCTAAAAACAGAAAATAATACCTAGGGGGCTTAAAAAACATGTAAGCTGAACATTTGGTTAAATCTCAACTTTTCCCTCCTTAGATTTTTTGTTTCTTTGATATTCTTGATTTTAAAACTTAGTCAATTCATGTTCTTTCCAGTCTACTACTGAAAATGTTGTTGAAAATGAAGACAGTTAATTTTCCTTTGAGTGCAGCCTTGGCAGAATTTTTTTTGATGTTTATGGACACTCTTCTATTTATTGTCATTTTTCAATAGTTTGCAACTGAAATTCTGACCTCCTTTTGAGTTATTAAATTGCTCAATTTTTCTGAAGTGAAAGAATTATATATTACAAGTGTAATGTCAATATGTGAATTTCTACAAAGCTTGCCTGCCTAAGGACAGGTGGCCTGGGTAAAGAGTCAAATTGGTAGAACCAACAAAGAATAATAAAAAGACAAAAAAAGCATCATGCCATTCATTCAACAACTTAGTGGACAAATCTTTCTATATTTTCACCATAAAGGATGGGAGAATGCCTCCAACAAGAAGAAAATAGCAACTCCTTCCATTTTGTTCTCTTGTATTGTGGGTAGGAACCTATCTCCTCAACTTGTAACATTTCCAGACTTATCCTTTCAATATATAACATGTAAACATACAGTTCATTTCTTCTGTCACCCAGGGTGGAGTGCAATGGGGTAATCATGGCTCACTGTAACCTTCCAGGGCTCAAGCGATCCTCCCACCTCAGCCTCCTGAGTAGTTGGGATCACAGGCTCATGCCACCATGCCCAACTAGTTTTTCTATTTTTTGTAGAGACGGGGTTTTGCCATGTTGCCCAGGCTGGTCTCAAACTCCTGGGCTGAAGCTCTCTGTCCACGTTGGCCTCCCAAAGTGCTGTGATTATAGGCGTGAGCCAGTGTGTGTGGCCCAGGGTTTATTTTTTAATAGAAGAACATCACAGACCAGAGAAAAAGAATATTGTCTGTCTCATATTAAGAGAATTTAGGAGTTCCACTACCTGCCTAATAACTTATTTTACTAGGAAACCATGGAGGTAATATGGGCCATCCATCTGCATATTTGGGAAGAAGCCAAACAAAAATTAGGTAGTGGCTGAGTTCAAATTAGAAGGGGCTGGGAGACCATAAGGAAAATGTTAAAAGGACAAAAGTAATGGAGTCTGAAGTTGGAAGCAGAAGGAAAGAGAGACAGATGATGGACAGATGCAGAGGAAAGAAAAGGAGAAAGCTGGCAAGAAACTACAAACTTGAGTTATGTTGAAGGGAAGGTTAATTGAAGCTAAAGAGAGAAACTCAAGACAAACAAATTTTAAAAAGCAAGGCTGTATGGATATAGCAGAATGAAACATAAAGGAAGAGTGGCCTGAAAGTTAGTTGTGAAATATGTGAGCTAACTTCCTGAAAATGATTTCTAGTCCTTGCTAAGGACTATTTCTTTACATATCTATCTGCCTTAGATAGTAACTATTTTTAAGACAGTAGCTATTTATTAACTATAAATCATTAGCATTTTAAAGCATATTAACTGTGTTCAGTTTACAGAAATAAAAAGTAGAATTTAAATAAACTGCATTAAAAACATTGAATCTTACCCAAAAGTTGAGTTTAGATACTCCCAGTTTTTGAATTTCATTTCTCTTTAGAATTATTGCCTAAAATGCACATAAGGGAAAATGAAACAATTCAATACAATTAACATTTATATTTTGTATAAATGGTACATTTCAAAAATTATATAGCCACCCTGTTCCATCTCAGCTATCACCAGCCATTTTCCTCCTTAACTGTTGATTTTTCAAATTTTTGACAAATTTTGGCAAATTCCCTTGAGGTGAAAGTTAAATGGTTTGTGTGTCAAAAAGTTGCCTCGTTATTTCCTCACTTAAATACCCTGTCCATTTTCTGCAGGATAATTCCTCTACAAAGATAAATGGTATGTGAGCAGATGAGAGCATCCATGCAAGTCTGTATGTCAGTTATCCAGCAACGTTCGTGAACTAAACTAACATGAAAATCCTTCCTCTCCAAATTGCCGAATAAAATATTTAAACATGTTTAAAAAATGTATACTCATGTGAAAGAGAAAGAACTTCTCCGATGCTAGAAAAAAGATTATTTTTAAAAAAATACAGTATTAATCAGCAGAGAACTACCACCCCTGGCAGTCTTTATAAAGGCCTGTAGAATAAGGTTCCAACTATAGCCTTGTATTGTAAGGGGGAGGGCAGCAGAAGAGGCCTTGGGTCTATGCAAGGTAAGAAGTTGGAATTGAGACTAATACATAAAGCTAGGGTCCTCAAAACTATACCTGCAGTGCTATGCACTGAGTATTTGTGTCCACCTCAAATTCAGACTGAATCTTTAATCCCCAGTGTGATAGTGTTTGGAGGGTGGGCCTCTGGGAAGTAATTGAGTCATGAGGGTGAAACCCTCATGAATGGGATTAGTGTGCCTGTATTACAAGAGACTAGAGAGTTGATGTCTCTCTCTACCATGTGAGGACACAGTAAGAAGGCTTCTGTCTGCAAACCACAAAAAGGGCTTTCACCAAGAACCAAATCAGCTGGCACCTTGATTTTTGAACTGCTCAGCCTCCAGAACTGTGAGAAATAAATTCCTGTTGTTTAAGCCACCCTGTCTGTGGTACTTTTGTTATAACAGCCCAAACTGACTAAGACACACAGTGACTAAGAATACTTCACCTACCATCTCTACAAGTTGATAGGTTATTTGTTTATTCCCAAGTTTGGGGTGAAAACAGTGCTCTCATGAGAAACTGAATTCTCGGACTTGGGTATTATTTAGACTTGGACTCCAATTTTCTATCATTTAGTTGGTGCAGAAATTCCCAAAGTTAGCCAGGATTACTAAACTTCCAATAGGAAAATATAAACGTATCAGATTATTCATTGCAACATTGTTTGTAAATGCAAAAGTTAGGCAACAACCTAAATGCCCAGACATAGGAGAGTGACTGAATTACAGTAAATCCAAAGCAGAACACTAGGAAACTACCAGAAAGAATGAGGAAAATCTCTATGAACTGATATCCAGGATAGGTTGTTAAATGAAAAAAAAAAAAAGTCAAAAGACTATCTTTAATATAAGAAGAGGAGATATAAAAAATATACATGTAACAGTTATTAGTACTTTAAAAAGCCAACTAAATGGGTCAACCAGAAAACTAATGAGATTTCTTACCTACAGGGAATAGACAGTAACAGGGTGAAAAGAAAGGTGGAGAGAATGTGCTGGAAGGAATAGTGGGAAGTATTTTCTGAGTATAATTTTATATATATATATATATATATATATATATATATATATATATCTTCCTCATTGAAACATGGTAATGTTTCACCCAAAGTAACTAAAATCAATCAGAATGAAACTTCTGCTTCTGTCCAAGTTTGTATAACAGGAACCACATTTACTTTCTTACCCTAAAAAACTAAAATACCAAGCAAAATAGATTATAGAGACAACTATGAACAATTATATGCCAACAAATTAGATAACTTATAAGAAATAAATTTCTAGAAACATACAACCTACCAAGAGTAAATTATGAAAACACAAAAAAAACTCAACAGATCTATAATAAGGAGATTAAATCAGTAATAAAAAATTTCTCAACAAAGGAAAACCTCGAACCAGATGGCTTCACTGGAGAATTCTATGAAACATTTAAATAAGAATTCACACCAATCCTTCTCAAGCTCTTCCAAAAAACTGAAGAGAACACTTCTACACACATTTTGTGAGGCCAGCATTACTCTGATACCAAATCCAGAAAAAGATACTACAAGAAAACTACAGGCCAGTATCTCTGATGAATATAGCAACACACACACACACACACACACACACACACACACAAATATTTCTTTTAAAAATGAGCAAAGGACTTGAATAAACAGTTCCCCAAAGAATAAATACAAATGTCCAACAGGTATTTAAAATGATGTTCAACATCACTTATCATCAGGGAAATGTAAATCAAAACCACAATGAGATACCACCTCAAACCTGTTAGGATGGTCATTATAAAACAAAACAAACCAAAACTAAACCAGAAGTAACAAGTCTTGGCAAAAATGTAGAAAAATTGGAATGCTTATGCACTGTTGGTGGGAATATAAAATAGTGCAGCCAAAGGGCACATCAGGTAGTCTACACAGAAGAGTTTGCTTCAGAGAGCAGCAATATTAGCCATAAACTAACCAGTACTTTAATTCCAGCTAACAAATCTTAAAAGCAAGACCTGAAAAGATCAGCCTATGTTCAAGTGGCTTAACTGCATCACAGAAAAAAGCTCACGAATATCTATAGGAATAAGAAAATAATCCAGCAGCTAACAAGGTAAAAGTCACAAAGCCTGGCATCAAAGTAAACATTGCCAAGCATGCAAACACTTAAGAAAACACAACCCTGATATGAGAAGAAGAAACAATTAATTGAAACTGACACAGATGACAGAATTAGCAGGTGGAGGCACTGAGGCAGTTAGTATAATTGTATTACACATGGTGAAGAAGTGGTAACAGAGAAAGAACATGTTAACTAGACACACAAAAATACTTCAAAGATCCAAAATGAACTTTTAGTATGAAAACTGCAATGACTTAAAAGAGAAATACACTGGATGTGATTAACAACAGGTTAGATACTGCAGAAAAACAACTAGTGAACTCTTGAAGACACAGCAATAGTAACTATCCAAAATTAAATAAAGAACAAAAATAAACATAGGCTCCATGAACCACTGAACAATTTCAAGCAGCCCAATATGCATGTAATGAGAGTCCCTTAATGAAAGTGAGGTGGGGAGGCAGAAAAATATTTGAAGAAATAATGGCCAAAATTTTTCCAAATTTGATAAAAATTGTAAACCTAAAGATCTAAGAATTTCAATTAATCCTAAATACAAGAAACATAAAGAAAGCTATAGTAAGGCACATTATATAAACAAACTGCTCAAAATCAGTGGTAAAGAGAAAATCTTATCTCTAGCTGGGAATAGCTAGAGAAGTAACATATTATTTACAGACAAAAGTGTAGGGATGTCAACAGATTTCATAAGAAAAAAATGCAAACAACAAGACAAGTCAAGCAGCATCTTTTAAATTCTTAAAAAAAAGTGCTGTTAACCTGCAATTCTACACCCAGGAAACATACCTTTCAAAAACGAAGGCAAAATAAAGACTTCATGACCAGGTGATTTGCACTAAAGGAAATGTTAAAGGAGGTCTTTCAGACAGCAGGAATACAGTAAGTCAATCTGGCTGTACACAAGTAAAAGGCACCGAAAATGGTAACTACAGGGTAAATATATAACATTTTAAAAATTTCAAATACTTTTAAAAGGTAATTTACTGTTTAAATAAAAACAAAAATTTATTGAGATTTCTATATCACGTTTAAGTAAAATGTATGACAACATGAAATAAATTTAAAAATGTACTTTATCAAAATATGTGGGATGTTGATAAAGCAGTACTTTGAGAAAAGTTTATAGCACTAAACACCTGTGTTTAAAAACAAAAAACAAAAAACAAGAAAGGTCTCAAGTCAATGACCTTGCTTTATACCTTTAAAAAAAAAAAAAGACTAGAAAAAAAGGAGAGCAAAACCCAAAGTAAGCAAAAGAAATGAGGTAATAAAGATTGAGTAGAAATCAATGAAACAGAAAACAAAAACAGTAGAGCAAATCAATGAAAACAAAAGCTGGTTCCTTGAGAAAATTAATAAAATTGATATACCTCTAACCAGACTGATCAGAAAAAAAAAAATAGAACACAAACATCTAATACCAGGAATGAAAGAGGAACTATCACTACAGATACTATAGATACATAAAAGAAATAAAATATTATGCCTTTGTCAATGAATTTGACATCGTAAATAAAAAAATTCCTTGAAAGATACAACCAAAGTTCACTCAAGAGGAAATGGATAACACGAATAGCCTTATACCTTATTAATGAAATGGAACTTGTAGTTAAAAACATTCCTACAAAGAAAGTCCTAGATGGTTTCACTGGTAAATTCTACCAAATATTTAGGGAAGAAATCATAAGGATTTTACACAAATTCTTCAGAAAACTGGAGAAGAGGGAACACTTCGTAGCTCATTTTATGAGGCCAGCATTGCCATGATACCAAATAAGACAAAGATGTCACAAGAAAACTATGAACCAATTATTGTCATGAACTTAGGTGCAAAATCATAAGTACAATTTTAGGAAGCTGTATCCAACAAAAAATAATAAAACAGCATGACCAAAGTGAGGTCTATTCAAGGAATGCAAAGATGCCACAACATCTGAAAATCAACCAATATAATGCAGCACATTAACAAAACAGAAAAGAGAAACTATATGATATCATATCTTCAAAATTCATTTTTGAAAAAACTCAGCAAGCTGAACAGAAGGGAACTTCTTTAACCTGATAAAGGGCTTCTCTGAAAAATCCTATAGCTAACGCAGTTACTTAAGGATGAAAGACTAAACAATTAAGCAAAACTTACATTTCAAAATGAGCCATTTAAAATAAGATATTTAAAAATACTAAAATATGTGAAAGAATGACACAAATCAAAATTAGAAAAACTGAGAAATGAGCTGACAGAAATCAAATAATTTGAAATAAAACAAAAATAATTTCAGACATAAAAAACTAGAAGGAATATGAGGAAATGAACATAATAATAATGCCTTAAGAGCTATAAAAGGTGAAGAGAAGAAACTTTTAGAAATAAAAAAAGAAATAAGATAAAAAGTATTCAAGAGAAAGCGATACGTTTATAATGTATCAAAACTTGTAACACTTTTAATAACAACCCTTTTGGACAGAAGTAAAACAAGTACTCAAAGCAAAAAATAAAACAGACAGCCAGGTGTGGTGGCTCACACCTGTAATCCCAGCACTTGGGAGGCAGAGGCGGGCAGATCACCTGAGGTCAGGAGTTCGAGACCAGCCTGGCCAACATGGTGACACCCCGTCTCTACTAAAAATGCAAAAATTAGCTGGGCGTGGTGGCAGGCGCCTGTAATCCCAGCTACACGGGAGGCTGAGGCAAGAGAATCTCTTGAACCCAGGAGTTGGAGGTTGCAGTGAGCCAAGACTGCACCATTGCACTCCTGCCTGGGCAACAAGAGGGAAACTCCGTCTCAAAAAAAAAAAAAAAAAACAGAAGAAGAAAAGAAAGAAAAAGTAAAAATAAAAGAGACAAGAATTTTACATAGAGCCAACTTCACTTTCAAGTAAAAGGCGACAAAACAAACTGTGACAAACACATCAGAATTGAAGGAATTCTCTTGTAGAACAAGACTAAAATAACCAAGATAACTAGGAGATAACGACATAAAGACTGGTGATAAATAAATGCATATTTGTTCACATAAAAACATGAAATAAGATTGATAAGGCAGAAAATACAGTATGCAATACTCTATGTTCTGACAATATAGATACAGAATTAGTAAAAAAAATGGGTGAAGAGAATGAAAGAAGGATATGCAAAAAATTCTTTATTTCTCATAATCATGTGCGTGGTGCAGTATAGCAATTCTCATGCATACACTTTGGGAGAAGGCAAATGGATATATGATATTCTATCATCCCCTGGCTTCTTGAGACCCAAGCGAAACAAAAAAACAAATACAGGATAGAAAGAGTTAAGTAAAAACCCTATATTCTTGAATTTGATTTGGAAATACCCATCAGAACTTGTGAGCTAGTTTACCATAAATGCATGCACACACACACATGCACACACACATATTTTCATGGTATATTTTTAAAGAAAGAGAGCGAGCCTGCAACCTATAATATTTCCTAGCTCTGCCCACTAATAAGGCCTAGAAACAATGACCTACTTAGTAGCAATGAGCATCCATGGGTCCCAGACTGCAGTCTTAAAACACCATTTCCCCAATAAAGGCAAGAAGGGTGCCTTGCAGGAATGGCTTCCTCCAGGTTTTGGGCAGGAGTACACAAGAGAGACCTGGAAAAACTTGTCATACATGACACAAGTATGCTATCAGACCACCAGTGTCATGTCAGAGAACTTAGGAGAAATATAAAGAGGCTCCCCTGGTCAACAGAGAAACAATCTGAGAATGAGTAAAGATATTAATTTCAATTAACTTGAAATACATCAAAAATGTTTAAATCCCTATGTTCCTAATGAAACCTAAACACACACATACACAGCCCAAAGAGCCCACATTTGGAAGATGACAGGGAATCAATTCATTATTTTTAAAACTTGCAAATAAAGAGGTAAATCAACATTTACTTTACTTTTCCTAAATGAACTTTAGATGACAGATTAGAATGTGACCACTTTGCAATCCCTAATGAATTAACAGATCCAGCATAAGGCACTGAAGGCTAGTACCATAAAGAGAGACATTATGTGCCTTTTAATGAAAGAACAATACTAAAGACTTGCAAAAGTGATCAAGCCTGAAGCAATCCAAGTTTCAGATCCAATTTCTAATAGATCAAGCTATACCATGAGACAAAGGAACATGCTTAGCTATACCACAAGAACTCAAAAAGCAAAATCTGGACCATGAAATCCTCCACATGTTCTATGACTGTGGTTCTTCAACAAATAAACTTCATGAGGATAAAACCAGGCAGATATGCAGGAAACTTGTAGCTAAAAAGAGAAACTTAAGTGATGAAACTATAAAGGAATGCTGGAAAGTTACTATCATAGCAGTCAAGATAGTCATTATCGTTTTAGGGCAGTACAAGGGAGTGCTTTGGGACAGGTCACATGGAGGCTTCTACACTCATTTAGAAAGTTATAATTTTGATATAATGGTAGTTTAAGAATGTTTGCCACATAATACATAACACAGTCAGCCCTCCACATCCATGGGTTCCAGTTGCTGCAGATTCAAACAACAGCAGATAGAAAATATTTGAAATAATAATAATACAACAGTTTAAAAAGTACAAATGAAAAAACAATACAGTATACAACTATTTGCATAGTATTTATATTGCATTAGACGTTATAAGTAATCTAGAGATGATTTAAAGTATATAGGAAGAGTGCATAGATTATATGCAAATAACACACCATTTTATATAAGAAACTTGAACATCTGCAGATTTTAGTATCCACAGGGGTTGGGGGTGTCCTGGAATCAATCCCTGCAGACACGAAGGGGACATTGTACTCATCAGTATTAGCCAGCTCTAAGTCAGCACACAAAACATTTGCTTTATGCAGTTTTATCTGTACTATATTTCAAAATAAAAAAGTTTTCATTAAATGAGGTAGATGAGCACACTATTAGGAGTCCTCTACTCTGTAATGGTGAAATAGTTTGACAAAATGTTGGAAAGAAAGAGCATTTTTTCTGGGAGAGAAAGAGGAGGGATTACTATGAGGGAAAAAGGATATGGAAAGCAAAAATGTTAAAACATAAGGGCAATCCCAAAAGATTAAATCACTGCACCATACATGGAAAAGTGCTATATTTTGGCATTACCGTAGTTGGTATCATTTCTGATCAGTGTGGAGATGGGAGGTACAGGACAATATTCTAGGTTCTGGCTTATAGATATCAGAAGTATAACTACAATGTAATAGAACTGATTTACTAAACCACCCTTCCAAACACATATCCAAAAGAGTGTCATTCCATGTAGTTCCCATGAAGAGACTGCACATTTATTCTAATTATCTTGCCATCGCTCAAAGTAGTTTGGAACTACACTTTCTAAACTGCCTTCAGAAATAATTTAGTTATAGGTGCAAAATAATCGGTCTTATGACTTTACTGTCACACCATCGTTTCAGCAAGATCTGTATTACCCAGCCCAATCACACAAAATATTCAGAAAATTTTGGTCATTTCCAAAGATCAAACCCACTCTTGAAAGGCAAGACATACTAAAGAATGTGCCATAGTCTGTGAAGGAAACTCAGAGAAGTTCCAAAAATGTTCTGGGCAATGGCAGTGTCACTGCAATGAGTACTTAACATCCTCAAGTGACTTAGGAGAAAAGAAGTCATTTTTGTCATAAAATGGGATATGATTAAAGTAAGTCTTATTACTTTATGATCATTTTTAAATATTTACTTGGGCACTGTCTTAAAAAGAAAAACTTCCTACTATAATATTTTTCAAGGATAAGATAGATAAAAAGCTTTGCTTGGGAAGAATTTTGTCATGTTGAGTGATAATCAGGAAAGGGCCTATTTATTCTCTTATACCTGTTTTAGACAGGAAAACATGCTATTTGGCAGGTTAAAAAAACCCAACTTTATGAACTAAACACTTACCCACGTCATTAACAAAGATGAAGAATAAGAAGAAGATAAGTACATTGAATTTCCAAACATCAAAATGAAACTAAGGGTAACTGAAATCTGAAAAAAAAGAAAAAAATACATTTTATGGTTATTACATATATTGGCATAATGCATATTTTGTAGGTATATAGCCATTTCTAATGCAAATTTATTTGCATAAAGATGAACGACTCTTGGCCAAATGATAATAGAATTTCAAGTCACTGCTAGATTCTAAGTATTAAAATTCAAGACCATAAACTCTATCTGGCAGAATTTAACTTTTTCTCCATCTGCTACTTGGAACAATGAAAAATAAGTCTATGATTTCTATTGTTTTAACAATGGAGTAATATAATAAGAAAGACTTAGTTATAAATACCAGTTTTACTAATCATATTTTTGTTAGACTTCAGGACTTCTATTATTTATGAAGCTTTACTAACTTTTTATGTTTTTAAGGAAGCTATGTTTGGGACCTAAGCCCAAAACAAAATTGCAAGAATATAAAATTTCAGTTAGAGTGTCATATTCAGGCAAAATGCTAAAAATCTCATGTCTGAGAAAGAAAAGGCAGTTTTAAAAGTAGTAATAATAATAAGTAAAACATAAAAATAAAAGTTCTAGAGAATAAAACACATCTACAGTCCAGTTGAAAGTATAATCTGTTATAATATGTCATCTATAATATACATTTCCAGTTTTCCTTCGGGATATCACCAATACCATATGTATTAAATATTACCAAAGAGGAGGTACCCTATAAAACAGAATCACTTCGATTTTATAAACTCTGAGAACCTATCTTAATATTTGACTTATATATATTAAAAATGTTACCATGTTCATATAAATGATCTTCTGAAATTTGCTTGGTTCAATGTATCCCACAACATACATGGGAAATAATGATGCTATCTGAAATAATATAAAAAAGCAAAAGTGAAAAAAAGTATAGAAAACTAACACTTTACTATTCACAGGCAAAGTAAATATAAGAGGAGGGCTACAGTTCTAATAATGGTAAGCAAAGGAATTTGAACCAACCTTCCCACTAAGAACTAGAATGGCTAGGAAAAATATAAATATATAAATAAAAATATTTTAAAAATATGTATAAAAGCCACAGACTATTAACAAAGCAAATGAGGAATTAAAAAGATAGATGGCAATCTATACCGATGAGCATGACATTTTGGGCCACTTTTCTCCCAGAGGTATCTGCCAATTTCAACAGAGGCAGATGCCTGCCAGCTGAGAGGCAGTTGGGAGACCAACAAGCTGAGCAGGCATTTCAGCAGATTCAGCAGTCAGAGTGCACCAAGAAGGGTGCTTTAGTTTGGAGTTTCAAAAGTCCATACTATAATAGTGAACCAGAAATCAAGCAGCCCTCAGAAAGACTGAAACCCATCTATGGATCATCTCAATCTGATTGCATAAAAGTGGTTCAAGATTTATTAGTGCTTTTTACTCGCCTCTCCAATTTTTCATGTATAATGTCCAGCACCACATCAAAAATAACCCAGCATAGATGGAGATAAGACACTATCACTAACACAATAGAAATAGATCCACAAAAGATTTAGATCAGGGATCAGCACACTTGTTATATAAAAGGCCAGATAATAAATATGTTATGCTTTGTTGGTCACATACAGTCTCTTGTATGTATATTCTTTTTCTACTTTTGTTCTATAACCCTTTAAATATATAAAAACTATTCTTAGCTTGGAGATCACTCAAACACTTCTCTGGCATAATCAGATATATCTTTAAACTATGCTTCAAATGTTCAAGGAAGTAACTGATAGGATTGAAAATTCCAGGAGAGCACAGAAGTCATAAAAAAAAATTGGGCCAGGCATGGTGGCTCACGCCTATAATCCCAGCATTTTGGGAGGCCAAGATAGGAGGACTGCTTGAACCCAGGAGTTCAAGAGCAGCCTGGGCAAGATGGTGATACCTCATCGCTACAAAAAATTAAAAAATTAGCCAGATGTGGTTGCACAATGAACTAATTTTAACCTTAATCTATGAAAAACACAATTAAGAATAAAATCTTAAAGTACTCCCAGAAAATAACATTGAATTATCCCTCTGTAAGCATGAAACACACACATACAAACAAAACTATATACACTAGTAAAGAAAAATAAAAGACTAGTATATATCCAGAGAATGACTAGAAAATCATTAACAGCAATATCAAACTTACCCAATAACTTCTTTTTTTTTTTTTTGAAACTGAGTCTCACTCTGTCACCCAGGCTGGAGTGCAGTAGCGCGATCTCGGCTCACTGCAACCTCCACCTCCTGGGTTCAAGCAATTCTCTGCCTCAGCCTCCCAAGATTACAGGAGCCCACCATCATGCCCGGCTAATTTTTTTGTATTTTTAGTAGAGACGGGGTTTCACCATCTTGGCCAGGCTGGTCTTGAACTCCTGACCTCAAGTGATCCACCCGCCTCAGCCTCCCAAAGTTCTGGGATTACAGGCGTGAGCCATCGCGCCCGGCCCCAAAGAGCTTCTTAGTTTCATCAGTATCACTGGATTAATAAATTTGCTTGCAATGAAATGATGCTCATTAAAAATCTATTCTACTCTGTTGGCATGTGCAAATAATGAAAACCATAGAATAATGTCTGTGTTATAACCTGAAAGGGGCCAACTATTATGAAGTAAAACAGAGGGAATACTTTAAACATGAAGCACCAATTGAGCTGGGGTTATAATTTCATTCTTTGTAGGCTATTGGCAGCATGAGACTTCTTGGCAGAATTTCTCACTTCCAATATAGAATATTATTATTATCATCAGCATTTGTTATGTAGGAAGGAGCTCTGATGGAAAATCTTAGTATCATGAAATGTCATCAAAATTCTCCATTTACTCTCTGCTTCCCCAGTTCAGTTTTTTGTTACTAGTTATGTAGTTGCTTTAGAAACAGGATATGGGCTCAGCTCACTTAAGCAATGATGAGCTTTATGATTAAAGCTCGCAGAAATGGTTCCAGGTAAAATTCTGCTCTACAGACAAAACAGCCAACATTTAGCTGAATTAGAAGCAGAACGTCCTGCTGTGAAGAGTAGGATTGGCCCTTAGCATGCTGCGTAGCTTGGCACCCAGAATGATTCTCAGGACAAAAGGAAAATCTATAGGTAGATATATACAGATATTATCTCAAACACCAAAAATAACATTTGTGAATAAAAATAATAGAAAAAGTCTTTCACATGTCGAGCCTTAAAATCTGTCAAACTAACCAATACAGTAAAAGAATGTGGAATTATATTATTTCATAAAAATCATACCTTTAAGTAAACTTTATTCCCTATTTTGAAAATCTTTTAGGGCGTAAATGTAACCATATTTAAAAATTTCTATGGAAACAACCAAGTACATCTTGCATTCAACTTAATTAATATACACAAACGAATATAAATCATTCTATTACAAAGACACGTGCACCCATGTCTTCACTGCAGCACTATTCACAATAGCAAAGACATGGAATTAACCCAAATGCCCATCAGTGATAGACTGGATAAAGAAAATGTGGTACATATATACCATGGAATACTATGCAGCCATAAAAAGGAACAAGATCAGGTCCTTTGCAGGGACATGAATGGAGCTGGAGGCCATTATCCTCAGCAACAGGAGCAGAAAACCAAACACCACATGTTCTCACTTATAAGTGGGAGCTGAACAATGAGAATACATGGACACAGGGAGAGGAACAACACACACTGGGGCCTGTCAAGGGATGGGGTGGGGAAAACATTAGGAAAACCAGCTAATGCATGCTGGGCTTAATACCTAGGTGATGGGTTGATAGATGCAAAAACCACCATGGCATACATTTACCTATGTAACAAACCTGTACATCCCGCACATGTACCCCAGAACTTAAAATAAAAATAAAAATTAATTTAAAAAAATCATCTTACCTGTGTAAAAAGTATAAACTGAGCAAATTGCCAGGGAAGCATAAAAGCAACATTGGAAAGACAGAGTGCAATGAAGGGCCTTCTATCATTGCTTGAGGTCCTTAATAGAGAGAATTGATACCAGTAAGTTTCACCCTAAAAATGGGCTGTCACTGAAAAGAAAGACTAATTGCAAAATGATAAAATCTACATTATTCCATTACCTTTACTATAATACAACAAAATATAGTTAACTTTTTAAAGTATACTAAAAAGAACTTGAAATACTTCATTCCTTGCATGAAACAATCAAAATTAGAGTTTTAAAATTAACATTGTAACTTACCATTAAATATTTTAAATACAAAAGCTCTTTTTCCTCTACATATGCATGACATTAGAAATTTATTACTCCAGCAAGGAGGTCAGAAAATAGGATGCGGCGCTACCCCTGCACACCTCAACATGCTTCTCCTGTATGTGTAGCAACAACTTTTGTATACCACCACTTTTGTGCTTCAAAAAACATTGAAGAGAAATATAAGTGCTGACAAAGTAATAAGTTAAAAACTATGGGAAAAATTTAAGGAAAAGGAATCTTAAAAAATTAAAAAATCATTCTAGAATTCAGCTGAAGCATGTGGAAGTTTAAATTGTCCATTCTGCATTACTGAGATGTATTGGGAACCAATACCTTTTACCACAGAGAATTACAGTAACTTTTAGATATGAAAAAAGAAACACAAACATTTTACATAAATAATAAAACTGTAACTCTTCCTTTTATAAATTCTGTATTGGATTTTGATGAATCTTTGTACAATCATATATAAATTTTCAAAAACAAAATTCTAAATGTTCATATTGTTTACAATATTATCATAAAATACTCATTATGTACTTTGTAATCTTATATTTTTCAGACAAAAATTACTTTTGACTAAGACACAGAGTATAGCACATGCCCTCAATGATACAACCCTAAATGTTCTCATTAAGACATTTTATTCCATGAAACCCCTGACTGACCAGACTGATATCACTTCAAAAAAATAAAAATAACCCACCTTCGTAGGAATTAAACTGGGAATGAATAGCAAGGGGTGATGAAGAATGGGCAGCTTCCATCACCTAATCTTTGAGAGAAGGCAAAGTGCCGAGCAAAGCTATAGAAATCTGAATGAGGAGAGGTTCCTAAATCCAAATTCAACCCCAGAATATACTTGTCAGGTTGGTAAGAAATCAGAAGTTAGCCTGCTCCATTCTCAAGGTTTGTGCCACCCCAGTACACTACTATTTACCACTCTTCAATTAGCTTTATCTGAATGCCACAAATATTTGCATGGACGTGTGCAGTGTTCTGTGGTTAAAGAGATAAATATGGCATGGTCCCTGTTTCCAGTAGTACTTTTAAATACATATAATTGGCCAGGCACAGTGGCTCACACCTGTAATCCCAGCACTTTAGGAGGCTGAAGTGGGTGGATCACTTGAGGTCAGGAGTTCGAGACCAGCCTAGCGAACATGGTAAAACCCTGCCTCTACTAAAAATACAAAAATTAGCTGGGGGTGGTGGCGTGCACCTGTAATCCCAGCTACTTGGGAGGCTGAGGCAGGAGAATCGCTTGAACCCGGGAAGCAGAGGTTGCAGTGAGCCGATCGTGCCACTGCACTCCAGCCTGGGTGACAGAGCAAGACCTCATCTCTAAATAAATATATAAAGATTTGTGTATGTGTGGAAGATTCATAAGTTTACTGTTTTAAAAAACAAGGAAGACAAACAAATGATTTTTATATAAGGCAGAATCTGCCAGGGACTAGTAGGTGAAGAATGGGGTCCTCTGGGAGTTTGGAGGAGATAGTGATCATTATTTCATTCAGTGAGAGTTCTCATTAGTATTCTATCAAACTTATTTCTCTGATAAGGTTATTTATACTATTCTACCACTTATGGGGTTTTTTGTTCATTTCTCAGACCTCTTAAATATCTAAAGTGCTTATAAATGTAATCCCTACAAAAAAAGTGTATCCAAAAAAAAAGTTTGAAATGAAACTGGTTGTCCTGTTAGAAACATTGGTTGTTCAGAAATGCTTCATAAATATGTGAACATATGTACTCCTTATCCATCTAACTCTGCATTTCCCAAATTCATTTGCCCAGAGAACATTTTTTTCATGGCACAGTTATCAAAACCACAGGTTAGAAAACAATGTCAGAGTACTTAGACTGTGAAGAGAAAATGTAATTGTTTCTCAAAAACTTTTGAATCTTGGCAAACTATATACAAACACATACCTTTTGGTTTATTAAAACATAATGTAGTTATCTAAAACCTGTAGCCTACACTCTTAAATGGAGAGCAATTTTTACATAGCAATTTTGAATTATTTTCTTAACTCTATACTCAATTTACTTTTAAAATAACTAAAAAGTGGTCTAAATTTGGTAATTACAACTTCATAGATTGAAGTATATATATGTAATATATATATTTACATTTTTTTAGAGGGAGTCTTGCTCTCTTGCCCAGGCTGGAGTGCAGTGGCACAATCTCAGCTCACTGCAATCTCTGCCTCCCGGATTCAAGCAATTCTCCTTCCTCAGCCTCCCAAGTAGCTGGAATGACAGATGCACACCACCATGCCTGGCTAATTTTTGTATTTTAGTAGAGATGTGGTTTCACCATGTTGGCCAGGCTGGTCTCGAACTCCTGACCTCAAGTGATCCACCCACCTCAGCCTCCCAAAGTGCTGAATTGAAGTATATTTTAAGAAACTTAAATTATAATTTATTTGCCTTTGTTTTACAAATCAAAGTTACCTGAGAATCAAAGTTAAAATATACATCTGAAGTACAAGGAAAGGATAGGAAAAACTTTCATGGAGAGGTGGTGTCCACATCACACGGGTGGCCTGCAATCAACAAAATGCCCACTTTACATCCTGTTTACTACAACAAACATATTAAAAAACCAGGGGTGAGTTTGTTTTAGTAATTTTAATACTAGGCTCACTAGATCCCATTTCTGAGTGTCTGGCATAGCTTCTCAGTTTTTGAAGCTCTCTTAACTCATGAGGCCATTATGTAGAGAGCAATTAACTACCATGTCCAGAAACCAGCAACAGATATATCAGACCGAGCAAAAGGAAACCCAAGGGACAAATAAGATTGTACGTATAAGAGTTGTGAGAATTCTGGGACTGACCAACTAGATCCACAGCCCAGCCCCGCAGTATGATCCTGGCATATGATTCTTGGCATCCCAGGCTTTGGGATATATGCATGCCAAGACAAATAGCTAAACAAATGTCACCTAGGTCATTTGCAAGCACTGAGAGAGTTTCTACATAACAAGTATGAATGAATATAAATACACACTTCGAATAGCTATGATTGCCTCAGAATTTGTAAAATGTACCTTAAAAAAGGTTAAGTATATATTTTAAAAACAACTAGAAGTATTTGGGAACTACAAATGTGATGCATGTAATGAAAGTATTAAATTTTCATACAAACTTTAAAATTACTTCTAAGACATATGGGTCAGAGTATTGGAAAAATTTTCCATCAAAAATTCTGAAATTCTAGAAAGAATGTGAACTCTTATTATTTTGCAAGAGTCTTAAAAGTTATTGCTTCTCTTCCAAGATACCAAAATTGTAAATGTTGGAAGAGGAATTATGATACATATAAGAAAGTCAACTTATACCAACAGTTGTCTGGAACACTCAGAGAAAAACCTTTGTCTTTATGACAGCACATTGTTGAGTGACAATGCATTTGTTTGCTTTAAAATAATATATATAAGGCTTTTATGTATAATTTTTATGATTCCTTTACCTAACTGATTTTTAAAAATTAACCCAAAAGCAATGGATAAAAGTACTTCTACCCTGGCTGGGCGTGGTGGCTCACGCCTGTAATCCCCAGTACTTTGGGAGGCCAAGGTGGGTGGATCATGAGGTCAGGAGTTTGAGACCAGCCTGGCCAACATGGTGAAACTCCATCTCTACTAAAAATACAAAAATTTAGCTGAGCATGGTGGCACATGCCTGTAATGCCAGCTACTCAGGAGGCTGAGGCAGGAGAATTGCTTGAACCTGGGAGACAGAGGTTGCAGTGAGCTGAGATAGCGCCACTGCACTCCAGCCTGGGTGACAGAGCAAGACTCCATCTTGAAAAAAAAAAAAGTACTTCTACCCTATGTAACCTGTGTTATAACATATTAAATGTTTTGCTCCCAAGAGCTAGTAGTCAGAATCTCTCTCTTTTTCATTGCCATATCCTCAGCATCTAGCAGAGCATGGACATGCTATGTACTCAATAATTTGTTGAATGAATCCATTGTATTTGAAATAAGCTTCTATGAGCTCTTTTTTAGGTGGACTATGTTTCATTGGGCTGAATTAGTAAGTTAATGTCTATTTTGAATTCAGCATTTTGCATTACTGAACAGACAGCATGATGTAACAGAAAGCAGTGAGGGAGCAGGTGGCAGTGTCTTAACTGTATCCCTGCTGTCAGGCCTGAGGCCTCTTTCATTGTTGTTAAGGGGAGTGCAATGTATACAAAGTTTCAGTTAGGCAAGATGAATAAGTTCTGGAGATCTGCTATACAACTTTGTGTTAATACTATATTGTACACTTAAAAATCTGTTAAGAGGGCAGATCATATGTTACTTATTCTGACCACAATAAAAAAGTTGAATATATATGTTATATATATAATATATAAGTTTTTATAAAATATAACTATAATTTTATAATTTATAAAATATAAATTAATATATATGTGAGGTTTTAGAGGCAGACAGACATAGAATGGGAAATCCAGTTTCATCATGTAGTAAATGTGGAATGTGGATAAGTAACTTAACTTTCTCTAAATTCAAATTTCATAACTTGTATGGTGAGGCTACCACCACCCACAAAAAAAGTTTAGTGGGAATAAATCAGATAATGTGCATAATATGATTCAACTCAACAAGTACAATATTTCCTTTTCTCTACAGAATATATGTATATGTACATATTTACTAAAATTAAGGCAAGAGATTTCATGTTTGAAATTCTAGCTATTTAAACATTTCAATCAACATGATTAAAATATCAACTTACAACACGAGGGTCTTTAAAATATTGTGAAGTCATAAGTAGTATACAATTAAATATTGTTTTGATGAGTATATTTCCTTGTTCCTCTACAGCCTCTTCTATTTCTTAAAAATTGCTTTCTAGAAAACAAACCTCTCCATGGTTGAAAAAGAAGCACAGTACTGTAATAAGACCTCCCAGTTGAGTCCCACTGTTAAAAAAAAAAAAATAGAGTATACAATCAAAATTCATGTAAAATACAGTGAATTTTTCACAAAATTAACTCAGAATTTAAAATCACAGTTTTCTATATTTAAAACATAATAGTACTAAACCATACCCATGTGGTTGAAGTTTAAATTCTGAATGTACAATTCTAAAAAGTGTATGTATAAATTAATCTCAATTGTATAATTTATTATAGCTAAAATACTTTCTAAATAAAATACATAAGGTGTGAACATAATCTTTTTTTTGAGACGGGGTCTTGCTCTGTTGCCCAGGCTGGAATGCAGTGGCGAAATCTCGGCTCACAGCAACCTCCGCCTCCTGGGTTCCAACGATTCTCCTGCCTCAGGCTCCTGAGTAGCTCGGATTATAGGCGCATGCTGCCACGCCCGGCTAATTTTTTTACTTTTAGCCGAGACAGGGTTTCACCGTGTTGGCTAAGCTAGTCTCGAACTCTTGACCTCGTGATCCACCCGCCTCGGCCTCCCAAAGTGCTGAGATTACAATTGTGAGCCAACGCGCCCGGCCACATAAAATCATTTTTAAGAAGCAGGCTAGCACTTTAGAGTCTAGATCACATCCTTTGAATACTCTGAATAAAAGCAAATTTTATCTTTTGAAATTGGATTTAAGGGACTGAGAGATGAAGACAAGATTCTAACAGTTTCACGTAGCATTAACTTAGAACTGTCTAAACTACTGCAAATATTCTTTACTTGAGTCCCAGAGAAGCAATAACGCAGAATACAAAATTCAGATGAAAGATAAAAACCTTTGTTGTTGTTGTTGTTGTTTTGTTTTGTTTTGAGACAGACTCTCGCTCTGTCACCCAGGCTGGAGTGCAGTGGCGCGATCTCGGCTCACTGCAACCTCTGCCTCCCTGGTTCAAGCCGATTCTTCTGCCTCAGCCTCCCGAGTAGCTGGGATTACAGGCACATGCCACCACACCTGGCTGATTTTTGTATTTTTTAGTAGAGACGGTGTTTCGCCATGTTGGCCAGGCTGGTCTCAAACTCCTGACTTCAAGTGATCCGGCCACCTCAGCCTCCCAAAGTGCTGGGATTACAGGCATGAGCCACCGCACCTGGCCAAAAACCATTTCTTAAATTGCCTTTTTGTGATCATGTCTGTGTATGAGAATGCAGATGCTCAATCCCACATCTGTGTAGTGTTTCTATGCTTCCATTTATCTTCCCTCCATACACCACTTCCCTAGTCTAACACATTCTAAGCACCATGAGGACAGGGACAGGTTCTTTATCTGTCTTGTTCATTACTATATCCCCAGCTTCACACTTGGAAGATTAATAAATATTGGTTGAATTAATGAAGAAAGAAAGGAAGGAAACAGCAGAGGAAAGCTCATGGGAAATGATTTACCATTTAATAAAGTTTCACAGAGAAAATACAAAGGATGAACTTCAAAGAGGAAGAAATTGAAAGAAAGAATGGGTGAGCAGCAACGACCAGTTGTACATTGAGGAACTGGGGAAATGTGGATAAATCAAAGTAAGATGAGTTGGTTGGGGGTGGAGCCAAGATGGCTGAATAGGAACAGCTCCAGTCTACAGCTCCCAGCGTGAGCAATGCAGAAGACGGGTGATTTCTGCATTTCCAACTGAGGTACTGTGTTCATCTCACTGGGGATTGTCGGAAAGTGGGTGCAGGACAGTGGGTGCAGTGCACCAAGCATGAGCCGAAGCAGGGAAAGGCATTCCCTCACCTGGGAAGCGCATGGGGTCAGGGAATTCCCTTTCCTAATCAAAGAAAGGGGTGACAGAAGGCACCTGGAAAATCGGGTCACTCCCACCCTAATACTGCACTTTTCCAACGGTCTTAGCAAACAGCACACCAGGAGATTATATCCCGCACCTGGCTCGGAGGGTCCTATGCCCACAGAACCTCCCTCATAGCTAGCACAGCAGTCTGAGATCAAACTGCAAGGTGGCAGCGAGGATGGGGGAGGGGCGCCTGCCATTACCAAGGCTTGAGTAGGTAAGCAAAGCAGCCAGGAAGCACGAACTGGGTGGAGCCCACCGCAGCTCAAGGAGGACTGCCTGCCTCTGTAGACTCCACCTCTGGGGGCAGGACATTGCCAAACAAAAGGCAGCAGAATCCTCTGCAGACTTAAATGTCCCTGTCTGACAGCTTTGAAGAGTAGTGGTTCTCCCAGCACGCAGCTAGAGATCTGAGAACAGACAGACTGCCTCCCCAAGTGGGTCCCTGACCTCAGAGTAGCAAAACTGAGAGGCACCCCCCAGTAGGCGCAGACTGACACCTCACACAGCCGGGTGCTCCTCTGAGACAAAACTTCCAGAGGAATGATCAGGGAGCAACATTTGCTGTTCACCAATATCCACTGTTCTGCAGCATCCACTGCTGACACCCATGCAAACAGGGTCTGGAGTAGACCTCCAGCAAACTCCAACAGACCTGCAGCTGAGGGTCCTGACAGTTAGAAGGAAAACTAACAAACAGAAAGGACATCCACACCAAAACTCCATCTGTACGTCACCATCATCAAAGACCAAAGGTAGATAAAACCACAAAGATGGGGAAAAAACAGAGCAGAAAAACTGGAAACTCTAAAAATCAGAGTGCCTCTCCTCCTCCAAAGGAACACAGCTCCTCACCAGCAATGGAACAAAGCTGGATGGAGAATGACTTTGAGGAGTTGAGAGAAGAAGGCTTCAGATGATCAAACTACTCCGAGCTAAAGGAGGAAGTTCGAACACATGGCAAAGAAGTTAAAAACCTTGAAAAACAATTAGACGAATGGCTAACTAGAATAACCAATGCAGAGAAGTCCTTAAAGGACCTGATGGAGCTGAAAACCAAGGCACAAGAACTACATGACGAATGCACAAGCCTCAGTAGCCAATTCGATCAACTGGAAGAAAGGGTATCAGTGACGGATGATCAAATGAATGAAATGAAGTGAGAAGAGAAGTTTAGAGAAAAAAGAATAAAAAGAAACGAACAAAGCCTCCAAGAAATATGGGACTACGTGAAAAGACCAAATCTACGTCTGATTGGTGTACCTGAAACTGACGGGGAGAATGGAACCAAGTTGGAAAACACTCTGCAGGATACTATCCAGGAGAACTTCCCCAGTCTAGCAAGGCAGGCCAACATTCAAATTCAGGAAATACAGAGAACGCCACAAAGATACTCCTTGAGAAGAGCAACTCCAAGACACATAATTGTCAGATTCACCAAAATGGAAATGCAGGAAAAATTGTTAAGGGCAGCCAGAGAGAAAGGTCAGGTTACCCACAAAGGGAAGCCCATCAGACTAACAGCTGATCTCTTGGCAGAAACTCTACAAGCCAGAAGAGAGTGGGGGACAATATTCAACATTCTTAAAGGAAAGAATTTTCAACCCAGAATTTCATATCCAGACAAACTAAGCTTCATAAGTGAAGGAGAAATAAAATCCTTTAGAGACAAGCAAATGCTGAGAGATTTTGTCACCACTAGGCCTGCCCTAAAAGAGCTCCTGAAGGAAGCGCTAAACATGGAAAGGAACAACCAGTACCAGCCGCTGCAAAATCAAGCCAAAATGTAAAGACCATCGAGACTAGGAAGAAACTGCATTAACTAATGAGCAAAATCACCAGCTAACATCATAATGACAGGATCAAATTCACACATAACACTATTAACTTTAAATGTAAATGGACTAAATGCTCCAATTAAAAGACACAGACTGGCAAACTGGATAAAGAGTCAAGACCCATCAGTGTGCTGTATTCAGGAAACCCATCTCACGTGCAGAGACACACATAGGCTCAAAATAAAAGGATGGAGGAAGATCTACCAAGCCAATGGAAAACAAAAAAAGGCAGGGGTTGCAATCCTAGTCTCTGATAAAACAGACTTTAAACCAACAAAGATCAAAAGAGACAAAGAAGGCCAGTACATAATGGTAAAGGGATCAATTCAACAAGAAGAGCTAACTATCCTAAATATATATGCACCCAATACAGGAGCACCCAGATTCATAAAGCAAGTCCTGAGGGACCTACAAAGAGACTTAGACTCCCACACAATAATAATGGGAGACTTTAACACCCCACTGTCAACATTAGACAGAACCCCGAGACAGAAAGTTAACAAGGATATCCAGGAATTGAACTCAGCTCTGCACCAAGCAGACCTAATAGACATCTATAGAACTCTCGATCCCAAATCAACAGAATATACATTCTTCTCAGCACCACACCACACTTATTCCAAAATTGACCATATAGTTGGAAGTAAAGCACTCCTCAGCAAATGTAAAAGAACAGAAATTATAACAAACTGACTCTCAGATGGCAGCGCAATCAAACTAGAATTCAGGATTGATAAACTAACTCAAAACCGCTCAACTAAATGGAAACTGAATAACCTGCTCCTGAATGACTACTGGGTACATAACGAAATGAAGGCAGAAATAAAGATGTTCTTTGAAACAAATGAGAACAAAGACACAACATACTAGAATCTCTGGGACACATTCAAAGCAGTGTGTAGAGGGAAATTTATAGCACTAAATGCCCACAAGAGAAAGCAGGACAGATCTAAAATTGACACCCTAACATCACAATTAAAAGAACTAGAGAAGCATGAGCAAACACATTCAAAAGCTAGCAGAAAGCAAGAAATAACTAAGATCAGAGCAGAACTGAAGGAGATAGAGACACAAAAAACCCTTCAAAACATCAATGAATCCAGGAGCTGGTTTTTTGGAAAGATCAACAAATTGATAGACCACTAGCAAGATAATAAAGAAGAAAAGAGAGAAGAATCAAATAGATGCAATAAAAAATGATAAAGGGGATATCACCACCGATCCCTCAGAAATACAAACTACCATCAGAGAATACTATAAACACCTCTATGCAAATAAACTAGAAAATCTAGAATGGATAAATTCCTGGAAATATACACTCTCCCAAGACTAAACCAGGAAGAAGTTGAATCTCTGAATAGACCAATAACACGCTCTGAAATTGAGGCAATAATTAATAGCCTACCAACCCAAAAAAGTCCAGGACTAGACAGATTCATAGCCCAATTCTACCAGAGGTAAAAGGAGGAGCTGGTACCATTCCTTCTGAAACTATTCCAATCAATAGAAAAAGAGGGAATCCTCCCTAACTCATTTTATGAGGCCAGCATCATTCTGATACCAAAGTCTGGCAGAGACACAACAAAAAAACAGAATTTTAGACCAATATCCCTGATGAACAATGATGCAAAAATCCTCAATAAAATACTGGCAAACCGAATCCAGCAGCACATCTAAAAGCTTATCCACCATGATCAAGTGGGCTTCATCCCTGGGATGCAAGGCTGGTTCAACATACACAAATCAATAAACATAATCCAGCATATAAACAGAACCAACGTCAAAAACCATATGATTACCTCAATAGATGCAGAAAAGGCCTTTGACAAAATTCAACAATCCCTCATGCTAAAAACTCTCAATAAATTAGGTATTGATGGGACATATCTCAAAATAATAAGAGCTATCTATGACAAACCCACAGCCAATATCATACTGAATGGGCAAAAACTGGAAGCATTCCCTTTGAAAACTGGCACAAGACAGGGATGCTCTCTCTCACCACTCCTATACAACATAGTGTTGGATGTTCTGGCCAGGGCAATCAGGCAGGAGAAGGAAATAAAAGGTATTCAATTAGGAAAAGAGGAAGTCAAATTGTCCCTGTTTGCAGATGACATGATTGTATATCTAGAAAACCCGATTGTCTCAGCCCAAAATCTCCTTAAGCTGATAAGCAACTTCAGCAAAGTCTCAGGAATCAAAATCAATGTGCAAAAATCACAAGCATTCTTATACACCAATAACAGACAAACAGAGAGCCAAATCATGAGTGAACTCTCATTCACAATTGCTTCAAAGAGAATAAAATACCTAGGAATCCAACTTACAAGGGATGTGAAGGACCTCCTCAAGGAGAACTAGAAACCACTGCTCAATGAAATAAAAGAGGATACAAACAAATGGAAGAAATTCCACGCCCATGGGTAGGAAGGATCAATATCGTGAAAATGGCCAACTGCTCAAGGTAATTTATATATTCAATGCCATCCCCATCAAGCTACCAATGACTTTCTTCACAGAATTGGAAAAAACTACTTAAAAGTTCATATGGAATCAAAAGAAGAGCCCGCATTGCCAAGACAATCCTAAGCCAAAAGAACAAAGCTGGAGGCATCACGCTACCTGACTTCAAACTACACTACAAGGCTACAGTAACCAAAACAGCATGGTACTGGTACCAAAACTGAGATATAGACCCATGGAACAGAACAGAGCCCTCAGAAATAATGCTGCGTATCTACAACCATCTGATCTTTGACAAACCTGACAAAAACAAGCAATGGGGAAACGATTCCCTATTTAATAAATGGTGCTGGGAAAACTGGCTAGCCATATGTAGAAAGCTGACACTGGAGCCCTTCCTTACACCTTTTACAAAAATTAATTCAAGATTGATTAAAGACTTATATGTTAGACCTAAATACCACAAAAACCCTAGAAGAAAAACTAGGCAATACCATTCGGGACATAGGCATGGGCAAGGACTTCATGACTAAAACACCAAAAGCAATGGCAACAAAAGCCAAAATTGACAAATGGGATCTAATTAAACTAAAGAGCTTCTGCACAGCAAAAGAAACTACCATCAGAGTGAACAGGCAACCTACAGAATGGGAGAAAATTTTTACTATCTACCCATCTGACAAAGGGCTAATATCCAGAATCTGCAAAGAACTTAAACAAATTTATAAGAAAAAAATCAAACAACCCCATCAAAAAGTGGACAAAGGATATGAACAGACACTTCTCAAAAGAAGACATTTATGCAGCCAACAGACACATGAAAAAATGCTCATCACTGGCCATCAGAGAACTGCAAATCAAAACCACAATGAGATACCATCTCACACCAGTTAGAATGGCAATCATTAAAAAGTCAGGAAACAACAGGTGCTGGAGAGGATGTGGAGAAATAGGAACACTTTTACACTGTTGGTGGGACTGTAAACTAGTTCAACCACTGTGGAAGACAGTGTGGCAATTCCTCAAAGATCTAGAACTAGAAATACCATTTGACCCAGCCATCCCATTACTGGGTATATACCCAAAGGATTGTAAATCATGCTGCTATAAAGACGCATGCACACATGTTTATTGTGGCACTATTCACAATAGCAAAGACTTGAAACCAACCCAAATGTCCATCAATGATAGACTGGATTAAGAAAATGTGGCACATATACACCATGGAATACTATGCAGCCATAAAAAATGATGAGTTCACATCCTTTGTAGGGACATGGATGAAGCTGGAAACCATCATTCTGAGCAAACTGTCGCAAGGACAGAAAACCAAACACCGCATGTTCTCACTCATAGGTGGGAATTGAACAAGGAGAACACTTGGACACAGTTTGGGGAACATCACACACCGGGGCCTGTCATGGGGTGGGGGGAGGGAGGAGGGATAGCATTAGGAGATATACCTAATGTTAATAACGAGTTATTGGGTGCAGCACACCAACATGGCACAAGTATACATATGTAACAAACGTGCACGTTGTGCACATGTGTCCTAAAACTTAAAGTATAATAATAATAGAAAAAAAGATACAAGAGGATGTTTTGAAGAAAAGCATTCCAAGATTCCTTGTTTGATTGGAAGAAGGGGAAAGATATCAATGTATTTTATACTTGAACAAATCATATCTGTATGTTAAAATTTTATGGTTAGCCACCAAAAGAATAGAAGTAGCATATCTACCTTCCCAGTTAGTGTCAGTGGGGAGGGTAGCCATGGTAACAAATACAAAAGTTTTCCCCAAATTTCTATTTATTTTGCTCCTCGAATGCCAGTTTCCAATCTCCTCACAGTTTTGATGACACCTCTTCAGTCAATATTCGTTGACTCTGTATATCCTTATTAAAGCCTAGATAGAGCCTAATATTGTATTTTATATTCCAGGACTATATAACCAATTTAGAGAGACTAGCACCTCTTCGGTAGCCCTCCTAATGAAATATACTGATTTTTAAAGTTTTAGTCATTGTTGTGTAACATTTTCCATATGAAAAAACAAAAAAGATAAGAAATACAAACCATTTTCAAAAACAGAACTTATTTATTCATTTATTCATTTTTTTATTTTTAGTTTTGAGACTGAGTCTCGCTCTGTCGCCCAGGCTGGAGTGCAGTGGCGCGATGTCGGCTCACTGCACACTCCACCTTCCGGGTTCACGCCATTCTCCTGCCTCAACCTTGCGAGTAGCTGGGACTACAGGCGCCCGCCACCACGCCCGGCTAATTTTTTTTTTTGTATTTTTTTGTATTTTTAGTAGAGACAGGGTTTCACCTTGTTAGACAGGTTGGTCTCGATCTCCTGACCTCATGATCCGCCCGCCTCGGCCTCCCAAAGTGCTGGGATTACAGGAGTGAGCCACTGCTCCCAGCCCAAAAACAGAACTTTTTTTAAAAAAAGAACATTTTTAAAGCTGCCCACACAATCTCAAAGCAATCCTTTTCCCTCAAAATACTTTAATGAGCTTATATTTTTTCTATATGGCATATAGAAAAGTGCATAACATTTCTAGCTTATAGAACTATTGTAAAAGGAACGTCCATGTAGTCACCATATAATTAACTGAAATAGAGAAATTATTATACTGAGTCTCCACTTGCCAGCCTCCAAGATAAGAATCAGCTACTGACCTGATTTTTGAGATCATCAACATAACCATTTCTATATACATATCAAACTATGATTTACTTTAATCTGTTTTTAAACAACATACAAATGGAAGTATGGAGTATTTTTTTTAATTTCGTACCTGGATTCATTCATTCAAAATTATATTTGTAAGATTCCACCATGTTGTGTGTAGCTGCATAGTTCATTCATTCTCATTATTGTATACTGTTCCACCATGTTAATAAACCAAAATGTATTCATTTCTCTGTTAATGGATATTTGGGTTGTTTCCAGTTTGAAGCTATTGCAAATAATGCTACTATATTATTGCATGTACTTCCCAGTACACATGTGCAACACTTTTTTGGGAATATATACTTTAAATTAGAATTACTGAGTTACAAGGTATCTATATCTTGAACGTTATCAGATAATGTACACTGTTTACCAAAATAGTTGTACCAATTTATATGTCCACCTGTGGTGGATGAAAGCTCCTTTATCAATCTATTAGATGTGAGCTGGTATTTCACTGTGGTTGAATTTGTATTTTCTTTATGACTAATGATGGTGGTCAACTTTACATATGTTTATTGACCATTTGGTATTCTTCTGGGAAATATCAGTTCATAAACAATTTGTCCATTTTTCTATCAGGTTGTCTTTCTTCCTTATCTTCCCACTCTAATATAAACTTCACAAGGACAGAGATTTCTGTCCTGTATTCCAAGCACCTAGAACAGTGCTCCTGGTCACAACAGTCTTTCAATAAATATTTATCAAATTAATGAATGAAATTTCTGGATAGTAGGTGGGGTATACACTTTGTAAATATCTTCACTCACTTTGCAGTTTATTTTTTATCCTACAGTTCTTTTGAGGAACTGAAGTTCCTTTCATCAAATTTATCAGTTTTTCTTCATGACTGGATTTTTCTATCTTGTTTATGAAATCATTTCTTATTCTAAGTGACTTTTTCTATATTATATGCTGAACACTTTATAAATTTGTCTTTCATATTTGAGTGTTTAATCCAACTTGGATTTATTACTTATATAGTTCCAATTTCTCCTTGTTCCATATGATCTCCCAATTATTTCAGCACTATTTATTAAAATGCCTGTCCTTACTCACCAATCTGCGATACCCACTCTTCCATATATCAAATGCCTTTAAATGTACATTTCTGCTTCTGGGCTCTACTCTATTGCAGTTATCTATTTGTCTATTGCTATGCCAATATCATAGTGTCTTTTTACATTAGCTTTATAATACAGCAACAATTGATAGTGCAAATCCTCCTTTTTCAAGAATACCTTGACTGTATTTCTCCCTTTGCATTTCTGAATAACTTTTAAATCAGCTCATCAAAGTCAACAAAAAATATGTTGGAATTTTGACTTGTAGAGCACTGAATCTATAAAGCTTTTTAATATCGAGTCTTCAATCAATGAATGTGGAATATCTCTCCACTTAGATTTTCCTAGACATATCTCAGGAATGTTTTAATCATTTTCCCATAGCTGTCATATGTATCTTTTGTTGGGTTTATTCTGAGGAATATCGTGCTTTTAATGCTATTCTAAATAGCATCCTTTCAAAATTTCATTTTCTATTTGATGCTAAAGTATAAAATTTATAATTTTGAATTTTAATATTAATGCTTACATCTAGTAACATTGTAAATTTTCTTATTATTGCAAATACTGTATCCATAAACTTTTAACATTTTTCTAGATACATGATGTAATCTACTTTTAAGAACACATTTCTTTTTTTTCAAGTTTTCCAATCCTTATACTTATTACTACTTTTCTTTTTATATACCATGCTGGATAGTATCCCTGGCACAATACTGACTATGTCACTAGTTTTCATTGATTCTATGCTAGTCTTTTTTTATGCTGAAAACTTCCTAAAACAAAGAGTGTGTATATTTACTAATCTCTATATTGACATAAGCCCCATGAAAACTCAATAAATATTTGTTGAAAGAGTAAAGCTATCAATTAATTTTAATTTTAATTTTAAATATTTTGCACGATAAGAATAACATTGTAAAGAAATCTGATGATTCAGCTAGGAATATGCTCCACTGAAAGAAACAGAAAACCTAACAAAAGTGGCTTACACAATATGGATGTTGTTTACTGTATCATCCAACAAGAAAATGAAAGATAAGTATCTGTTGGCATTGGTTCAGCAGCAGAAGGATGGTAGGCCAGATATATCTGCTATTTTTATGACCTTTCCCTTATGGTCACAAGATGACTGCTACAGTTCTGGGCATGACATCCTAGTGCAATAAAAGCAGGAAGAAACAGAGAAGGGGCAGCTAAGTCTGTCCTTTTGTGAGAAAGGCAGATACTTTATTAGATGTAACCAAAACTGACTTCAACTTAGTTTTCATTGGCAAAAACTAGCTGATATGGCTATCTCAGGGAGCAATTAAGTGTGGGGGCAAAACACATGACCATTGAGATTAATTTCAACTTATCACCTGAGACTGGTCTCGCTGCTGCTTCATCGTGGTACTCTTATCAAGACAGACATGCTAGCAGATGTAAGTGCCTGCCACATGTGATTCACAGTTTTTCCTACTGCTTTCTTAATTTCATCCTTAGAGAATACAATTAGAAATAAGCTGCTACTACTGCTAACCAAAGATCTCCTCCAATGTTTTATTAATTTTACACATGAACTAGGAGATATTCCATTAAAGACTTTGTTAGGAAATCTGTTTAAACAACAGAATAAAAGGGACGACTTTGAGATAGAATTTTAGTGACATCTCCAGTTTCTGGTTACATGATATTGGTTAAGCTTCTGAAAAATCAAGTAAATCCACAAACTTTCCTGATATGAATCAATCTCATTAATTTTCCTTTTCATTTAATCAACGAATATCAGCCAGTCTGTAAAAGCCCACTGAAAGGTCCCTTAATTCAGTAGTAGTCTTACCTCAGGTATGCTCCATACATGAAGAACAATCCCATCATTAGTCCATTTAAAATAAAGATTACACCAACATAAAAGCAAGCAGGATCTCCCAATCCTTTGAAAAGATACAGATAATCAGTGTTTAATGAATATATGACTCTAAAGCAATTGGGCATAATTATCTCAGTGCTTTGCAATCAAGAGCTCATGAATTTGCTGAAAGCATTTGCTTTCCAGATTGCCACTGTGTTTAATTCTTTACCCTTATAACAGTTTGTGTGTGTGTGTGCTTGCAGACACATATATATGTGTGTGTGTATATATATGTGTGTGTATATATACACATACACATATGTAAGCTCACCCTAATGAGCAATTATATAGTTACACTTATACTTTATACTTTTTATAATTGCATTTATACTTTCCTCTAATGAATTACTATTATACTGTAATGATTTGTTGGGGATTCACATTTATTTAGGTGATGCTGCTAGTGTTCAGTGTCTGGAACTGTCTGTAGAACCACTTAATGAATACAAAAGAAAATCCATTACATTATTTTTATCTTTTTCTAGGTTCTAGGAAGAGTTAAGATATGGTTTTGACTTTAGGGTACAGCTTTAGTCTATATGAAATGATCCAGTCATTTGATCCATTATTATGTATAGCTAGAATCTTAGTATATTCCATATAGAAGATCGTGTGTGTGTGTGTGTGGCAATATGTACTTAACAATCATCCCACATTTTTCTCCGAACAAGTTTATGATATTAGCTGGTATAAAAATACTTTTCTTACGGTTGAGAAAACAGAACATAAGATATTCAACTTGTCAAAGGTTATTTCACTTTAACTGGCTGGAGCCAAGGTCTGAAAGCTGGCCTTCTGATTCCCCCTGCCTCTCTGATCACTCCTTTCAGTCAGTTCTAGTAACTTCTCTTGTTTTATGTACCACTCTTTAATATTGGAACACCTTAGGCTCTGTCATATCCCCCCTTCATTTCTCCATCTGCATATTCTCCATAAGGAAATTCTTCTACATCCGTGGCTCCAATGATCTATATACAGATGACTCCAACTCTACATTTAATCCAGAACTTTCTCCTTATTCTTATACCCAGATAGCCACTTGATGTCCCCACTCTGAGGTCTCTCAAGTACCTCAAATTCATGAATACACAATGAAACATAACAATACAAACCTGCTGCTGTTCAAATGTTTCCTATCACTCAAAGGAGCTCAGTTACTTAAGCTAGAAACCAAACTGTGTTTCACATGATTCTTCATTCACCTTCTCCTCTCTTACCAAACAATTACCAAGTCTTGTCCATTCTGCTTCCAAAATCTCTCTCACATCCAGGCATTTCCACATTATCTTTCCTGCAATCACTTGCTGAGAATATAATTGTCTCCTACCTGGCCTCCCTTAACCTACTTTTGTTCCTTTACTAATATTTTTTCCATACCATTGACTAAATAATGTTTTAAAATGGAACTCTGTTAAAATTCTTCAATGGATAAAGTATAAAATCCTTCACCAGTGCACCCCTTTCATGATCTGATCCTTGCTTATATTCCCAGCACCATTTCACATCATTTTTCTTCTCCATCGCTTCTAGGATTTCTAGCCTTTTTTCAGTTCTCTCTTGCTTCAGCATATTTGAATACATTATTCCCTATTCTTAAAATACTTATCCTCTCTTACTCCTAGTGTCGGTAACCTTATTTTCTTATTTGTAATATCCATCACAATTGTAACTGCTAACAGCCCCCTTACAGCATAAACTCTATGAGGATAAGGCCCCACGTCTAGCTGGTTCTTCTCTGTGTCCAAAGTGCCAAACACTAACCTATCACTTATTGGGAATGTAACTAATACCATACTTAGGTGATCATTTTCACCACTCAGACAGGGTCACACCTTCTAGCTGACTGAATCATTGCAAAGTCTTTCATTTTATGAGGCATTTTCTCCAAACCTTTACATTGTACACAAAAAAGTGTAATTGCCCCTCAAACATCCTCATCAATTCTATTTTACTGAGGGAATCAGTAAAAAATGTAAGGAAAATAGATTTAGTTTATGTCCCAAGAGTTGAATGTTGTTACAAACAAGTCTAAAAATTTATTCATAAAATATAGTAAGTCATGTTGTTAAGAATTTGAAGAAATAAAGAAAAAACAACAGTGTTAGTGTTATGAAAATAGATACAAGTGGCTCTGAACGGGAGTCTCAAGGGACAGCACCATACTTGAATTGTAAAAGTACTGAAATGCAAACATCTTAAATGGAAGTGACCACTATGTATCCTGGAAAGCTGTTAGATGATTCCAAAAGCGGTTCTTTGACAAAGAAACCAACGTAGAAGATAAATAGGAAGAGTTTTATTAATACTACTCATGGACTATGAGCATATATAAAAAAGTAATATTTCTAAATCAATCTATTATGGCATATCCAATTTTCAAATATGTATGCATAATTAAATTTATACATTAGCTATTACAAATAGATATTTGACTATTTAATGTATCCTCAAAATTTATATATTGAAGCTACCCCAAAAAACATCTTTCTGTATCTTCTCATTCTGAAATAGAAGACTAACTTATAGTCAAGATTGCCTTACAATGGGATACGTTAATACTCAAATTCCAAAATTTATACTCAAATTTTTAAGTACACAGCCTTCTCAGAAAACTACTTTAAAATGTAAAAATACTCATTGAGGTGAGTCAGTTCTAATGTTTTTTAAATCAACAACAGAATTTTACAATAATTCTTAAAAGTGAATCATAATATTATTAAATGTTTATGAATGTTTACAAATGACAGCATTTTTGGAGGAAACATGCCTTCACAGCTTTGAACTCATTAAGAGGTTCTATTCTGGTGACATTCCAGCAGGTCTTAGTTTCTAGTCCAAATAAATTCATTATTCCTATGAATGTGCGATACCAGGCAGCTATGATTACCTTAAAAAAGATAAAAACAAAGAGATAATTGAGGTAAATACATTCTCTTCATAATAATAATAATAATAATAATATATACCATGGAATACTATGCAGCCATAAAAAAGGATGAGTTCATGTCCTTTGTAGGGACGTGGATGAAGCTGGAAACCATCATTCTTGGCAAACTATCGCAAGGACAAAAAAACCAAACACCGCATGTTTTGATATTAAAAAGCTTTATAGATTCAATGCTCTACCAGTCAAAATTCCAACATATTTTTTGTTGACTTTGATGAGCTGATTTAAAAGTTATTCAGAAATGCAAAGGGCCAAATATAGTCAAGGTATTCTTGAAAAAGGAGGATTTGCACTATCAATTGTTGCTGTATTATAAAGCTAATGTAAAAAGACACTATGATATTGGCATAGCAATAGTCGAATAGATAACTGCAATAGAGTAGAGCCCAGAAGCAGAAATGTACATTTAGAAATGTACCATAACTCATATGGTTATGAGTTCCGTGGGCTCTCTTTGTGCCTCATTTTCTCAGATTTGGAGTTAAAGAGGCTGGCAATCCAGAAATGCCAATGGGCACTGCTATAGTTTGAATGTGTCCCATCCAAAATTCAGGTATTGAAACTTAATGGCCAATGTGATAGTATTAACAGATGGGACCTGCAAGAGGTGATTAGACCATGAAGATTCCCCCCTCATGAGTGAGATTAAAGCTGTCTTACTCTCCTACTGTCTGCCATGTGAGGACACAGTGTTCCTCTCCTTCAGAAGATGCAACATCAAGGCACCATCTTGGAAGCGGAGAGCAGCCTTCACCAGACACCAAATCTGCTGGTGCCTTGATCTTGGACTTCCTTGGACTCCAGAATTCTTAGACTCCATAATTGTGAGATATAAATTTCTATTCTTTATAAATTACCTAGTCTCAGATACTTTGTTCAAACAGCACAAAACAGACTAAGACAAATATACAAAAAGTACCCAAAAAGTCAAAAGTAAAAAAAATGTGGCTCTACCCCTACCGTATAAACAAAGGCCAAGTGGGGAAGCTAGACTTCCACCTTCCCTGGGCTTTTTTTTTTTTTCTGGGGATGGAGTCTCACTCTTTTCACTCAGGCTGGAGTGCAGTGGCGTGATCTTGGCTCACTGCAACCTCTTCCTCCTGGGTTCAAGCCAATTCTCCCGCCTCAGCCTCCCAAGTGGCTGGGATTACAAGTGCCCACTACCATGCCTGGCTAATTTTTGTATATTTAGTAGAGACAGGGTTTCACCATGTTGGCCAGGCTGGTCTCAAACTCCTGACCTCAGGTGATCCTGAAAGCAACAAGATGGTGCCTTCCCCCTTTTCCCCTTCCTTTGCTTGAGTGATACCAGAGGTATCTAGTTAAAATAGCAGGTTTAAATAAAATCCAGTCTCATAACATAATACTCAAAATGTCTAGGTTTCAAGTGAAAATCACTCATCAGGAACCAGAAAGATCTCAAACTGAATGAGAAATAAATGGATTCCAATACTGAGATGAAAGAAATATTAGCATTATCAAGGATTTTAAAGCAACAATCATAAATATACTCTAATGAGCATGCTTAAAACAAAGGGAAAAATTGAAAAGTTTACCAGAGAAATAGTCTCAGCAAAAAAACAGAAATCAATACTAAGAACATCTCTCAAAACACATAAGTACATGGAATTTAAACAACCTGCTCCTGAATGACTTTTTGAGTCAACAAAGAAATTAAGGTAGAAATCAAGAAATTCTTTGAAACTAATGAAAATAAAGATACAACATACCAGGATCGCTGGAACACAGCTAAAGCAGTGTTAAGAGGCAAATTTACAGAGCTAAATGCCCACTTCAAAAAGTTAGAAAGATCTCAAATTAACAACCTAACATCACACCTAGAGGAACCAGAAAAATAAGAGCAAAACAACCCAAAATCTAGCAGAAGACAAGAAATAACCAAATCAGAGATGAACTGAATGAAATTGAGACACAAAACACCATACAAAAGATCAACAAAACCACAAGTTGGTTCTTTGAAAGAATAAATTTAATAGACCACCAGCTAGACTAATAAAGAAAAAGAGAGAGAAGACCCAAATAAACACAATCAGAAATGACAAAAGAGATATTACCATTGACCCTGTAGAAAAGCAAAAAACTCTGAGAGACTATTACGAACAACTCTATGGACACAAACTGGAAAACCTAGAAGAAATGGCTAAATTCCTGGAAATATATAACCTCCAAAGATTTAACCAAGAAGAAATGAAAACCCTGAATAGACCAATAACAAGTTCCAAGACTGAATCACCAATAAAAAGCCTACCAGCCAGAAAAAGCCCTGGAACAGATGACTTCACAGCCAAATTCTACCAGACATATAAGGAGAGCGGATACCAATCATACTGAAACTATTCCAAAAACTTGAGGGATTTCTCCCTTACTCATTCTATAAGGCTAACATCATTCTGATGCCAAAATGTGGCAAAGCCACAATGTAAAAAAGAAAACTTCAGGCCAATATCTCTGATGAACATAGATGCAAAATCCTCAACAAAATACTAGCATACTGAATCCATCAGCACATCAAAAAGCTAATCCACCACAATCAAGTAGGCTTTATTCCTAGGATGCAAGGGTGGTTCAACACAGGCAAATCAATAATTATGATTGATCACATAAAAGAACTAAAAAAAAACCCCACATGATTATCTAAATAGATGCAGAAAAGGCTTTTGATAAAATTCAACATCCTTTCATTTTAAAAGCCTTCAACAAAGTAGGCATTGAAGGAACATACCTCAAAATTATAAGAGCCATCTATGAAAAACCCATAGCCAACACCATACTGAACAGGCAAAAGCTAGAAGCATTTGCCTTGAGAACTGGAACAACAAAAGGATGTTTACTCTCCCCATTCCTATTCAACATAGTACTGGAGGTCCCAGCCAGAGCAATCAGGCAAAAGAAAGAAAGAAAATAAATCCACATAGGAAGACAGGAATTCACACTATCTTTTTTGTAAACAATACAATTTTATACCTAGAAAGCCCCACAGTCTCTGACTAAAAGCTCCTAGATGTGTCTTTTTAAAACTTCAGCAAACTTTCCGGATGTAAAATCAATGTACCAAAGTCAGTAGTATTTCTATGCACCAACAATGTCCAAGCTGGGAGCCAAATCAAGAATGCAATCTCATTCACAATAGCCACAGAAAAGTAATAAAAAACTTATAAAAGAATACCTAGGAATACAGCTAATTAGAGAGGAGAAAAATCTCTACAATGAGAATTACAAAACACTGCTGAAAGAAATCAGAGGCAATAAAAACAAATGGAAAAACATTCTATGCTCATGAATAGGAAGATTCAATATTGTTAAAATCACCATATTACCAAAAGCAATTTACAGATTCAATGCTATTCCTATCAAACTACCAATGACATTTTTCACATAATTAGAAAAACTATTCTAAAACTTATATGGATACTCCTTCAACGTAAATAAGGTTAAAATAAATAAATAAGTAAATAAAATAAAACACATATGAAACCAAAAAATAGTTCAAATAGCCAAAGCAATCCTAAGCAAAAAGGACAAAGCCAGAGGCATCATACTACCCAACTTCAAGCTATATTTCAAGGCTACAATAACCAAAACAGCATGGTGCTAGCACAAAAACACACACATAGACCAATGGAACAGAATAGAGAGCCCAGAAATAAAGTCACACACCTAGAACCATCTGATTTTCAACAAACCTGATAACACAAGTCAATAGGAAAAAGGACTTCTTATTCAATAAATGATGCTGGGATAACTGGCTAGCCATATGCAGAAGACTGAAACTTCACCTTTCTTTTCCCCATACACAAAAATCAACTCAAGATGAATTAAAGACTGAAATGTAAAACCTAAAACAATGAAAACCCTAGAAGAAAACATAGAAAATACCATTTTGGACATAGACCCTGGCAAAAATTTCATGACGAAGATGCCAAAAGCAATTGTAACAAAACAAAGATTGACAAATGCAACCTAATTAAATTAAAGAGCTTCTGCATAGCAAAAGAAACTACCAAGAGAGTAAACAGACAACCTACAGAAAGGGAGAAAATATTTGCAAACTGTTCATCTGACAAAGGTCTAATATCCAGAATCCATAAGGAACAAATCGAAAGTAAAAAAAAAAACCCCATTAAAAAATGGGTACTCCGTGCCACTCCCAGTCACAGCCTCCCATGCCTTGCTCAGCTCCAACATGGCAAAAATCTCCAGCCCTACAGAGACTGTGCGGTGCATTCAGTCCCTGATTGCTGTTTTCCAGAAGTATGCTGGAAAGGATGGTTACAACTGCAATCTCTCCAAGACGGAGTTCCTAAGCTTCATGAATACAGAGCTGGCTGCCTTTACAAAGAACCAGAAGGACCCCGGTGTCCTTGACCGCATGAAGAAACTGGATGTCAGCAGCGATGGGCAGTTAGATTTCCCAAAATTTCTTAATCTGATTGGTGGCCTAGCTGTGGCTTGCCATGACTCCTTCCTCAAGGCTGTCCCTTCCCAGAAGTGGACCTGAGGACCCCTTGGGCCTGGCCTTCAAACCCACCCCCTTTCCTTCCAGCCTTTCTGTCATCATCTCCTCCTCACAGCCCACATGTCCCCTGAGCCCAGCATACCTACCACATCATGCAGGCCCCACCTGTGGATAGTAATAATACAATGTCACTTTTTTAAAACATGAAAAAAAAAGTGGGTGAAGGACATAAACACAAATTTCTCAAAATTAGATATTTATGTGGCCATCAATCATATGAAAAAGTGTTCAACATCACTGATCATTACAGAAATGCAAATCAAAACCACACTAACCCAATCGGAATGGCTATTATTAAAAAGTCAAAAAATAACAGATGCTGGTGAGGTTGTGGAGAAAAGGGGATGCTTATACACTGCTGGTGGGAACGTAAACTAGTTCAAACACTGTGGAAAGCAGTTTGGAAATTTCTCAGAGAACTTAAAACTGAACTACCATTTGACCCAGCAACCCCATTACTAGGTATATACCCAAAGGAATATAAATTAGCCTACCATAAAGACACATGCACATGTATGTTCACTGCAGCACTATTCACAATAGCAAATAGCAAAGACATGGAATCAACCTAAATGCCATCAATAGTGGAACGGATAAAGAAAATGTGTTGGTACATATACCCCATGAATATTATGCAGCCATTATAAAGAACAAGATAATGTCCTTTGCAGCAACATGGAAGGAGTTAGAGGCCAGTATGCTAAGTGAATTAATGCAGGAACGGAAAACTAAATACTGTGTGTTCTCACTTATAAGCGAAGCTAAACACTGAGTACACATGGACACAAAGAAGGGAACAACAGACACTGGGGCCTACTTGAGGGTGAAGGGTATGAGGAGGGTGAAGACTGAATAACTGCGTATTGAGTACTATGCTTATTACCTGGGTGCCAAAATACTCCATACACCAAACCCCCACTGCATGCAATTTACCTATACAGCAAACCCACACATGTATCCCATGAACCTAAAATAGAAGTTGGAAGAAGAAAAAGTGTCAGCAGAAAAATAGAACACATAAAGAAAAGTCAAAATTTTCAGAGCTCAAAAATAAAATAATCAAAATAAAAAACCTTAATGGATGGCACAAGAGGAGAATGGCAGAGATAGAAGAAAATAACCAGTAAACTAGAAGACAGAAAAATAGAAATTACTCAATCTGAGCAAAAGAGAAAAATCAGATGCTAACAGAATAAACAAACAAAACAGCCCTAGGGACCTGTGGAACTTTAACAAAGGATCCTACATTCATGTCACTGGAGTCTTGGAAGGAGACGGGAAAGAGGCAGGGCTGAAAAAGAATTCAAGGAAATAATTACTGAGGCTGGTCCCGGTGGTTCATGCCTGTAATCCCAGCAGTTTGGGTGGCCAGGGCAGGCAGATTGCTTGAGCCCAGGAGTTCGAGACCAGCCTGAGCAACATAGTAAAACCCCATGTCTACAAAAAATTAAGAAAAATTAGCCAGGTATGGTGGTTGCGCATCTCAGGAGGCTGAGGTGGGCAGATCCCTTGATTCCAGGAGTCAGAGGTTGCAGTGAGCTGAGATTTCACCACTGCACTCCAGCCTGGGCGACAGAGTGAGATCCTGTCTCAAAATAAATAAATAAATACATACATAAATAAATAAAAAAAGAAAGAAAAAGAAATAATGACTGGACTTCCTATATATGGCAAAAGATATAAACCTAAATATTCAAGGAGCTGAGCAAATCTCAAACAGAAAAAATCTAAACAAATCCACACTAAAACACAACATACTTTAGAAAACATTTGAACTTTGAACATTATACTTTGATACACTTTTGAAGACTAAATTTAAAAAAATACTGAAACCAACAAGAGAGAAACAAAACCTTACCTAAAGGAGAAAAAGAATTCAACTAACAGCAGATTTATCATTAGAAACTATGGAGGGCCAGAACAAAATGGCACAACACTTGCTGAATGCTGAAAGAAAGGAACTATCGACCCAGAATCCTATCTCCAGCAAAAATATCCTTCAGTAATGAAAAGCAACTGCATTCTCTGAGTTAAGAAAAACTAAAAAAAATTTTAAAAAAATTTAAAAATTAAACAAAAAATGCACAATGTGCACATGTACCCTAAAACTTAAAGTATAATAAAAAAAAATGCAGCCAGCAGAACTTTTACAACAGACATCTATTCTAAAAGTGTAGCTAAAGAAAATCCCCTAAACCGAAATGAAATGATAAAAGAAGGAATGTTGGAACATCAAAGAGGAAGAAATAAAAAACATGGATAAAATAAAACAGGCTTTCACTTTCTTCCTGAGTTTATAAAATGTGTGTAAAACTTGAGTTTAAAATAAGTTTGATGATTAAAACATACAGTAAAATGACAGCAGCAACAGATTGTAATAAATTGTGTTAATACAATCGCTAGAACCACTAAAAAAAGCTTTGTAAAGTGATATATTTAAAAAATAGATAAATCAAAATATAACTCTAAACAATGTTCAAATGAAATGTTCTGCCACAAGAAGGTTAAAATAAAAGCAAACAGAAATTGAAAACCAAGAATAGAAACCACAAAATAAAATCACAGACTTAAACTCTAACATATTAATAACTATATTAGATGTAAGTGGTCAATTGGTAAACATACCAATTAAGAGATACACTGACAAATTGGATTTAAAAATATTACCCAACCGTTTACAAGGAACTTGCTTCAAATATAATAATAAAGTCAGGCTGAAAGTGAAAGGATGGACAATGATGAATTTATCATACATACAGTAATGAAAAGAAAGCAGAAGTGACGATGTCATTATCAGAAAAAAGCACACTTCAGAGGAAGCAAAATTATCAGAGAAGGAAGAAAAAGTCATCGTTAAATTATTTTTTAAAAAATTCAACAAGAAGACCCTGCAATCCTAAATGCATATGCGCCAAACATAGAGCTACAAAATATGTGAAGAAAAACAGATAGGTGTCAATGGAGAAATGTACATATACCTAATTTTACTAGCAGACTTCAGAATCCCTCTGCCAAAAAACTAGAATTAGTATTTTCAACTAATTCTTTTAGTTGATAGAAGAACTAGACAGAAATTCCCCCAAAATTGAGACAAACTCAACAACACTATACAAAAGACCCTGTTTAAGAGAATGAAAAGGCAAGCTACAGACTGGGAAAATATATTTGCAAGCCATATATATGAAAAATAATTAGCATCTATAATATGTAAGGAACATCCTAAGATCCAAAATTCATAAAACAAACAATTCAAATAGAAATGGAGCAAAATACATAAAGACACGTTTCACATACGGATGGCAAATAAGCACAAAAAGATGTACACCATCATTAGCCAATAGGGAAATGCAAATTAAAACCATAATGATACATCACTACATATGTGTAAGAATAAGTAAAATAAAAAATAGTGACAATACCAAATGCAGGTAAGGATACAGATAAACCTAATTTTGGTTGTGCTTAGGTTGTATCTATTGACTACTGAGTATGTAGCACAAGGAAATTTGCATAGTTTCATTCATTCAACAAATATGATATTGAATCAACTCCATATTCCAGGAAGTAGGCACCTGGGATACAGCTAGGAAATACATAATAGGCCCGGGAAAACAGTAGAAAACAAGGTCATTTGCTGAGAGTGAAAGGGGGACAGGAGGTTTGGGATAACTGGAGAGAGAAGATATGGAAACGGGCATCAAGGGGTTAGCAAAAGGCTCAAGGACCATATCAGGGCCTGTGGCCTATTTTTGTACCAGTAATGTGAAAAGGACATTGTTACCTTCCCCCCAGCAGTTTAAGATAATAGAGTGTAAGACTTATAGGGGAGATAAGGAAGAGGGGGGTGGGTGGGTTTCCTGCCTTTCTTTAAGTGGCTCCTGTTCTCCCAGGCTTTACCATGGAGGATGCTTTCTGAGCACTCTTGCTAATCTTTTGTCAGCACCTTATGAGGTCTGTGTAAAAATGTCTGTAAGCAATTGCAAATACCCTTGCTAACCCACACTAGGCATTTACCGACTGACTGGTGAACAATTTGAGCTGAATTCTTTACCATTGTGTCTAGTGGCATGACCCATGTAATTAAATGCTTGTTTCTGTTCTCCTTGCACATGCTTTATCTTTTTAATTTATTTTGGGTTATTTGATTGCCCTGTGACCTCAGCTCCCTGACTGCTTCAGGAAAAGTTGTAAATTTGAAGACTGTCTGGCTTTTGTTGTTGTTGCTGCTGACATTGCTGGAAGGCCACGAGCAATGTTCTTTTTGGCTTTCTACATCCAAGGGAAAGCTGACCTGACATGATTAAATCCAACTCTCCATTTTCTCCATGTTTATACTTGGGAATCTGATTATAGCTGGAGGAACACAATTCTGTTGGCTGGTTTTGTTCTCAATTCAAGACCATCCACCTCAAATGAAGCCCTTGGTGCTGCCCAAGAAACTCACATTATATCCCTAGTCTATTCATTCTGTTAGATAAGAGGTCAGCAAGCTTTTCCTATAAAGAGCCAGACGATAAGTATTTTAGGCTTTGTGAGATAGTCTCTGTCTCATACTCTTTAATGTGTTTACATTTACCCCTAGGTTTGCATATGCATGTTTGGTTTGTTTATCTATTCATTCATGCATTTGTTTGATATTTATCCTTTTTGATGTTCTCTGAGTTTCTTGGATCTGTGGTTTGGTATCTGTCACTAATTTTGGAAAATTCTCAGTCACTTATTTTTCAAATGTTTATTCTTCCTCATCCTTTCCTCTCCCACTGAGATTCTAATTATGCATATATTAGAATATTTGATATGGTGTCACAGCTCTTAGATGTTCTATCATTTCCTTCCTCCACTTTTTTTTCTCTTTGCATTCCTATTGACCTATCTTCAAACTCATTGATTATTTCTTCTGCTGTGCTGTGTCTGCTGATGAGCTCATGTAAGGCAATTTTTACTTCATTTTTTTTTATTTCTATCATTTCCCTTTGATTCTTACAGTGTCCAACTCTGCTAAAATTATCTATCTGCTCTTGCATATCATCTGTCTTTTCCATTTGGGTGTTTAAAATATTAATCATAGTTACTTAAATCTCCTGTCCAGTTGTTCCAGTATCTGTATCTTCTTTGGGTCCGCCTGATGACTGCTCTGTCTCTTTGGACTGTGCTTTTTCTTACCTTTAGGTATGCCTCATAATTTTTGCTGAAAGTTAGACATGTTGTATAAGACAGTAGACATAGAGGTCAGTATTTTTATGCTTGAAATTAAGAACATCTTTCTTACCGTTAGGTCTTTATTGTAGGGATTTGTGTTAATCTAGTTAGGGTGGGCTGGATTTGAAGTTTGTAATTGCTATAGTTAGCAAAGCTGGAGTTTGTTGCCGCTATGGACGCTAGTGATTTCAAATTCCTCTAGTGGTACCTTGTTTTGAACTTGGTTTTGGGTTTTCCTTTTTGCTGCTCCCTAGAAAGAAAATGCCTTGCAAAACTCACTCAGTCACATTCCACTGTGATTTTTACCAAAGGCTTGTTAATGTAATGGGGGAAGAGTGACAGGTTTTCTGATGTTCCAATTAAGCCTCAATCTTAGACAGGTACTGTGAATTTGTTATTTGGGGGCTGTACCCTTCATAAGTGTTCCCTCCTCAAGGAATGTGACTGTTTTTTAACATTTAGGTTTTTTTTTTTCCTGCCTGTTCTCTTTCACCAGCTTCACTGGATACCCACCAGTGTCCTCAGACAATGGGTTTGATACCGTTCTCCCTGCAGATCATGGCTTTCTTTTCCTTAGGAGAGATTTCACAACATGGGTGTGAGTAGAGTCCGAGCAATGATTGCTTTTCCTGTCCCCTAGCCAGCACCATAGGGAAAGCTTTCTCTAAATACTTCCCCAATCTTCCCTGACAGAGTCTGCTCACCTTCACATTTCATACCAGCTCACAATAAGCCTGTAGCAGTTCATTAAAAAAATTTCTGGTTTAATCTTTGTACCAGCTTATATGGCATTCAAAAGCATCTATCTCAGTCAAGCAGTTCCTATTCCAGAATGCTCAGTTCTTTGTGCTTTCTGCAGGCAACTGTCCTTCTTGAAATTTTGCGTTGGTTGTCCTCTGACCTCAGTTTTCTGAAGGGTTCAAGAATAGGTGTTATATTGCAGTTTGTCCAGCTATTTTCCTTGTTGTAGGAATGAGAGTGCCATCATTCCAGCTCTCTTCATCACCAAATTGACACCTGAAGCCTCCAGAAGCTAAATATATAAAGAATTAAGAGTTCTTTATATATTAGGTGTATTAGCCCTTTATCTGTGAGATATATTACAAATATTTTCTCCTGGCCAGGCATGGTGGCTCATGCCTGTAATCCCAGCACTTTGGGAGGCCGAGGCAGGAGGATCACTGGAGGCCAGGAGTTTGAGACCAGCCTGGCTAACATGGTGAAACCCCGTTTCTACTAAAAATATAAAAATTAGCCAGGCGTGGTGGTGCACATCTGTAATCCCAGCTATTCGGAGGCTGACGCTGGAGAATCGCTTGAACCCAAGAGGCAGAGGCTGCAGGGAGCCGAGATCACGCCACTGCACTTCAACCTGGGCAATGAAGTGAGACTCTGTCTCAAAACAAACAAAAAGAAACCAAACAAATATCTTTTCCCAGTTTGTCAACTGTCTTTTGATTTTGTTTATTTCTTTTCTTTTTTAAACTCTGCCCGGTTTTGCCTTTCCCATAGAAACCCCAATAAAAGTGATGGTCTAGGCTTTACCCTCAGTCCTGCTTCTGCCTGACCAAACTGTCTTTCTCCTGTGGCTCTGTGTGATGTGACTTGTCCTCTTCTCCAAGAAATTATTACTCATAAATTCTTCTTTAGCGGCACTGATCTATCTGTGTCATCACTCAGTCAACTGCATACATTAAGACCTAGGCACAGAACAACTCTGTTTCTATTTCTATAAAATTCTAGAAAATGCAAACTAAACCATAATGACAAAAAGAATATTAGTGGTTTCCTAGGGATGGGATGTGGGCAAAGAGAGATGAAGGAAGGAGGGATTACCAAGGAGCACAGGGAAACTTTGGGATGAGGGATATGCTCATTGTCTTGACTGGTGATGGTGTTACAGGTGGGCCAAAACTAATCAAACTTTACACTTCATCTATATGACCAGCTATCATATGTCAATTATACCTCAATAAAGCTGTTTAAAAACATTTAGGGTATATCTACTGGAAAGTAAAACTGCTTTTAATTACAGAATATATCATCACGTGCATAGAAAAATCCAAAGGATTCTACAAAAAAGCTACTAGAACCACTGACTTCATCGAGATGCAGGTACAAAGTTAATATTCAAAATCAACTATATTTCTATTCAAAAGCAACAAAAAATGGAAAAATAAAAATTTTAAAATAATACCATTTATAATAAAAGAGTACTGGGGAAGACTGTACATTGAAAAAATACGAAACATTGCTGAGACAAATTAAAAATAATCAACAAAATGGAGATCTATACCGTGATCGTGGATTGGAAAATTCAATATTGTTAAGATGTCAATTCTTCCCAAATACATGTACAAATCCAACATAATCCCAATCAAAATCACAGCAGGTTTTTTTTGAGAAATTAATAAGCTGACCCTAATATTTAGATAGAAATGCAATTTTAAAAAGGAAAAAGTTGGAGAACTATCTACTTTCAAGATTTATTCTAAAGTTACAGTAATCAAGACAGTGTGGTATTGGCATAATTATAGATCAAGAGAATAACAGAGTCCAGAAACAGATTCACATATAATGTGGTCAACCAATTTTCAACGATTGTACCGAGACAATTAATTCAATGGGGGAAAAGACAGTTACCACAATGGAGCATTTTTTGGCATTCCGAAAATGTTTTGTAACTCAATTGTGGTCATGGATATATAGCTTCATACATTTGTCAAAACTCAGAGAATGGTACACTCAAAATTGGCACATTTTATTACATGTAAGTCATACCTCAAAAAAGCTGATTTGGTGACAAAGATTTATATATGTTGTTGCTAGAAGAACAAATCCAAATGTTTATTAAACATGGAAATATATTTATCCCCATAAATAATAAGGGAGGTACAAATTAAAACAAAAAAGCATATCACAGCCATCATAAGAGTAAAAATCACAGGGTCTGACAACTCAAAATCTAATAAGGATATGAGAAAATTCTAGACAGCAGTGTGAACTGCCACATTTGCTTCAGACAGCAATTTACCAATATCTGGTAAAGCTGAAAAAGCACACACTGTATAACAACAATTCCATTTCTAGGTATATATCCTAGACAAAATATTGCACATATACAGAAGAAAACCATACAAAAATGTACATTTTAGATTACATTGCTTGTAATCAAAAATTTGGAAATAATATATTAAGATGGGGAAATACATAAACTTTACAATTCATAAAACGGTTAAAATTAAAGAAATATATATATACAGAAAGTTCAAAAATGCAATTTTGAAGAAAAAAATCCTACAGTGACACATTCAGTATGAGATCATTTATGTGGACTTAAAAGCATATAATAAAACAATCTCTGAAAACAGAGATTGGATGGATACACACACCAAATTTTAATAAAGGTATAAGTTGGACTAGGAGCAGAACAAAGGTGATTTTAACTGTATTTATAATATTTTAATTATTTTAAAATAGCTGATGCAAAAATGACAAAGATTAGCATTTATTTATTTTAAATGGTTGATCACACATATTTGAATATTATTTTCTAAGTCTGTAGCTTTAAGCATTTCAAAATCTAAAGAATAATAATTTTTAAAAGCTATAAAAATATGAATAAAGGACTAGAAAGCAGTAACTTTTCATTAATATGCTGGATTCTGAGACAACTTTAAACTCAACAGTAGTATTTACTATGGTGTCAAATTTAGCATTTATCTTGAGTTCACAAACTGAGTTCACTAATTTTGTCTCCGTTTTTCAAATTTCTAGCATTTATAGACTACTATAACAACCATACTCTTTTAGGCTAAGTGTTGGAAAATAGTAATAGATTTCTGGCTGTGTGACTAAATAAATCTTACTTTACTAACGTAACTCCAAGATCACTATTCAAGCTCATCACTCTCACTGTCCCTTCACGTGGTCATCGTGCTCACCCATGAGGTGTCCAAAGCCAAAAGCCCATCCCTATTTAGAACTTTTTGGCTCCCATGACTCTCTTTTCCATTTGGCTTGTCTATTACCCTGGCCATTATTTACACACTAAGTTTCATTCTTTGAGTTCATGAGAGAACAGTTTCTGGGGTCTTTAAATTTTAAGAGAGGAACTTATGATACTCTACTCAACTATAAGGATACATACAATTAGTAAACCTGAAACGTCCCCTCCCTTTCTTAACAAGATTGTGCTTACTATTTTTATCTGACAAAGAGGATCACTCTACAAATATTATTTGTCTCAAATTATGACTCACCTCTGGATAAAGATGGAAGCGTTTTACTGTATTAATTACAAGAGGATATTCAGTAAGCCTGTCATTCATAATCATCCACAGTCCTTCCAAAAATGAAGGTGCTTCAATGATGGTCTTGAAGTAGGAATAATAAAGTCCCTTTTTAAAAAAAAAAAAGGCACATATTGTCAATGGAATTAAAACTTTAAAATATTTATTTTTATCACTTCTTTAGAACTTTTTTTCTGAAAAAAAAAGTTAATAATAAGACTTCTTAATCACTCCTCGCTATTTTGCATTCTTGGACTTTAAAGAACACGTATTTTCAGGTGATCACTGTACTATTCTTTCAAATTTTCTATAGGCTTTCAAACTAAAGAGTTGGAGGGATGGTCAAACAATTTAAAGAGTTTCTCTAATAATGTCTTAAAATGTGTAGACAGTATATGTTTGATTTTCCCAAATCTGGTTTTATCCCCCACATTTGAGATGCTTGAAGGTTGATATCTGATTAATTCTATCATAAACAGGGATGCCTTCATGCCTCTGTACAACTTTGCATATAGAAAATTACTTTTTTTCCCATGCTCTTAGGAAATAAAATATAATGACCATAAGCATCACGAGCAAGGAATCCAGTGCTTCTAGCTTAATTCATAGCTCCATCTAATCCTCTGTGCAAAGTGAAAGCTCAATGTCAATTGACTATTGTTGCTCACAAATGCTATGTACTAAAAAGCAGCTTATTTTAGTGTCTTATACTTCAGCATATAAAATAAAGGCTTCATTGGGATAGTAAAAGTGCTGTTGAGTTAAAATTCATGGATTAACAACAGCATGTTGTGTCTTATTTCCCCAACAATTTCTTGCTTTCACTCCTAAAATCTAAAAGCAAAAAAGGGCCACATTGTTTAAAATGCATTCTCCCTAAAAAATGCTATATGCTATAATCATATCTGCCTCATCCAACACGAGTAACTACTAAATTACAGGTCTGTTTTAGCTGATGTCTGAAAGGCCATTACCTCATAGTTGATTGGCAAAATATGAATTCATAAAGAATTTTCCTTTCTGCTTAGGAGGATAACAAAGCAATACAACAATTAAAGGATATCTAATATGCAAAAGACTATATTTAGGGAAATATTAAATATATAAATAAGTTACTAATAACAGCTATTGTTTTGTGTTAAGTATTCTGCTATGTGTTGCCATTCATTATCTCCCTTCATTTTCCCTAAACCCCTCTAAGGTTGGCATTATTTCTATTGAGCAGACGAGATTACTGAGAATCTGAGAGGTGACCTGACTAGCCATCATACAATAAAGCACAGAACTGCTATTAGAATCCAGCGATCTGTCACCAAAGTCCAGACTCTGCCACAGTTACGCTCTTTATTTAATAATATTTTATATTCTGTCTTTGGAAATACCTTTAAAATGTTCAAATGTCATACATATGTTAATGTATCCAATGCTTTGAAACTTTATAGGGGCAATATAGGGATGAAAATTAAAAAGCAGTGACTGAGGGGCCTGGCATAGGCAAAATCATAGAGACAGAAAATAGAGCTGGGTGTGATTAGTGTTTAGTGGGTAGAGTTTCTGTTTGGGATAGCAAAAAGTTCCGGATGTGGACAGTGGTAATAGTTGCAAGACAACATAAATGTACTTAATCTCACTGAATTGTATGCTTAAAGGATAAACATTGAAATTTTTTATTACAAATTTAAATCTAAGTTTTACCATAATTTAAACAAAAAGCAATGGCTAGACTGAGGAGAGCCAGTTTCAATGCTTCACTAGGCGCCCGACCAGCTGTGAGCAGATCTGGAAGATGGACGGTTGTGGTGTCTTCTAAATGTAAAATTGCGCAATTTTGGCATTTGCTATCCCACTTACTCCTCACAATAATTATGTGAGATATGTACGGCAGAAAACTCCATTTTAAAGATTAAGTATTGAAAAACAGAAAATTATTTAAAAATTATATCAAAAGTTATCTCTTAGAAGAGATTATCTTGAAATCAAAAGAGAGCCAAATAATAATCGTCATCATTAAAAGGCCCAGGTAAAACATGGGATCTCCTAACTGTAGCCAAAGAGAAAGCAATTTCTGATAACATCTCATTTCATTCCCCTTTATCACTTCTTCAGTGCTTTCTTTGTCCTCCTTCCTCAGCTATTATAATTCATCTTTATTATCTTAAAAAGAAGTCTGCATTAGGAAAGGGTGAGAGATAATGAAGTAAAAGAAAAATAATCTCAAACACTTTACTATTTAAATAATAAACCTGGGTTATAGCTTATGAAACAGTGCAATTCACCAAAAGTTCATTTCAATTCCTAATACATTTCTACCTCATAGTCTCGCTATTCTTAAACCACAAATTAATTCGTTAGAAGAAGAAATCTAACCATTTTAGTGCGAAAAGTCATCTCCCATTCCAAAGATGAGAGGTGAGAGAAATGACGATCATTTTCAAAAAGTGTTACTAAATGTAACCTAGAAAAAAATTAAGTATCATATTACAATAAGAACAAGTTTCAAAACTAACAGTAAAATAAGCAATAAGAAAGCCATAAAAAAGAAAACAATAAATTATTATAATATTAATTTTATAATTTGCCTACTAACTTGTATGTTTTTAGGCATTTATAATCCAGTATGGCACACACCTGAAACTCCTTAACTCAGTGGTTTTTAAGCTTAATTGTGGCCGGGTGCGTTGGCTCATGCCTGTAATTCCAGCACTTTAGGAGCCCGAGCCCGAGGCGGGCAGATCACTTGAGGTGAGGAGTTCGAGACCAGCCTTGCCAACATGGTGAAACCCCGTCTCTACTAAAAACACAAAAATTAGCCAGCCATGGTAGTGCATGTCTGTAATCCTGGCTGCTAGGGAGGCTGAGGCAGAAGAATTTCTTGAACCCAGGAGGTGGAGGTTGCAGTGAGCAGAGATCATGCCATTGCACTCCAGCCTGGGAGTCAGATAGAGGACTCTATCTCAAAAAAACAAACAAACAAAAAAAACACCTTAATTGTATATCTAAAATTCTTGTGGCTTTTTTCACCCTTCCTTCCATCCCAGGCCTCTAAATCAGAACAGAGGCAGGTTAGTGTTTGTTTTTTAAGTTTCAAGTGATTCTAATGTACCAGCCTTGGGAAATACCTCCGTAACTGTTGAAAAGGGTTCAGAATATAATTTTAAATAAAATTACCTTAGATCAAAGCAGACTTACAATAAGTATAATATCACATAAGGGATCAACTTTCAAGTGCCAAAGAATACAGGTGTGTACTTGAAGACCTTTTAGTAGTGAAACTCAACAGCTGTCGGCAGTGAAGAAAGGAGCATATGTGATAAACAAAATTAGCTGTGGCCAACAATTATGCTATAGCTAACTTATGTAGTCAGTACTTTCCAGTGAAGTTGAAAATAAAGCAAAGTTCCATATATTAACCCTGTTTTCCACTAACCCTTCTTTACATGTAGGCTATATGCCAGGTTACCAAAAACTGCAGGAATATTCCCTACCATTGCAGCCTCAGTTCTAACATCAAAAGCTCCCTGCAGACTAAATGTCTAGAGCAGCACTGTGTCAACAGAACATAGGAGCAGATCTCATACCTTCCAAGGGTAGAAATCACTGAGCACAGGTAAAAAGAAAATATTCCAGAAGGAAGTATTATTTTACAAATTTTTATAAACATTTTTGTAAAATAATGTACACAGACTTGCACACTGAAAGACTCAGAGCCATTTAACCATATAACCACTGCAGAATCTTTATCTTCTTTTTTACCTGATTTCCAATTGGCAGGTGTTACTAAAACTTTATCACCAAAGTTATTTCACTGGCTGAGTGTGGTGGCTCATGCCTGTAATCCCAACACTTTGAGAGGCCGAGGCAGGTGGATCATTTGAGGCCAGGAGTTTGACACCAGCCTGGCCAACATGGTGAAACCTTGTCTCCACCAAAAATACAACAAATTGGCTGGGTGTGGTGGTGCACACCTGTAATCCCAGCTACTTGGAAGGCTGAGGCACGAGGATCACTGGTGCCTGTGAGGCAGAGGTTGCAGTGAGTCAAGATCACGCCACTGCACTCCAGCCTCGGAGACAGAGCAAGACTCTGTCTCAAAAAAAAAAAAAAAAGTTATTTCACTAGCAACATATAATTACCATAAAATAAAGGAAGGTTTTAAATGAACTACACATGCAAAATACACTAGAGAAGCCAGATATTTAAAGAAACGTGTGGTGAATTATTTGGTAAAGCAAAAATATTTTAATTCGTAAGTTACTATTCCCCTAATGCATCTATTTTGTAAATGCTGTTTCACATATGAGGTTTGTAAAAAAGCAAAATACATGTATAAATTGGTGCACATAAAGATGTTCTACAAATATAGCCAGAAGTTATTGTTTTACTGTATGCAAAGAGTGATGGCGATTTTTAATTCAAAAGTTTTTAAATATTTCAAACTGAAACTAAATCTTACCAATGTAGAATTGCCACAAAGATGGCTGGAATAAAAAAAAAAGGAAAGTTATTAATAGCTGCTTTATTATAAAATACCATTAAAACAAGTATTTCAAATGTATTATTTTACATGTCTAGAAAGATAGCACACAAAGCAAGACAGCCAGCTAATCCTGTCTCTATGAGCATAGGAAAAAATCCAGGACACAAAGCAAATTCTGAACAGAGCTTACCTCTCTGCAGCAGGGCTCGACAAGTAAAGGGAGAAACTTGAGAGGGTTTTTTTACTTCAGGTAATTGGTAAGAGTGATGGAATTATGGAAGATTGTGACCTTTTTTGTTTTTTTTTCAGTATTATTTTCTATTCCTTTATAAGAAATTTTTAAAAGAAGTAAGTATATACAGTATGCTTCAGCTAGTTCTAACCAAGAGGAGCCACTCTAGATCAGTTTCTCTACCATTCATCAGAAGATGATTAAACGCAGGAAATCACTTCCTCAGCAGCACATCTAAAAGCCCCAATGTGCAGCTCAACCCTTGATGAATTGCAAGCTCTTTGCAAGAGCCCAGACCTAGAAGCTACTAGATGGCCTAGGAGACTAGTCTGGAGTCACGTGGGCCAACGCCCCATGTATACATAAGACTTCACCTGGGAGCTGGGAGACACTGCTCTGGGTATGGAGCTTTTACAGGAGCTGCAAACGCAGCCTGTGCCCCTGTTTGGTTGGGGAATTGCTTGTTTTCAATTCCCCTGGAGAGAGAAGAGTGGGGAATAGAACAAGTTAAAACACCACAAACTCTGCTGTTCTTATAGAGGTTCAGCAGCTTTTCTTGAATTAATGCCCTTTAGATTGTTGTAAACCTTTGGTTAATTTCCAAAGTTTGAAGAAAATGATTTTGATAATTTTCCAAGTATTTTCATTGTCGTCATGGAGGAGTGCATTTTCTTGGCTATTCCAGAAGTCCTACCTCCCTTCTGAGATTTTATAATAGTATTTCTTATGGTTATCCCAAATATACTTGGCAAGTCATCTTATAAACCACCAATAATAGCCTCTTAAAAATTCAAAAATTACTTCACTTGGCTAACAAAATAAATGCAAATTAATTCAATAATTATTGAAGAAATTAAATTTTTAAAAATTAAAAAATTGCAATGTTGAAATTCTCAACCATGCTTACCCAGATCTTTTCCTATATTACTAACTGTCCTGGGCTTATCTTAAACACTTCCCGGAAGATTTACTTGTTTTATACCAGGATAAGCAAAGTATGGCCCATGGTGTATTTTTGGACTGTCTGCAAGCACGGTTGCTATAATTTTTAAAAGGTTGAAAACTTTAAATGGTTGTAAAGATGCTCATAACTGTTTATTAGGCTTCATTAATTTTAAAATATACAGAGACTATCCTGTTCAACTATATTTGTATCCTATTTCTAATTCTCCTAACAATTATATACACTGAAAAAACTCTTCAGATGATATATAAGGAAAAGGTCAAATATAGTACCAAATTCATCTAGCTTTCCAAAGATGCTCAAAATCTTTCTGTGTCTCTCACTCCCTCCCTTAACCCACATACCACATCTGAAAAAAATGATATGGTGTAACGATGCCAGTATTCTAAATGCTTGAAGGGCTTATCACATGCCCTTTCCAAGCTGTGACAGAAGCATGTCCCCCGGACCCCGGCATCCTATCAATCTCACCTCTGAAGGTGACCCAGCCTCATACTTCACTGAAACAAAGACCATTAGACGCCAGCACTCCCAACTTCTTTTATCTCCACTTTAACATTTCTCCATATAGTAATTCTCGCTTTTCTACTCCCTGCCATCTCAGAAAAGGAAGTCTCTCTCCTCTTTTCCACAGTTAGCTTATCAAATTTGTGCCCTTAACTCTACCCCTCCAAATATTCCAAGACTTGCTCCACTAATTATTTCCTCTCTTGGAATCTTAATCTCATCCTCTTCCCTTGATCCTTGCCCCCAGCCTTTAAAACTCCTAGACCTTAAAACACTCTCTGCGATCTGACAGCCCTTCAAACCAATATACTCCCTATCTCTCTCTCTCCTCTGGTTCAATGACAAGATTTTTGGCCAACTTCTTTCTACTCAGACCTTGCTATTATTTCCTACTAGGCACCCACAAACCCTTGCTTGTTAAACTGATCTCCTTCAAGACTCAAGAAAAGCGCCATGCGGCTCCCTCCTAGGGCTCTCCTGCCCTCTCCTTACCGATGCTGAGAGTGGTTCTGCTGGGGAACCACCGCGCCTGCAGTTCGTGCACCTCTTCCCGGAGCTGCGCCAGGGAATTACGGACGAACTGGAAGGGGTCGAGAAGGGTCTTGGCCACCACCTTTAGCTCCAAGCCTTTTCGCTTTTTCAGATTTGGGATCCTCCCCGGGGAGGACCTCCTGGCGCCCCCTGGCAGTTTCCCGCCGCCTAGGGCCGACTTTTCCACCTCCAGCTCCCGGGCGGGGGAGGCCCCGTACGGCCGCTTAGACGGGCTGGGGCGGGAAGATTGCAGCGGCTTTGGGTTTACTCCTTGTTTCTTCATAATCCCTAGTGGAGCTGGGTCAATTTCAGGCACAGCCCATCCGAGTCAGGCGAGGTCCAGAAAGGCCTGACTCGCCTGGCAGCCTCAACGGACTTGTCCCCGCAGCCGTTGACTAGCCGTTGACGAGCGGACCTCCCGGTCGTCATGGCGACTGTGAAATGTAGGGTGGAGCGCATGCGTTCGAAGCCATTCGCGCGGGCAGTCCCTGCGTGTCCCCCTGCGTGTCCCCCCACGTGCTCCCCAGCGCGCGCAGCACCCCGCCTCTGCGCTTCCCCGAGCGTGCAGCTTCCGGTGAGGGCAGCCCCACGCACAGCCCCCAACACCCTCCCCAGCGCCTGCAGCCTTCGGTGCGCGCAGTCCCCAAGCCCACATGCGCAGTTCTCACCTTGCGCGCAGCCCCACGTACAGCCCCCAACACGCTCCCAGCCCCACTGGCGCAGAACCCATCACCGCTTGCCCTTCACGCGCTTCATTGGGAGTGCAGCTCCCACCCCGAGCGCGCAGCTCCACGCAGCCTCTCCACACTCTCCCCAGCGCTTGCAGCACCCCCCAGTGCGCACAGCTCTGCCAGTAGCTTCCCGGCGCGCCGCCCCTGCACCGCTTCGGGCCATAACCTTGCTGGCGACTAAGTCTGAAGAACTTCCTGTGGTTTCATTCTTTTCTTCAGGTTTAGTCTTAGCTCTGACATTTTAACCAAAAGGTTACACGTTAATTAACGAGGTATTAAAGGGGAAGATCTCAGCTGAAAGAAATGACTGTAGGAAGTGTGTCAGGGAAGCCAACGGAACCGCTGGCCCGCCGGTGGTGCGCCCGGCATTAGGAAAGTCTCTACGATCGCTGAGGTATCGGGCAGTCAGTGCCCGTTGCCAACGCGGAGGGAACGGGCGGAGACTGCGGGCAACACGTGGCAGAGCCGGCGTGAGTCCGGTGGGTCTGATCCCAGAGCCTCAGGTTGACGCCACTTCCTTGGCACGGAACAGCGTTTACTGAATCTTAGAGCAAAATGCTTTTCCAATGAGGTTCCTCAGAAGTCATCGGCCCTAGGAGCGGTGTGCTCAAGCGCTTTCAGCACCAGCCAGGACCAACTAAGAGGGGAGCGCTTACCTCCCAGTCACCGCGCAGCCCTACAAGAGGCCAAAGCGGCTGGCACAGATGCACTGGGGCCACTGACATTTTCCATGTCCTCTGTCACGGGCCACATGCTGGAGCCCACACCGCTTCACTTGCCATCTGTTTGATGATGGATCACATTGAACTCCCATATCCTAACTCACCAGTCTAAAGCATGGCTCATTGTGGCCAGGTTAATTTTTCCTGATGCAACACAGCACAAAAATGTTCGTGGCCCACAAATCAAGTCCTAGGCTTGCTCACCAATGCCTTCAATATTTGCCCAATATACCTTTTCAACTTTAATTTCCCACTTCCTCGGGCACAAAATCTTCCATCTCAGTCATTTCAGGTGAAGTCCACAGCCTGAGACATCATAACTGCTGAATTCCTTTATTCATGTGGAAAAGCCATCCCTTGGCTTTTACATCCTTTTCTCCCTGCCCATCTGAAAGCTGTCACCTTCCAAGCCCCAGCCCATTTCTCCAGCCCATATTAATTATGCTTTTTCTGAAGGTCTAGAGCACTTAACCGACAGTACTATTTATCTTGTCACTCAGTTAAATTCAGTAAGTGCTACTACTGCTCATTTTTTGTTTTGGGAGATTTTTTTCAAGGAGCATTTCTACATTCCTGGCATTGTGTTTGGTGCTCAAAATGTTTTCTCAATTCATGCAATAACTGTATGCAAATTTTAAATCAAGCATCAGGATGTAGTTATTTGCCCAAGTTTTAACAGCTAATAAATTCTATCTGTCCAATACTGCATTTAAAATACAAAGTATTTACTGTGGTTGATGAGAATATATTCTTGAATGGCTAGGCAAACTCAAAATAAAGCACCTTATTTTAAAATATGACTGTTTTAATGTTTTTTGGAACAATAAGTGAAGTGGAGCTATTGTTTTTCTTTTTGGTCAGTTTGTTTTTTCTGGAGTTTCCAATTGCCTTTTGCATCACTTGGTGTCCTGGTGGGATACAAAATGCTCTTACCCATGGTCTAGCCCATGAAAGTACAAATCTGGTCATTTTTATCATTTAAAAAATTAATCTTTTTATAAGAATGTTCATTGTGCTATTATTTATATCGTTAAAAAATAGAAGTGGCCTCAGTATCAAACACTAAGTTATGAAACATTCATATAGTGAAGCATTACAGCCACCAAAGTCATTTTGCATGGATATTTAATGATATAGGAAAATAGTCATGATATAATGTTAAAGGAAAAAAGAAGCAGGATATATTTTATGATTCATATGTTTAGTAAACACACAAAATTAACTGTGTGCCATGTGCTGCTCTAAATCTTTTACACAGGGGACTCATATAGGAAGATTACCAATGTATGACCTTGAGCTGGTAATTTAGCCACTCTAGGATTAATTTCCTCATCTGAAAAATGAAGACAGTTATATTTGTCTTACTGATGGTATGATTGAATGAATTAATGCTTGTAAAGCATCAAAAACACACCACATGCTTAAACAAATGTTCCTTTATTATGTTCTAGACCGGCCATCCTATAGTGCACTCGTGAGTATTTTTAGGTTGGTGCAAAAGTAATTGCTATTTTTGCCAATACTTCCAATTAATATTTTGCTCACTTGGTTTCTTTGTCATCAAGTGATATGTTAGTAATTATTAAACAGTAATACATGTTTTAGGTTCATTAGTTAACTGAGAGATAGTTGCCTAAATCATTATGTATCTACTCCTACTAAGGAGAGGAGTAGATTTGTATATAAGAGGGAAATCATGACACTTAGTTTTATGTGCAGTTGAATAGAATCATGGATGTTTTCATGTTTTTACAGCTTCTGTAACAGTGGTCACTTATTTTGACCTCATTATTTTGAATGGTTATTTGAGTCACATTTTAGCTGTATACTAACCAATGACAATAACTTAAAGCAGTTAGGTTGATAATTTAATCTATGATTAATTGACAATTAAAATAGCACATTATAATTAGATAAGATGCAATATATTCTTGCATTATCTTATCATCTTTGAAACAGAGATGCCTCATGATTTATATATATATATGTTTTTTTATATATGTTTTTATTATACTTTAAGTTCTAGGGTACACGTGCACAACATGCAGGTTTGTTACATATGTATACATGTGCCATGTTGGTGTGCTGCACCCATTAACTCATCATTTACATTAGGTATGTCTCCTAATGCTATCCCTCCCCCTCCCCCCACCCCACGACAGGCCCCAGTGTGTGATGTTCCCCTTCCTGTGTCCAGGTGTTCTCATTGTTCAATTCCCACCTGTGAGTGAGAACATGCGGTGTTTGATTTTTTGTCCTTGTGATAGTTTGCTGAGAATGCTGGTTTCCAGCTTCATCCATGTCCCTACAAAGGACATGAACTCATCATTTTTTATGGCTGCAGAGTATTCCATGGTGTATATGTGCCACATTTTCTTAATCCAGTCTATCATTGTTGGACATTTGGGTTGGTTCCAAGTCTTTGCTATTGTGAATAGTGCCGCAATAAACATATGTGTGTATGTGTCTTTATAGCAGCATGATTTATAATCCTCTGGGTATATACCTAGTAATGGGATGGCTGGGTCAAATGGTATTTCTACTTCTAGATCCCTGAGGAATCGCCACACTGTCTTCCACAATGGTTGAACTAGTTTACAGTCCCACCAACAGTGTAAAAGTGTTCCTATTTCTCCACATCCTCTCCAGCACCTGTTGCTTCCTGACTTTTTAATGATCGCCATTCTAACTGGTGTGAGATGGTATCTCATTGTGGTTTTGATTTGCATTTCTCTAATGGCCAGGGATGATGAGCATTTTTTCATGTGTCTGTTGGCTGCAAATGATTTAGCTTTTTTTTTTTTTTTCTCAAGATAGGGTCTCACTGTCACACAGGCTAAAGTGTGATGGTGCTCACTGAAACCTTGAACTCCTGGGCTCAAGGGATCCTCCTGCCTCAGTCTCCTGAGTAGCAAGGACTACAGGTGCAGGCCACCACACACAGCTAATTTGTTTATTTTTGTAGAGATGGGGTATCACTATGTTGCCCAGGCTGGTCTAAAACTCCTAGCCTCAAACACTCCTGCCGCCTCTGCCTCCCAAAGTATTGAGATTACAGGTATGAGCCACTGCACCTGGCTGCAAATTATCTGTCTTACATAGAAATCTCTAATCCGGTTATGGATATCTAAAACTTGCCTCAGTTTTTCCTTTGTCTTTTAGTAAAACAATTGGGAATTTTAAAAAATGCAATTAAACTATGTAACCAGCAGATGGCAATAATGATCTGTAAATCAAAATTTCAAAACTTAGTTACTTATTAAATTCATTCTTTAAAAAAAATCACTGTTCTTATAATAAATCCATTTACTAAATATGAAATGTAGGAAAATTCCAAATGTAACCCCACATAAAAATTACATTGCATATTTCATATGTCAAAATAATTAACATATTCATCATGGCCAAGATTTAGTTTTCCAAATAATAATGACTTTGTTTTAATTGATTCGAATAATTTATTAGATTTAAAGTTTTAACTTTGCACAAATACATAGATATAATTTAAGTGGATAGTTAAGTTCCATCTCTAGCCTCCAGGCTAGATAGAGGTGGTTTAGCGAAGACCATTTTGAAAACATTACAAACTTTTCCGGTTATAATTTCGTAATTTAAAATATGAATTTCACTTTAATTGAAACTTTCTGCATAAAAGATTGGTTTTTATTTGTGCTGTCTCATAATTTCTTATGCATTAAGATACTTTTCCCCCTTTGTACCGTGCAAGGAGTTGGAATTGGCACCAAAGTATTAGTTTGTACTTTATCAGCATTAGTTATTCCCAAAGATGGTGGCAAAATTCTTAGGATCTCATAGTTATTTTATTTAGTAATTTTATTTATTTTCATTATACCTTTCTAAGACTTTTTCTACAAATTCAAACATGAAATACATCCTTTGTTTAATTTTGTAGCTCCATTTTTGCCTTCAAAAATAGGATAGCCATAGGTATGTTCTTCTTGGAGCTTACTTATTCTCTAGGTAATTTCAAATTGGTCTGCTTATAAATGTTAAAAGATCCTTTCAAATTCTTCTTCAGCAAGTTGCCTCCACTAAAAAAAGTGTCTTTGGACGTGTGTATTTTATAAAACAACTGCTTCAGTCTAAAACCTTTCTTGGATTTACATATCTTGGATTGACTCATTTTTAAATAGCATATTTGCTGCTGTCGAATTACTTTACAGAGCCTCTTTAAATTCATATTGGATGCAGGTCTTCATCAAGGAGAAAGTGGAAAGACACCAACTTGCCGTGAAGCATACAGCAAGCTTAGATGTAAATGCATCTGTAAGTGATACTTTGCATAATGCTGTCTTTTGGACTATGGAAGAAAGGCATCTGTAATAACAAGTTGGAATTTCCAAGAGTTCCAATCTATTTTCTGTGTCCATGAGGGGGCTATCCACTCCCCACTCCTAACCCCCCAAAAAAAACCCCAAAACCAAAAAACTAGAGCTCTGTAAGCCACCCATGCCCCGGTCGTGTAGTGCTCCAGGCCTATGTCAGATACGACATACCTTATAAACAACTCCAGGCCTTTATCAGATAAGACATGCCTATAAAGGCGTGTCTTATTCAAAGGGAGGGAGGTGATCCATAAATTAACTGGGAGATTCTTTCAGCTCCAAGTAGAGAGACTGCACAATTCAATAGTATATGCACATTCATTTGAACCAGATTGGTACTCAGTTATCACTGTTAAATGACTTAACCAACATATACACAACAATACTTATATACATGTACCACATCCCCAAATCTACAAAATCCATTTTTCCCTGGATTTGATGGTAATATACCATGTACAAACTCCATCATATTGAGATTATTTTTATTTACCACCAAAGTAACTAATGTAAGAATTACTACATTCAATATTAATAAGCAAAAGCCTCTACTATGTTAGTCCATTTTCCCCATTTAGTAAAAAAAAAAAGTGCAGCTTGCTGCCAGTGCTCATTTAATTTTACATAAACACTTTGAGGCTGAAGCAAATCTGACTGATTTTCAACATGAAAATAAAATATAAAAACTGTTCTTAGAGTTATTTATAAACAGAATTTGTCTCTAATCCTAATGTAACAGAAATGTAGATGATGATGTTACAGTAGGATTAGAGATGAGTATTTTTGGGGCAAACAGGAAATGATTTAAAGAATGAGTTTCAGAATATTTATGGGCAGATTAAATGCAAAACATAGTAAAAGTGCCAATGATACATAATGAATCTGTGTGCTGTATTTTACATAATATAATATTTTAGGTTGATTTAAGATTGAACTTTGATTATAATATAGAGTTGAAGATATATCACTAGACTAGGCCCAGTATGCTTTGGCCAATTTACTTTGTTTCTCTAGTTCTGATTTCCTCAACTATAAAATACTTTGGATGACATGGCCTAAATAAGGTCTTTTAAACTTACTTGATTCTAGTTGGTATTTGTACAAATATTTAGGTAGATGCACCTGCTAAGTCATACAGTGGCCTGTACTAAGATCTCTTTTTACCACTTTTTTCCTTCCCTCCTCCTCTGCCTCCAGCTATGTGTTCAGACTCCACCCTGAGGGTCTTACTCTGCAATCTATCCCACAGTTTGTCCTCTAGTACCTACACTTGTCATTGCCCACCCAGAGGGCTGAGCTCATCTCTCTCTCATCTCTTCGGCCCAGCCCCAACCTGGCCTCCCCCTTATCCCTGAACTTTATTCCTCTGATTCCTTCTCACCTGCACTGCCCAGTCTCTAAGTAGGGTGGGCCTCCTTGTTCCTATTTTCTAATTACTTCTATCTACTAGTAGCCTAAATGGCAACTAGAGAATAAGGAGGAGAGTGAGACAGCCCTAAATAAATAATAAGTGTTTACATCAAGACCACCAGACTTGTTGGGGGCAGCAGAGCTCTGCTTTCGCATAAGTATGGACCCATCCCCTAAAGATAAATATGAAACTTTAAAATGCTCTCATCTTTGGTACCATCCGTTGAAACCCTTTTTGAGATACTTATTAGTGAGAATTTATAATCCATTAGTAGAAAAACCATCGAGTTTTGCAGCTTTCATATTTCTTAATTAAGGCTGTATGCCTGGGTTCAAAAAAAGCAAGGTAGACTTTTTTTTAAAAAATTAAAATTTGGAAATATTTAAAGGGCTAGTGCAGTGTCTTAGTTATAAGTGTTAACAGAATTTAAATCTTCACTATTCCTAAAAGAAACCCCATACCTACTTGCAGTCATTTCCATTCCTCCCTCCTTCCAGCCTCTGGCATGCACTAATCCATTTTCCATCTCTATGGATATTTCTATGCTGGACATTTCACATGCATGGGATCATATAACATGTAATCCTTTTTGACCAGCTTCTCTTAGCATCCTGTTTTCAAGGTTCATCCATGCTGTAACATTTATCATACTTCATTTTTTATAGCTGAATAATCTTCCATTATATGGATATGCCACATTTTATTTATCCATTTGTCAGTTGATGGGCATTTGGGTTGTCTCCACTTTTTGCCTATCATGAATGATGCTGCTATGAACATTCGTGTACGGGTTTTTGTGTGGACATACCTCTTCATTTTTCCTGGGTGTACACCTAGGAGTGGAATTGCTGGGTCATATAGTAAGTAACCTTTTTTTATCCTTTTCACGAATGGCCAGACTACATCATTTTATATTCTTACCGACAATATATAAGGGTTCCAATTTCTCCGCATCCTTGCCAACTTGTTATTGTAATTATAATTATAGCCATCACAGTGGTTCTTACGCGGTATCTCATTGTTGTTGTTGTTTTACTAAGAGGCTATTTTTAGAGCAGTTTTAGGTTTACAGAACAATCGAGTAGAAAATCTAGAAGTCCCATATATCCCCTCTCCCCCACACTGGCAGTCTCCCCTATTATTAAACTACTGCATTATTGTAGTGCATTAGTTACAATTGATGAACCAATATTGGTGCATTATTGACCAAAAAGTCCATTGTTTACATTACAGCTTACTCTGAGTTGCACAGTAGTATGAGTTTTGACAAATGCATGATTTCATGTATCTACTACTACAGTAGCATCACAGAGTTATTTCACTGGCCTAAGTATCACCTGTGCGCCATCCCTTCATTTCTCCCTCTTTCCCCCCAAACCGTGGAAACCACCAATCTTTTTACCATCTCTGTAATTTTGCCTTTTCCAGAATGTCATATAATTAGAACCGCCCAGTGTATAGCTCATTTTTCACTAGCAATATGTATTTGAGATTCCTCCAAGTCTTTTCACAGCTTGATAGTGCATTTCTTTTTATTGCTGAAAAATATTCCATTGTATGGATAATGGATGTACCACAGACTGTTCATCCATTACCTATTGAAGGACATCTTAGTTCTAAGTTTTGGCAATTATGAATAAAGCTGCTGTCAAGAGTCATGTGCAGATTTTTAAGTGGACATAAAATTTTAACTCACTTGGGTACATACCCGGGAACATACTTGCTAGATCATATGATAAGACTTTGTTAGTTTTGAAAGGAATTGACAAACTTTCTTTTTAAATGGCTGTACCATTTTGCATTCCACCAGCAATGAATGAGAGTTCCTATTGCCCCACATCCTCACCAGCATTAGCATTGCTAGTGTTTTGAATTTTAGCTCTTCTAATAGGTATGTAGTTGTAGCTCATGTTTTAATTTGCAACTCCCTAATCACATGTGATGTTGAGCACCTTTTCATATGCTTATTTGCCATCTGTATATCTTTAAGTATCTGTTCAGAGAGATCCTTTGCCCATAATTTGTCTTTTCCTTACTGTTGAGTTTTAAGAGCTCTTTGTATATTTGAAATACGAATCCTTTATCAGATATGTTTTTGCAAATATTTACTCCCAGAGTGTGGCTAGTCATTTTATTCTCTTAACAATGTTTTTCACAGAAGTTTTTAATTTTCATGCAGTCCATCATGTTAATTTTTTTGTTAATGGATTGTACTTTTGGTGTTGTACCTAAAAAACCAAAACTACCTAGATTTTCTCCTGTTACTTTCTAGAAATTTTATAGTTTTGCATTTTGTATTTAAGTCTATGATCCATTTAAGTTAATTTTGCAAAAGATTTAAAGTCTGTGTTTAGACTTATTATTTTGCATGTGGATATTCAGTTGTTCTAGTACCATTTGTTGAAAAGGTTATTATTTCTCCACTGAATTGCCTTTGTTCCATTGTCAAAGATCATTTAACCATATTTATGTGGGCTTAGTTCTGGGCTCTCTGTTCCATTTATCTAATTGTCTATTCTCTTGCCAATAGTACACTCTTTATTACTATAGTTCTGTAGTAAGTTTTGAAGTTGGGTAGTGTAAGTCCTCTGACTGCTTATCTTCTTTAATACTGTGTTGGCTATTTTGGGTATTTTGCCTTTAAATAAACTTTAGAATCAGTTTGTTCTTAGCCACAAGTAACTGGCTGGAATTTTGGTTGTGTTTGCACTGAATATATAGATCAAGTTGGGAAGAACAGACATCCTCACAATATTGAGTCTACCTATTCATGAACATGGACTATCTCTCCATTTATTTAGATCTTCTTTGATTTATTTCATCAAAGTTTTGTAGTTTACCTTATATAGCTTTTGTGAATATTTTGTTTATATCTATTTGTTGTTTTTTCCTTCTTTAGTGATGATATAACTGTTGATTTCAAATTCCAACAGTTCATTTCTGGTATATAGGAAAGCAACGGTCTTTTAAAGTATTAATCTTGTATCCTCTAACCTTGCTATAATTCAACCTTGCCATAATCACTTATTAGATCTATGAGTTTGTTGAAAGCACATTATTTTCTATTTTTTAAAAATATCAATAAAAATAGGAAGGAAAAGATCCATTAAAACTCCAAACAAACCGAACAAATAAACCCACTTGTATTGCGCATGAGTAACATAACTATCCAGGAGGACAAAAAATGAATTAATCAAAGTAACTGCTGAACATATCATTTGGCTATATACTGTTAGTTGAGTAGCACGGAAACAACGCAAACAAACCCTGACCTCTTTTTAGAAGGTTTGTGTATTGTAGTTGTACAGGTGAAGCAATCTGAAATTAGTTTTAAGTGTATGGTAGAGTTGAGTAAATAAATACGTTGAGGTAATTGTTGAGCCTTCTTCCACTGTATTCCATACAGATATCGAATGGGGCAAAGCAAGAAAAGAGGACTCTGTGGGAGTGCATTGGAATTGGAGGTATCAGTATGAATTCATGATTTCTAATACAATAGGAATCCTTTTGCCATGAAAGACAAAGACAGGCTGAAGAGCTATACTATATTTAAGGAGACTAAAGTAGCATGAAGACTAAATGCAATATGTGATCTTGAAGTGGATCTGTACTGAAGAAAAGATATGCTACAAATGACATTACTGGGTAATTTGACAAATCTGGAATACAGATGATACGTCAAAGTACTGCATCATTGTTAAATCTCCTGAAGTTGCTAACCCTACTGTGATTATTTAGTGGAATCTTTTTTTTAGGAAATACACTTTCAATTATTTAGAGATAATGGGGCATGACATGCTACTTACTCTCAAGGGGTTCAGAAAAATAATTTGTATATATTACACATGCATGTGCATGTGTGTTTATGCACACACTACTCACTGTAAATGCACATGATAAAGTAAATAGGGCAAAAGGTTAACAATTGTGAATCTGCATAAAGGGTGTACAGAGTTTCTTTATGGTCTTCTTGCAACTCTTCCTTAAGCATGAAATCCTTCCAAATAAAAGATTTCTAAAAGGTTGGTGTTAGGCATGCACAAAAAAATTAAGGGTAATAGAGTAGACTTTTGAAAGCAGGGGGTAATGATAACATCAAATATTTTGAAGGACTGTCATGTGGAAGGAGGATTAAGACTTATAATTTGGCTAATCTTATTTGGTGTCATTCTGCTTTGTGTAATATCATCACAGCATATCCAAGTGCTCATGGCTGAAATGAGATACAGGCGTTTTTAAGTTTTATGGAGTCTTCAGTATAATTCAGTACAGAGAGGTGCAAAATCATGTGATTCTGAGGGTTCATTGGGTAGCATACACGAATGAAGGGGACTGGGTGCAGAAAATGGAAAATAGTGGGAACTTGAGAGCAATGTCTTTTCCAAGGCTTTCAAATGCAACTAAAGACAAACTCAAAATACTATGCAGTAATCCCGGGCTGTGTCCAGCCTGTGAGTGGCCAGCTGGGACCCACAATCTTATCTAATCCTTTTTGTCAGGTGAGGAAACAGGTACCAAACATCATAAAACAGTGTCAGTGAATGAAAGGTGTAAATGGGTGCAAATGTATTTTTAAAAAAACACCACTTTTAATGAAAGAAACTAATATCCACACATTTGTACTTATGTACAATTGGGGTAATATATAATTTTAAGCTGTTTACAAATAATATGTAATGCTTCAAATATTACATAAGGTTGATAATATATTTCTAGCAGAAATAAATATATTGCACTTAAAAAGAACTGCATTAGATGTTACTTCATAGTATTAGGCTTATAACTTTTTTTCATAAAACATTTCCCATGCCCTTCCCCCCACCCCCAGCACACATATTTCATTACAGTGACTGTTCTCACGCAATTCATTAAGCAAATGAACACAGCAAACAACAGAACTGTGATAGTGTCTACTAAAGAGGCTATATCCAATTTTATCCTTTAGGAAATAAAACAATTTCTTTTATGTTTCTGAAAATAAAGGAGGAAAAAATCCAACTAAACACAATATTTTAATGAACCAGAAGTAAAATACAACTTGTATTTTTTGTCCATATGTATTATTTCACAAAAAAATGATTTTGTTTTCTTATTATCAAGATATTTCGTTTAAAAAGGAGAGGGTAATGAAGTTATTTGAGGGAGGGACAGAGAAAGACGGGCTAGAAAATACATATGGAATATTTACCTATCAAATATTTATAAATAAACCTTTCCATATGTAAGCATTCTGAAGAAAGGTAAGTCTTGGAATATTATAATTGGCATAGAATATAAGTAGCAAAGAAAGGATTTATGGTTTTTTAAAGTTTAAGGAGTTTGTAACCTTCCCTTTGCATGTTTACAAAAAAATCTGTACATTGGCACAGCTCTTTAAAGGAGAAAGCTGAAAATCTTATCATCTGTCCAGTGATTTGTCTAGATTTAGGGTAGAGTATTGCTTTGTTTGTAATAATTATCAATTTCCTACATGTTTAATAGTGACAACAGTTTTTCTTACTTAGTCACTGGAAGATTAAGTTGTTTTTCTTGCAATTTGTTACTCTGCACATTACATAACTGGATTTTTTGAACTTTTTAGTTACTGAGTCATGGCTAAGCTTGACTGAGTATTTAATGGGGTGTAAAGTCATTTCATCCTCTTTATTCAAAAGTGATTTTTCTCAATATAAATCAGCTTATATATAAGCAGGACAGCCTGAAAAGCTACTGTGAAATACAGAAATAGGATAAATATCCTAACACCTCTTTGAAAAAGGCAGCATGGGATGAAGATAATTTACTTCTAAGAATATTTATTCCTTTGCCTTTTAGAGGGTCTTCTTTTTTGGTGGGGAGGGAGCAGTTGGAGAGGAAAGTGTGTTGTCGTGGCTGGAGAAGCAAAATGACAGAGATATGGATAAGAGGGGAGACCTTTGAATGCCCCAGAAGTCAATGTAACTCCTATAATAAAGCCCTACACAGGGCCTTCGCTAGATGATGACTCATCAGGAAGCTTCTTAATATCTCTTACTCTGTGCCCACCTACTAGGAATGATGATAGGCCTTCTGGACAAGTTACCATTGTTATTAACTCAAAAGATCCAGCAATACAATATAAGCTCATTAATCTACACCTTGTTAACTAATAATCTGTGATGTGTTAGACAAGCTGGATATGTTTACCTATATATTGCTAAGGGTAGACAGAGGAGAGGAGAAGACTAAGTTAGTAAAAAAAAAAAAAAAAAAAAAAAAAAAATTGAGGCCGGGTGTGGTGGCTCATGCCTGTAATCCCAGCACTTTGGGAGGCCGAGGTGGGTGGATCAGAAGGTTAAGAGATCGAGACCATCTTGGCCAACATGGTAAAATCCTGTCTCTACTAAAAATACTAAAATTAGCTGGGCATGGTAGCGCACACCTGTAATCCTAGCTACTCAGGGGGCTGAGGCAGGAGAATTGCTTGAACCCAGGAGACGGAGGTTACAGTGAGCCGAGATCATGCCACTGCACTCTAGCCTAGCAACAGAGTGAGACTCCGTCTCAAAAACAAAACAAAACAAAACAAAACAAAAAAAAGACCTTGAATCTACTCAGAATTATTGATATTTTAAAAACAAACCACAACTGCAAAACCTATTAAGTTCTGAATTAATTCCTCAGGATTAGATAAAGCAGGTCTGGCAGGACCTCTTTTTAGCAGCACTTCCCATTAGCCATGCTTTTTGACACTATAATATACTCGGGGGGCGGGGGGAGTCGTGGGAGGAACCCTGAATATATTCTAAATATATTATAATTCATGGCCTTTATTATTCAATTGGCTTTCCCATTAAATAGGTAGTTCTTGAAATTACTTTTGCCAGAATGGGCTTTGGAATTTTAAATACTAAACTCCCAAGGGTTTAATAAGAATCAATGACCAGGATACCTCAGAAAGGCCCAGGGAGGGGAAATTTCTACCCCTTGGTTTCCATGGATCAAGTGACTCTGATGAGGTTAAGCTCTATTTCACTTGTGCTTCTTTTCTCTGGTTCGAATAATACTTAAAAATATATACCCAATTTAGAATTTTAGGTCTGACTAGTCTTTGTTTTCTCTAAGCACTCTTATTTATAGTCTTATATTGCTTAATTACAAAATAAAATTATGAAGTCAGGAAATACTAGGTAAAACCATATTCAACAAAAACACACAAATCTCTTTGAGACACACAGATTGGTAGAAATGTCAAAACAGTATGTATTAAAACAATCTTTTCATCCTCTTTGAAAATAAAATTCAGATACAGATTCACCTTAGTAGACCAGTAATTTATCAGGGTATTGAGTAGCCTTATGTAAAACAGCATCTTTTGTTATTCCTGCTTTAAGCAGCAGTACTCTATATTCAAAGGAGCACTGGCAACAGGCCAGCTATTAAATAGTAAACCCCTATCCTAGCTCTATGGATAGTTTAAACATTACTCATAACTGCTTTTTTAAAGAAATGCACACCTGTACTTTGTTTGAAAACAAACTACCTATGGATACTACAGCATAACATGCAACAAGTTAAAAATTGGCCCACAGTGTTTGCTGTAGGATCGTGAGATGCTTTGTTAACGCAGCCCATGCTTTTCTGTAAGTAAACTTTGGAGTACAGTGGAGAATAGCAAGGGCAAAATCCAACAACAGCATCACCTAGACAGGCTGTGCCATGATGCCTTGTTTCACAAGCTGGAAGTGCCCAGAAAGGCATGTGATATGAAAAAGGCTAACATTAAAACCACCAAATAAAATCCCACGGGAGTCTGATGTGATAAGTATATTGCATTTCCCCCCAAATACACTTCTACTGTCAGTAGAAATATTTCCCATCCCTTTTAACAGATTCAATACTTTTGTAGCAAGAAGAGTAGAATGAATATTACATATAAAAATTAAATTAGAGTTTTGGAGAAATTTTCTAAGACGACAGGTTGCATCCTGTAGTTGAAGTGCATTAAATCTAAAGTTGAAAAACTATTAATTTCATTAAAACTATGTTATTAGGGAAATAAATTGTTGCAAAATGCCAAATGTGTTACCCTGACTGTAAATGCATATATATATATATATATATGCTGTTCAAAAACAATATACAGGTCATATATAACTAAAATATTTGTTACTATTATAAACATTAAAGGAAGGCTTAAGAAGATAGCAAAAGTTGAAAATAAAGTGGAAGAATGCTTTAGATTACTTATAAGAATTGCCAACATTTCAGTTATGGAGCCATTCCATTATCAAGCAATTTAAGATTACAGACCTAGCAAAATGGTAAAGGAGTCACTAAATGTAACACAGTAAGGAAAAAGGCCAAATTAGATGTATGGACACATTTCCACTCAGGAACATAAGTTAAATCATGGCTATCCTGGCATTTAGAATGGTCATTCTCAAATCCTTGTCAATCAGCGGCAGCAACAACAAAGCAGATTTACTGAAAATGAGAATTTGTCCAGATGCATTTTAACATCCACAAGGTCTTCCAAAACTGAAGTGAAAATGAAGGGATCTCTGGCACCAACGGCAGAGAAATCCTTCTGGAATAGAACAACCATCCTTCTGTTGCAGCTGTAAGTGAAAGCGAGCCTCACATAACATCATGCCTAGGCTTTGGAGTGTTCCTCAGTGAATTAGTCAGTAGTGTGTTTAGAATGCAGCCCAGAAAAATCAAACTTCAGTTTTACCGTGTAATATAGAGAGGCTCTTGCTTCAAAACTGTATATGGAAGATTTTTCCTCCATAACTCTAGCCCCAACCCTAACTCTGGCAAGTATTTGCAATAAAGAGAACTAGGAAGAAAGAAGACTGTGAAAACTGAGCTTATTGGTTACTGGCCCTTCAATATTACAAACAGAACTTTGTGAGGTCATTACCGTGTATTCATCCACAAAACAGGATGCATTAGCATTATCTCAGCTCCTTCCCCAGCAGACTAACATAAAAGAAAACTAAACATGCTTATGCTACAGCACTACAAATATTTCTCTACTGGCTCCCATTTTCTACAGGGATAAATTGACTTCAGTTAGTCATTATGGTCAGTATGCTATATAGTATGGCCTCTTTGAAGATTCTTTTATCCTGTGAAAAGCAGGAAGAAACCCTACACACAATGATTTTATACATTACTGCATGAACACAGCGTTTTAACCATGAGGAATAATGCACTTTAAGATTCATCAGCCTTGTATTAGTAAACTTTCAGGCTGGCTGAGAACTTTACATGGATTCTCTCCTGAACCCAAGAGCTGTCCCTCAGATGAATCCTGGTCCGTGGTGCATTCCCTCAGTGGTAGGTTTTATTGTGAGTCTGGCTCTCCTCTTTGATAGGTCCTGTGTCTCCTGGAAAGCCCCTGCTCCGATACCCCACATCCCACCCACCCAGCCCTGTCCTATATTTCCATACCCACTTGCACATTCTGGATCTGGATTCTCCCATTTTTAGAAGAGTCATACAAATGGCGTCATCACAGCAGAGGAATGGCGTAGTCCTTGAATGGCAGCATAGGGCCCCTGCTGAAAATAGTGATGGTATCGCGGCATGTGGAATGAAGGGAATGTGGGGCCACTCCCTTGCATGGAGCTGGCAATGGCCGATGGTGTCAGAGGCATTCCCAGTCGGCTATATGGTGGCAGAGAACCCTGGATGGGGTGAGGAATGGGTGTTGCTATGGATGCTGTGCTGGTGCCAAGAGCAGTCAGGGACTGTGGGTGCTGAAACCCAGGAAAACTGGAAGAAGATGATACCCAGGAGCTGAGAGACAAATTATCAGATGTTGTAAAGGCTGACCCTGTAAGGAAAAACACTCATTAGACTGGAAACACTGTGTCAATGTACAGATCAAGAATTAAATTATCTGTAAAGATCAATTTGTGTTTAAGAATATTTAATACGTCTGTAATTTAGAAAGACAAACACATATGAGATCTGTCACGAGGCAAATCTACTTTTCTAGGTAAGAAGATGATATTTACACCTTGCATGGAATAGAGAATTTACTAAATGGAAAAAGACAACTCATTGGATAGCCTGTACACTCCCACAGACTGGCCAAAACATTAATACCCTGCCTGCAGGTAATGACCTGATTCTCTTAAAAAAAGCTGCAAATACCTGATATCTGTTCTGACCTCTGTAGTGTCCTAAGGAAGGCTGAATGTAAGAAATATCTACCAAGCTGTCTGGTTTCCAAAACTGTTGTGAGAACCTAAGAAAGTAAGTTTTCCCACCACAGCATCCAGAAATTTAGAATAGAGTTGACAATGAATTTTCTGACTGTATACAGTTGTCCCTTGAACAACAGGGGTTAGAACAGCACGGGTCCACTTACATGCAGATATTTTTCACTACAATTTACACTGAGTAGGCCTGACCCCTCTTGCCTCACTTTCACCTCCTCCACCTCTTCAGCCTCTACAACCTCCGAGACAGCAAGACCAACCCCTCCTCTTCCTCATCTGCCAACTCAGTGTGAAGATGAGGATGAAGACCTTTATGATGATCCACTTCCACTTAAGGAATAGTAAATATATTTCCTTTCTATGATTTTCTTAATAACTTTTTCTCTAGCTTGATTATTAGAATACAGAATGTAATACATGTAACATACAGAATATGTGTGAATTGACTGTTTATGTTACAGGTAAGGCTTCTGATCAACAGTAGGCTATTAGCAGTTAAGTTTTAGGAAGTGAAAAGTTATATGCACGTTTTGGACCACACAGGAGTTGGTTCCCCAACCACTGTGTTGTTCAAGAGTCAACTGTAATACTAGTGGTTCACTTGGACTGAGTAATAAGAAATGTCCTATGTTTTCACAGATTATATAATTTCATATTAAGGACATAAAACAATGCAGAGGACTCTCTCCCCATACGAACTTTACTGTTCCCAGAATGGAGCCCCTCTGGGCTCTTTTCTCTGGACTCTCTTCCCAGATGCAGAGGGCTGCTCTCTAAGCCTTGGGAACAGAGAAACTTTGTTCAGTTCCTGCTGTCAACACTGGGGCCACTTCCTCTATGTAATATCCTTCATTAGGACAATCCTCTTTTAAAAGTGTTTTCTATTTTGGTCTTTGATTCTAACAAATTATACCTGACATAGATGGAACAGATATATTCCCTGACTTTCAGATTATGAAACTGAGGTTCAGAAGGACTTGGTGACTGCCCCCAAAGTTCAACAGCTCTTATGTACTAAGTCATGGACAAGTAACTCCTGATCCCTGACTCAAAGGCTCAGTATTCTTTCACTTAAAAAAAAAACAAACCATAGGAAACCTGCAGGCAGCATCATCGCCTATGATTCAAAGGCAAAATAATGAAATCTGTGAGGATCAGTGTCGGGGCTCTCCCTTCCCAAGGAGGCTCCTGAAATCCTTTCCCGGCATCGTGTACTCTGAGGACTGGCCATCTCATCAACGACCTGCCCCCATTCTCCTTTAGGTGCTCTGCCTCCCAGCAATTCCATGGCCTTGGAAACTACCTTACCTCGATTTGGGGTTGTCTGACTCTCATCCCCCAAGACATCTTCTTCTCCTCCGTAGGTACGGATGGGTGAGCGTGCATAGGAATGCTTTTGAATCAGGCTCTCCACACTTTCCCTAGGTTAGAGTGACATATCACAGGTTAAGTAAAATGTAAAGGACTCAGAGATACAGAGAGGTCTTAGAGGTAACTCACTAATCAGTAAAACCATTTTCTCAGCCAAAAAGCAACCACTGCACAGAAAGATGAAATTCAAAACATGTACATTTATTCTGTTGTACAGTGACTCCTCAGAGACATGACCTCAGGTGTATGACTGCAAGCAAACATGACTGACTAGGACAAGGACAATCCCCTGAAATACTTTAAAATGAAGGACAAAGGGGTGAACAGGAGCTATGAAACCTGACCACAAGAATATGAAATTCCATGATGTGAAAAATAATGAGTGAATGAATTTACTGCAAGGAGCTGCAATGACTCTTCTTACTGACTTCATCAGCTAACAAATACAAAACAAATACTCAGTTGATACAAATTGCACTGATCCAACAACCAATGAAATGTTGGCAAAAAGTTCAAATTATCATTAGTCAGCGAAAGACTCTAATATTCACCAAGAAATCAAACAAATTCATAGATTATAGTACAATATAGATAGTTTGGGTAATGAACACTAAGATCCTTGTTGCTGTAAGACTGAAAATTACAAAAAACCCATGAAGAAAACACAAATGACCAATAAGGAGTTTTAGCCTCTAGGTAAATTGGTACATTGTCTTGTAGATGGTCTTCCTCCTGTAACATAGTCTATCAACCAAACAGTGAGGTTAACTTTAAAAAATAAAAAAAAAATTTGGCATTGGACAATTTGACCTTCTGCTTTTAAAAAAAAAAAAGCCAGTACAATTTTAGCCAATTTGTTCGCCAAAAGTGCATACTGATAACAGATTAGTCTGCATGGCACACATTTCTGGAACAGCTGTGGCCCAAAGACCAATGCCAAATTGACCAGCAAAGGACAAAAGAAGACTTATAAAATATGTGTTAAATGAGGAAGGACAACCAAACACCACATTTCATATTGAGGGAATAAGCAAAGCAAATAAAATGTCATAATAACTTTTTAAAATGTTAACACTTGTCAACATTTCACATAAATATGCAAACTTTACCTGTGAAAAATTACTACCTAATTCATAGTAAATTTGGTGTTGTAGAAAGCTTATATACCCACATAGATGAAGGCATTTTATAATATATAGTATGACTATGACTATGAGGACTTAAGGATATGCCTAAAAGGAAAATTAACTCTGCAACTATTTAAGTTACATCTCTATTCTCAAATTATTTTAGAGTAAGAATAAAGTACCACCTCTTATAGTCAAAATAATTAGGATCCAGATCCACTGCATTAACACATAGGTGTCAAAAAGAATGAGGTCATTCCATATGTATAGATATGGAATAATTTTCAAGATATAGTAAGTGAAAAAAGTAAAATACAGAATGTTATGTAAAGTATGCTACCATTTGTGAAGTTAGAACACAGGATATGTATGTTCATATATGCCTGCATGTGCACAGGATTTCTAGAATGTTCCAGTTTCCAGAACAAGAAACTGCCTAGAAGAGGTTGCCTCTGCAGGGTGAAATCAGGGACTTGAAGGATTAGAGTAGTGATTCTCAAATTTGTGTGTATGTTTGAATCAACTAGGGATCTTGAAACAAACAAACTATATTGAGATATGATTAAAATACAAAAAGTGGCACACATTTAAAGTGTATGGGGCCGGAGCCGGGGCCGGTGGCTCACACCTGTAATCCCAGCACTTGGGGAGGCCCAGGCGGGTGGATCACCCAAGGTCAGGAGTTCAAGACAAGCCTGGCCAACATGGCAAAACCCTGTCTCTATTAAAAATACAAAAATCAGCCAGGCATGGTGGTGGGCACCTATAAACCCAGCTACTCAGGAAGCTAAGGCAGGAGAATTGCTTGAACCTGAAGGCAGAGGCTGCAGTGAGCCGAGATCGTGCCACTTCACTCCAGCCTAGACAAAAGAGTGAAACTCCATCTTAAAAAAATAAAAATAGAAATAAAGTGTATAGTTTGATCAGTTTGGGCATATGTACGCACCACTGACACCACTGCCACAAGCACAATAACAAAAATATCTAACACCTACAAAAGCTAGCTTCCTCAAGCTCCTATGCTCCATGGTCCCCATCGCAACAAACCTTTCCAAGGAAACCACTAATATAATTTCTGTTCTTGCAGATTAGTCTGCATTTTCTAAACTTTTACAAAGATGAAATCTTAGCTAATATATTCTTTTTTATCTGGCTTATTTCACTCAGCATATTTTAAGATTTATCATGTTGGGGCATACATTAATATTTCTTGTACTGAGTAGCATTATATTGCATGGATATATTATGGTTTATTCACTTATTGATGGATATTTGACTTGTTTCTAGTTTTTGAATGTTAAAATGAAGCTGCTACACATATTCATGCATACTTTTTAACAAATGGACATATACTTTTATTTATCTTGGAAAGACATCTAAGGATGAAATGACTAAATTGCATATATGTGCAATTTTTAAAGAAACTGCCAAACTATTTGTCAAAGTAGTCATACAATTTAGCATTCCCACCATCAGTGTATGAGAACTCCAGGTCCTCTATACTCTCACTGATGCCTGATATGGTCAATGTTTAATTTTAGCTATTGTAATATGCATGTGCTGGTATTCCATCATACTTTTAATTGTGTTCCCCTAATGACTACAATGTTGAACATCTTTTTCTGTGCTTATTTGCTTCCATATTTCTAGCTGTTAATAATCTGTTTAAAAAATTAGGTTATTTGTTTTCTGAGTTTTGAGATTTCTTTTTATATTCTGGGCACTGGTGTTTATAGAATATATGATTTGCAAATATTTTCTTCTAGGCTGTGGCTTGCGTTTTCTCTTTCCTAAACAGTTTCTTTTCAAAAGCAGAGTTTTTAATTTTGATGAAGTGCAATTTATCCATTTGTAATTCTATGGATCACGCTTTTGGTGCCATATTTTAAGATCTTTGCCTAGCCCAAGACCACAAAAGTTTTCTCCTAGTTTTTTTCTGTAAGTGTTATAGTGTGAGGTTTTATGTTTGTGTCTATGATTCATCTTGAGTTAATTTTATATATGAATGAGTTATGAATTGTTTATTTTTGTGCTTATGAATATCCCATTATTTCAACATTACTTGTTGAGAAGACTGTCCCTTCTCCATCACATACATGTGGGTCTACTCTTGGACTCTTTATTCTATTGATGTGTTCGTGGAACTTGACACCAAAACTATACTGTCTTGATTATTGTAGCTGAATAAAAGTGTTAGAACTTTTGACATTAGGTAGTATTAGTACTCTATCTTTTTTTTCAAAGTTGTTTTGGCTATTCTAGTTCTTTGCATTTCCATATGAAATTTAATATTACTTTGTCAATCTCTACAAAAAAGACTCCTGTGATTTTGGTCAGGATTATTTTAGATCTACATATCAATTTGTGCATAACTGATATCTTAATATTGCATCCTTCAAATCATGAACCAGTACATCCTTCTGTTTCATTAGGTCTTCTTTAATTTCTCTCAACAATGTTTTTGTAGTTTTAAGTATATATGTCTTGCATATCCTTTCCAGATTTTCCCTACTTCGTATTATAGTAAATATTGCTTTTTAACTTCAATTTCTGATATTCATTTATAATAGATAGAAATACAATTTATTTTGTATATTGATCTTGTATTCTGTGAACTTGCCAAACACTTATTTGTTCTAGTGGGTTTTGGAGATTTGGGTTTTCTGTATAGATATTCACGATGCCTGTACACAAAGATAGTTTTACTTCTGTCTTTTCAATCACAATGACTTTGATTTTTCCTGACTTATTGCAATGGCTAAAACTACCTGTACAATGTTGAATTAGCAGTGGTAAGAATGGGCCAGGCACAGTGGTTCACGCCTGTAATCCCAGCACTTTGAGAGGCTAAGGTGGGCGGATCACCTGAGGTCGGGAGTTCAAGACCAGCCTGACCAACATGGAGAAACCCCGTCTCTACTAAAAATACAAAATCAGCTGGGCATGATGGCCCATGCCTGTAATCCCCGCTACTCGGGATGCTGAGGCAGGAGAATCACTTGAACCCAGAAGCTGGAGGTTGCAGTGAGCCAAGATTGAGCCATTGCACTCCAGCCTGGGCAACAAGAGCGAAACTCCGTCTCAAAAAAAAAAAAAAAAAAAAAAAAAAAAAAAAAAAAAAAAGAACAGACATCAATAACTTGTTCTTTATCTTACAGAAAGCATTCAATTTTTCACCATTAGATATAATATTCATTCTAGGTTTTTTGTACATACAATTTACTAGACTAAAGGTTCTCTTCTATTCCTAGTTTGCTGAGAGTTTTCAAGAATAGAGGTTGAATTTTGCTAAATGCTTTTTCTGTGTCTGTTGAGACAATCATATAGTTTTGTTTTTAGTTTGTCAGCATGGTCATTACATCCATTGAATTTCAAATGTTAAATCGACCTTGCAGTCCTGAACTAGGCCCTAGTTATTTATGACATATTATCGTTTTTTTAATTCAATTTCCTAAAATTCTGTTTAGAATTTTTCCATGTATATTCATGAAGAATATTGGTCTTTCTCTAGTTTTAGTATCAAGATAAGGCTAGTCTCATAGAATTAGTTAAAACTCTTCCCTCCTCTTCAATTTTCTAGAAGATTTCAGGTAGAATTGTCATTATTTCTTCCTTAAATGTTTGGTATCTTTCACCAGTGAAACCATCTGGACCTAGAGTTTTCTTTATAAAAGTTTTTTAACTACAAATTCAAAACTATCAGAGTATCTGTTTTCTCTTGAATGAGCTTTGGTAGATTCTGTCTACAAGAAATTTGTCCATTTTGTTTAAATTGTTAACATTTTAATTGTAAGTATTCATAATATTCCTTTATTATCTTTCCTTTTAATACCTGTAGAATCTGTAGTGATATTATTCCTTTCATTCTTGATTATGGTAATTTATATTTTCTTCCCTTATTTTCTTGGTCAGTTTGGCCACCAAATGGTCAATTTTATTAATCTCTACTTTTTGTTCATTGATTTTTCTCTACTTCTTCCCTGTTTTCTACTCCATCAATTTCTACTCTGATATTTATTATTTTCTTTCTTCTACTTGCTTTGGGTCTCATTCACTATTGTCCTAGTTTCTTGAGATGGAAGATGAGGTTATTGATTTGGGACCTTTCATTTCTAAAGCAGAGATGTAGCACTATAAATTTTCTGGAAGTAATGTTTTAGCAGAATCCTGCAAGTTTTTATATGTTGTATTTTCATTTTTATTCAGTTCAAAATATTTTCTAATTTCCCTCTTGATGTCTTCCTTCCCCCAAGGGTTGTTTAGACATGTGTTATTTGACTTTCAAATATTTGGGGACTTTTGAGATATCTTCCTGTTATTTTCTCTAATATAATTCCATTACGGTCAGAGAGCCCACTTTGTATGACTTGAATGCCCTTAAATTTATTGAGACTTCTTTTGCGTAGTGTATACTTGCAAAGAAGGCATATTCTGCTAATTTTAGATAATATTTTCTTTTTTTTTTTTTTTTTTGAGACGGAGTCTCACTCTGTCGCCCAGGCTGGAGTGCAGTGGCGCAATCTCAGCTCACTGCAAGCTCTGCCTCCCGGGTTCAAGTGATTCTCGTGCCTCAGCCTCCCAAGTTGCTGGGACTACAGGTGCCCACCACCACGCCTGGCTAATTTTTTTGTATTTTTAGTAGAGACCGGGTTTCACCATTTTAGCCAGGATGGTCTCGATCTCCTGACCTCATGATCCACCTGCCTCAGCCTCCCAAAGTGCTGGGATTACAGGTGTGAGCCACCGTGCCTGGCCTAATTTTAGATAATATTTTCTAAACATCAATTGGGTCAAGTTAGTTGATACTGTTGTTCAAATCTTCTGGGTCTTTACTCATTTTCTGTCTACTTGCTCTATCAATTATTAAGAAAGGGATATTAAAATTTCCAACCATTATTGTATATTTGTCTGTTTTTTTATACTTCTATCAGACATAAAGATGTAGGACTGTATATTACCCTTGAAGAATGGAGCTCTTTATTAGTATGAAATTATCTACTTTATCCCTAGTAAAATTCTTTTCTCTGAAATCTACTTTGATATTAATACAACTCTTAAGTTTTTCAAAATTATTGTTAACATGCTACTTTTTTTCATTGCTTTACTTTCAACTTATGTCTTTACATAGAAAGCACATTTCTTGTAGGCAACATATAATCAGGTCTTACTTTTTAATTCAAACTGACAATCTCTGCTTTTTGAGATGTGTAGTGCATTTATATTTAATGAGATTATTGATATAGTTAAGTTGAAGTCTGGCTATTTGTTTTCTATTTGTCCCATCTGTTCTTTTTTATCTCTTTCCTCTTTTTTGCTTTCTTTTGGGTTTTCTTTAAATGATTTCATTTCATGTTCTTTGTTGGTTTATTAGATATAACTTTCTTTTGTTATTTTAGTAAATGACTTAGGATTTATAGTAAATATCTTTAAGTTGTCACAATCTACCTTCAAGTGATACTAAATCTTTCAAGTTAGTATAAGCCCTCAAAATAATATATTTTCATTTCTCCCTTCCAGCCATTGTGCCATTCTTGTCAAACATTTTATTTTTATATAAACTCCATTCTAATTATTATTATATTTGTTTAAAAGGTTAACTATCTTCTTAAAATATTTAAATAATAAAAAATTAATCTACTTATCCATGTAGTTCTTATTCCTGTGCTCTTCATGCCTTTGTTTACATCCAGATTGACATCTGGTATAATTTTCTTTCTGGTTGAGGGATTTCCTTTAAAACATCTGTACTGCAGTTTCCTGGTGGTGAATTCTTCGCCTTTTGTATGTCTGAAAAAGTCTTTATTTTGCTTTTGTTTTTTTGAAAGATATTTTTGCTGGGTAAATAATTCTAGTTAACAGACTTGATTTCTCTTTCAGTACAGATGATCCCCAACTTGCAATGGTTCAACTTACAAATTTTCAGCTTTACAATGGTGCAAAAGCAGTAGGCATTCAATACAGTCCTCAGCTTATGATGGTGTTATATCTGGACTTAGACACTTTTGACTTATGATATTTTCAATTTATGATGGGTTTATCCAACCATAACCCCATTGTTAGTCAAAGAGCACCTGTACTTTAAAGATGTTGCTTCACTGTCTCCTAATTTACTTTGTTTCTAATGAGAAATCTGTACTCATCCTTATCTTTGTTCCTCTTATGTAATACGTCTATCATTCTCTGGCTGTTTTAATATTTTCTTTATATCACTAGTTTTGTGCAATTTGACTATAACATAATTTGGTATTATTTCTTCATGCTTTTTGAGCTTGGGTTTGTTGGGCTTCTTTGGATTGTGTTTACAATTGTCATTAAATTTGAAAAATTTTTAGATATTATTTCTTTGGGTATATTTTTTGTCCCACCTCCCAACCACCTTTAGGGCCTCCAATTACACAGATATTAGGCCACTTGAAATTTTCCCACAACTGACACTCTTTCAATTTTTAAAAATTTATCTTTGTTCCTCGTGTTTCATTTTGGGTAGTTTCTATCACTATATCTTCAAGTTCACTAATCTTTTCATCTGCAGTGTCTATCTGCCACTAATCCCATCCAGTATATTTTTCATTTTATACATTGCAGTTTTCATCTTTAGAATTGTGACTTTGATTTTTGGTAAATCTTCTACATCTCTCCTTAATTTCTGGAATGTATGGAATACAATCATACTAAGTGTCTGAATGTCCTTGTTATTAATTAGAATATCTATGTGAGTTCTGAATTAGTTTCAACTGATTATCTCTTCACTATGGGTCATGTTTTTCTGCATCTTTGCATTCCTGGTAATCTTTAATTAGATACTAGGCATTGTGAATTTTGTCAGGTGCTGAATATGTTTGTATTCTATTTATAAGGACATAAATATAAGACATGTCTTGAGGTTTCTTTTGGGATATAGTTAAGTTACCTGGAAATAATTTGATCCTTTGGGAGTTTGCTTTCAAGATATTTTAAGTAGGACTGGAACACTATTTAGTTGAGGGCTAATTCTTCCTCACTACTGAAGCAAAACCCTTCTGAATAGTCTACCAAATGCCTTCTAAATCACAAGGTTTTCCAGTCCAGCTGATTACATCAGGCATTATCCCTGGGTGACCACAAGTTACTGTTTGTTTCCCCCTAATCTTTTCAGATACTCTTCCCTGCAGCCTCTGGTAGTTTCATCGTATGGATTCCCTTAGCAAATCTCAGCTGAACACTCAAAAGGGATCCTCTATAAATCTTTGGAGTTCTTTAGGGATCCTCTGTAGATCTTTGAGTGCTTTTTCCATGCAGCTTTCACCTTTTCTATTGTCTGTCCTATGAATTCTCACTGTTTTGGTCTCTGCAAACTCAGCTCTGACCTCTCAACTCAGGGAGTCTGGTGGGCTCTGCCTGTATTCTCCCCCACTGCCATGGTCTATACCCCCTCAGGAAATAAGCTGCATCATCACAGGGCTCACCTCATTTGTTTCCCATCCCTCAGAGATTATTGTCTTTTGTTGCCTGATATCCAGTGTCATAAAAAACATTGTTTTGCATATTTTGTATGTTTCTTAGTTGTTTCAGGAAATAGGGTATATTTGGCCCTTGTGGCTTTACCTTTACTAAAAGCAATGTCTCTCCAGGGGAACTTCTAAAAATTCCAAAGCTGACACCACACTCCCATACCAATTAAATCACAATCTTTGGGAGTGGGAGACAGGCTTCAGTAATTGTTAACATTCCCCCCTGGTGATTCCAATGAGCAGGCAAGTTTAGAAATGGAAGATAGGTGTGTGGATGGATACTTTTCACCATATACTCCTGTATAACTTTTGAATTTTGGATGTATGTATTATTTATTTAAAATTAATTTCACATTACAAAATGAGACTATGATAACCCATCAATGAACAAAAACAAAAGAACTGCTGGTCTAACATTGGTACTTTGGGAACCCATTATAATGAGTTGGTTAAAAAATATAATTATGCTGATTTATCAATGTAATTTATGTATGGTAAGCAGTGCAATATATTGGAAATATCATGGGCTTTAATGTCACTTATCAAATGCATGAATGAATAGATGAGTAGGTGATCATCTACAACCATTTTCACATTCTGACTTTGTTACTTTCTTAACCTCTCTTCATTTGTACACTGGGGAGCCTAACATCTGCCTCACAGGGCCACTCATTCATTGACAAAGAAGTATTGAGTCACTACTATGAACAAGGAATTGCAGAGATAGCAAAAAAAAAAAAAAAAAAAAAAAATTCCCTGTCTAATGAGTGATGAGGGTAAAGGGAAGACTGGGAGTTGGGGTGAAAAGTGGGGGAGAGAATAAGAAAAACATGTAGTATGTTAGATGTTGATAATAGTGCTATGGAAAATAAAAATAAAACAGAGAATAACAATAAGAAGTATTACTATAAGGATTAAATGAGAAAATGCATTTGAATTCCCTAAAATAGTGTCTGGCACATAGAAGATGGTAAATATAAGTGCCTTTAAAAGTATATCTAAAACAGGTAAAAATATTTTATCCTCTTAGATTATATTTTTTCCAATTTATTCTGCCTGTCTGTATAATCCTAATTCAGAATAATGTGGTCCAAACAGGATTTTTCTCAGTGACTGAATGCTAAAGTCGGTGGAGAAATTGACTAGAATATTACTTGCAGTTCTATTATAAAACTATATCTGACATCAAAGAGAAATGTTAAGCTCTAGTGAGTCCATTATCACTTGTTTAAAAGTGTAACCTATTTTTAAATATCCCTTGAACAGACTTATTGAATCCCATGAGTTAGGCTTGTTGAAATGAAAACATTTTATCATTCACTGAGAGGTACTGGTGAATATATTCAAAGCAAAAGTTAATGGGGAGGATAATCTGGCATAACACGGACCCTAATTAATTTACCAGCTGCCATATATTTTAATCTTTATATACAAACACCTGATAATGTTGAACCCCAGCAGCCTAAACAGCTGATGTTATTTACTCAAAGGCTTAATTTACTACAATATTAGAGAGTGACCATCTTTTGAGGTCATTAAGAAGAAAGTCAAGTGAGCTGAGCAACCGCTAATAAAACAACAACTATAACATACATTCAAGCTGATGTCCTTTAAGTCTGAAGCATAAGTCATATTAACAAAATTTTACATGAACGTAGGAAAGAATTAGGTGGTTATTTTCACATGCAAAAGAACTTGTTTCAATATCTTGGAAGATATTTTTTGTACATTTATAAAGGATTTGCTGTCCATGGGCCCAAATTCTGGATGGTGTTTTTCTAAGGTGTATTCCTCTTCCCACAAATTGCACATAACTGCTAAATTCATGCACTTAATTTGTTTTTTAAAAAAAGAGTGTAATAGTTACATCTCTAAAAAGCCCACTTAATAAGATCATTTAAATATCTTTCACATAACACACACAAGACAAATAATTTCCCAAGTAACACAGTGAAACATTTTGCTTTTCTGAAAGAACATTATATTCATTTTGCCCTTGCTAGATCACTGGTATCATTACTTACGCTAGTCTCTAGGAGGGGAAAAGAGGGATTTTATTGAAGTGATTTACTTGTGTTAGGCCTGGAAGTGAACTGAAAGCAATGGCAGTTCTTATATAAAGGATGGCATAATTGAATTATTGCCTAAGTGATTGAAAACAGTGGTGCATATCAGGGCCATCTCTTCGAAGATGTTACAAAGAGTAGTCAGGCCATGATGTTTACTTTATGTCTAATCCCTGTTTCCAGCAGAACGAGAAGTGCAAAGAATCTGTTTAGCCTGGAAGCCCACTGTGAGAATTTCTAAAATACTGTACCCTGAAAAATGAGAATGGCTCACCGAACAGGTCAAGTGATTTAGGTATCACAAGCTAAGACACTATCTTGTAATGCTAATTCTGTCACATCCCAATGCAACAGACTGTAGTTTTAGTAGACTTAACTTTGGATTTAATAAGGTAGATAAAGTGGGTACTCTTATTGAAGGTCAGTCTTTCTAACATCTAATGCTAAATATTTTTTCTAGGCAAAAAAAAGGGCATCATTACCTTCTTTGATCTTTAAAACATCTCCTCTGACTACTTTGTAACCATCAATTTCAGAAATGGTACACACGTCAGAGACACAATCACGGCCAGAAAATGGGCAAAACAGAGGATCACTACAATGATTATCCTGCTCTGCCAAAACATTCAGAACCATTTGAAGTCATTTGGACTACTTATTCAACCTCTAGACAAGCAAAACCTGCACTCTTATCAGTACTGAAACTGGTTGCCCTTCCTCTAGCTTTGAAACTAAAGTGCAAATTTCTCAATGCTCAAAAAGCAAAACTTTCCCTTCCCCTCACATTCTCCTTTGCAACACCATTGTTCCTAATACAATCCTCCTTTACTGCAATTACTAGATTGATGGCAATTATACGTTTTCAGGTCTGTCTCCACTACTACGCTGCTGGCCCTTGACTGAAAGTAATACTACTACTTTCTTGATCTAGGCAGGGGTTCTCAGACTTTAGTGTTCACCAGAAGCACCTGGAGGGCTCATCAAAGGACAGATTGCCAAGCACCATCCTAGAGTTTCTGTCTCAGTAGGTCTGGGGTGTGGCCTGAGAAGGTGTTGCTCAATATGTTCCAGGTGCTGCTGATGCTGCTGAGAATCACTGCCCTAGTGAAGTGGTTAGGGGCATGTTTGCTGGAGCAAGTCTGCATATCTTGAACCCTGCCCAGCTACTTGCCAGCTGTGTGCTCACGGGCAAATTACTCCACTTTTTCATGCCTCCCTTTTCTCATCTGTAAAATAAGGATATCAATATGATAAAGCTCTTAGAGTTATTAAGATTAAGTGAATTAATACACAGAGAGCTTAATTGGTACCTGACACATAAGTGCTCAATAAATGTTTATAGATAACAAAATTAAATTATCTTTATTGTTATTATTGAGCATTGAGATTATGTGTTCCAGAAGGTGCTTACATGATGATAATCATTTTAGATGAAACTGAGACTACCAGTCTCTATAACTTGCCATGCTTTGTTTAAACCTTCCTTCCTTATACATGCCAGAGAAGAAATTAATATTAAATGTTATTTCAATTTACATTCTCATTTTCTCTCCTAAATATAGACCTGGCAAAACTGTGTTCAAAGAGAAAATGTCAAATCCATGAAAATCAAATATAATTTATAAAAAACAAAATATATAATGTTGTTTTTGCTCATTAATTTGTTCATTTTTACATCACATCTTACTGAGTCTTTGTAAATAACTCCTTGTCACAATATTTTTCTAAAGATTGATACAGATATATTATAAATTACTGGAAGACAATGTATCAATATTCGTAACTTCCACGAAATATTTAATAAATGAAAACTTTAGATAATACAATTTAGGAGGTATTATAAATCATTAATTTTAATTTGAGAACTGAAATATACAATCCATTTTGGAAAAACAAAATGACTCTAACTTAATCTTTTAAAAAGCTTTTAGGCTTTAGTTTATTTTTAATTATTTGACTTAATCTTACTGATTTTTCTTTTCAGTAATATACATTTCTGGTTTTGTATTATCATTAGAAACTTAAATAAGTAAACTGTACCACTGAAAAAACCCAAAAACTATTATGCTTAGTTTTCTAAGTTGTATGGCTGTGACAACCATATAAAAAATTCTGACAAAGTACAGATTACTCAGCTTAGAAATAAACATCAGTAAACTGTGAGGCAGGCAACAAATATTCTTCATACACAGATAGAAGGAAAGACACAGCAAGAAAAGAAGGATAATTTACAACCGTAAGTTAATTGTGAATAACTCTACTCCATCAGACTCACTGGTCCGGCACTTCCAGTTCATACGGTTTTATAAAATAAATGCTTCCTCTAAAAAGCTGTGGATAAATGAGTAGCATTTTAAGTGCAGAAACACATCTTGCTAACTAAATATTTTGTGGTGACCCCTTCTATAATTTGAAAAAAATTAGTTCTGTTAAACGCCATTCCTTCTTTCTTACTGTTGTTGTCAATAGATTTTGATTTTATTAAATTAACATACTTTATTTAAAAGCAGACTTTTTTTTTTGAGATGGAGTTTTGTTCTTGTTGCCCAGGCTGGAGTGCAATGGAACGATCTTGGCTCACTGCAACCACCACCTCCCTGGTTCAAGTGATTGTCCTGCCTCAGCCTCCCGAGTAGCTGGGATTACAGGCATGCACCACCACGCCTGGTTAATTTTGTATTTTTAGTAGAGACGGGGTTTCTCCATGTTGGTCAGGCTGGTCTCAAAATCCTGAGCTCAGGTGATCCGCCCACCTTGGCCTCCCAAAGTGCTGGAATTACAGGCGTGAGCCATTGCGCCCGGCCCAAAAGCAGACTTTAATCTGTCTACCAAGCAAATCTGCTTCCATTTTATGCATGCAGACTTTTATACTAAGTCTATCTTTGCAAAAGATTTAAAGAAAATTATTTCTTTCCCAAGAAGCTGTGCATTCAGATTCTTTATCTATATCTGGGCTTTGGTATCTTCCATAAAGTAAAGAACTTCTATAAAACAAAGACGTGGTGGAATGGATTAGACAATCTTGAAGATTTACTATGGTTTTAATGATTTATAAATCTGTAAATATATAAACAAAAGTAAAAATTTTAAAACAACTGTTTTGAAAAATCCCAGTACTAGTTGCAAAAAACCCTGAGTTCTAGCCCCAGGTCTTCTACTATTCGTGTGGCACTGGGCAAGTCACTTGAGCTCCTGGGGCCCCAACTGCTGTGTGATTATAATGACAAAGATAAACTAGGTAACTCCTAAATTTCACTCTAACTTCAAAATACATACTTCTTAGAAAACCAATTAATTATATTCTGGAAGTTTAAAATCAAAATACCAGGGTACACTTTAGTATATAATTTTAAAATATGTTTTTACTATTTTTTTAATATGTGAGAAAGAATAAAGCACATACTAATAATTAAAGTTATTTCCATTTTTACAGGATTATAATATTATAATATGTTGCTCTATATTCCAGAAATAAAATTCAATTTACACTCCTTGATTTCTGTCTCTTTGTTCTGACATCTGCTATAGTCTGAACATTTATGTCCCCTAAAGATTCACGTGTTGAAACCTAATCACCAATGTGACAATATTGAGAGGTCAGGACTTTGGGAGATGACTAGGATGAGAGGGTGGAGCCCTCATGAATGAGACTAGTGCCCTTATGAAAGAGCCTGAGGAAGCTTACTTGCCCTTTCCACCAAGAAGGCACCATTTATGAAGCAGAGTGCATGTCCTCACCAGATGCTAAACCTGCCAGTACCTTGCTTTTGGACTTTCCAGCCTCCAGAGTTGTAAGAAATAAATGTTGTTTATAAGCTACCTTGTTTATGGTCTTTTGTTATAACAGCCCAGTTGAACTAAGATACATCTAAGCACCACTGTATTCCTGGATCCTATCCCTCCAAGCAGAGGTGATGCAGCTGTCCTCCTCTATCTCAGAAGCCTAGTCTGCTCTGTGACTCCTCTTACAGAATGTGGGTCTCAAGGGGAACACTGTGGGTCAGTGGGAGCAGGGGGCAGAAAACTTTTTTCTGTAAAGGGCCATATAGTAAATATCTTAAGTTTTACAGGTCATATGGTCTCTGTCACATATACTCAACACTGTCATTGTAACACAAAAACAGCCACATACAATACTTAACAACAACAAAAAAACAGACCGTGTTCCAATAAAACTGTATTGGTAAGCAATAAAATTTACTTTCATATTATTTTCACATGTCAGGAAATATTACTTTAAAATTTTTTCCAACCATTTAAAGAGGTAAAAAACCATTCTTAGCTTTAGGCTGTACCCAGCAGGTGCCAGGCTGCAGTTTGCCAACCCCTGCTTTAGGCTATTTACCTGATTAGATGTGTGCCCCACTGACCCTGCACTGCTCCTAAGGAAACACGCTTTGAAAACTCTACAACCCAGCCTAGAGCTGTGTTAGAACCAAACACCACTTTCTTTCCAGCACCATAAATTATTATGAAAGATCCAGGAATTATTCACAACCATGAACTTCTTTAGCAACTCTGCCAAAACATTTACTTCTTCATTATGTTGATGTAGATAAAACTTCCACAAATTCCCAGAATATTAGATTTGCAACTTGCTTTCCTAAAGTCTCCTTCCTCACCTAAACTAATAGAGTACACTTGAGCTCTGAGCAAAAAGGGCCAAATCCCACTGGGCTTATGTCCAAACTTCATGTGTTTGAAAGTTTTATTCAGTGCAAGTGGTTTTAAAGTCACTTTTATAGAGACTCTTAGCATGAATTTTGGACCAATAGGGTGATATAAGCCTTTATATTTAATTCCCTGACCTACTAATATGAACAAGAAAACAAGAGAAACTCAAGAAATGAGGGAGGGTGCCAACTATATATTAAAATATTTCAGCCACAGACAGGTAAGGAGTAAGGGCAGCACCAGCCGGCATGCCATCCATCAGCACATAAGGAAGAAAGATACCCGGGGTGGAAATAAACAAGGCTTCTGTTGGAACTTCATCAAAACCCCAACTTGGAGCAAATGGGGTTAAAGATGAAAGCAGATCTTTGAGCAGTTCTTTGGGGAACAGGTTGCCACACAGCTGGAGTCTAGGAGGAAGGAATCCCACGGCAGCCCTCCCAGCCAGCACATGGTGTATTTGGCACACTGAACAGTGTGGGCCATCACCATGGCCAGCTCTGGAGGAGGGCATAAGGCTGCTGTGCTAGGTGAGGGAACCAGCACTGCCCCAGCTGGTTTCTAGCTGCTGAGACAGAGAGGGTAGCCACATCAATGCCAGGTCAACACTCCTTTTTCAGAAACTACTTCCTTATCTATCTGCGACAACTCTCTAACTTAAACAGAATTTCCACATTGGTAAAATGGCAATAAATGCATTGCCCCTTCTTCAATCTATACCTGGAAGATCTAACAAACAGCTTCAGGCTTTTACTCAGGATCAATTTCAGCTCCTAATATTAAACAGACATTCTATTCTACAGATGAGCTAAAGAAAAATAACTGGACATTACAAAATATTCAACAGTTCAAAAGAAGAAAAGTTATTAACAGAGCAGAACAAATGACTTCTTCTGAAGCAGACTTATTGCAAGAAACAGAAGGACACATTTTAAAATCTCTAATTTGTGCTTTTAAAATTTTAGTAAGATTTAAGAAGACCCTGTATTAATAAAATAGGGACTAGTAGCCATGAAAAGGAAACAATCTGAGCATGTAAAATTACACTTACAAATAACACAACAGAAATTCTCACATTTTAAAGGAACTCAGTAAAGACAGAAGCCAGAATATTAGATGCTGCAGAAAACAGAATCAGCAAATTAGAAGATATAAGATGTTCTCCCAAAATTCAGAGTAAAAATCTAAAGAGAGAAGATAAATGGGGAATAGATTAAGGAGATGCAACATATGTTTACATTAACTTTAAGAAGATAATTTCTAAAAAATGATAAGAAAGACCAATGAATAAAATTCTAAGTCCAAGATTATTTAAGCAAAAATTATTCGTTGAGGGAGGAGAAGTACAAAAAAAAATCTCTATTTCCTATTATATAGGACAACAAAATATACACTTTCGGTCTGGCAAAAAAAAAAAAAAACAAATATCAAAAGAAAAAGAAAGGAAGAAAATTTTCCTGAGCTCAATTAAGACTTGAATTTTCAATTGTAAAGGCTCAATTATATTTAAATACTAATAAAAACACTACAACTGAACAGAGATACAATTTCTGAATTTCAAAGATTGAGAAAACTTTCTAGAAACATTTTGTCCAGACAGAGAAGAAACAAGTAAGTTTCCAACAAAGAAAGACAATGGGTTTGGCATTAGCTTTTATTCCACAATACTTCAAAACTAGATGACAATACTTAAAAGGAAGGTTAAAAGAGTTCTAAGCAAAAGGACTGTGACTCTAGTCATGTTCATACATAACGGCAATGGAGCCTCTCAGTTATGCAAGAACTCATAAAGAAGATGACCCACTTATATCCTTCCTCAACCAATTACTCAATGTTTACCAACAACTGACAATAAAGTCAGAACACAATTCCAATAATTGAAGAGAGTACAGAAGAAATGAGCAGTAAACAGTGAATATGCCTGCAATTAAATTAAAAATAATTGTGGCCAATCTATCACAATCCTGATGTTCGTTAAGAAAATAATTTAAGAAAGATGATAAGAAAGACCAAGGGCTAAAAATCTGATTTTAAGTCCCAGATTATTTAAACAAAAATTACTGGCTGAGGGAGGAGTAGTATCCTATTTTATAGGATAACAAAATATATACTTTAATTCTTGGCAAAAAATTGAGAAATATCAATGTTACAATGATGTCCTACTGGAATTTAAAGGCAATAATTATTAAAAAGAAATATAATGAAGATTAGAGAAAAGATTTTGGTTTCAGATGAACTAAACTGGGTTTAAGGTTCAGCTATCACAAATCATGTGAATTTGGATAAATTATTAGTATCTCGAAGCTTTCATGATCTCATCTACAAAATAAGAATAAGTTTCTTTGTTATATGATTATTTTGAAATAAAAAATACATATATAGCCCATTGTCTGACACATGGCACATGTGGAGTGTTGGCCATTATTGTTAATAATAAAGGGAAAAAACTTGATAAATATAACAAAAGACAGAAAAAGATTAAAAACTAAAGCCAATAGCTATATTGAACAGAAAGCAGAAATGGTTCAAAGAAGCACCACCAAACATATCAGTTATCATAATGCTTGAAGCTGGGTTAAGTTTTTCTGTTGAAAAATAAAGACCCTTAGATAAGACTTTAAAAATGCAGCTATTCTGTATGCTGTTTTTATAAAGACACATCATTCACTCACTCAACAAATATTTGGGTGCTCACTGTGTGCCAGACACTATTCTGGGATCTGAGGATATGGTCAGGAAACAAAACACAAAGGCTTTGACCATTGTGCAGTGCAGCACAATCCAGCAGGAAGGTTAAAGACCCTCAGGCTGGGACAGCCCTCGCCATGTTCAAGAAATGTAATCAGGTCTGTGTGGTGAAGCCAGCAAGCAGAGGAGAGTTCAGAGAGGCAACTGGGTCAGGTGGGGTAGATTCTACAGAACCTTTGAGGCCTTGTCTGGACTTTGGATTGTACCCTAAATTAGAAGGTGAGGAATTGGAGGGCTCTGAGTATGAGCAATGTGATCAAACTTCCTTTCTTTGGAAAGATTATTCTGATTGCTGTATTGAATAAAAATAAGGCCAATATTGAATGAAGGCCAATAAGAGTGGAGGCAGAGAGATCAGTTAGAAAATTAATGTAATAATCTAGGAAAGAAAGGACAGTGGCCTAGGTAAGAGTGGTAGCAGTGAAGACAGTAAGTAGTTGGACTCCTCTGGACTAGAAGGATTAGTTGACAAGATGAGTTAATGTTTGGATGTGTAAAATATGAGAAAAAGAAGAGTCAAAGATGACTACAAGTTTTTCGGCCAGAACACTGGGAAGGATGCGGTTATGAGCAGCTATGATGGGAACAGTAAGGGAAGAGTAGGTGTGGAGGAGTGTGGTTAGGCAGCCAGTTACAGGTGTGTGAATTCTGAGGTGCTCTTAGGGGGACAGGGAAAATTAAAAGCAATAGCCAGTCAGATATTTGAATCTGGAGAGGCCAGAACCAGAAATGTAGGTTCAATAGTCATCAGCTTTGGTCCTTAAAGGCATAAAACCGAGACAGGGCACCCAGAGACCAGATGTAGACTGAGAAGAGAAGTGCAAGGACTAAGGTCTGGAACACATGGTGTTTACAGATGAATGAGATGAGGAGGAGCCAATGAAGGACACACAGAAAGCATGGTAAATGAAGTGGAATAAAAAACAGAAGACTGAGTGGTCTGGGAAGCCCAGAAAGGAAAGAGGGCAGAATGAATGACTGTGCCAAGGGCTGCTGACAGGCCAAGGAAGATGAGGTCTGAGAACTGACCACTGGGTTTAGCAATGAGGAGGTCACTGGTGACTTTGACAAGGGTGGACTAGAGGGTAGTGGGGATGAATGTCTCAGAGGCAGAGTAGAAGACAGAAAGGAAGGAAAGAAATGGGAAAAGAGAACATACAAAAGTTTTTCTGAGGAACTTTAAGAAGGAGCAGAGAACTGGGAAAGTCAGTAATTCAAAAGACAAATGGGGTCAAGAAAGGGTTGTTTTCTTCTTAATGAAAATGACAGGATATTGATGAGAGAGAGAATATTGCTGTAGTCCTATGGATTTTTAAAAATTAAAGGGTAAACAAAAGAAAGCAAAAATTTAAAAAGGGTAGCCGTATAAGATTAAAGTAGAACTTGAGACAAAAACAATTACATGGGACAGACATTAACATATATTTGACCAACAAACAATGGAACAGACTAAAAAAGTTGTTAAAGTGGTATTCCCCAAAAGAATACTGCACCCAGGTGAATTTATGGACAAGATTGATAAAATCTTCAGGTAAATGATCATTTCTTTGCTTTTCAAACTGATTCTAACAATAAAAGGAAGGAAAAGATTTCAATTAATTTGAACAAATTAGCAGAAACCAATACCAGCAACTGACAAGAGAAGGTACAAAACCAACTAATTGTTTCAAGATTGATACAAAAGGTCTTAAATAAAATATAAGTAGTTTAAATCCAGTAATTTAAGAAAAACAAATAAAATCCAGGCAGGAGGGCTGGGCGCAGTGGCTCAAGCCTGTTAATCCCAGCACTTTGGGAGGCCGAGGCAGGCGGATGACCTGAGGTCAGGAGTTCAAGACCAGACTGACCAACATGGAGAAACTCTGTCTCTACTAAAAATACAAAATTAGCTGGACGTGGTGGCACATGCCTGTAATCCCAGCTACTAGGGAGGCTGAGGCAGGAGAATAGCTTGAACCTGGGAGGTGGAGGTTGCAGTGAGCTGAGATCGCGCCACTGCACTCCAGACTGGGCCATAAGAGCGAAACTCTGTTTCCAAAAAAAAAAAATTCCAGGCAGGAATATAAGGATGGTTCAACAGAGACAATATGACTATATTATAATGTCATTTAAAATTTTTAAAAAAGGAAATAATATCAATAGATGTTAAAAGAGCATTTACTATAAATTCAATTAATGTTAAGATAAAAATTATTAATTTAGGTATGAAAGTTATTGCTTTGGTATAATAAAGAATATTCTTCTGAAACCAACAGCCACCAAAAACCATATGCAATGAATCAAGAACAAGAGAAAAATACCAACTATTATTATCCTTCAATGGTGTCCCAGAAATTTCAATCAGTGTAATAAAACAAGAAAAAGATATTTTTAAAAGTATAACTACTAGAAAGGAAGAGATAAAATCATCATTTTTGCAAATGATATAGCAATTTAACTAGAAAACACAAGAGACTAAAATGAAAATTTATTAAAACTGATTTTTTAAGTTCAGTAAAATGGCACAATGCCAGAGACACAGGAATCAACAGCTTTTTGCAGACTAAATTAGGCAGATTTCTAATTTAAAATTCTCTTTACAAAAGTAAGCATCTCCAAAAATCTCTCTAGTGTTTTCCAATAAAAATGTAATGTGAGTCACATATGTAATTTTAGATACGCCCAGTTGCCACATTAAAAAAAATACAAAAATATACTTTATGTAACATAATAACCCAAATTATTATTTCAATATATCTAATTGATATTTTTTAAATGATTTTTTTCATACTGAGTCTTCAAATTCTAGTGGTTTTTGGTAGTTAGTTAACCTGTTTGTGTGTTTGCACACTAAACAGTATTATTTCACATCTTCACTAACCACCTGTGGCCAGCAGCTATTGTATCAGACAGAGCAGCTCTCATAGGCCTAGATGTGTGCCTAAGAACATCTGTGCAGAACGTACAAACTCGAAAATGGCAAAGTGCTACATAACACAGGAGATTTCAGAAAGAGGACAAACATATTACATATTCATAGATGAGAATAGGAATATGTGTCTTTGAATACTGATATCACTGTAAAGATATCGATTTTCCCTCCCAGGTTATTATATAAATTCAACACGAGCCTAAGCTAAATTCCTGTAACATTTATGTAGAAGACCTGACAAAAAGATTTCAAAGACTGGAAGCATAAAGATCAAAGAATATCAAGAAACTTTTAAAATGACAAGTAAAAACGATTGGGATTTGCCATATCAGATATTTAAATATCAAATATTTACAATTTATGAAAATTACAACCATATGATACTGGCAGCTCAACAAAGAGACTGTAAGAACTAGTATGCATAAGAATTTGGTACAGCATGTGACAAAGGGAGAATGAAAAATAAGTGGGAAATGAATACATTAGTAAATACATATTAATAGTATTCAGGCCACTTGTAAAAAATATAAAGTTGTATGTCTATTTTATAATGTTTACCAAAATAAATACTACACAAGTCAAAGGTTTAAATGAAAAACTAAAAAGCAGTAAGATGATTAAAAAATCTATAGTAAATGTTTGTATTATTTTGGAGTGAGAAAAGTTTTCTAGGATAGAAATCAAAGAACGAGAGCAACAGATTTGGTGATAAAACCATCTATGTATCAAAAGCATAAATAAAAAGCTAATTTTCAAACTGGTAAAATGATTCCAACATATATGAACAATAAAATACTAATACTCTTGATACATAAGTAGCTTTTACAGCTCATTTAGAGAACAAGGTGAACAATCCAAAAAAAAAAAAAAAAACCTAAGGACATAAACAGGCCAATTCCCAGGAGAAAATACAAATGTTCACCTACGAAACTGGCAAAGATGAAAAGACAACGATCATGTCGGACAAAGATGTAAAGGAATGGTAACTGCTGTGAACAACCTTTCCTGAAGGAAACTTGGCAGTATGCATAAAATGCCTTAAAAACATATACAGTCATGTGCCACATCACAATGTTTCAGCCCACAACGTTTCACATATATGAAAGTGGTCCCCTAACATCAGAACGGAGCTGAAAAATGTCTATCACCTAGTGACATCATAGCCATCATAATGCAGCAACACAACATGTTACTCACGTTTGTATAAAATACATCATACTTGATTAATGATAATAAACAATGATGTTACTGGTTTGTATACGTACTATGCTATAATTTTTATAATTATTTCACGGTGTACTCCTTCTACTTATCAAAAAAAAAAAGTTAACCGTGAAACAGCCTCAGGCAGATCCTTTGGCAGGTATTCCAGAAGAAGGCATTATCATTACAGGAGATGTGTGTTATTGCCCCTGAAGACCTTCAGTGACAGAAGATGTGGAGGTGGGAGACAGTGATATTGATTATCCTGACCCAGGGTAGGCCTGATGTGTGTGATTATGTCTTAGGTTTTAACAAAAATGTTTAAAAAGTAAAAAAAAAAAAAAAATTGAAAAAAATTGAAAAAACTTACGGAATAAGGATATAAAGAAAAAATGTTTTTGTACAGTTGTACAATGTGTATGTTTTAATCTAAATGTTACAGGAGAGTCAAAAAGTTAAAAAAATTAAAAAGTTTAGAAAGTAAAACTGTTATAATAAGCTAAGGTTAATTTATTCTTAAAGAAAAATATTCTTCATAAATTTAGTGTAGCCTAAGTGTACAGTGTTTATAAAGTCTACAGTAGTGTACAGTAATGTCCTAGGCCTTCATATTCACTGACCGCTCACCCAGAGCAAATTCCAGACCTTAAGCTCCATTCACGGTGAGTGCCTTATACAGGTGTACCATTTTTTTTGTTTTACACTGTCTTTTTACTGTGCCTTTTTAATGTTTAGGTACATAAATACCTACCCTTGCATTACAATTGCTTACAGTATTCAGTACAGTAACATGCAGCACAGTACGGTTTATAGTCTAGGATCAATAGGCCATACCAAATAGCCTACGTGTGTAGTAGGCTGTACCATCTGGGTTTGTGTAAATACACTCTATGACGTTTTCACAATGACAAAATCTCCAAACAATGCATTTCTCAGAATGCAGCCCTTCTGTTAAGTGACTCATGACTATACATCTTTCCACTTACATGAGGTACCCAGACTAGATAAATTCATAGATGCAGAAAGTAGGATACAGATTACCAGCGTCTCGAAGGGAGAGTAAATTGGAAGTTATTTTAATGGGTACAGAGTTTCTGTTTGGGATGATGAAAACATTCTGGAAACGGATAGCAGTGATGGTTATGTGACATCATGAATGTACTTAATGTCACTGAATTGTACACTTTAAAATGGTTAAAATGGTCAATTTTATGTTATGTATATTTTAACACAATTTCTAAAACCTCCATTGCATGATTATGAATTTTATTAAACCATTCTCCTATTATTGAATATTTGGGTTCCTTTTCCAAATTTTTAAACAATTAAAAATAATACTATGATAAAAAAAAAAACATCCTTTGACTCAGCATTTTAATTTGTGGATATTTATCTTATGGTAATAATTAAGAAGATGTGTAAAGATATGTATTTTCCTCCTGGCACTATTTGTGACAGCAAAAAATCAGAAACCTAAACAACTAATGCATAGGATTAGTCAAATAAATTACAGCACATAATGGAAAATTAGAAAGCCAATAAAAAGTGTGCTGCAGACATATATCTATTTATATTAAGGGGAAATAATTAAAAATAATATGGTTGACCAGATAAACTTTAAAGGAAGTAAATGTTCATACGTGCATAAGAAAGTATCTGAAAGAATATATAATGGGGTTTTGCCAGAGGTCATCTCTAAGGAAATGGGGTTTAACTGCTTTTTTATGCTTTTTCTTACTTGTCCGTATTTTCTGATTTTTTGGCAATGCACACAAACTCTTTTAGTAAAAAGAAAAAAAATTAATAAAAGAAACTTAATTTTGAATAAAACATAGATAACTCCTCCCAGTTATTTTTCTTTTCTCAGAAGGAACACTGTGCCTTTGTGTACTGGACAAAGTGAACCGCATGCCCCCAGAAAAGAAACATAAAATGCCAACTGAATGACTGTCTAAAGCTTGTTATTATACGGAACCAGCCAATAATTGTTTCCCCAATCTGAGAAACTAGACATTAGATTATACAAAGATATCCCTTTGGGCTTTTGGTTTGCTTCTCGGTTGACCACAGTAGGTATATTACAAAGCAGTAATGAAAACACTTTCTATTTTTGCCAGTGAGGTGGGTTTTCTTTTAGAAATGAGGAAGACGATGTCCCTGAAGAGTAAGGCTACACACAAAGTGAGACATTCAAGTACCTCAATGGGAGCTAGTAAAATTAGAGCAAGAAAACTAAAACACCTTTAAGAGTATCTCAAAAGCTCGTGTAGCTGTAGAAGGATTAAAACTGTGAATTTAGAGGTACAGGCAAACAGATCCAATCCCAAAGGCATTTTTGTTTGGGTGTCCCACACATTAAGCTGTAAATCTGAAACAGGAAACTTGAAATCATTAAGGTCACATATTTATAACATCATATTCAATTAGGTTAGAAAAGTGCAATATCTGTCATCATGTCATAAAAATATGTGTTTTTCTCTCAGATCTCTTATAAAGAAAAGCTCCCTATATTGTTAAGGATAGGGCTGTTTTCAATCAGTTACAAGGAGCAATTCAATTACTAGATGGTTTAGTGCAGTAACTGACTCCAGACTAATTTAATTTCTTTAGGTCTCTAAAGATCAATTGATCTGATTTGTCCCATCCCCAAAGGCTGTTTATGAAAAATTCAGACTTAAATATCTGGAAATGAAATCCAAAACCTCGGCCAATTTCACACTACTTAGGTCATCTTGCAAACTTTCAGCTAGTCATGTAAGAGTGCTGTCTTTGCCCTCAGACCATTGAAAGCTACTTAGCTTCATGTACATGTGAGTGCTCCCACATCAGGATGCTTATCCAATAAGTGGAAAATGTGGCCACATGCATTATCAAATCTGCCGTTGTAAAGAGCAGTCAGACTGAGTACCTCCTATCTTGTAAACCAATGTGCAACTACAAGGCTATTTTTACTCTAGGAGTAGTTTATTAAGACTATGAAACATAGAGTTACATGGGATAAAAGTTGTTAGATGAAATGCTCATATAACAAGATGAAGAACTTGTAATTATTTTACATTTTTAGATTTATAAAATGCTGTCATAAATGCCAGCTTATTTGATTCTCAGAATAAACCTCTGAGGTGAGCAGGGTTATTTTTTCCATTTTCTAGATGAGCGTACAGACTCAGAAGTCTGGTGACTTCTCCAGGATCACTCACCCAGGAAAAGGCAGAGGTGAGACTCTAAGCCCTAACTTTTTTTTTCTCCCAATATATCACGTGTACCCCCATGGTCTGAGACAGAAAATACGACACACACTATAAAAACGGATCACTATCACCCCACTGCATCATTGTCTCCATTCTTACTTAATACCTGAATAAAACTGAGAAAAAGTTCACTTATAACAATCCCAACTACATAAACCCGGTCTGCAGCAGGGCTTCTGGCCCTCAGAAACAGGAAATAAAGTCATGCCTAAATGAAGTTGCCTTTTGCAAGTGGACTCCTTTGTGGTCCATACTGCTGGTACCACATTCTCAGTGACTTGTATCCCACCTAATTTGAGTTACCACTTGCCTTCTCTCTGGACTTTGCAATGGATTTTCAATCACAAGCTCAAGTTTCTTTTCCTGATCTCAACACTTCCAACCAACTTGTCAAGCTCTCCAACTATTTAATCTTTCTTTTCTGCTCAAATCCCATAGTTCCTGGCCAATGTTCAGCCTCTCCTGCTTGCTCCTCTGCTTCCCCACTGAGCCTCTAAGTCTGTTCCCCTAAATCAAACCTCCCCCTCACATTCTGCCATTTGGGAAGGCTTAGGAAGGCTGAGACAGAGGTTGTTAAAATATGTAATTATCTTTTAATTTGAGTTGCCAAGATAGATTAGACAGAAGTGCTGAGGTCAGGAGATGTGGCTATATAGGTAACAAAGAGTGCAGCAGAAATGTGCAGCAGTTAGTAGGGAAATTACACAGATGTAGAGATAAGAAAATCAGTGGTTCTGGTGGCTAGGGAACTTCCCTGGTCAATTAAGACATTGGACCACATAAAAGAATTAGTGTGTTTAAGAAGTACAAATAATCAATTAGGTTTAAAAATCTTCTCTTTGAAAAACAATTTTTGACATTCATACTGGGCAAAATATGTATCTCCATATAGTCATTACTCATCACCTCAATGGTCTCAAACTGCATGAACCATTTTAATTGAGTAAAAAGTAGGGTAAGTTACAGGCACATGATTTCACTTGTCTTCTTAGAGGTCCTGAGGCCTGCCTGATGTCTCTCCTATTAAATATAAGCAGTCTACTACATTGGTAAAATTATGTGACCTTGAATTAAATTACATCTCCTTGTTTCAAAATTCCCAACTACCCTTACACTCTTTGTGTTAGCAAATATATCTACTTGGGAAGGTAAAAGGCTATCACGGTTCTGTTTCTCTATAGACTGCCACTCATTGAGACACGAAGCTTAAGAATGTCAAGAGGACTAAGTCTTTAATAACAACAAAGCCCTATTTTTTATAGTAGAATAAATGTCCTGACCAAAGAAACTATTTCACTCAGAAATTAAGCATATAATAGATCCAGTCACAGTAGCTGTCAGACTTAAGCAGTTGCATATGTACAAGGAATGGGGTGCAGAGAATAGAAGACTATATATAGTAAGGTTATGATTCTCTGGTGTCGAAAGGAGTGTGTTGTTACAAACTCCCTCTTCTCTTGATCTTATCTGAACAAGAAAGTAAACAGAAAATTCTCATTACCTCTCAATGTCAGTGAGCCTGGAGGAATCCCGGAATCCTTTGGCAAAAGGATTGCTATCTATTTTCAGCTTCGTTATCTGGAGAAAGAATGGGTACAAAACAGTATCATTTATGAGGTCAAGGAAGTAAAATCAGAAATAGTTTGTTCATTCTCCATAGCACACCAAGAATATCTTAATGTTTCTCAGTGTCCTGAGAAGGGTGGAAAATGCTACACATGTTCACAAGAGGGACAAATCCCAGCCAGGTGGGATGGTAAGGGAAGGCCTCAGAGAGGAGGTATTGAGGACAGGCTGGAGGTTGACAGATAGATACAATTAGGGAAGGGAGCCTTTGAGGCAAAAGTAGATGTGAACTGGGGTGTGCAGTATTTAATATATTACATAGTATGTCAAAGGCTAGGGCTGAACAGAGGAATGGGAGAACCACCTAAATGGGAGAATTATGCAGAATTCCAGCATCGGTAGAGAATGAAAGTAAGAATGCATCTGACTTGGTGACATCTTTTTTAGTACTGTGAGTACATATACATACCATAATAGATAAAAGGTAAAATGGCCAATAATAGCCTCATGTTCAATATGATATTGATATACATGACATAAATACATGACATAAAGCCTTCTGAATACAAATTTTCTCCTATTTCCCTTTCCATTTGACTAAATCAGAATCAAATTAGTCCATCTTTTGTTATCCCTCCATGAAATGTTATTTATAAACTCTATGTTTTTATGGAAAAACACATTCTAATAATAATCACAGTCTAAAATATTAAATGTCCATGCTGTGGTATTCAGAATTCCCATAGTACTACTATTAGTGTAGAAAGATCCATGAAATTATATGCACCATGACTCTGAAGGAGAATACGTTAAGTTGTAACAAGAAAATAAAGGAAACATTGATTAAAAGATACTCAACATGGAAAATACTGGAATTGTTAGAGCTGAAAGGAAGCTGAGAGACCATCTAGCCCATGGTCTTATCCGACAGATAATCACACACAGACTCAAAGAGCACAAGGGCCAAGATTCAGCTGGTCAGTAACTTAATTAGAACCAAGAAAACCTTTATGGAATCATAGCTTCTCAGTATCAAAATTAGAACCCATGTTCATCTCTAGAGAGAAATGCATGCTAAAGATTCTTAACAGGGGAAAAAAGTTACAGGTATGTCTTCTTCTTTCAAAGTAAGGAATACACAATCAAAACAGATAGTTTGAAATACTCTTGCCAGGCCGGGTGCCTGTGGCTCACGCCTGTAATCCCAGCGCTTTGGGAGACCGAGGTGGGCAGATCATAAGGTCAGGAGTTCGAAACCAGCCTGACCAACATGGTGAAACCCTGTCTCTACTAAAAATAAAAAATTAGCCAGGCATAGTGGCATGAGCCTGTAATCCCACCTACTCAGGAGGCTGACACGAGAATCACCTGAACCCGGGAGGCAGAGGTTGCAGTGAGCCGAGATCGCGCCACTGCACTCCAGCCTGGGCGACAAGAGCGAGAGAAAGACTCTGTCTCAAAAGAAAAGAAGAAATACTCTTGCCAAAAAGCAACTTTCTCCCCAGTCAAAGTATATCTATAGAACACTTTAAACTGTTAACACGTGAGGAATTTCTTTTTTCATTTCAAAAGAAATGTGGTTTTTTCTTTTTCATGGTTTCTGAACACTTTCAGAACCAAGGCACAAGCTGCAAAGAAGCTATTTATGCCTCACTTAAAATGAAACCTCACATACTAACCCAGCCAGAAAGACTCCTCTATCAATAACACTGGCAAATTATAAGATTAACTCTTTGATAATACTAATTTTAAAAAACATTTGACAGTGCCTCAGAAATGCTCATTTTTAGCCCATGAACATTCACTGCTGAGCAGTTAGAAGAAAATAGCTATGCTATGAGCATTGGTAAACAGGGAAGCAAATAAACTACATAAATCAGAAACCTGTTCTCATGGACAGCAACAGCTAAGACATATATATGAAGAGAGATACAGGAAAGAGTTTATAGAGAACCTTCTCACACACAGCTACCACTCTCTGAAGAATGAAGCCTTGTTTCATCCACTTATTCCGACTAGGACTTGTTTTTGAAAGTCAGTTTTGGGAGGGAAGGGGAAAATATTTTTTTGTTTGAAATAAATTATAAACATCCTCTAAAGCCCAGGCAATTGATACAGTCTACGATTACAAATATCAACAAGATTTTTAAATCCTCCAGGACATGAGCTATGTCTCTTTGTAATGAACAACTATACTTAAAATGCGTTCTACTTCTGCAGTACTTTATAGTTCATTAATATGCTTTCACAATAATTCATCAGCAAATAATGAGGATAAATCACCATGCACATGCACTGCGCTAGATGTCGGATGACATGCACAGCTAATCAGAGCTGGAACTGGCTCTAAATGATGCTAAAGAAGGTGGCACCACCTCCAACAAACAGTTAGAGACATTAAGGGTAAATCAAACCCACATGAAAATTTCAAACTGAAACTGTGAGGTGGAGCAATAAAGGTAAGGCTGCCTTTAAATAGCACATTTATAAAATTGAAAAGTAAACAGGCTTGCCAATGGATAAAATTTTCTACAGACAACAGATAATATATCTGATAAAAAATTCATTTTGAAAGAACTTTTTACAGCCATCTCTCTAAGATATGAATCATATCAAGCTTTTTCTGAGTCTTTACAAATGAAAAGGATAGAAGGTATTACCTATCTGTTCTAATGATTAAAGATGGACTTTTGACATATTTTATCTCTGAAAAGAATTTTGAAAATCACATTTCTTGTTCTTTTTTCAAAAGATAAAGACTATTGGCTCATAATATGATTGAGAAGTTATCTTAAATTCTCCAGTGCTCTAATACCACAGAAAATACATACTCTCAAAACACATGTTGCTCAATTGACGTGTCACCATATCTAATAATACTGCCATACTTTGAGCAAAGGAGTAACTTAAATTCAACATGAGTTTTCAAATGTCTTCGAATTTTCTCTCATTATGAGAATTATCTACTGCTAATATCATTTTAATCCAACTTTCATAAATCCTAGGAGTATCAGTGGAAATTTCTTTACATTTTGATATAATTTCAAACTTCAGGAAAGTTGCAAGAATAGTACAGGTGCTCTTATACACCCAGATTTACCAATTAGCCACAGCAATGATTTAGTTTTAGTGCACTAATTAGAAAAAGAATTCAAAACAATTACATTCTCTATTTCTATTTAATCTAATTCTAGGGAAAATAATTGCTTTTGCACGTGAGAACAGGAAAAAACTGAATGGATCTATTATCACTAAAATTGTATGGGAGCTCTGGGTTGATGCTACACATTCCTGAACAGCTTTTATGGGGTATTAATAATTAGCAGCACAGAGATTGTGGATTAAACTTCTTTGTGAGCCCACCATGTTCCTTGTAGCCCACTGTCACTAGACTCTGAATCTACTAGGGTGTCCACAATAAGAACCCCACAAGTATTTGTTGAGCTTTACCTCAAGAACAAGCACAGTGAGAAATATGATCTCACCTTTTCACCAATTATGAACTAAGTGAAACCATGAATTTACAGGAAAAGCATTTCACTTTTTAAATTTTAAGATAAAATAATTTTTAAATAGCAAAATTTTAACATTCTAGGTAATCATACGTTTTAAAAGGTCAGACATAGAGTTTATGCCACAATATTTAAATAAAGACCAGTAGCTATATAGAAATTCATTTTTAAGGTGTAGTTTTACATCTCTTTATGAAATTTGGGATAACTGAAAAAAAAAAAAACAACACTGAGAACTAATGAGAAAAAGAAGCTGAGTTACAGACAGTGATTTCAGGTGGACACCATTTCATTCATGTCCGAATAGAGGATGCCTGCAGCTTGTAATGTTGTTGAACAAATCACGTTTATCAAAAGTAATCCTAAAAGAAGTATCAAAAATAAATCAGCTACCAAACATTGTATGTACAGAAACCAGAGATATGGCTTCTTTATAACTCACAACTTCTTAAAAGCAGCAATGTTTCTCACTTCATCAAGAGAAAACACTAACAAGCAAGGTTAGTAGTATGTGCTTAAGAAATGCTACTGTTTAGTGTGGGTCTACATATATCCAAGTTACTAATTCAGTCCAAAACACAACCCTGCTTTTTCGTGTATTTAAATAATATAGAACATAATGCAATTCCTAACCAAAATGTTCACTCTTTTGGCATCTCTATTATCTTTAAGTAAATGTGTGGAGAGCAGATTTTGACACTACCTGCTGTGCAAAAGAGAAGGGGACCTTTTGCAGTGGTTATTCTGTATAATATCACTGGACTCTGAATCCAGCTAGGGTTCCCAGCCACAAGGTAAAATTGGCCCTCAGAGACCATTTCTCCAATTATCAGGAAAATATCTGACCAAAGGCATTTAAAAATGAAACTTGACCTACACTTCAACTCTACAGCAATGGTCTGCCTGCTCAAAAACAATGCATGACCTTTCAATCTTAAATTATAAAATAGTTTGTTGAAAGTGTAATGTATTTAGCTTTTATCCAATAATGTAAAGAAATGCAATCATTCCCTCACAAAAACCAGAGAAAGAAATAGCAAATAAAAGGTCCTACTTTCATTACTTACAAATGAAACTACAAGGCACAATAAATGAGGAATTTTTTCACAAATTGTTTTGGAAACTCTGACTTGGATTTCAATACACATAAAAATAGCAGTCATATCCAAAGCTTAAGATATATGAAAGTGGTCCTAAATGTGAATTTTTAAATCTTCCTCTCTTTTCTTCTCCCTCTTTGTTCTTTGTATGTGAAAAAATTCTAATACTATACCTAGTATATATTTACTTTATTTCCTATATATTTATTATATGTTATAGGCTATTATATGCTGCAGGATATATTATTGTATGCTATAGGAAACTTACTACACAAACTTGGTAGAGAAGTGAAGTCACAGTAGATGGTAGAAGGCCTAGAAAGAGTCAAGGATAACTTTAGAAAATGACATAGGACTAATGAAAATGCTAACCCACAAGTTCATTTATTCACTGCACATATGTTTACTGAGCACCTACAAGAGGAATTTTGATTGGTCTTATGAGGTTCATAAACCATTTGCGAAACTGCCCTGTCAGGATATAAAATCAAATTGTTGACTATTAACTGGATTTCTATTTTAAAGGCATATGGCTTTGTGCAAGCGGCTATGGTTTTAAAGGTGGATATCGAAAAATAAACTCAGACATAGTAGAATCTATGAGAAAATTAATTCTGAATTTAGTCACTTCCATTGTGGTTACTCAGCAATGAAATGACATACTAATCATATTAATACTATACTTAATGCAAGAAAGAATAGCTGGGCACTGATGGCTAGATTTTGATCCCATTTATGATATTAATTAGAAATAAACCTTGCCAAAGGAGCAACTTGTGTTGAAATGTGCATATTAGTATCTTCAGCTATTTTCATTACCCATATTTTCAAAGTCAGTTTTTGATGACACTGTCAGTGGTCACTTCCTTGGCCTTGCAATCTATCATGATGCCACCAAAAAGGAGGAATTAAAACCCAGAAGATCAAAAACCTCGTACTGGTTCTGTCACTTACCAGATTTGTGACCTTGGGTGAATGTCTTAACCATTCTGACCTCAGTTTCTAATTCTACAAAATGGGACTCGTGGGGCCTTCTTCAAGGCATACAGTGTCAGAATTAAATGAGGTGTTTAGAAAAAAATGTGGAAAGATTTTTCTAAATTAAAAGTAATAAATCCAAACCATGAATTTTAGCTGGATCCTAGTTCAGAGGGGGTTTAGGGGCAGTTGGTCTATCCTGAAAATTTTAATATAAACTGAATACTAGGTGATATAAAGAACAAATTCTTATAAATTTTCTTAGCTGTGATAAAGATGTTGGGATTACAAAAATAGTGTTCTCATTGTCAGAATATGCTTAAAGAGTGTTTAGAAGTGTCAGGAGGCATGCAACTTAGTTTCAAAAGGGGAGGGAAGAAACTGGGAAGGAAGAGGGGAAGTACGTTTGCATATAGAGAGAGGAAGAGGGAGGAAAGAGAAAATTTGGGGGAAAGCAAATTTGGCATTGCTGAATCTGGGTGGAAGGCATGTGAGGTTCATTTTACTATTTGTTTCGTTTTTTGTATATCTGAAATTTGTTCTAAATAAAAAATCAAGTAGAAAAACAAGAATTAAATTAGAAAATGTCATTAAAGATGTGGTTCCAGTTGGATACAGCGAGTACTAGCAGATATTCTGACCTCCTGTTAAGGATGATCATCATCGTGTTACACTTGCTGATGTGTGGTGTGAGCAGCACATTTGTTTAAAAAAAAAATGAGCATAAAGAGCTGATGCTCTCTAAAATCAATGTCTCAGAGTCTATCAGGGCCAAGAGCTGAGAGAGGGTGAAGTTCTGCTTCTTTGGGAACAGCAGGCACTCACAGCTTAGGGGTTAAGGGCACTCCCTCTTGAATCTTAACCACCTGAATTCAAATCTGCAATGGGAGGAGCAAGGTCACTTCAGATGACTTATTTAACTAGTGCCTCAATTACCCCAACTGTACGATGCTGAATAAAAATACGATTGTTCCTATCTCATGATATCATTGAGAAGATCAAGTATGATTATGAATTCAAGTGGTGTCTTGCACATAGTAAGTACCCAAATGTTAGTTGTTATTTGTATTATGTAAATAAGACCCTCCTATGATATGAGAGGTCCCGCCAACACTTACGCAGTCTTGGTCTCTCACCTATTAAACCAAATCTCAGGCATTATACTTTAAAGTTTACTAGAAACTTTAATTTTTGTTCATCTCTATAATTTTCACTAAAAAAAATAAAGAGGAAAACAATTTACCTCCTCCTGCTTTGGCCCTCTTTAAAAAGAATTATGATAAAAGCAATGAGGTTTCCACATGAGAAGTGTCTATGCCATTCCCAAACATCAATAAGGTTTCTTAAGTGAGCATAAATTTAAATTGTTATAATATATTAGCATGGTGTACATTATAAAAGCTATGAAATCAATTAGTATAAATGAATGGAATGTTTTCGGAATCTTTTTGGAGCCTATGATATTTGCATTCCACGTGCCCTCAAATAAATTAAAAACAGGATTGCTGGTTTCAGTGTTCCAGATTCGCAGAGAAACAGCATTAGTGCTTTAGGCCTTTGTAGGCTTCCATCTAAACCCCAACTTTTAGTTTGGGCATTCTCTGAATGTTTCCACTCCTGTGTTATGATCTTGGAGATAATTCAAAGGTTACAGTACTTGCCTTTACTGTAAGATGATCGGCATGATAACAATTACGCATTAATTTCTCTATCTCATTAATACACCACTAAAATTTTAAAATACAAATGGTGACAAATTCTTTTTTTGACATTTCTGAGACAGCCCCATCATAACCACATGTCTTATTTACAGAGCACCTTACAGCTTCCAAAGGCTTAAACAAGCCTACACACACAACTACATTTGATCTTCACAGCAATCCCCTAAAATGGTCTGGTCAGTTCTTGGCCCTAATATCTAGGTAAGGAAAACAGCAGCCACTGGTGAAATGAAATCTACTCAAAGTTGTATAGAAATCCTAGGAGAGTAAGCCTTACATACATCCACTCTGGCCATCTGCCCACATCCCTTTTCCAGGCTTCTACTACCTCATTTGTGTGAGGCTGGCTGTGATGTCAGCTTCATCTTGCCTTTCCCGAGGGTCTCCACACCACCTCGCTTTCAGGTGACCATCCTCCCCGGGACTCTGAGCCATCTACCAGGCAGCATCTAATAGCTACTCACTCAGAACCCAAAACCTAACAACATCAAGACAAGAGGAGAGCAATAGTCTTGGCTACCTATGACCAATGAAACAAACACAAGATACAAAGACACAGAGAGGTCATAAACAACTGAATGTGTCAAGTAAACTGAGCATGTGACTTCCTTTTATATTGAAGTGTATGAAAAGGAATTCTATTTCTGGTCCGTTCTGATGGAGAGAAGTTACTCACCCTCTCTTAGCTTCAGCTTCCTCACCTGTGGAGTGTAGTACTGCCACAGCCCCTTAAGCTTACGCTGGGCACAAAAGAAGAAAATGTATGGGAAGTGTCTATCAGTACATGGCCCTTAGTATGGCCTTGATAAATATTTACTAAGTTGGAATAAGCCCTATGGATGAAGAAATGCATTAATTTAAGTTTTTTTTTTTAATTTTATTATTTTTTTGAGGTGGGGTCTCGCTTTGTCACCCAGGCTGGAGTGCAGTGGTGAGATCTCTGCTCACTGCAACCCCCGCCTCCCAGGTTCAAGCGATTCTCCTGCCTCAGCCTCCCGAGTAGCTGGGACTACAGGCACCTGCCACCAGGCCCAGCTAATTTTTGTATTTTTAGTAGAGACGGTTTCACCATGTTGGCCAGGCTGGTCTCGAACTCCTGACCTCAGGTGATCCACCCACCCTGGCCTCCCGAAGTGCTGGGATTACAGGCATGTGCCACCGCACCTGGCCAAAAATGCATTAATTTTAAATGTGATGTACAACAGAGAGTAAAAAGCATAGGTTGAGTATCCCTTATCTGAAATGCTTGGAACCAAAAGTATTTTGGATCTCGGATTTTCTCAGATTTGGGAATTTTGCATTATGCTTACAGGTTAAGCATCCTTAATCCACAAATCTAAAATCTGAAATGCTCCAGTGAGCA